>NC_000014.9:28361713-29611713 GCF_000001405.40 Homo sapiens | reverse complement strand
CCTAAACACAAACCCAATAATGGTGTGAAGGGAAGGGGGTCATACTTGAAGAACAGAATGTCTGTAACACTGATTTTTTAGAAATGTATGGGTTAGTCATTAATTTTCTGTTTTGTGGCCTTTTTCTGCTGGTTCTCCAACATTATACTCTTTTAACCTTGGTTGGGAGTTAGAAGGTGGGTACTGGGATGCATGCATTCAGGATCCCTGCTATGTGAGTCTTTCTTGAGTTCTCACTCCCCCCACCCCCTAAAATTACAGTATCGAATTCAAACATATACAAGCATTAATGCCAATGATTCCCCAGTGTATGAGCCCAGATGATGGGCTTAGAGCATCTAGATTTCGTTGAGGTTTTATTGTTTGTTTTATTTAAAGAGATATTTTAAAAGACTTTATTTTTAGAGCAATTTTAATGTCACAGCAAAATTAAGAAGAAGATACAGTGATTTCCCATATACACCTTGCCCCTACACATGTGTACCTTCCCCCACTATGAATATCCCCCACCACAGTGGTACATTTGTTAGAGTGGATGAACCCACCTTAACACATCATAATTACCTGAAGTCCATAGTTTACATCATGGTTTACTCTTGATGTTGAATATTCCATGGGTTTGGACAAATGTGTAATTACATGTATCCATCATATAGTATCATACAGAGTATTTTCCTTGCCTTAAAAATCCTCTGTGCTTCACATGTTCAACTATCCCTGTCAGCCACTGATCTTTCTGTTGTCAGCATAGTTTTCTCTTTTTGTCTTTTCCAGAATGTCACATAGCTGGAATCACATAGTATGTGGCCTTTTCAGGTTGCTTTCTTTCACTTAGTAATGTACATTTAAGTTTCCCCCAAGTTTTTTCATGATTTGAGAGTTCAGTTCTTTTTAGCACTAAATAATATTCCCTGGATGTACCACAGTTTGTTCATTCACCTACTGAAAGACATCTTGGTTGCTTGCAAGTTTTGGCAATTATAAATAAAGCTGTTATAAGTATCTCTGCAGGTTTCTGTGTGAACGTAAGTTTTAAACTTCTTTGGGTAAATACCCAGAAGTATGATAGTATATTAAGTATATGTTTGGTTTTGTAGGAAACTACTAAATTGTCTCCCAAAGTTGCTGTACCATTTTATATTCCCACCAGCAATGAATTAAAGTTCTTGTTACTCCACATCCTTGCCAGCATTTGGCCTTGTCGGAGTTCCAGATTTTGGCAATTCTAATAGGTGTGTAATGGTATCTTACTGGTATTTTATTTTGCATTTCCCTGATGACACCTGATATTGAGCAATTTTTCATGTACTTATTTTCCATCTGTATAGCTTCTTTGGTAAGGGGGTCTGTTAAGGTTTTTGGCCCATTTTTTTAATCTGGCTGTTTGTTTTCTTGTTGTGTTTTAGTAGTTCTTTGTATATTTTAGATAATAGTTCTATATCACAAAGACATTTGTGTCTTTTGCAAATATTTTCTCCCAGTCTGTGGCTTTTTTTCTCATTTTCTTGATAGGTTTTGTTTTTAAAATTTTCCATTCATCTTTTCTGAAGGATGCCCTGTGATGGGTAGAAAATGTCAAATATTTTTATACTACTTCTATGTGGAAAAGTCAAAAAAACTAGAAAAAAATGAAAGATGATGAGAGAGTATTTATAAGTGTTGCTTTCTGCATACTCCTCTCACCCCTCTACATTTAGCTACTTCTCCTTTTATAGGGAAAAGAGAGGACTCATTACATTTATCATGTGTCTGCAGCAATCCTGGATCTAAATCTAGATTGAATCATTTCTAGAATGTATGAAACGAAGAATGACTGCGAGGTGTGTGGATAGGTTTTTGAATATACATGGTTTTTGGCCGGGCATGGTGGCTTATGCCTGTAATTTCAGCACTTTGGGAGGCTGAGGCAGACAGATCACTTGAGGCCAGGAGTTCGAGACCAGCCTGGGTAACATAGTGAAACCCTGTCTCTACTAAAAGTACAAAAAAAAAAAAAAAATAAAGAAATAGCTGGGCGTGGTGGTGCTTGCCTGTAGTCCCAGCTACTTGGGAGGCTGAAGTGAAAGAATTCCTTGAGCCTGGGAGGTGGAGGTTGCAGTGAGTGGAGATCACAACACTAGATTCCAGCCTGGCTGACAGAGCAAGACTCTGTCTCAAAAAATTAAAATATATATATGTGTGTGTGTGTGTGTGTGTGTGTGTGTGTGCACGCACACACACACAAATAGATTAGTCCTCAAGTGATTTCTTTTGCTATGCAAACATTGAATTGATCCTCACCTCTCCCCAACACTTGGGGCCAATTTTACTTAATAGAATGCACAAGACTACAACTAATTTATGATGAAAAAATTGTAATCATGCATTGTGCATTATAAGCTAGCCACCTCAAGGTTGACTCCCTTTCTTGATATGAGGGCACAATATATCTGTTGTCATTAGCAGTTAATGGAGATGCTTCAACTTACTATTGTTTCTACAAAATTTTGAACTATATTAAACCAGGATAAATCTCTGCTAATTAGTGGCACAACAAAAGTATAATTATACTCTAGTTCCAGTGGATGGTATGAGCAAACAGTTCTTAATAGGAGTGATCTGAGAATTTCTGAATCCTCGGAGTCCAGTGAGTTATATTTGATCATGACCTCGTTGATGTAACAGTCAACCAGTGACACCTGTTCACAAGAGGGTGGATTGTTCTATTTGGTCTTGTTGAAGTCATGTCATTTGTATTTATTCCTCTGACAGTACATATTAACATAATTTGTTCTAAGTTAATATCAATGTGAATTTCTAAAATATTGTAGATGAAAATTTTCAAAACATGGTACCCCCAAAAGATGATTAATGAAGAATGAGCCTGTTTTAATTGCAAACTTTTTGCCAACTGAAGATGAAACGGGGACATGTTCATAGGCAATAACCAAATGATCTCTGTTCTCACTTTAGAGCAGGAGAATTTTCATGTGATATAACACACAGCCTTTCCCTTAATTGACCTTAGAGTAGAAGCACCTCTGTCATCACTGAGGTCTGAAAACACAGCAAGGTACCCCATGATAGCAAATAATTATGTTATTATAGTAAAACATCTTCATAAGTAAGTTATATAGTATCCTGAAAATACCTTAGGGTTGGCAACAAGAAAAAGGGGAGAAAAGTAAGCATCCTTGAGAAAAATGTATAATTTGGGCTTCATTTTTTTAATTCTCTGAGAAAAAGGAGTCCACCTTTCCCATTCCCTTTCATTCATCTTTCCCTTATATATCAGCATAAGAATAAAATAAAAGACTTTTATGTTAATATAAAATATTAATGAACTATAATGGTAATATGTAAGTTGGGCAAGATTTTAATATCTGAAAGTTTATTTTTCATTCACTAAATGAGGATAAAGTATGAGTATTCTTTTTTTATTTGTATCCTTTTGTTCTTTAATTTGTATTATTTGAAATGATTACAATTTCCAATAAAATATGAAGCCCTATACATCTTCACAAATAAAGATACTGTCTTCCATTTGTAGATACATCAAAAGAAAAAAAGCAAGGTGTGAAAAAGTAGATGCATCCAGATTGGCAAAATGGATGCATCCAGATTGGCAGATACATGGATGTCTTTATAGCGTTCACTTTACTTTTGAGTATATTTGAATATGTTAATTTATAAATAATATAACTAATAAATAAATCTTATTACAGTTGTTTGTGAACTCTTTCCCTCAGTTTCAAAGGACAAAGACTTCATATTCCTGCCCTAGTATTGAGGAATGTGTTAGGCAGACCAAATAGTGGAGTCTTTGTATGGTGTGGTAGGCAGAATGCCCCCCCACATACCCCTGCCCTGTTAAAGATGTCTGCACCCTAATCTCTGACACCAGTAAATATATTACCTTAGGTGGCAAAAGGAACTTTACAGGTATAATTAAAGTTGCAGACCTTAAAATAGGAAGAGTCGTTTGGATTATTCAGGTGTGCTCAATCTAATGACATGAGCCCCTAAAAGCACAGTACCTTCTCCAGCTGGAGGCAGAAGAGATGAAGTAGTCACAAAGATTCAAAGTGTGAGAAGGACTCCACACGCAGTAGCTGGTTAGATGTGGGGAGCAACATCATGAGGAATTCAGGTAGCTTCAAGGAGCTGAGAGAGACGCTTGGCTCACAGCCAGCGAGGAAACGGGGACTTCACCCCTGCAGCCCAAATAACTGGATTCTGTCAACAACCTGAGTGAGCTTGGAAGCGGTTCTCCCTCAGAGCCTCCAGATAAGAGAGCAGCTTGCCATCAACTTGATTTCTGTCTATGAAACCCAGACCAGAGAAAACAGCTGAGCTCACCAGACTTCTGACCTACAGAACTGTGAGATAATACATTTGTTGTTTAAAAACACACACACACAGTAAGGGGAAAGACGGGGATTGACTAACTAGAAGGTGCAAGTCTGTGGCAGTTCATACTTAATCTGATAGAGCCTCTGTTGGGTGAAAGGCTAAAGGAAGTTTTCTTCTCTGTGGCTTACTACTGTAAACTTTCAGTTATCAAACTAAAGGGGGACATTGGGCCCAAATCATTTTTAAATGCCATAAAATTTACCCAGTAGTAATAATTAACCCATACTATGTGCCAGGCACAATTCCAAGTATTTTGTTCCATTAAATAATGAGACCTGACTGTGTTATGAGTTGACACATTACTATCATCCTATTTTACATAAGATTTGGAAGCACCTCAGAGAGTTTAGATAACTCACCTGAAGGCAGAAGCTGGGAAGAGGCAGAGCTGGAATTCAAACTCAGGACATCTGTCTTCAGAGAACTTGCTCCTGAAATTAAGCTCCAGGTTTCCAGGCTTTCCTTGTAGTCAAACCTGTTCTGGGTTAAATAAAAAAATAAGAGGAGTTGAAAGACCTTTTCTAAGTAAGAAGTAAAAGAGGTACAGTGGTCATTATCATCTGAATAGCCCATTTTCAATTCTTTATTCTCATCCTCAGGACAATGATGGAATCATAGTAAGGTTTTCACAATGTAAATGAGGGTTGGCATGGAGGGAAGGGAATATCCTGACTGTGCTGCTACTTTGCTTATCTCTTGCTGATAACTGTTTCCTGGTGGCTTTTGAGAATGATCTGAATCTAAAGTATCTCCTTATTAAGAGCTAGATATTAAATAAATACAAGTCTCCTAGAGCATAGGAAAATCATGTTTCTTCCTATCAAAGATGTTGAAATCTTTACAAAAACACTGATCAAAATTGGTAGATTTTGAGGGGGTTGTACCTAAAAAGTGAAAGAGACTGTCTTTATCATATCCTTGGTCCTAGAGAAATCATTGCAACTCATCAGTAGTGGCATCTCTGAGAATCACATCCATATTATTAGTATTTATCAAAAAAGTCATTATTGGCCAGGTGTGGTGGCTCATGCCTGTAATCCCAGCACTTTGGGAGGCCGAGACCAGCAAATCACTTGAGGTCAGGAGTTTGTGACCAGCCTGGCTAACATGGTGAAACCCCGTTTCCACGAAAAATACAAAAATTAGCCAGGCATGGTGGCGGGCACCTGTAATCCCAGCTACTTGGGAGACTGAGGCAGAATAATCTCTTGAACCCGAGAGGGGGAGGCTGTAGTGAACTGAGACTGCACCACTGCAGTCCAGCCTGGGCAAGAGAGTGAGAATCTGTCTCCAAAAAAAAGGAAAAGAAAAAAAAAGTCATTACTTATGATCATATTTGTCATCAGACTCCTGAAATTTCCGACTAACAGATTTAAGAGAACTCAATTAAAAAGCCATGTGCTGTATTTTTTTCTGAAGAGAGGCTATCACTATATATCGTACTTGATGCAAAATGTACTATCACTAAATATGTCGAACACGTACTAGCATATCTAAAAGCCATGGAGATCTTAAAGAATATTATTCACTTAATGAAAAGTAAGGAGACGTAGAGACTCTTCATCTTTCAATCAAATTTAGCAAATGTGTTGAATATTTAGTATGTATCAGGCACTAGACTTATATTGACTGGGAATACAAAATGATAAATTATAGCTCTTATGGAGCTTGTAGCCTTGTAAATAAGACAAATAGGTTCACCAACAACCAAATATGGTAGGATAAGTGTTATGAAAGGGGATTATAGCAAAGACTCTGAGAGTAGAGAGACATCCAAGACAGACTGGGAGAGTCAATAAAAGTTACCTGACAGCTGAATATTCACACCCGATAAACGTTCGTGGTCAGGCTGAAGGGTAGTATGTATGAAAACATAGAAAGGAGAGAGTGTGGCTTGTTATAAAAATGGTTTTAGGGTGGCAAAAAGGGTGGATATTTGGGTGAAGAGACAAAGCTGGAGAAATACTTAAGCAGAGAGAGAAAAAGGAGCTGATTTTGAAGGGTTTTGTATGCCTTGCTAAGGGTAGGCACCTTATCCAGAAGTTGGTGGTGATTCATTTGTGGGCTTGAAGCAAGATGGTAGCATCAGAATCACCTTTGGGAAGATCACAGTGGCAGCCTTTTGAAGAATGGATTGGAGAAGAAGACCTAAGGCCAGATCAGTTGGGATGCTGTGGTGGATCCCTGTAAAAGAGATGAGGGCTCGAACCAAGGCAGCAGAGGTGAGGATGAAGGTAAGGGGTCAGTGTGAGAGATGAAGGAGGTGGGCTCTATTACTTTTAGAGACCAGTGGGTTGTTGGAAGTGAAAGAGAAGTTAGCATTTAGGATGAGCTCAAGGTTTCTGACCTAGGTGATTCGCCATTTGCCAAGCGAAGAAATACTAGAAGAATAAGTTTGGGTGGAGAGACGCTGATGTCATTGTTGGACCTCTTCCATTTAAATGAACATACCCCAAAGACAATTGAATATAAGATTGTGGAATTTAGGAGATCTTATCATATCAATTTGGGTATTATCTTTAACAAATACTTTTATAATTGTCTGTTCTCTGCAAGATGACTTTTTATTCTCTATCAGGTAAGTATAGTCTGTTTCCCTTTAATAAGGCGTTTAAGGATTGTGATTTCTAAGACCTTGACATGAAGCATAAATTATAAGAGACAGTAATTAGAAAATGGATAAGAAGGTGTGCTCTTCTCTTGACCCTGGCAAACTGGCAGGAATGAGAGTCGACAAGGCCACTGCTGCAGTACTGTACCTCATGCCCCCCACCCATTCCATTGTGTGATGGAATATTCTTCCTTCTGATCTGCATACCATTTAGAATTTAGATCCTAGGCTCATCACTTTTATATTTAGTTTTTCTATCTCATTATGAACTAAATCAGTTTGTTCTTTGACAGAAAATTAGTCAGAGGTCCCCATATTAAGACTGCACTGCTCCTAAAGACCTATTGCAAAGATAGGTTGAATCTAATTCTCCTCTTTCCTACCTCTCATATGTTTGAGTAGAATAATCCTAAAGGTAGAAGGTGGAAACTACATATATGGAATAAATTATAAACTCTAGATTTACAATAAAGCAACAATGTTAGACTTAAAGAATATTAGTACTTAGATACCAATATTAAAGAATATCCTTTAACACAAATCAAAAAATGTAAATGAGAATTACGTAAAAACAAAAAAATTAGAATTAGTCAATTCTTTATTTTCTTGAGATATTACTTTTATAAAAGCTTTTGATTCTAGTGACTAATTTCCATTGATTATATACACATTTTCTAGGCAACTTGGGTCAGGAGAGTTTTTGTCTTGATCTACAAACGATATTTCCTCCCAGGCATCGAAACAACTTATATTCACCCCGTGAATATGTCATCAATCTGTTATGTGTGAATGGACACTATTTTTTCCTGTACTTGGCCAAATGTTTCATTTCCTGAAAATTAAATTGCTTAAATGCAACAGACAGATGGCCAGAGAGTCCTGTAGTAGCTTGCTCTGCCATGAAATTTATCTGCATTTCTGTGGAAAGCCTGAGAAGTTGGGCAAAACTCTTTTTGCACACTACTATGCCATGATTGATGTTGCAGTCTTCTTGCCATTTTAAAATTATTAATAATTCTGTTACTTTGGACATTAGGAGGAAATGGTTTAAAGGCTATTTCATATTTTATATGAAAAATTAAAACTGTTCATGAAAAGTCACATGGACCACCTTGGTTGAACTTATTTTAAAATTGTACTTAAGGTATTAAAAAATAATAATTACACATGAAAATGGAGAAATAATAGCTGGAACTTTTTTCTTATTTCCAGTCTTCTAATATATTCTCTAGGCTAACGGCATATTCTTATCAGTGCAGTATAAGAAGTTTGACTAAATAAGGCATGATCTATGTAGTCTGTTTTGTTTTCTTTTGTTACTATCAAATATAAAAACAAGTTTGGCCATTTGTTTCAATGCAAGAAAAAATACAGTTCCTAAGTAAGTATCTATGATGGCCTTGTCTCAACCATATACAATAAATGTTAAAATAAACTTGTTGTATATCAACTATTCAGATAAAGCAAAATCACTTCGCTACTGAGAAGATTTTTCAGCTGTCATTCAATATGTACTTTGGGAAAACTGTAAAGTGTAAATATGCTCATAAAAGAGCAAGGGCCAAGTGAAATGAATTTAAACTTCTAAGACTTCTTTTTATCAGTTGTGTATACTTAGCCTTGAGTCTGATGCTTTCATTGAACATGTATTTTTAAAAATTTGTATATCTAACCACATTCAAAGCCCAAATTGGGAAATAACAAAATGTTCCCTTATCCTTTACATCAAGATGCTATTAGAGAACATTTGTAGAGCTCTTCAGAGCTGACGGTGAACATGGCACAAAATAGTTGACAATGAACACTGTCATTAATCTGTCACTTACTTTTGATTTAGAACATTCTGTGAATACCCCAATTCTGGAAATAAACATGTATTAAAGTTCTACCCTCTGTACAGGGGCACCTCAGGTCATGTTGTGGAGTAGGAAAAAGGAATAAATTGAGTGAAGGACTTTAGTACCTCTAAGAACTCATGTACTGGCCAGGTGCAGTGGCTCATGCCTGTAATCCCAGCACTTTGGGAGGCCAAGGTGGGCGGATCACTTCAAGTCAGGAGTTAGACACCATCCTGACCAACATGGAGAAACCCCATCTCTACAAAACATACAAAATTAGCCAGGCATGGTGGTGCATGCCTGTAATCCCAGCTACCCGGGAGGCTGAGGCAGGAGAATCGCTTGGACCTGGGAGGCAGAGGTTGTGGTGAGCCGAGATTTGCCATTGCACTCCAACCTGGGCAATAAGAGTGAAACTCCGTCAAAACAAAAAAAAAAAAAAAAAGAGGAATACAGGTAGAGGCACATAAGGATTCATATCATTCAGATAATTTAGGTAGGAGGACTCCCCAGTCATTGCGTCTCTCCCCTCTTCTCCAACTTTCAGAATCTAAGATCAGCAGAAGCAGCAGGCTGTGCAGCTCCAATACTACTCCCGTGACCCCTGCCCTCCCTGGGCCCCCGAGGTCACTCTCCCTTAACGCTTATCTCTTGTTCCTACTAGTTTTTCGTCTGCCTACACACAGAGGACACCTACCCTTCCTGTCTACTTCTGTTGCTCTGCTCCTTTCTGATTCATTGCTTCTGCTTCCCACCCGTACTGCAAAGCTTAGCCATTTAAGGAAGCCAGACTCCCCAGAACACTGCTTAAGTGCTTACAGTTATATTAAATAGAAAAATAAAAGAATCAATGAAGATGCTCAAAGAGGAACGTGTACTTTGCACATATCATAGTGGACTTGTCCTAGGAGAATCAGAACTCTAGCCGAACTCATGTAATCCTTAAAGCTCGTGCTGTGATTATTGATTAAAAGAGAACAGCTGAGACCTTTGACACTTCAGAGGCCAGTGGTCTGTGCAGTCAGTCTGGCTTCTCTAACAGGGAAAGGCATGTAAGGAAAAGGAAATGAGACAGCCTGGGACACAAGTTCAAGTATGAACAATACTATCACATGTTCCATAGTGCCTATCAAACAAGTGTATGTCGTCATATTAGTCGCCTCCTTAGCCTCTGGCCCTCCCATAATACTCAAAGCCATCTGGCTATCTGCTCTTATTTGCAAGTAATCAGGAAAAGTAAAGTAAGAGGGTTGATAATATGAGCTTTGTGAACCCCAACTATCTCCATGTGCTTCAGCTCTGACCAGGAGAGAGCAACGTGGGAGGTGAGGTCTATTCGAAGTTGCCAGACTTGACCAGTTAACAGTGCAACGGTTTGAAGAACAATGACTCTAGCCCTTTAGAGGTTAAAGGCTATTGGGTAGATGTGTAGGCGTCTGCTCAGATCACATTCATAATAAACTTGCAATTCCATGACTCCATTATGCTGTATGATTTGACCCAAGGCATCAGAATCAAAGAGACCCATCAGATGCCTGAGGCAGAGATCAAAACAGGCAAAGTAGAAAAAGGACTCTCTAAGAAATGAGTTATCATCATCAGAGCTCCTGGTTCTATATCCAGTTGATGCCAGGCTTTCCTTGCAAATGGGTAGTGAGAGGACAACTACAACAATGTAGACTCACCCACAACCCCTTCTGCTGCTCACCACCCAGCATCCATCTGTGAGGTTTCTGAGCAGTGAGCCATTTGAGGTTTTAAATTTCATTTTACGTACAATTTTATCACTGAGATTTTTTTTTCTAAAATAAAGAAGCATTTAATTTTTTTCTCTCTTCAGCTGTTAGCACATTTAAGTTAGTTCCTGCTTTTTTTGTTTAGGTGGTTTTTGTTCATGATGATTTTTCTTCTCTTGCTCATTGGGATATAAGTGGAATATATAATTTTTTTTTAATGTTAGGATTTGTTGTTGTGCAGAGAAAAAAGGTAAAGGTCAAATGATCAAAGGCATTTGTTGATGACCCAGAAGAACGTTCAGATTTAAGCATTATTACAAGAGATCGTCTAATGCTAAGCGTAATTTTACTTGACATGTGGCAATTAATGTGTCAAGCAAAATGCTGCTTACCATTACTAGTCATTACTTTATTGTGGAAAGACAGCAGTCCCTTGGTATCCGCATGGGATTTGTTCCAGAACCACCGCACCACATATCAAAATCCACGCATACTTACATCCCACATTTGGCTCTGCAGAACTTCCCTCTAGGAAAAGTTGGTCCTCCTCATCCTCAGGTTTTTGGATCCGGTGAACACGGTATTTTCAATACTCACTTGGTTGTGGATGCAGAACCCACAGATACCAAGGGCCAACTGTACTTATCGAAAAATATCCACATGTAAGTGGACCCACACAGTTCAAATTTGTGTTTCTCAAGGATTAGCTATATTTATTGCGTGCTTGAAAACCAAGCAGGTAGGATGGTATTGTAGACAAAGCACAGGCTCACTTTTTTTTTGTTGCTATTTTTATGATCTTCACTTAGTATAAGAGTTTCTGTCAAAAACTGCAGCCTCCAGTACCAGTAGCAAAGCATTTCTAAAAGGTTTTGACTAAGGTACTTAATCAGTGCATGGCCCGATGCACTACATGTATGAATTTCATCTTTACTACATTAGATTTCTACCAATTGTATATAAATAGCCTAGTATGCTTAGTTAGGACAATATGTTTAATATTGGGGATGATCCTAAGAAATTATAGATTTCTCAATATGGTATTCTAATTAAAACCTAATTAGCAATTCACTGTGCTAGAACTTGGATTTTTTTCACATAGAAATAATTTCACTACGCATAGAAAGTAAAGATGTATTTTTTGGAGACATTAGAATTTCAAAAATATAAGGCAGCACATGTGGAATGTAGAGGTGTTAAAAATCTTAAGTGTGGGTTTCTCTATAGCTCTAAGCTTGAACAGTTTTGTATAATCAGCGAGCTTGCCAAACAGTATCAAAAAACTCATTTTCTTCAAGTGCTTTATTTATCTTTAATAGAACCTTCATCACCCTGGTGTTGTAAATTTGGAGTGTATGTTTGAGACGCCTGAAAGAGTGTTTGTTGTTATGGAAAAACTCCATGGAGACATGCTGGAAATGATCTTGTCAAGTGAAAAGGGCAGGTTGCCAGAGCACATAACGAAGTTTTTAATTACTCAGGTAAGAAATCAATTAGAGACGGAAAAAATACAATATTTAATATCAAATGTTATCACTGTTTAACTACAGCTTTCTAGCCTTGTTGTTTAGTCCCTACCTCCAGTCTAAACTACACTAGAAAAGGTTGTAGTGGCTTTATTGTATTATGTGATTTATATCTATATTAATCAGAGTCCACAGTGTACCAAATTAGTAACATGTTTGCAGGTCCATGTATTCAAACTTTTCATGAAATTTTAAAATGTACATTGGTTTAGTTTTGGTTCTTTGAGAATATTTAAGAATGGGTGTCCCTGTTAGATATAGGTCTTTTATCTACATCTGTCTTGGCCGCTGTATGAATACCATCATATGGTAATTTTTTCATTGAAATTTCTTTAGAAACCTATGTTAATCTAGCTCATTTCAGTGTCTTTAACATAAAGAAATTTGAATGTCCATTGTCAGTTTTTTTTCTTGGCCTTTTAACTGGTAGAAGACATTTTGAAATTAATAAACTGGAATGAAATTTTGGTGATTCTTCTTTACAGATACTCGTGGCTTTGCGGCACCTTCATTTTAAAAATATCGTTCACTGTGACCTCAAACCAGAAAATGTGTTGCTAGCCTCAGCTGATCCTTTTCCTCAGGCAAGTATAAAAGCCTCTCTCAGCAAAAAGCCAGTTGGAAGCATTGCTAGCTTCCATGTAGCATCTTGTCACCTTCCATTTTTCCCTTAAAACCTTTATTTGTTTCAAGTGTTTTCTATCCATTTTTATTCATTTGTTACTTTGGGACTATGGCCTTGTTACTCTGGCCTTTTGGTGAAGCATGCCTTAATTATACACAAAAGTGCCTTCTCATTCTGCCTTTTGGCTTTTCCGGAAGTGGCCTGAGAGTGACAACACTTGAGAGTCCCAGAGATGTTACCTGCTCATTAATGGGCAAGATATTAAACCTCACTGTTGTTCTCAAGGACAAGGGCAAAACTTTTTTCCTTTCCTCAACTTAGAGAGTGGGAAACCAGCTATCTCCGCAGGGAATTATAGGTCTGAAGTGACTTGACTGATGTGACTGTCCTGCCTTGCTTCCCTAACACCTTCCGGTCCTGCCTATATATGTGCCAGTGCAGAGCTAATTTTGAGGATTATTGTGGATGACATGACACATCTCTGTACTTATCCTTCATCTTCTTCTCATAATAAGCGCTTGAGTGAAGGTCATCACTTCCCAGATTTGCATAACGCTTTCCTGCCTTGTATACAATATTACCCACTTCTGAGTACACTTGTCTTCATATTTGTCTCTCGGTTTTTGGAGGAGGGAGACTGTTTTTATTTTTTCATTTATTTTTATTTTATTTTATTTTATTTTATTTTATTTTATTTTATTTTATTTTATTTTAGACAGAGCACTCTGTTGCCCCAGGCTGGAGTGGAATGGTGCAGTCTCAGCTCACTGCAACCTCTGCCTCCCAGACTCAATCAATCCTCTCACCTCAGCCTCTCGAATAGCTGGGACTATAGCTGCACACCACTACGCCGGGCTAATTTTTTAATTTTTTGTAGAGATGGGGGTCTCACTATGTGCCTAGACTGGTCTTGAACTCCTGTCCTCAAGCAATCCTCCTGCCTCAGCCTCCCAAAATGTTAGAATTACAGGCATGAGCCACTGCACCCTGCCAAGGGAGACTGTTTAGATGATATTTTTATGAATGAAAACATACTTTTGTATCACTACATAAACCACTGTCTTCAAATACCTAAAATGGAAAATAGCTATTACTTTAAGAAATCCATATCATTTAATGTAAAGGTAAAGTATTTAAAATATTATGGTTGTATCTGGTGAATCTGAACTAAGACACACAGACACACAATTGTGAACGGAGTATTTCTGCAAATCCTTTCATCAACAGGTGAAACTTTGTGATTTTGGTTTTGCCCGGATCATTGGAGAGAAGTCTTTCCGGAGGTCAGTGGTGGGTACCCCCGCTTACCTGGCTCCTGAGGTCCTAAGGAACAAGGGCTACAATCGCTCTCTAGACATGTGGTCTGTTGGGGTCATCATCTATGTAAGCCTAAGCGGCACATTCCCATTTAATGAAGATGAAGACATACACGACCAAATTCAGAATGCAGCTTTCATGTATCCACCAAATCCCTGGAAGGAAATATCTCATGAAGGTAATATCTTCCATTCAAAAATGATAATAATCTAATCCTTATTTGTTTATGTTATTAATTTAAATTAATTTAATTGTAAATTATTAACTTAATACATGCTCATTGTAAAGTGCCCACCAGAGTGGAGACACAAAGACACGAATTAATTTGGGTGGGACACATACACATAACAGAAATTGGGTTATATATATTAAGAAGTAAGTGAACAACCAGAGAGAATGTATTTTGGTACATTTCATTAGAACTTATAAATACTTATACCTTAATATAATAGTAATAATGAATTATTAGTAAGGGCTTACTTATATGTGCCTAGTTCTGTGTTAAAAACTTTTAAACTATTATCAACACAAGAATGTTATGACATTGATATTTTAATGATCATATAACATATGTTAGTATACCAAGTTCTTTGTCTACTGGTTTTCTTTGTGTGGCATTAAAATATGTATAATATTTTACTTGGCCATTCCCCTGGAATTTTTAGGTTATTTCTCTATGTTTAGTATTAGAACATCCTGATGTATCATTCCTATATATATCTCTGATGATTTCTTTAGAATAGATTACCTTGACAGTGTTGCATTGTTTAGAGTTATATTCTTAATAAATATTTCCTTCCTCTTAAAGGACAAAAGATTGTTTAAAAGAAATTGCAGGGGCTGACAGGGCAGAGAAAGTGACTCATTCAGTACTTCGGAAAGGAGTTCCTCCTTTAACATACATTGGAGTGTATTTAATTCTCATAAAAATTCTATAAGATAGGTGTTACTATGATGGCTATATTTCAAGTGTGGATCACGAGGTCAGAGGTTCAAGATCAGCTTGGCCAATAGGGTGATACCCCATCTCTACTAAAAAATACAAAAATTAGCTGAGCGTGGTGGCACGTGCCTGTAGTCCCTGCTACTCAGGAGGCTGAGGCAGGAGAAGCGCTTGAACCAGGGAGGTGCAGGTTGCAATGAGCTGAGATTGCACCACTGCACTCTAGCCTGGGCAACAGAGTAAGACTCCATCTCAAAAAAAAAGAAGTGACACCACTGGTCAAAATACAAAGCTAGTAAGTAGCAGGGGCATAATTCTTACCCAGGTAGTCTGAACATACTTTTTTTCAGTACTAGCCCTACGTCTTTTCTAGTTTACAGGCAATATCTAGTTCTAGGTTCATTCTGTTTGTTCAGATGTTCACCATGTGAAAAGGCTAGTACATTTGTAAACATCTCTTATGTGATGCCTGTTACTGCATATGTTGGTATAGAAATGAGAAAAGAATGTACAAACCGCTTAGGAGAAATTAAGTTATTAGACTGCTATTGGTATTAAATGACAAGAGCTATCCATTATCAGAGCTTTAAGTTACCATTAGCAACAACCTTTAACATCCTCTAATTAGTTGTAAATCATAGGTGGATGGATATATCTTAAAGGAACCTGTGGCCTACAAAAGAGCTATCATGTGTGCCAAAGGAATAATTAAATATTTTTCATAATTCAACAAAGATGAAAAGTAAAGTGTAATTAAGTTTCTTTCCCAGGAGACAGAGAGAATTATCAAATAACCTTGTGACCAGTACCCTTGTTAGGAAACATTACATCTAAATACAGCTAACCATTATGCTTGATATTGCTCATCTAGAAATCCAGTAAAATAACTTGATCCTGTTATCAGAATGCAAATCCGTAATACCACTGAAGCCAATCAAACACTTTCCTGTTACACAGGAATTGGGTGTGGGGAAACAACCTTCATGTCTTTAAATCCTTTTTCTAGGAGTAGTGGAACAAATGATGCCCCATCTCTGCTTTCATGAAAATTTGACTTGCTATGTAACTATAGCCTATTAAGACAAAACCTATTCATGCCAGAAATGAATAGTTATAAATTATGAACTTTTAATTATCACTAGTAATAGACACCGGAGGACTAGATAGCAAAGGCTCAGGAAACACTTGTTGGGAAATCACAATATACATACACAGTAGGTAATACAAAAGTAGAGGACAGAACATCAGATGTGCTTCAAAGAACTTGAATGTTAGTTGGGGAGACGAGTTATGTGATGTTGGATAAAATGATAATATATTTCCTTTAATTGTTACCTAGGTGGAAAACCAGGGCCTCCAAGTTCAGGGGAAGGAGAATCACTTTGGACTTTACCAGTTAGGACTCCACTTTCAGAGGAGATAGAATTTAGGCCAGTCAGTGAAGAATGGAAAGAAAGAGACATAGCATTTTAGCAAGAGGGAATTATACAGGATAATTCAAAAGGCATTTATATTTGACTAGGAAGTACACATTTTACTTGGCTATAGAAATGTCTAAGCACTAAAAATTTCCTACCACTCAGATGAAGTGATATGGAGACCAGCTCAGATGGGAGATAGAACCCTCACTTTTCCAAATGACTCAGTACCTCCTTATGGCTCACTCTTGCCTTTGAGGCACAGGCATTTTACTGTTTGCGAACTAAAGCTCTGGATGGCAAAAAAAAAAAAAAGTTACCTAGCTGCTGATGTATGAACAGAACTCATGCTTGAATATAGAGAAAAGTTAGTTAAATTACATCATGATATCAGTTAAGGTGTCACAAAAGTAGTTACTGGCCCAGGTTCTATCCCATTATCTTATTGAGAAGAAATAATTCCATCATTAGAAGTTTTAATGGAGTTAAGACCAAATAGTTTTAATTTTAAGCTTGTAGGACCTGACAAACACACCAGCACAACTATTAATCGTATCTGGCACAGGGTGGTCACAGCTGATATTAGATCAATTTTTAGTCTAGGATACTTTAAACCACACCAGAAACACTAAGAATCCAGATCCAGGGAAATAAAAACCCAAGCACCTCCATGATTTTGACAAAGATAAAATGTCAACAGTCAAGTAGTTTGAGATAGAGAGTCCTATCTGCCATTCCGAGGAGTCATCACTTACCTTCTTTGGGCTTCAGTTCCTCATCTGTAAAATGGGAAATGATTCCCACCTACATAATGAGGTTTTACAAAGATTGAATGAGATAAAGGTTATGAAAGGCATCTATAAAGGCAGGCGTGGGGTGAGCCAAGAATTTGCATCAGAAGGAGGACAGCAGAACACCAAGCACTTGCCCTGGCTGGTAACCAAAGATCGATCGTATCATTTTAAAAACGATGTGCAGGATTCCTTAGTGTTCTTTGGACATATTGCTAGTTGTAATGTATTTTTTTTTCCTGGCATGAAAAAGCAAAAGAAAATGTTATAAGTTACAATCTTAATAACATGCATAGATGTGTCAGAATTACAAATTTCTTTATTATGTATTTTTTCTGTTAGTGTAGATGTTGACTTGATACAATATAATACCTATATCTTGGGGTGCTTGAGTAGTCATTGCACTGCTTGATCCTCACAGCAATCCTCTGGTAAGTGATTTGCTTTCGTCTCTGCATTAGAGAGAACCCAGAGAGGTTTCATGATCTTGAAATCAAGGGCTTAGACTGGAAATCATTTATAATTTGTCTCCATTCTTTACACTATACATTGTTGTATACCAAAAGGGTGCTTATTTCTTATGGCTTGATATTTAGGAACCTATAGAAATATTTTACTCATTAATTATTCCTGCTAAGATGATTTAGTAAGCTGAGTGCTGGCATTCTGCATATATGCCTGCTAATACTTTATCAATGAATTAACAGGACTCTTGTGTTTAAATAACAGAAACCTATCTGTAACTTAGGCAAATAAGATACTTTATTGGCTCACACAACTGGGAAGTCCAAAAGGTAAACCTCTGATTCAGCTAGATCTTAAAGCTCAAGTGTTATTGTTTCGCCATCTCTCAGCTCTGCTTTACTTTAAGATGACTTCTTAAAGCAATGATACCCTAGCAGCTCCAAGCTTATGTGCTACTTATTGTCCATGAATCAGAATGGAAAAGGGATCATCTCTCCATAGCTGTAGGGTCTCTGGAAGGGGCACTGATTGGCTATGGTTAACTCCCTTAACACCCAGGGAACAATCATTCGGCAGCCCCAGGAGCCTGGCTCTGACTGGCCATATGGATGATGATGACAACCTCCAGGTGGAAGAAGGAAGTTCCTGCAGGGAAAAGATGATAGGCTAAAAACAATCACAAAAGCATTAACAGATGTCCTTTATAAAAATAGATGTTTTGTGTGCAAAATAAGGTATGATTTGAAAAATAAGAGAAAATTTGAAGAAAACTTAGCAAATGGTGTTTCCAGTAAAATGGAGATAGTAAAATTAATTAACTGTTGAAAGAAAAAATATGAACAAATATGAATAGCTCACACTTTTACAGTATTTGCCCTGTAGCCAGGCACTATTCTAAACACTCATATGTGAATTCGTTTAATCACCCAGCCTTTGAGTATTTACTCAAAGGATTGTTTTATTATTGTTTCCATTTTGAAGATTAGGTAATGCAGGCATAGATGGTTAAGTAGCTTGTCTAGGTGGGGCCAGGGTACAAATCCTGTCCGCTGGCTCCAAGGCAGATGCTCTTATCCAGGATATTGACAGCCTCTTGATTATCTTTCTAATGTATTTAGCCATGCTGTCACATTAAATTTTTAAAATGCTTTCACAGGCATAGAGCTAGAGTAGTAACACAAATTTTAATAATTTCTAAAAGTACTAGGAAACAGGATCACACTGTGATCAAGAACTGAGTTGCAAGCTGTACCATTTAGTATCTTGGTGATCTCATCCACGTTACTTGTTCTCTTAGGTCTCAGTTTTCTTTTCTGATATGGTGATGCTAATTCCTACCTTACTGGGTTATTGTAAGTATTAAATGAGATTGTTCTGGAAACTGCTTAGCACAGTGATTGGCATGTCTATATTAGTTTAAATATTGATCATTTTCCGTTTCCCAGTCACTTTATAGTCTTTACTTCTGTCTATCTGTATGTATGTATTTAGTTTTTTATAAATGTAAGCATTCATATATATAAAACTACAATTGTGTATAAAGATTATAACTGAATGCATTTATGTATAACTTACAATAGTTAAGTAATAAATTGTTATAAAATACATTATAAGCAATATGTAACAGAGTACATACATACATCATATATATAGTTATGCATACATAACTATATAAAAATGCATGCCTACAAATGAAACATTCCAGCATGAATTATATATTTACAAACAGTTGCACAAAAGGAGAGTCTAGCTCATCATGGGGAAAGAGTGTGGGAACATTTCAGTCTATCCTAAGGCAGTGTTGTATGTTCTACCATATTTCATTTCATCATTATGGCTGTGTCGGTGGTCATTTGTTATCCTCCAGTATATCCCTCGCTACCCATCAGTAATTAGACATGGTCTTGCTGTCATCTCCAACTTTATCTCATACCGGATTAGGCTTAAAGGTCAACACATTCATTCTGTTACCCTTCTCGGTTCCTTGAAAGAACTTGTGTACCTATTTTTAAATATTCGCTTTAAATTTACTTTATCTATGGAAGGGCAGCTCAGTATCACTTAAACATAATTTTAGATGACCAGGTACAACTAAGGAAAATTGCACCTTATCATTTACCAGTATGGCCCTCCTTTCATTGTATTTTTAGAAACAAGAACAAGAAATAGATCAAGATATCCCTCATGTTTCCAGTGTGTGGTATGTCATAAGGGTGAATCCCAGACAGTGCTAAAAACCCCAGAAAATTGCAAGCAAGACTCAGTCTGTGAGTTAAGAAGTAGGTCGCAGGGGTGTGGAGCTTAAAAATGGAAAATGTAAAAACTAGCTATTACTCAAAGCAAGAATATTTGTAAGGCAGGAGATTTCTAGTAATTTTGCCAAAGAGCCTCTTTGATAATGGCTTATTTTAAACAACCTGTCATGGCCTAGCTATAGATCTATAGCAGGCATTTTTTAACTTTAGCATGCCAGCAGTTAATTAGAGGAGCTAGTTAAAAATGGAAGTTCCCAGGCTCTACCCCCTTAAACTGCCGTTTTGCACTGAGAACATAAGAAGTCCATGGTCCATGGACTGCCCTTTCAAAACCGCTGCTCTGGAGCCCAGATCCCCAGAAATAACTTACAGCTGATAGAGCTCTAAAACAATTTTGAATTCAGTTTCTGATATTCAAAGTTAGATACATTATAAAATTTATAAAATCATTTATAAATTTCTGTCATTTCTAAAATATTTTTGTATCTTTATCATCTTCTTTATCAGATATACAATATCAGGACATGTAACTTGTTCATGTTACAGATTGCCATGAAAATAGTGAGAATAAGAAAAGAAGCACAAGTATCTTTTTTCAGGAATAAAGAAGAAACAACTATAAACACCAGGGAAATACAAAAAGTTGTATAACAAAGTCGTGTATAATAAAGATGCAACTAACCTATGTGTCATGATTTTTAGCAATTAAAGGAATGCAGGGGCCAGGCGTGGTGGCTCATGCCTGTAATCCCAGCACTTTGGGAGGCCAAGGTGGGCGGATCACCTGAGGTCAGGAGTTCAAGACCAGCCTGGCCAACATGAAACCCCGTCTCTACTGAAAATAACAGAAATTAGCCAGGCGTAGTGGTGCACACCTGTAGTCCCAGCTACTCGATAGGCTGAGGCAGGAGAATTGCTTGAACCCAGGAGGCAGAGGGTGCAAGTGCCTCTGCACTCCAGCCTGGGCGACAGAGCCAGACTCTGTCTCAAAAAATAAATAAATAAATGAAATAAAGGAATGTAGGAAAAGAGAATCTCTTTAACACTTAAATTCTCCTTTGGGTATAGGTTTGAAGATATGGGGTTACAGGCTATAGGAAATATGGGTTATAACCTAGAATTTATCAGTTAATGTTTATAAATTACTCCACATATTGCTGATTAATTTTGTTTTATATGACCTGTAAACCAAGCGTGTCTGAGTTAACTATAATTATGCAAAAGAATATGCATAACGAAACTTCTACAACACCAGGAATAAGGAGAACAAAGAAGTGAAGGGAGCCGTAAAAGCTCTCACATCCACCGAGTTCATAATGGGATTCTGTCAGAGTGAATGAGTGGTGTTATGTGTGTTTATGTGTATCATTTAACATACAATTTGACCATCAAAGCTTAACGTTTTTAATAAATGTCACATAGATTATCTAAGATCCTCCATACTGTGTGCCAGGCACTATTCTAAATTACAAAGGTGGCCAGTGCTATAATTTAACATATCCAGATTAATTGGGAGAAGGAGGAAAACAATAAGATAGAGAAAACTGGAATGAAATTATTCATCTGTGATGGAAAGAAATCACACTTTTTCAAAGTGATTCTTCTCAAACTATCTGTGATAAAGACCAGTTTTATCTTATTTCAATTTCTAAACATATGGACCAGTACTTTGTAAAATGTACTTAAAATGTGACTGCAATGTTAAATAGCTATAAAAATTTCCAAAGACTTAGTCTCACTTTATATACTTATCTCATCATTGACTGATTATAAACAATTCAGACCAGCACTGATTCATAGATCACTTTAAGCAGCACTAGTTTAGGGTCAATGAAACAAGTATAGAAGATACTGCATTTATTATTTAGAGGTATGGAAATAATTAGAAGAAAAATTTTAAATATTTAAAATAGGTAGTCTCCGGAAGGCAGGTCTAATAATGAGATATAAGAGGCTTTATTTATTTCTTTATTTATTTTTGCTTTTGTACATGTCTTACTGATTTAGATCTTTTATCAGGTGCATGCAATAACTTTCATAAAAAAGCTAATAAAAATAAAAGGGCATGGCATGAAAGATAAATGGAGTAAATAGAGTACAACCTTTTGTAGAACTATAATTCTTCCATGCATGGTCTAAAAAGTGTCTAAAATTTGAAATAAATAATATATAATATTTATATGTAAATATTCACTCAGGAGCTGTGGATTACAGTTCTTTTTCTATAATTGCTGCAATGTGACTGAGCAGTTGAAGATGCAATCTTAAGTCACTCAACTATCATGTCCACACAAAGAATAGTCAAGTGTGAAGGTCAAATGAATTCTGTCTTCCTACATTCCTTTATTTGCTCAGAATTATAACACATATAGTAAATGATTCTTCTCTACAGCTGACTTGATTATATAGCTGTTGTTTTCCACAGAGTTTATTCTTAGAGGAAAAGAAATGACACAGATAACCAAGCGATATAAATTGTATACTTGGTGAAGTGAGATATAATTTGCTTCAGTGCAAGTCGTTTCACTAGGAAAATGATGACAGACCTGTAGCGACGGATTGGAAAGCATTTGTTAGCGTCATAGTACATTTCCATTATCAAATTGAACTGATGTGTTCAATTAGAAATATACAGTAAATTTGAGGAAGGTTAGTAATGGGCCATGAAGATTCCCAGAGAAGTTGCTATTTTTTTCCTTCTGAGTTTTCATATTCCTTTATATGCCATTAGAGAGGCAAACAGGCAGTAATCAACACAGAGGCAGCCTCGGAAATTGTCTCACAATGAGCCCCTGACCCCTGCAGACAGAAGATCATTTTCTGTGTTCACAGGTGAAGTCTGAAGAAGCACCTATTCCCGAGTCACCTGCTGAGTTGTTTCTGCTCAGCTTCAGAGTCACATGGTTAGTCGGTATTCTCAGGAATTAAGACCAGATGGGAAGCCTTGACATTTGGTGACACAAACACACACACACACACACACACACACACACACACACACACACAACTTTAGGAATAATGCAAAGCATAGGAAATGCCTTTAGTGCATCACAATCTGATAATTTTGCCTTTAGTGCACTGAAGGAACTAAAGGCAAAATTATCAGATTATGGTGATGCAACCAGTGACGCGAGTTTCTTCCACTTGTGTGCCCTGGCAACCTCCATGGTCGTATTTGTGCTTCTTTTTCCTGATAAGCACAGCTATAATTTATTCTTCCAACTGGTCTCAATCCTCAACTATACAATATAGAATACACGGTATCTCAAGGCATAGAATGGCTATCATAATATACCACTACATTTATCAAGGCATCTAAATTTTTAAGATATTTTTGCCATTCAACTTGGTAAATTCAAATTAAATTGGTCACAAGTGTGTTTTTTCTCCAGAAATTGGAGATTGAAAAATATAGCCAGTACAAACACAAAGCAAAGCTAAATAAAAGCCCAGCACCATTACCACATGGTATGTTTTCAAAATCCAACAGTGTTCCAGAACGCTAAACACTTAAGTTGGAAGTAGCACTTTACCATGAAAAGGAACCAGCTGTAGGTCCCTCTTTCACAACATATTGTTCAAAACAAAAAAATAACCCCATTGAAAATAAGCCTCGGGTAGATGAGACCCAGAAATCCAATGGTACGCGAAACAAAAGAAAGACAATTGTCATTTTAATAATTAAACTGTGTTTGTAACAGTTTATGAGCCTTGCAGATCCAGCGAGCCTGCTGAATATTAATGAATAGATTGATTTGTCAACATATTAACACACTGTCAGACATAACGGCATGGAGGAGAGGCGAGGAGACTAGCCAGTGAACTGCTTAAAAATGCTGACTGGGTGCCAGGAAATTTAATCAGAATTGATAAGATAAAGTGAATTATGGTGGTCAGAACCTCCACTGGGGTTTAACATTCTAAACAATCTCAACTTAAGATTCTGGAATTAATTATGTTTAATTTTAATAAAAGAATATTTTATACAATAAGAAGGAACTTTCCAATTATGAGCCAAAGGCATAAAATGACTTGAAAAATATCTACCAGTAGAGTGATTTTTTTACATATATACCTATGTATACATATTTCAAAATCCAAATAAGGTAGTATCTGCAAAGCATGTCCCATTAGGAAAAGAATCATTTATTTTGATAGCAAGCAAAATACAGTTCATGAGATTTTCTCTAACAAATGATATTTATAGAGAGAAGCTGCTCAGAGGTTTTAGCAAGCACATTGGCATTGTAAATGCTCAAAATTGGCTGTTTATTTGCCATTCAAAATAGAAATATTTCCTGTATATTTCAGTTACAAAGTTAGTTTCACTTCTGAATGTACATCATAGTTTAGTTGAAATATATAACACCTGAGTTATGTGTGGAGATGTCTGAATAGAGGATCAACAAAAATATTCTGTAAGTTTGCTTTCTTCCATAACAACAAAGAATAATACTTCAAAATACAGGATGTTAAAAATCTTATCTAACCCCTGTACGGCTCCCAAGTGCCAATCCACTGAGTAATTATCTAGAATATTACCAAATTGTTCTAGTAATGGAAAATACACAATTTCATGAGCAGCCCAGTTTCTTTTTAATTTGACCCCAAAACAGTGAACAAAAATGTTCATGTATTTATACACACTGATAGAACAAACCCAATCCCTTTCCAAATAAAGACTCATCTCAGAGGTTTGAAAGCCATCATCACGTCTCCCCCAGCCTTCTCTTCTCCTGCACAAGTCAGTTTTTTCTTCACCCTCCTGTTCACTGTGGCACAAGCACTCTCTGCTTTATCTACGTTATCTTATAGTCAACCCTCAGGACTGATCTGACTTAAGGGTCAATGAGTCTAATTAAGAGTAAAGTGGGCTGGGCACGGTGGCTCACACCTGTAATCCCAGCACTTTGGGAGGCCAGGGTGGGCAGATCATGTGAGGTAGGGAGTTTGAGACCAGCCTGACCAACATGGAGAAACCCCATCTCTACTAAAAATACCAGGTGTGGTGCCTGTAATCCCAGCTACTCAGGAGGCTGAGGCAGGAGAATTGCTTGAACCCTGGAGGCAGAGATTGCGGTGAGCCAAGATCACGCCATTGCACTCCAGCCTGGGCAACAAGAGCAAAACTCCGTCTCAAAAAAACAAACAAAAAAAGGAGAGAGTAAAGTGAAACGACTACTTCCCTCATTACAAAGTACACATTTCTGTTAGCACAACATAAAATAATATTTGATTTGGGGATAAGAAATACGATCATACTGAGTTTACTGTGGATTTAAAACCCAGATTTCATTCTTACATATATTGTTGATAAGCCAGATTTTCCAATTCTGTACTTAGTCCTTTTGAGGAGGTTGAGAGAGAAGGACCTAAATAGAGGACATAGTTTCAATTGTCTCCTTTAAGTTATTTTACCAGCATGGCCCATTGCTCCAGTCTGTAGTTATTTGGGAAATTATTTGTGTAATCCAATTTGTTTGCTCTTCCTGTTGGCAACTTCTGAGCAGAAATTATCCTTAAACCCTTCTATCTCTGCATTCCAGATACTGAACAAGATGGAGCTGAGGACAGATACCTCTATGATTAGATACCTTTCTGTATATTTATGTCCATCTATTCAAGGACCCTTTGGGCAATATTAAGCCAGTTTTTAACCACTATCAATGTTCTCATACCTCTAGCTCCTTGCTACTCAAAATGTGGTTTAAAGTCCAGCAATATTGGATTGCCTAGCAGCCATTAAAATACAGACTATCAGGCCCCACCTCAGAACTACCAAATCAGAATCTTCAGTTTAAGATCTCTTAACTATTTTTCATATGTATGTAAAAGAGAAGCACTACTTAGCACAGTCATGCTCAACTGTAGCTGCACAGACTTGAGGCACTTCTGCAAATATTGATACAAATATCAATATCCTCTCCTAAGGATTTTCACTTGACCTTTGGTTTGAGTATCAATATTTAAAAATAAAACTTCCCAAAGGATTTTAGTGTGTAGTCCATTAAAACGAACATTGTAAAATAAACATAATCTGCATGGCAGTTACTCTCAGCATCATTCTGATTTTCTAAAAGAAGTCACTGATCTTATGATCTGTTATATTTTGTAAGGTTGTGATGCTCTACCATCCAGAAATATTTTTAGCCAAAATATACAAACCATATGCCTAGTTCATTAAAATGAAACCAAGTCCAGTATGAACATGATCAGAATAATATAAATATATTTTGATTTCTTCTTTAAATTTTGAATCAATTGGGCTTCAGTTTGGAGGCTGCTGTATGGGTGTGTTTAAACAATTTATGATTTCCAAGATCATATCCCCAGTTTTCAGGAGGAAATGAAATTGGATGAAAAGCAAAGGAGTAACCATTGATAGAATAACTTTCTACAGAGGAAAGAACTGAAAAGGAAAGATGCCGACTCGAGTCTCTAAAGGTCTTGCACTTCATTGGATTCCAGTAATTGACTCCGGAGTGAGTGAGACGATGATTTCCAGTGGCCTTGTTTGCAGCCGGCAGCCTCTGGTTTCAGTCCCTGAGAGGAGCGTCCCAGTTAGTGTTGCTGAGCAACAGCATGCTGGGTTGAGAGCTGGAATGTGAAGGGTTGCAAAACGATTTTTAAAATAAACACACAACTTCCCATCAGCATGAAGCAAGCCAAAGGGAGAGAAGTACTAAGCACTACACTGTGACAGGTGGTGAGGCAGAATTGAAAGGGAAAAAAAAAAGAGAAAACACTTGCCTGAAGGCAAGGAGCTTGAAGGTTGATTGGCGAAGGCTCTATCACCAGAATGATTGTTCTATCTGGTTTCTATTTTGAAAAGATACCTGAATAATTTGGGGTGGAGAGAAGTCGGGGGAAAATGTACTGTGTCTTGACAAAAGAGATCAGCCTTGAGGTTTCACAGGTGATTTCCCGCCTGAAAAAATACACATTGTAAAATAAACATAATCTGCATGGCAGTTACACTCAGCATCACACTGATTTTCTAAAAGAAGTCACTGATCTTACGATCTGTTATATTTTGTAGAGTTGTGATGCCCTACCATCCAGAAATATTTTTAGCCAAAATATACAAACCATATGCATACAATATGGGTATTGAAACTTAGAGCTAAGAAAATGGCGATTTACATTTCTATTTAATGTATTCAGTCTGCCAAATGCTACTTAGCAAGCATTTTTCTAATGCATTATAGTTTAAATATATTTTACTTTAAATATTTATAAAACTTATGTGCGAAAAAAAATGAATACCCAATCTGTGTGACCTTAAAGGAGCTAAAATCTAATGATGAGAGTGTGGGGAGATAGGCATGTATTGAAATAATAAAAGGAAATAAAATGGGAAATGGAACATGATTGAAAGGTGTGACCTGGGGAACCTATTAAGAATTTAAATATGTCCAGTTACAGTCTTTTCTTAGAGTTTTCTGCAAGCTTTGGATGCCTTTCAGTTTAGCCACAACAATGACACCTGTAAATCTACCTTCTGCATACAAAACACCTTTTGTATCTACACACTTGGTATTTGCTTTAAAATGGAGAATGACTGCAGTATAGTTTGTGCAACTTCAAATATAATTCTGTATTTTGTTGTTATTGTTAGAAAAAATGGAATCTATATCATATTCTGATGGAATGCTTCTTTTCATATTAGAACATAAAGCCCTCTGCACCCGCATATACCATTTAATTTTGTCTTTGTTCAGGTATCCTTGTGCACCTAGCAAATAGGCTGCACAGAACTTCGGCTATCCTAATAGCTGCTGAAAGTCCCATTCTGCTAAAAGAGAATGTTTGATAAAATTTTCTCTTTGCTTTCCTGACTTTTTTTGTCTCTAAACTGATAGGGCAAGGAGAAAAAATGCTGTACAGGAAGTTAGAAGGAGAGTAACTGTGTTAGCCAAAAATTTATTGTAGCAAAAGAAACATTAGATTTCAAAAAATAAATTTTTTTTATAATTTGTAGGGAACATTATTGTGAATCCATGGCTAGAGACATTTTATAAAGCACAAAACTCTGCTCATGAGGAGAAAATTTTAAAATGGAAATGTACACCATACAATTGTTTAAAATTTTTCCATAAGAAGAGAAAAAAAAGACTTCCCACATGCCCGGTTGTGGCTATTTAAGAAACTTTAGATTTAAGACAAGGTATTAAAAAGATGAAAGGAGAGGATTGAGCTTAAGCATGAATAAAGATAATAAAATTCTCAGAATAATGTTAGAAAGACTCACCCCCCAGAATAAATGAGGAGGTATAATCAGAAAATAATCATACCACTTTTCGAAAAGGTTGGTGTCATGTTTACTGCAAAAAGAAGGAGGAACTAGCCACTGCCTGTTTTACTCCTGTGTCCTTCAGGAACAAAGTGGTGTGAGGTGGGGGTATTCAAACTGAGAAAATAGCAGGCGAAGAGGGTACAGGGAACCCAAGAGAATAAAGGATTCTCATTTCCCCTACTGCTTTGGCCCTTGTTCCATCTCTGCTATTTAAACGGCATCTGTTTATTGCCTGAAACCACTGAAAGACCGCACTATGTTCCAATATATCTTACCCCAAGAAATCTAGGTATTTGGATATAGTCCTTTTGCTGTTTTTATAGAAGGAGGTACAGGGTACCAAGAATGTCTGAGGCATTCTTCCCGAAGTATCTCTTTTGCACAGGGCTCCAGATTTCTGAGGGCCCCAGCTCCTTGTGGAGCTGCAGGTAAACTGGAGTTTCGGCATTCCTCTACACTTCCCCACTGGGGCACGAGCATCCTAATCTGCAGCTGTGCCAGATTATGACATTTCATTCTGCTCCACTCCTTACTTTCTTCCTTCCCACAGCCAGACCATGTTCCCTTTCTCCTTTACTTTGTTTTTGAGAGGAATTCATAGAATGGCCCAATTTTGTATGTCTCCCACATTGTCCCTCTCCACTACTCTCCTGCAGTTCCAAAGGCATGTCCTGCCACATTCACTCTAGATCTAAATTCTGAATTTTGATGTTAGTTTTGGAACTGGACTCCAGACCCCAGTTGGGCTCTTTTTTCCCTCATTGTTGGCTCTCTTCTGGGACTGCTGTGACTTCCCCAGCTTTACTAGACTGGCTGTTCCTTTACAACTGGCTTCCCCTTTCCCTTGTCTTAGTGTCTTTATGCTTGATAAATTACACATGGCAGTCTCTGCTGGGAGCTGGCACCTATGGGAAATGGAAGTATCACAAAAGTGCACTCAATAGCAGCTATGAGATGGGTAAATGTTCAGAGCTGGACACACTACATATTGAAGAAACTAACAGATGTGCTTTTAGAGCCGTGGTAATTTTTAATAAATCATAGATAAAATGAGAGAGATACCAAGGTATTTAAGACAAGTAGAACTTCTAAAAGGGGGAAAGAATGGATTCTGAAATTATTCAACAAGAAGCTCGATAAAATGAGAGAGATACCAAGGTATTTAAGACAAGTAGAATTTCTAAAAGGGGGAAAGAATGGATTCTCAAATTATTCAACAAGAAGCTCAGTATTTATCCTTGACAAAATTCTAGAATGAATGAATGATTAAATAGATGATTTGCAAATATTTAGAAAACAAATCTTGGCCCTGAGAAGAAAATGACTGAAAGTCAGTATTTGTCAATGTTAATTTACTTAAAATGTATTATTCCAGAATAACTGCACTTTTTTTTAAGTAGGATTACCAGATTGGTAGAATGAGTCTTACCAAGAACTGATGTGTCTCAATGATAAAGCATTTGAAAAAAAAAATAGCCTAAAATAGCCTTTGGAGAAGATGGTAAATATGAGCTACATAGGAATACTTCTAGGAGGAAGCACTGCCTGCTTTTAAGACTTGCTCAAAGAATAATTAATAGGCCTGGCAGTTGGTAATGTGTTTTGTGATAGAGTCAGAAAGCCCTATGTTTAGGCCTTATCCTGAAAAAAGTTCTAATAATTGTATTAATACATAGCAGATGGGCTTATTCGGTGTGAGCATGACAGAAAGCTAGGAGAATTAACGATATGAGGCAGAGCTATGGTCACAGAGATGTACATACACATACACACACATCCTTGCGTTCAAGCACATAAAAGTGTGGTGGAAACATAACTAAGAATGTAATTATCATGACTGTAAAAATAAAATGTTAATTTTTGAGATAATTATCCACTTACAATGATAAGTTAATGGCATAATATGGCTGCAGTCTGCCATAGTGTTTAAGAGCACAGGCTTTGAATTCCAGTCCCCCTGGGTTTCAAATTCAGCTGTATTGCCTAGGAGCTGTCTGACTTTGACCAACTTACATGGCCTTTTGAAGCGTCACGTTTTCCTTTTATTAAAATGGAGATTAAAATAATAACTACTTTCAGGGGGTTGTTATAAGGACTAAATAAGAATATGAATGTAATTTTTTAAAAAAGAATGAAAACCCCTCAATCCTAGACTATATGAATAATATATTTGCGTATAATTCAAATTGGCAGTTAGTGAGGAAAATGTTGGTCAGTGATGATCACTGAATTTTAACAGGGACATTGAGTAGAGCTAGTGACTATTAAAATCGAGGTGTACAGGAGGACTAAGCAGGCTGAAAGATCTGAAGGAACTATAGAGGTGAGATTAAGGGGAATGAATCACTGTCTCCAAAGATGTAAAGAACTGTCATATAGAATAAAGTTTTCCATTGCATCTAAAACATAAATAGGACTAATGACAGTAAGTTATAAAAAGAAAACACTTTTTTTTTTTTGCTTTGAGTAGGATATGAATTAAAGGTCAAAGATTCAGAATGGTGTATTGTGTCATGATGTCATCTGTGGTCTGGGGAGGGGCATGCATGTGCCTTTGCAACTAGATTGTGAGCTTTTCGGGGTCAGGGCTTGATCATTAACTTTTTATTTCATAAGTAATTGCCAACAGGAATTAAGGAAGATTTGGTGAATGAACAGATAAATGAATGATTTATACATACATAATACATCTGAGACTATTTTATTACATGAATATTGTATCAATGTAGACATGGCCAGTAAAGAGAATATTGGAAGGAAAAAAGCCTCTAAACTGTGTTCAAAAATGTTTAGTAAAACGCATTTTGGATGGTATAGTTAATGCTGGATTGTATACAACTTGATTAATAAAAAGGATATTTTAAGAGTTCCAGAAAAGTAACAAGCAGAACAGAATTCTCAACTACAAATGACGGACCTATTTTCTCACTAATACCGTGGTCCCAACATTTAGCTATAGGTGCTAACATTTAATAGTTCATTATTTCTGTTGTGTGCTTCCAAAAGCCACAAAATGTATGTATACACACACACACACATTTATTTATACATACACGTTTCTCCTCTAATTCTCTCCTTATATCCTTAACCATTTTCTCTTGGAAGTAGTTGCCATTGCCTTGTTGTGCTTACTCAGGTCACTTGGGTTGGGTACTGTGGCGTAGTCAGACTAATGATTGTATGCTTCATTCAGCAGAACAATTTTTTCATTTTTACTTATTCCATTCCCTTCAGACACTTCTAGTTTCCCCTCTGATAGTACTTCCCTCCCCATTATGCAGTGTGGTTCACTGTTGGGGCCCATTTGGGCACAAACGAGACCTTTTGTTGAGTTACTGTACTCCTGCCTTTCTAATTACAGAATTCCAAACAGAATGAGTGAATTAATGACATGAATTTATTTCCTGCAGTGTCTAGGGCAGTGTAATGCTGCAGCAAGCTTGCAATAGCACATAAGCTCTCCCTTCACTCCTTGTCCTCCATTTTTGCCGGGTGACTTCACAGCAGCAAGAATGGAAGGTGCACTTTACTCACCAGTGAGTAAATCATGTGAATGGATATTTTAAAGCACATGCCCTATACGCAGTTCACAGAACTATACTTTTAAAAGCTCTCTGAGAACACATGCTTGGAATATGAAAATGTACTGAGTACTGTATTTCTTCAGGTATCCTAGGTAAGGCAAGAGTGTATAGGCATAGGCAACATTTAAATGTGTGTTGTTGCATTTCATTTCTCCAAATAATTGTTTGATATTTGACTCTACAGCCCTTCAGGGCAGGCAAATACTTGTAACATTAGCTCCATAGAGATATGGTTCTCAATTACCAAAAGACTGTAGAAGTCACTTTTCTTTGCCTGACACTGGGAAGGATTCTGATTGAAGGAAGCAGTCTTTGTTCCTCTGGTCTCATGTGACAGTCTGTATCTTCAGGTCCATACAGGTTGATGCACACCAAAAAGTGGATTCAAAGCTGCCTATTCAAGACTTGGTGATAGGGAAAGATGAGGAGTTAATTTTCATTTTCGTTTATCAGCTGCCTGTTTGATTAAGATTTTTGGTAGGAAGAGCCATCTTTCAGACATAATGCCTAGGGTAGGTTAAGGGCAAAAATTAACTCTTTGAAATATAAATGCTTCCTATTAGGTTGGCAGATTTCACTAAGCTCTTTTTGGGAAGAAAATGCTAAAATTCAAAAAGAGAAACATGGAAGTTATTACAAGAATGAGAAGTGTGAGGGAATGACTTTAATAAATAATGAACTATTAATGACGTATACTGAAAATATAATGTCCAGAAAAGGAGAGTGAGAACTCCATCACATGATACTGTGGGTAACTAGGATGATTTTCAGACTAGATAACGATGAGTATTACTTTTTCTTCATAAATTACACTCACAGACTCCCCAGTCACAAGCAGAGTACTAGGCCAGAGGGATTGTGGTTCTAACCCCTCAGAGAACATTTCTTGTTAAATAGACTTCTTTCCTGTCTTCCTCTAGAAAGTCTATGAAGGCTGATATAATTCCAATACATTGGTTATTTTTGAAAGCAAAAGCAAAGTGAAAGCAATTAAAGTGTTTTCTTCTTGGGCTGTTGGTTTTCAGGCTCCAAGTTTATCATGAGATATGACCCATGTTATGATGCATTTTTTCCATACAAATATGATGTTCAGATATCTGTCATTTAATTCAATACTGTGTGAACCATTGTGTGTATTCAAACGTTCAGCATGTTTTATAACAAAATTAGTAAATGCTTTATCTTGAATATTAGTTTTATCCTGCCCATATTGTAAGACATATTTAAATGATGTACATATAAACAAAATTTCTAAATTAAAGAAAGTGTTAAAGAGTAGACCAATTGAAATTCATATCATACAATAGACTCTAATACTTCTTCCATAATTACTTCCAACTTCTTCTTTTTTTTTTTTTTTTTTTTTTTTTTTTAGTATCCAAAATAAAATGAAGGCCAAAGTTTCAGTATTCTTAAGAGGATTTTTTTTTTTGGTTCTAGTGCCTTGTCACTATGCTGCATTTAACTGTGTGAAATAGCAGATGTGAAATAAACTATAAATGAATTATGCATATGTTACAGATTTGTCATCTATTTTTACTGGTAATTTTTTTCAGCCATTGATCTTATCAACAATTTGCTGCAAGTAAAAATGAGAAAGCGCTACAGTGTGGATAAGACCTTGAGCCACCCTTGGCTACAGGTAAACAATAATCACTGAGTTTTCTTAGTTGAATGAGCTTCTAAATATTTATAGGATTTTGATATTTAGAAATCTTTTGCAATAATTTTTAAAGTGTGATTATTCTAATATCAATTTATTTGCTCAAATGCATGCAACTTCATAGGATTTAATAACAATTTAGTGTTTCTAAACATTTTTCTCTACCAGGATAATTTGATAGAAGAGATACACGCACGCATATACACACACACACACAGCCCAAAACCAAAAGGCAAAACCAAAAATAAATAAATAAACCAAGGATCATAACAGACCTCAGAGGACCAGATTTCAAAAGCATCTGTATGTGTAATCCTGATAAATGTACAAATAGATGCCCATCTGGTCATGCACTGTACTCATTTAGAAGCTATATTTTTAAATGCTAGGTTATTATATATGGAACAAATGCATGGCAAATACAAAGTATATGGATGTGCTTTATTATTTTCACATCGAATTTAAACTTTAGGAAACTAATACTCTGAAATACTGAAAGATTATTTGTAGGCATTAAATTTCAAAGGAATACTGGCATTCCTGATTGCTTGACTGCAAACATTAATTGCCCACTCTTTGATCCATGCTATCTTATAAACAGTATGTATTTGCAAAGGTTAGACAAATAGGATGGCTTTGGTGCCGACACTGTCACTTGAGGATGCGTGATGAAAGATTCAGCGCTGTTAGAGTGGAAGGAGAAGGGTAACTCATAGATTGCAGAAACTGACATCATATGAAACAGTATGTTGAGTTGTAATGATCTCTATGGTAATATTTTGGAATTTCTTCTTCAGGACTATCAGACCTGGTTAGATTTGCGAGAGCTGGAATGCAAAATCGGGGAGCGCTACATCACCCATGAAAGTGATGACCTGAGGTGGGAGAAGTATGCAGGCGAGCAGGGGCTGCAGTACCCCACACACCTGATCAATCCAAGTGCTAGCCACAGTGACACTCCTGAGACTGAAGAAACAGAAATGAAAGCCCTCGGTGAGCGTGTCAGCATCCTCTGAGTTCCATCTCCTATAATCTGTCAAAACACTGTGGAACTAATAAATACATACGGTCAGGTTTAACATTTGCCTTGCAGAACTGCCATTATTTTCTGTCAGATGAGAACAAAGCTGTTAAACTGTTAGCACTGTTGATGTATCTGAGTTGCCAAGACAAATCAACAGAAGCATTTGTATTTTGTGTGACCAACTGTGTTGTATTAACAAAAGTTCCCTGAAACACGAAACTTGTTATTGTGAATGATTCATGTTATATTTAATGCATTAAACCTGTCTCCACTGTGCCTTTGCAAATCAGTGTTTTTCTTACTGGAGCTTCATTTTGGTAAGAGACAGAATGTATCTGTGAAGTAGTTCTGTTTGGTGTGTCCCATTGGTGTTGTCATTGTAAACAAACTCTTGAAGAGTCGATTATTTCCAGTGTTCTATGAACAACTCCAAAACCCATGTGGGAAAAAAATGAATGAGGAGGGTAGGGAATAAAATCCTAAGACACAAATGCATGAACAAGTTTTAATGTATAGTTTTGAATCCTTTGCCTGCCTGGTGTGCCTCAGTATATTTAAACTCAAGACAATGCACCTAGCTGTGCAAGACCTAGTGCTCTTAAGCCTAAATGCCTTAGAAATGTAAACTGCCATATATAACAGATACATTTCCCTCTTTCTTATAATACTCTGTTGTACTATGGAAAATCAGCTGCTCAGCAACCTTTCACCTTTGTGTATTTTTCAATAATAAAAAATATTCTTGTCAAAATATGTGTCCACCTCATTGAACTATTTTCATTCATCGTTCACACTAGGGTTTTCAGGCCAACTAGGAGCAGAAGTGTCTGCTCAAAAAGCAGGAAAAAAGCTCATAGTGTAGAATGTAGTTTTATCTACTCTGAAGCAGTAAAAGTATGTTTCAAAGTGGAGTGAGGCCTTCCTGTCTTGCATGTGGTTTAATTTCTAATAGAAAGGAAGGCTTTCAAAGTGAAAAGTGACCAAAGCCAAACAGAGTGCTTGGAGGCATAGTTAGGATGACTCTGAGTAGTTGGAATATTGCAAATAGCATCTTAATGTAGCTTCCTGATTTAGTCAATATAAGCTAGAGATTTATTAGAATACCAGATCTGGTTTCTTTTCATATGATCTAAAGATGGTTCTGAGGTGAACCAAAAAATACTAGAAAGTAATCCCTAAACAGAAAGGCATCTCAAGTGAAGTTCTACAGCCTGGAGAAGACAAATTGGACCTAGCAGATTTGAGGTATATAATATGAATAATGTGGGCTGTTTTCCTTAGTAGCAGGATGGGAATAGCATACTATGTAACAGAAAAAAAATTGTAATTAATGTTTGGAAGAATGTTACAAGAGTTGTGGAACACTTGAGTATATTAGATAAGTATGTTAAGACTGTACTCTTTCCACTTGGAGGAATGAGGGGACAATAGATAATCTTTCCAATTATTAGTCTCTGTTTTGTATTACTATTGAACTTTAACAAGTATAAAAATTTTAAAGTTCCTTCATCTGCTTTTCTCTAGGGGTAGGGTGTGTGTGTGTGCGTGTGCTCATGCATGCACAAGTGAATTTGCATACACAAGCATACATGTACCACCAACTTGAAAGAATAGAATGTAAATCAGTAAGACAATAACTCTCTCGCCAACCTAGGAATATAACTGACACCTTTTCTATGATACCTTTTCTAAGCAATTTCAGGAAAATGGAAAAGGAGTGGAAGCATATAAAGTTTTTCCCTCTTAATATGTGCGTAATATAAATTAGAGGCTTATTGTTTGAATTATGATAATTTATATAGTTTATATGCCTATGTTTTATCAGCTGCAGTATAAAATGTAATCAATAACTTTTCTTGCTTGATATGGGATTCTAAAAAGATTATAGGAAAAGAAACTATGATAATATTATCCATATAGTATAAAATATCCTAGAGTCCTTGATTGGCAAGAGTAACCAAATATTACTGTACATTATAAAACCACACAGAAGTTGATTATCCATGCAGCAAAAAATTATTTCACATCTGTTCTACACAGCTCTTTGCTAGATTCTAAGATTTTGTAATGTGAATAAGACATGGTCCCTGCACAAAATAAATTTATTATATAGAAGTGAATAAACAAATTTGGTGCTTTTAGAAAATAAGATGTAAAGGTATAAAGCATCAAGGAGAACAGTTAATAATGGAGAAAGAAAGCAACAGAATGATGTTTGAGCAGAGCTAGAAAAAATCATAGGAATATACCTGGCTGAAAGTAGGAGAAAACAGCATGAACGAAGACATGAAGGTCCAAAGAGGACTGTTAGAAAGACAAAAGTACTTCTTTATAACAGAAGAATAAAAGTAAGGAAGAACTGAAGAAGTCCATCCAGTAGAAATGGGTGATGATCTTGGTCTGGAGGCCCTTGTGTGTTATTCTGGGTATTCGGGATTTATTCTGTGTAAATCCCAGGAAACCAACATTGTTTAAGCTGAAAGGAAGGATTAATCAGAAGAAGTTAGAGATGTAGAGTGAGTTCACATTTTAACATTTGTATATGAAGTTCCTGTAGGACACCCAAGTTTGAAATGTTCTAAAAGTAGTTAGCTATGAGTCTGGGGTTTAGGAAAGAAATCTGGAATTGAAGATAGAGATTTGAAAGTCAACATCCCACAATATGTTAATGGGGAATGACTCATCCCTGGGGGAAAATAAATATAATGAAAGGAAAGTGGTCTTAGGGCACAAACCTGAGAAGTATTGATTTGGAAGGATCCGTCAGAATATGAGGAAAATTGAAAAGTAATTTTCAGAGGTAGAATCAAATGGAGTAATATTACAGAAATCAAGAGAAGAAATAATTTCAAGGATTAAGTAGGTAACAGCAGAACATGTTATGGCAAGATCATGGATTTAGCCTTTTGGGGGCACCCTTAGCAACTATTTCAGCAGTTTGTAGTGAACAGCCCTTTCCTGCTGCATTCAGAGTAGCTATGTCTAAAGAATTTCTGCGTGGCAATGATACTGACACAGCCTATACTGCAGTGTCATCAAGCAAAGGGGTGAGAAAACAACTGCCAATGTCAAGGAAAAAAGTGGGCCACTAAGAGTCATGCCACTTTCCGCCACCAGCAATATTAGTGAAGATGCAAAGACTCCAATTTTAGTAAATCAGCACCCACTTCTGTGCTAAATACCAGCAATAAGTTTGCCAAGACTTCACATCCATGGTATATTATAAAAAATAATGTGGGCAGGTTAGTAGTTTATATTTAATACAAGATGCAGATTAGCATTTTTGATGCAGAAAAGGTATCTTTTATCATTATGACAAAAGTAAAAGAAGTGACAGAAACTCATTTGAGGAAAGATGTGTCCTCTATCATTGTCACAGAGGCAATATTTCTTCAAACAACCATATTATTGTCAGCTCACCCAAGATGCTATGAAAATTGCTAGTCTCTATGTATCCAGAACCATTAGAGCAAACTACCATGGTTCTTGCTTTTGGCCTGAGCAAGGGGACAGCCTTGAGAGAAATGTTTTCATCAGTGATGCTTTTTATATGTCCATTATCCCTAAGGAAGAAATAATCTTTGAGTTTAGTGAATACACACTCTGATAGAGACAATTTTGAGAAATCTATGGTCAGCCGTTTCACTGAATGTATATAATAAGTACAGTGATTAAAATAAGAAAGCCATCTGTCCCCTGCTCTCTTCATTCATTATCCAATCAATATTCACTTTGACGACCTTCATAAAGTAACTAAATTTTGCATACCCTTTGCTTAGGCCTATCTTAAGGAACCAAATACTAGTTCATCTGAAGACACATTAAGGCCCATGGAGAAGGGTCTGCTTCCTTTAATTGCCAAAAGGTTGCACACTCTTTCATCTCTGATCTTTCCACATTGCCTGAAACATTGTTCTCTCTGCCCCCTCCCTCTACTGTGTTAATACCTATTAATCCTTTTGCCATTTGTTTGGCCTATGTCTCCTGTCTTTTTTGTTCCCCTGCTCCTCTTTAACTGCCTCTTTTGTGCTAGATACATATTTTTAGTGTAATATTTTAATTCCTTTGTTGAATTTTTACTATTTGTTTTAGTTATTTTATTGATGATTCCTCTAGGGATTATAATATGCATATTACTTATCGCTACTTCAAATTAACCCTAACTTAATTCCAGTGAAATATACGAAATTTGCTCCAATATAGCTCCATTCCCACCACCCTTTTTTGTGATATTATTGTCATATATATTACAGTTGTATGTATTGAAACCATTTTGTAATAGTGTTTTATGCAATTATTCTTTAAATCAGTTAAGAGAAGAAAGGAGAAAAATATTTTTTCCTTTACATTTACTTACCTTTTCCATTGTTCTTTGTCTTTTTCATGTAGATTAAAGGTATTATTTATTGAGTGTCATTTTTATTCTTCCTGAATATCTTTCTTTAGTGTTTCCTTGAGGCAGGTCTGCTAGCAACAAATTCCCAGTCTTTGTATATCTGGCAATGTTTTTATTTCACCTCAGTTTTTGAAGTAAAATTTTGCTGGGTATAAAATTATTCATTGACAGATTTTTTTCCCTCAGTATTTTAAATATGTCATCCTGCCACCTTTTACCCTCTATTATCTCTCATGAAAGATCACCTTTAATCTTACTGTGGTTTCCTTACATGTGATTAATTGCTTTTCTCTCACTGCTTTCAATATTTTCTCTTTGTCTTGCAACAGTTTAACTATGATGTGTCTAGATGTTTTTTGTTTGTTTGTTTGTTTGTTTGCTTTTTCTTTGCGATTAGCCTACTTGGGTTTGTTGCAGTTCTTGGATGTGTAGATAAATAGTTTTCCATCCAATTTGAGAAAAATTAGGCCATTATTTCTTCAAAGACTTTTCTCTCGCTTCTTATCTTATCTGTCTGGGACTCACATTACATATAAATTGGAGTGCTTTGGTGAGTGGCAAAGGTTTCTGAGGCTCCATTCATTTTTCTTCATTCTTTTACTTTGTGTTCTTCAGATTGGTTAATCTATATTGATGTGTCTTCAGCTTCATTGGTTCTTCCTTCTACCAGAACAAATCTGCTGTTAAGTACCTCTGGTGATTTTTTCTTTCTTTCTTTGGTTCTATTTTATTATGAAATACACTTATCTTTTTTAAGAAATGTTTTATATTGACCGAGTCACTGTTATTATACTATCCTTTAATTCTTTACATGTGTTCTCCTGAGTCTTTAAAGCATATTTTTAACAGCTGCTCTGAAGTCTGTCTATTAGCTCCAACATTTGGGTCTTCTCCCTCTCTTTCCACCTCATCACAGACAATTTCCATTGAAATCCCCAAATTGTGATGTATGCATTCACATTTTGTTGTTGCTTTTTCATGCCTTGTTGAAAACTGGATATTTTAAATAATGTGTCATAACAACTCTGTATCATGATCCATCCCCCCAGTAGCTGTTGCTGTTGCTATTTGTTTGTTTAGTAACTTTCCAAAATTATTTCTCTAGAATCTATCTTCCGCATAGTAGGCAGCTGCTGATGCCTCTGATGGGTGTTTTGTTTTTTTAATGTTTTGTTGTTGTTGTTGTTTTTACTTTAAGTCTGCCTGCCTAGGAGCCACCTCTGTAACAGAAGAGCTTAGTGGTCAAACAATAATAGTTCAGACATTGTGTTTAAGTACCTTGAGCCAATAAAGCTTCTACTCTTTTCTGATTTATCTAAGTGTGAGTTAAGTTCAAACAGTTAATACATTGCCCCAGCTCCTTTTACTTTGTGTGTGTGCAAGGCCTTACATTCAGTCAGGGAAGAGTAGATGCCTAAGGCTTTCTTCAGTCTCTTCTGAGTGTGTATGGAGCCTTATAAATACATGTAGCCTTTCAGCCACCAGGGATATGTAGAAACTTTCTCTGTATCTTCCTATTAAATTTCTGATTGTTCTACTAGTCTTTTCATTGCCCCAATCAGTATTCTAACCTAACAGAGTTGCAACACTGGCCTTCCATGCATCAGTATTCCAACTTAAAGAGAGCTGCAACATTGTCCTTCCATGACTGTTTGCAACCGACATTGCTATTGTCAGCCCCCTCCATTAGCAAGGTTCCTTGTTTTTCCCAGCCTGCCTCACTCTAGTAGAACTGCCTTTTCAGAGGGCAGATAATAGGGGATAATGGGAGCAAGCTAAAAGGCCGTAGATTCCCATTATTCTTACTTAGTTTTAGTAGTTTTTCTCAAATAAATGCTTAGTAATTTCATGTCTGCTCTTGGCCAATTTCTAAAGTCCTAAATTTGTTGTTTCAACAACTTTTCCAGTTATATCATTGCCCTTTGGGAAAGGATTTGCTGAGGGTTTCATGTTGCTATTCTAGAAGTCCCCAGAGATTATGTTAAACTAATTTAAGAATGTTCATAAGACATTAAACAAAATTTATATAATCTATTATAAATGAAAATACAAAATGAGTTAGAAACTTTCAGAGAATTCCAAGTTTTCTCTTGTTTTCAAATTTCTTATGATGAGCTACTAAACTATCAGGTCATTAAATGTTAATTCTCTTGAGAGTAAAACATCTAATTTAAAAATTACATTTAATCCATTTCTTCCTCTTGTGGGCTCTGAGTGTCTGAACATTATGACTCCCTGTACCCGAATGGGTAAAAGCATTCTCTATCTCTTTAATAAAATATGAGTGGGTGTAGATGTAGCCCACATAAACCTTTAAACCCTAAGAGCTAATCTCATCTAACAGCAACATGCCATTCGAGGAGGACCTGCCAAATTGTTTTTCCATATACAAAAATGTAGCACCAGGGATAACTATTCTGCATAATTTCCTCAGCATTGTGAGCTCCTTTGTTTTTTTGTCCTTCTGATTTGAGTTGTTTATTTTTCAACTCACTCTAAACTTTTCTTGCGCTTTCAGTGAACGAACTGTTTTTTGTTTTGTTTGTTTGTTTAATTTGAGTAACCTTCTAACTGACTCTTCTCCTTATGCTTTCTTACCTCCATTGAAACAGACTCCACCACCACAGTCACCAGTTGTTCCTGGTGTGTTTGGTTTCTAACAACAAATTATTGTTTGATTTTCTACAAGCTCAGTCACACACACACAGACACACACACACACACACACACACACACACACACACACATATATATATATATATATATATATATATGTCAGCATGGATCTTCTTTATCCTTCTAGCAAACATTTTCTATATTTTATTTCTCTACCAAATTTGTGACATTTTTTCTCTTTGCTTTCTGTGTGTATATCCCATAAAATAAAATCCTATTTTTGTTTAAGTTTTACTTTGGGTTTGGGGATACATGTGATGGTTTGTTCCATAGGTAAATTTGTGTCACACTCAGGTCGTAAATTTGTTCTACAGATTTAAAATCCTAATTTTTATCACCAATAAATCTCTTCTCATAAGAATGATCAATGGCCTTTAACTTAATATTGATCAATTCTCTCAATATAGTGTAGAGGTTAAAAACCCAAATGTGTAGACAGACAAAACTTGGCTTGAATTCTGGGTGATAATGAAAACATTGTACTATCATGTCTTTTTCAGAGTGTTTAAGAGATTAAATGGAATAATGAATCTAAAACAGTGAATATTTGTCCCATGGCATCGATAACAGATTCAATAAGTAATATTTATTATTATTTAGCCATTCAACAAATATTTTCAACCACTTTTTATGTGCTGGCAATATAGTAGATGAAAATACTGATGTGGTTACTTCCCATATTCCCTATGGCCTTCCTTCTCTGATGTCCTGCCTCCATCTGTTTTGGTGAGGTAATGAAAAGGACATGAACTTTGAAGCCGGACAGGTGTGGATCCAAGTCCTATTCCAAGACTTGCGTGAACTTAGGCAAAGTACTGTAAAGTCTCTGAGCCTTATTCTTCTCAGGAGTAGGACTATGATGATATATATTTTCCAGTGCAGTTGGGATAGCTAAGTAGACACATATTTAAATTTCTTAGCCAAAATCCTGGCATATATTGCAGTTCAACAAATGCTAATCTACTCCTCACACCTACCTCTGTATGTGGTTCCTAATGTTTTCTTATTTTGTCTGTTAATATTTTTCCCTCTGAAATGATTTATTCCCATGAACTCAGCTATTACCTTCACTCCCAAAAGTACAATCCAATTTCATCTCTATGAATTGATAGAACATTTTTTATCTGAAGGTCCAACCATGTTTTAAATTCAACAGATCTAAAATCACAATTGTTATTTTAGCCTCAAATCAGCTGTACTATATAGACTTCTAAGTGTAACCTTTCAGGCTTTTCTTCTTCTAATGCACTCTACACTCCACAGCCAGATTTATCTTCCTCCAAATTGCTTTCTTCATTGTACTCATGTATTTTGAAATTTTCAAAGACTTTGCTCACAGTTATCTACAAGATAAATGAAAATGTCTTCATGTTACAAAAACTGTGGGGTCCAAATATTAATAAAGTACTGATATGGCTTGGCTGTGACCCCACCAAAATCTTATCTTGAATTTTATCTCCCATAATTCCCATGGGTTGTGGAAGGGACCTGGTAAGAGGTAAATGAATCATGGGGGCAGGTCTTTCCTGTACTGTTCCCTGATACTGAATAAGTCTCGAGAGATCTGATGGTTTTATAAAGGGGAGATCCCCTGCACATGCTCTCTTGCCTGCCACAAAAGATGTAACTTTGCTCCTCCTTCACCTGCCATAATTGTGCGGACTCCCCAGCCATGTGGAACTGTGAGCCAATTAAACCTCTTTTCTTTATGAATTACCCAGTCTCAGCTATGTCTTTATTATCAGCATGAGAGCAGACTAATACAATAAATTGGTACTGGGAGTGGGGAGCTGCTGTAAAGATGCCCAAAAATGTGGAAGCAACTTTGGAAGTGGGCAACAGGCAGAGATTGGAACAGTTTTGAGGGCTCAGAAGACAGGAAGATAGGGAAAAGTCTGAAACTTCCTAGAGACTTGTTGAATGGCTTTGACCAAATGCTGACCATCTCAGAGTGAGATGAGAAACTTGTTGGGAAGTGGAATAAACGTGACTCTTGCTGCATTTTAGCAAAGAGACTGGCAGCATTCTGCTCCTATCCTAGAGATCTGCAGAACTTTGAACTTGAGAGTGATGATTTAGGGAATCTGGCAGAATAAATTTCTAAGCAGCAAAGCATTCAAGATGTGACTTCAGTGCTGTTAAAAGCATTCAGTTTTATGTATTCACAAAGATACAGTTTGAGATTGGAACTTACGTTTAAAAGGGAAGCAGAGCATAAAAGTTCAAAAAATTTGCAGCCTGACAATGTGATAGAAAAGACAAAGCTATTTTTCTGAGGAGAAATTCAAGCTGGCTGTAGAAATTTGCATAAGTAATGAGGAGCCAAATATTAATCACCAAGACAATGGAGAAAATACCTCCAGGCCATGTCAGAGACTTTGTTGGCAGCCCTGGGATCACAGGCTTAGAGACCTAGAAGGAAAAATGGTTTTGTGGGCCAGGCCCAGGGCCCCCTACTCTGTGCAACCTTGGGACTTGGTGCCCTGCATCCCAGCTGCTCCAGCTGCGGCTAAAAGGAACCAAGGTATAGTTTGGGCCGTGGCTTCAGAGGCTGCAAGCCCCAAGTCCTGGCAGCTTCCATGTGGTGTTGAGCTTGTGGGTGCACAGAAGTCAAGAACTGAAATCTGGGAACCTCTGCCTAGATTTCAGAGGATGTATGGAAATGCCTGTTTGTCCAGGCAGAAGTTTGCTACAGGGTTGGAGCTCTCATGGAGAACCTCTGCTAGGGCAGTGCAGAAGAGAAATATGGGTTCAGAGCCCCCACACAGAGTCTCCACTGGGGTACTGCCTAGTGGAACTATGAGAAGAGGGCCACTGTCCTCCAGACCCCTTAATGGTAGATTCACTGACAGTTTGCACTGTGTGCAGGAAAAGCTGCAGACAACACCAGCCCATGAAAGCAGCCAGGAGAGGGGGGTGGGGGGCACTGTACCATGCAAACTACAGGGGCAGAGATGTCCAAGACCATGGCAACCCAGCTCTTGCATCAGCATGACCTGGACATAAGACATGGAATCAAAGGAGATCATTTTGGAGTTTTAAGATTTGTCTGCCCCACTGCATGGTTCCTATAGTCCCTTCATTTTGGCCAATTTCTCTCATTTGGAATGGGTGTATTTACCCAATGCCTACACCCCCATTGTATATAAGGCATAACTAACTTGCTTTTGATTTTACAGGATCATAGGTGGAAGGAACTTACCTTGTTTTAGATGAGATTTTGAACTGTGTACTTTTGAGTTAATGTTGAAATGAGTTAAGACTTTGGGAGACTGTTGGAAAGGCATGATTGGTTTTGAAATCTAAGAACATGAGATTTGGGAGGGGTCAGAGGTGAAATGATATGGTTTGGCTGTGTCCCCACCCAAAACTTTTCTTGAATTTCCATTTGCAAATTCTCTGAACTTTCATGCTCCGCTTCTCTTTTAAACTAAGTTGTAGTTCCCATAATTCTCACATGTCATAGGAGAGACCTGGTGGGAGGTAATCAAATTATGGAGGTAGGACTTTTTCGTGTTGTTCTCATGATAGTAAATAAGTCTCATGAGATCTGATGGTTTTATAAAGGGGAGTTCCCCTGCACATGCTTTCTTGCCTACCACCATGTAAAACATGACTTTGATCCTCCTTCACCTTCTGCCATAATTGTGAGGCCTCCCCAACCATGTGGAACTGTGAGTCAATTAAACCTCTTTACTTTATAAGTTACCCAGTCTCGGGTATGTCTTTGTTAGCAGTGTGATAACAGACTAATACAGTAAATTGGTACCAGGAGTGGGGTGGTGCTGTAAAGATACCTGAAAATGTGGAACTATGTCCATAAAAACTCCAGGTATCCCATGGATTTCTGGACCATAGATATGAATGTCAGGGCTTTGATATAATTTTCACCTCATTGAATTCATTTCTCATTTTGATATCAAGACAAGAATCTGAACAAGGTATCTTCTAACATATGTTTTAATTCATAGATTTTTGCGAAAGCCATGGTTTAATTTGGATGGGTCCAAGTCCTAACTTCGAGACTTGTATGAAATTAGACAAACTACTTTAAACTCACTGAGCCTTATTCTACTCAGGAGTAGAACTGCAATGACAATAACTGCAATGAAATAACAGTGTATCAATAATGCATACATTTTATCAACTCTTTTAATTAAATGTATCTATTTTTAATTGGCAATAATTGTGTATATTTATGGAAAACAATGTGATGTTTTTATCTATGTGTACATGGTAGAAAGATTAAATCAAGGTAATTAACACATTCATCAACTCACCAACGTATCTTTCTTTTTAGTGGTAAGAATGTTAAAAATGTATTCTTTTAGCAATTTTGAAATATACAACAAATTATAATTAACTGTGGTCACCATGCAATGCAACAGATCACTAAAACATATTCCTGTAGTCTGACTGAAACTTTGTAAACTTTCATCAACATCTCCACTTTCCCCATCCCTCTACTTGCTACCTCAGCCTCTGGTAACCACCTTTCTACTCAGTTTCTATGACTTTGAGTTTTTTAGATTTCACATATAAGTAAGATCATACAATATTTGCCTTCGTGTGCCTGACTTATTTCACTTTTATAATATCCTCCAGGTCCATCCATTTTGTCATAAATGACAGAATTTTCTTCTTTTCTCAGGCTGTGTAGTATCTCATCATGTATATATACTGAGTTTTATTTGTCCATTAACCTGTTGATGAATACTAATGTTGCTTTCATATCTTGGTTATTGTGAATAATGCTGAAATGAACATGGGAGTGCAGATATCTCTTCAACACCACTTTCAATTCCTCTGGATATATACCCAAAAGTGGGATTGCTGGATAATATTTTCGATTTTCTTTATGTTTTCTAATTCTCTAAGATAAATGCTGTTTTGAAAAAGGAAATGTCATATCCTTATGTGGACCTCTTTTGTATCTTACATTGTGTTTAGGAACTTCTGAGAATAGACAGTTTCTTTAAGTGAATATGGACTACTTTAAGTGAATATGGAGCTACTCCCTGCTGCAAAGGGTGAACATTTTTTGTAAATTCATTTCTGTACCTTAAGTGAAATAGTAACATATTGAATTAAGATTTTTTTTCTGGGAATGGAAGAATCTTCACATCTTACGTGGTTTTAAAGAATGTATTGGGTGGGGATGGTGGCTCACATCTGTAATCCCAGCACTTTGAGAAGCTGAGGCAGAAGAATCACTTTGAGCGCAGGAGTTTGAGACAAGCCTGGGCAACAAAGCAAAACCCTGTCTCTACAAAAAATAATAAAAAAATAAAAATTGCCAGGTTCTGGGGTGTGCACCTGTAGACCCCAGCCATTCAGGAATCTGAGAGGGAGGATCCCTCAGTCACAGGAGTTTGAGGTTGCAGTGGGTTATGATCACACCACTGAACTCCACACCTGTGTGACAGGGCAAGACTCTGTCCCCACCACACCCCAATTTTTTTTCTCCCACCTCAGGCCCCTGAGTAGCTGGGACCACAAGCACACACCACCTCACCTAGCTAATTTTTTTATTTTTTGTAGAGACAGGTTTTGTTGTGTTGCCCAGGCTGGTCTCAAACTCCTGAGCTCAAGCCACCCACCCACCTTGGCCTCCCAAAGTGCTGGGATTACAGGCGTGAGCCACCATGCTTGGCCTGAGTCTTTTCTTTTTGGGATATTGAGCTTGGCTTGCTCAGAGAACTGAGGTTGAGGTTTATTTCAGTTTTGAACACTGAGTGATCTCAATTATCAAGGAACTTCAAATGGATTATTTTTATTTTCTCCTCATAATTTTGTCTCCACACTTGAAGGTAGATAATATCTAGTATTGGTTGACTGCTAGATTCCACTACCTTCCCAGAAACAGGGATTGCTAGAGACAAATACCTGAGTGTGACCCGTATATGTAGGTCTCATATAAAATCTCTAACAAACTCGATTTTTTGCAGTAGTTTTTGCTTCTCTGGATTGAGGCAGAGAAGCAGGAGCATCAGTTGAATAAAAATATAGAAGGAAGAATGAACCTAACATGCATGGGGGAAAAGGTCCTAATGAAATACTGGGTTCCTATAGAAGTAGACTCAGGAAATAACATTGTCCAGGTTAAACAGAGATAGATTATCAAAGGCCTCAAATATCAGAAAGAACCGTTCATTCTTGGTCCCAAAATAAGTACCGCAGATCTATGACAAGAGGAATTGTGGATTTTTTTAAATTTTGTTATTAACAAAAAGGCTATACAATTTTGGTTTGGGGTCCATGAATTTAAATAATATCTTTAAGTTGTGCTTGTGTTCCTAAGTAGATTAAATGATTTAAAAATAGTAATAGAAGCAGAGTCCAAATTAAACTGACTGTATTTTTTTTTTACTTTCTTTTGAAGGCAGTGCACTGTTTTATTATCAGACTTTCATTTCTTCTTTATACTTGATTCCCTCATTCAGAAACCCAGATAAGCTAAGGACATCTCAGAGGAGATACGAACTTGAAGCATGTTCTTTAGGCAAAACTGTGAAGAATAAGCCACATTTGGACTTCATAGAATCGTAGCTTGTGTACACAGAGAAATAATCATTAGAGCCAATTATCTTTAGACAGACTGATATTTCAAATTCTAATTACAAAGTTTTATCCTCATTAACACATGAGTTTCATTTTATATCTTGGCTACCACATTTTATTGTTACAATTCATTAAAAATAATGTGAAAAATGAAGATGATCATAAGCTTCAGCATTTAAGCAAAAGAAAAAAATAGTGCCTGGGTAATAACAACACTTTATATTTGCATAGCAACTTCCTTTTAAGGAGTTCAAAACATTTCACAAACATTATCTCATTAATCTTATGAGTACTGCAATAAAAAATAATTTCTTAGATCTCTGAACAAGGGAAATTGATAAATGAAATGGCCACAGTTTGCTTTCATTGTTGAACATTAAATTATGAACATATACAGTATTCATATTTATTTATCATTATTTTAAAATTTCAGTAAAATTGACCTCTTTCAGTATACACTTCTATGAGTTTTAACACATTTAGATTAGTATAACTACCACCATATTCAGGACACAGAACAGTCCTATCACTCCAAAAATCTTTGTACTACTCCTTAATTATCAAATATTTTCCCACATTTACTTCTGAAAAACATTGAACTGCCCTACATCCCTACTATGTTGCTTTTTTCAGAATCCCATATAAATGGAATCACATAGTATGTAACCTTTGGAGGTTTGCTTCTTTCTGTCAGCATAATGCCTTTCAGATCTACCTGTGTTGTTTGTGGATCAATAGTATATTTATTTTATTGCTGAGAAGTATTCCCTTGTATGGATGTATCCAGTTTGTTTATCCATTAACCAATTAGAAGACATTTAGGTTATTTCCAGTTTGGATTGATTATTAATAGAGCTGCTATATATATTTGTACACAGATTTTTGTGTGGCAATAAGTATAATTTCTCTAGGTTAAATGCTCATCAGTGGGATTGCTGGATTATTATATGGTAAGTGCATGTTAACTTTATGTGAAACTAACAAGCTGTTTTTCAGAGTGTCAACATCATTTGGAGTTCCTATCAGCAATTTATGAAAGTCCCAGTTTTTCTGCATTCTCACTAGCATTTGGTATTGCCACTTTAAAAATTATTATTTTAACTCTTCTAATCTGTGTGTGGTGGTATGTCATGGTGACTTTCACTTGCATTTCCATGATGGCTAATGACACTCAATATCTTTCATGTGTTTATTTTTCATCAGTATACCTCCTTTTGTGAGGTGCCTGTTCAACTATTTTGCACTTATAAGATCTTGGAGCTTTTTGTATATTTCTTAGAATATTCTACACAGACAGTCATGTGCATGTATAGTCAACTTTACTTCTTTCTTTTCAGTTTTATTTATTTCTTGGCTAATTTCATCTAAGTTATTGTGTGCATGAATTTAATGCATACAGATTTGTCTGTATTTTTTTCCTTGTTATGCTTTTAATATGAGGAGTCTGCAATGATTTTCTGTTTTTCACTCCTGATTTTGCCAATGTGTCTTCTCTCCATTTTTTTTGTTAGTTTAGAGGTTTATCAATTGCATTGATCTTTTCAAAGAACCAGCGTTTAATTTAATTGATTTTTTTTCTACTGCTTTTTTTCTTTTTCTTTTTCTTTTCTTTTTTTTTTTTTTTTTTTTGAGATGGAGTCTCACTCTGTCACCAGTCTGGAGTACAGTGGCCGATCTCGGCTTGCTGTAACCTCTGCCTCCAGCTTCAAGCCATTCTCCTGCCTCAGCCTACTGAATAGCTGGGATTACAGGTGCATACCACCACGCCTGGCTCATTTTTGTGTTTTTAGTAGAGATGGGGTTTCACTGTGTTGGCTAGGCTGGTCTCCAACTTCTGACCTCAGGTGATCCGCCCACCTCAGCTTCCCAAAGTGTTAGGATTACAGGCGTGAGCCACCTCGCCCAGCTTGTTTTAAATTTTCTTGGCCAAGCTTTATTATTCCCTTTCTTTTGCTTGTTTCAAGATTATTTGTTATTCTTTTTTCTAAGTTCTTATGCCAGGTCTTACGTTTTTGGTTTGAGACTTTTATTTTTAATATAGCATTTTAATGCTATACATTTCCCTCTAAGCACTGCTTTAGCTGTGTGTCTCAAATTTTGGTATGTTGCATTTTAATTTTTTTATGTTCAAAACATTTTTTAACTGTTCTTTAGTCTTTCTTTCTGACCCATGAATTTTTAGAAGTATATTCTTTACTTTTCAAGTATTTGAAGGCCTTTCTGTTATCTTTCTATTATTGACTTCTATTGTAACTCCATTATGATTAGGCAATGTACTTTGTATGATTTTAATTCTCTTGAATTTGTTAGTATTTATTTATGACCAAGAATATGACTGACCTTGAGAATGTTTCATGGGTACTTGAAAAGTATATTTACTTTTGTTGGGTGGAGCACTCCACAAGTGTTACCTAAATCTAGTTGATTGATGGTGTTGCTCAGTTTTTCTATATTCTTGTGGTTAGTGTTTGCATGGAATGTTTTTTCCATTCTTTTATTTTAAACCCACAAAAATAATTATATAAAATGAATTTCTTGCAAATAGGTAGGTCTTGGGTTTTTTCTTCTATCTGCTATAAAGGTATATTTTTTAAATCTTATGTTCAGATCATTTAAATTTAGTATCATTATTAATACTTTTAGATGTTGGTTTACCATTATATCATTTTTTAAATTTTATTTCTCTCTATTTTTTATTCCCTTATTTCCCCTGTCTGCCTTCTATTGAATTATTAGAATATTTTTTAGTATTCTATTTTAGTTTGTCTATTGAGAATTTTACTTTTTTTATTGTATTTTTGGCTAGTGGTTGATCTAAGGATTATCAAATACATACTTAATTTTTCAAGGTCCATGTAAAACATGAATATCTTACCATTCAGGTGGAATATAGAAACGCTAGTAGCTATTAGTTCCCTTTACTCTTCTCTTTATGTGGTGGTTTTAATAGGCATTATATGTACATATATTGAAAGTCACATTATATTATTATAATAATTGCTTTCAATCATCATACACATTTTAAGAGTTTAAGGGAGGGATTTGTCTGCTATAATTACTATAATTCTCTGAAACATAGTGTTTCTATTATCCTTCTGGGATACTAATAACACAAACTTCAACCTTTCGCTATTGTCCCACATATTCCTCAGGCTTTGTTGTTGTTGTTTTTAAATCTTTTTTTGCTATTGGCCTATATTCAAGTTTCCTGACTAATTCCTCTGTCCCATTCTGTTTTTTGTTTTTTGTTTTGTTTGTTTGTTGTTTGTTTGTTTTGAGATAGAGTCTCACTCTGTTGCCCAGGCTGGAGTCCAATGGTATGATTTTGGCTCACTGCAACCTCTGCCTCCCCGGTTCAAGTGATTCTCCTGCCTCAGCCTCCCCAGTAGCTGGGACTACAGGTGCATGCCACCATGCTCAGCTATTTTTTGCATTTTTAGTAGAGATGGAGTTTCACCATGTTGGCCAGGATGGTCTCGATCTCCTGACCTCATGATTCACTCACCTCGGCCTCCCAAAGTGCTGGGATTATAGTGTGAGCCATCGCTCCCGGCAACCCCCATTCTGTTCTTGAATCCGTCAGGTGAGTTTTTATTTATTGTCATTTTTCAGTTCTAAAGTTTACTTTTGGTTCATTTTTATGTTTTCTATCATTCTGCTGAAATTCTATCTTTCCATTTTGTTTCAAGAGTATTTGGCATTATCTCAGAGTGCACTTAAAATTGCTGCTTTAAAGTCATTATCCGTTAATTCCCATATCTGTGCCACTCAGGATTGACATCTGTAATTTGTCATTTTTCTTGTGTGATGTTATTATTTCCTTATTTCTCTGTATGTTGAGTAACTTTTGGATTTTTATCCTGAATTTTCAAGTATTATATTTCTGTTTCGTTTAAATCTTACGGAGAATATTGATTGCTTTATTTGTTTCTTAATTTTAGTGGTCTTTAACTGATCCTGTTAAATTCAGCCTGCAAATTTCTACTTGCCTTCTGTGGGCTGTAATTCTGAAAAAGGGTTCAGTTTTTAAAATCTTTGCAGTGCTATTTGGATCTGTCTTTTGTGTGCACCACCCAGTATCAGTTTAGGACCCAGGTAGTTTACCCCATAATCTAGTTCTCAAAAGCTTTGATAAGCTGCTTAGAGTCAGATCTAGGTATTATAAACTGAGACCGAGCCCAGAAGTTTATACCCAACTTCCGGAGTTACTTTCTTGAGCTCCCTCCTCTCTATGATCTTCCTGATACATTCTGTTTTTCAGAAATCCCTTTTGTGATCTTCTGGCTAGAAAGCCAGGGATTTAGATTTTCTACTCCTCTTCATAATTACTATGACTCTGAATTTCTCCAGGACCAACCAGCAGGATACATAGAGAAAAAGTAACAATGGGGCACCTTTCATACTTTTGGGACCACAGTTCATCTGGCAAAAGAAAAGGGTTCCCTCATTTAGAGTTATTAGTGACTGCCTGACAGTCACTGCCACTGCTGTCACAGCTGTTTCAGGATTGCCTCGGTGGCTCGGGTGAGAAACAACAGTAAAGGGAGAAAAAATGACAACACGAGATTTCCCCAGTCTCTCTCACTCCAGTGGGCCTCCTTTCTGCTCCTTAGTCAAGAAATAGAGTTTCTCTTGGAGGTTTTCCTGCTGACATTCAATGGGCACTCTCACATTTTAGGCTGTCGTTGAGTTCATTCCCAGAAGATGTTAGAGAATTAGAATGGGCAATTCATTGCTGATTTGGTGATGATTCAAGTTCTGGTTTCTTTATCCAGTAGGCCTGCTACCATTTAATCTTCAGTATCCTCGGATAGCTGCCCTGTGCAGTATGTCGAGGGCTTTTAGTTGCATTTGGGGGAAGAGACAGGGTGGAATGTGTTTACCCAATTTTGACTGTAACCAGAAACCAAAGTTTAGATTTCTCGAGTCCTAGTCATCAAACCAATCTTGAAAGTATGCTTTAGTCTAGAGCCTAATATAAATGTCCAAACAATAATTATATGTAACACTTAGGTAGCTAAGGTGCCAAAAACTCAAGCATTTCATTTAACCTTTGTCATAATTCTATGAGAGTTTGGTAGACGTTCTATATATTTCCACAAAAGATAAGTGAACTCTGGTACAAAGATATTAAGTAAATTGCCCAAGGTCACATAGCTAATTGCTAATGGGGTCAGAATTTGAACCCAGGTACTCTGCCTCCAGAGTCCAAAGTGTTAATCACTACACATGTTCTAAGTTCTCTATTTTGTTTTGCTTTGTTTCAGCATACATGATGTTGCACACTTCTGGAAAAAATTTGAACCTGATTGTTATTACTACTGGCTTAACTTATATTACCCCAAGTATAGGGAGAAATAAGGATTAGTTGACAATGAGGTGATATTACTACTTCTGAGATGGGCCAAGGAAATACTCTGGGAATCAAAACAATTTTAAAGCCCCATTGATACTTTTTTTTTTTTTGAGACTGAGTCTCTCTATGTCGCCCAGGCTCGAGTGCAGTGGCGCAATCTCTGCTCACTGCAAGCTCCGCCTCCCGGGTTCACGTCATTCTCCCACCTGAGCCTCCCGAGTAGCTCGGACTACAGGCTCCCGCCACCTCGCCAGGCTATTTTTTTGTATTTTTTTAGTAGAGACGGGGTTTCACCATGTTAGCCAGGATGGTCTCGATCTCCTGACCTCGTGATCCGCCCGCCTTGGCCTCCCAAAGTGCTGGGATTACAGGCGTGAGCCACCGCACCCGGCCGCCCCATTGATACTTTAAAATGTGTGTTATATCAGCTGAATTTATTCACACAATTCTCCTCCCAACCCCCAGATTTTTAACCTCTAACGTTAAATAGAGAAGGTCATAAAGAGAGGTTTCTGCAGGAATCATTCACTGCTGAGGAAAAAAAAGTTTCTTAATTAAAACAATCAGTAGCTTTCACGTATTCATAAAATTAACTTTCTAATCAAGACACTAAACTAGTGTTATAAAAAGTGAAATCTATGGAGTAGGGCTGGTCATTGGGCACTACAAAATAAGTACAAAAATTGAAAGTAAATGCTTAGGAATATTTAAAACAATTTAGTAGAGTAATTGTATGCTGTTGAATATAATAATAAAAAAATTGGAATTGTATTTTATTGTCCTTTTTATTTTATTCTTATAGCAATTCATTTTAGTATGTTTTCCAAAAGTATAACTATGCAATGAATTAGAAACTTTTTTAAAAGTGATTTTTCACCACAACCAATTTGAGTCATGCTACACCAAAGCACAGGGCCTGCCTTCCTATTTTAAGAGATCCAATGGCAACATTAATTAGAACACAGGATCCTTGACATGGTTTTCTTTCTTCAACTCTTCTTAACATTTCTCAAAAGTGTGCAGGGAATTTTACGTAAGACTGTGTTTATTTGTAAGAGACAAAGGTCTGGCGAAGGATCACAAGAGCTCATTCTGAATCTGCCTCAAAGCTGGTGTTTATACTCATCATTTCTTCTCCTTCAAATTTAGGCTTGGAGAGTAAGTCCTTCTAGTTGCGTAGGAAGGGCCTAACAGCTGCTGTAGCAGGTGTGAAACACTGAGGCCCAGAAAGGTCCCTGCCTGGGGTTTGTGGGGAGCCAGAATATGCCACCCTAAAATATGAAGAATAGGTGAGTTGAAGACAAAAAGCAGCAGATGCAAGAAAGCTCTCTGCTCTCCTCTATTTGTCTAAAAGCATGACACACATTTACAAACACAAAAGGTATCCTGCCGCCTCTTCTCCCAGAGAGAACAAGATTAACCACTGAAGATAACTTTGGACCTTTATGGTCCTGGAGATAGCACAAGATACATCTGCATTAACAAGCTTCACTAACTTTTATCTGCCAATTACTTGCCTTCCCACAAGTTGTTGCCCCAAGAAACTCAAAGTCTTTTTCCTTTGCCTTGTCATTTATCTACGAGTTTACTGTTCCTTGTTGAATTTGCTATATAAGCTGGAATTCAAAGCCACCTCTTTGAAAACTACTCATTCTCTGGATGTCTCCTATGTATATATGAAATATACATGTTAATATACTTCTGTGTTTCTCTTATTAATCTGCCTTTTGTGATAGGAGTCCAGTCCAGCTAAGAACCGATGGGGATTATGTTTCCCCTACAGGTTTCTCAGGCGGTTGGATGTCCCTTTGGAGCACCATAGCGCTGTACTCTCAAACCTTGCAAGATAAAAAGGAATGAAGACAAAGGAGAGGGAATGGAAGGCCAGTGCAACTCAGTGAGTGTTCACTATTTCCTACTATCTCAACCCGGCCACTAACAAACAGCTCTCACTCCTTCAATTTAATCTGCTCAACTAATACCCATTAATAGTCTTTTTATTACCCATATAGTATATGAATGAATAATAAACTCAGCTAATACCTACTAATAGTTTTTTTTCACCCACATATTATATAAACACTGGTGTCTGGTTAAACATGAGAATCAACTCACTTCTCTGGAGGTTCCCTTACGTATCTAGAATTAGAGCTTAATGTAAAGTAATGTATTACTGCAAATATGCGATGTGTTTTTAGAGACAAAACTCACTCTGTGGAGACTGTGTTCCTTGTAAAATTTTTATTTATTTATTTATTTATTTATTTATTTATTTTTAAACAGACTCTCGCTCTGTTGCCCAGACTGGAGTGCAGTGGTGCAATCTCGGCTCACTGCAACCTCTACCTCCCATGTTCAAGCGATTCTCCTACCTCAGCCTCCCGAGTAGCTGGGATCACAGGTACACATCACCACGCCAGGCTAATTTTTGTATTTTTAGTAGAGACGGAGTCTCACCATATTGACCAAGCTAGTCTCAAACTCCTGACCTCAAATGTTCCACCCGCCTCGGCCTCCCAAAATGGTGAGATTACTGGCATGAGCCACCACACCCGGCCCCTTATAATAAAATTTTACAACAACATTTAATTGGAAAAACCTTATCAAAATTTGTTCAAGATTTAAAAATTCTAATTGATTCAAATCTCTGTACTGTAAAAAAAGAAAAATTATTCTCAGAATTGGGGAAAAATGGGATGTATAAATGTATCAATCTGCACTGGACAAAATACTAATAAGAGTCATAGAATACAGAAAAGAAAAATAATTCATTCATTATATATGTCATATCCTATGAACTAGTCCATTGATGTTGCTTTAGAGCCTTCAGATATCAGTTGCCTGAATCTATTCAAGTCTTTCAGTCTTCTTGAGCCACTCTATCCTGCAAAAATTAAGCACGTATCCTTTTTAAGATAGGAAACACAATGTTTCATCTAGGATTTCTTGGGGATTCTTGGGGTAGTCTTGATATTTCTCCCACTGTGACATATCTTCCTGCTTGCAAAAATAAAATTATCTCCCTTGTGTTTTCTCTAATCTATATTTACCCAAAGGGAATATATTTCCCTTCATTTCCTGACTTACCACTTCCATGAGGCATGTGCATTTTGTAAACCTTTCCTGAAGACTGGGATTCATAACAGTTTGTATCTCATAGAACTATTAAGAGGATAAAGTGAAATTATACATATAAACTGCCTATATACAATAAACATCTAATAAGTGTTAGCTGTTATTATTTGTTCAAGGATAATGATATGGGCTTATGTGACAGCACACAAAATGATATGAAATATTAGACATCCTGTTCTCTTTGAAAGGCCTTTAGCTTGTTCAATTATGGGAACTCCTCATTAGGTCAAACTTGCTTCCACAAACTTCTTATTTCTGTTTTCATCTAGCTGTCCACATCTCAATTCCCATTACTTTTCTCAGACAAAGGAACTCAGCATTTCTCTCTCTCTCTCTCTTTCTCTCTCCCTCTCTCTCTGCCTCCCTCCCTGTTTCCCTTCATCCCTCCCTTGTCTCATGGCAAACTATGTCCAATGGTACGGTAGGGAAAAAAGAGGACTGGGGTCAGAAAAGGAGTCAATAATCTCTTCATGGACCCTCTCATCTTCCTATGAAGGGAGAATCGTTCTACTACCCTAACAGCTAGGATCAGCTAGGCCAATCAATGGTGAGGTTAAAGTGATACCGAAAGTGGTAACTTTGTCTCACCTAAAACTGTTTTTAGAAATGAAACATCATTGAAAAATGGAGAGTTGAACAGAGTAGGGAATCACTCTTAGAAAACTAGTTTCAAATATTGCTACACATTTTATCTTGTAATAAGCTATAAGCAATTTGAATATGGAATAAATATTGAATTTATTTGTAATCAATTCAGTTAACATTTCATTGAAATCATTTTTTCGAAGGATATCTGATATTAACAGACTTTTAAGTAAAAAGACAATCTTTAAATATATAGCCAGACTAATTCTTCTATTTAATTTTTAGAAATTGCTTTTGTATTAATTCCCTAGGTTGCCTTAATGAATTACCACACCCTTGGTTTAAAACAACAGAGGTGCAGGGTCGGGGGTGGTGACTCACGCCTGTAATCACAGCACTTTGGGAGGCTGAGATGGGCGAATCACCTGAGGTTGGGAGTTCGAGACCAGCCTGACCAACATGGAGAAACCCTGTCTCTACTAAAAATACAAAATTAGCCAGGTGTGGTGATGCATGCCTGTAATCTCAGCTACTTGGGAGGCTGAGGCAGGAGAATCTCTTGAACCTGGAGGTGGAGGTTGCGGTGAGCCGAGATCACGCCATTGCACTCCAGCCTGGCCAACAAGAGTGAAACTCTGTCTCAAAAAAAAAAAAAAAAAAAAAAAAAAAAAAAGCATATTCTCTCACAGTTGCTTCAGGCCAGAAGTCCAAAATAAAAATGTGAGCAGGGCTGTGCTTTCTCTGACAGCTCCAGCATAGAATTATTCCTTTCTTCCTTCCTCCGTCTTCTGGTGGCTCCGAGAGCTCCTTGGCTTACGGCAGAATAACTAGAATCTCTGTTTCAGTCTTTACATGGCCTTCTTATCTGTCTCTCTTCTGTTTGTCTCTCATAAGGACATGTGCCGTTAAACACAGGGCCCACCCTGCCAGAATGGCCTTATCTTGTGACCTTTAACTAAATTACATCTGCAAAGATCATTTTGCTAAATAAGGTCACATTCACAGATTCAAGTGGTTAGGCTGTGGATACATCTTTTTTGAGAAACACAAATCAAACCACTACAGCTCAGAAAATGGATAATAAACTGAGTTGGAAAAATGAACTTTTCTAGTGAAGTTTTACTAAATTGGTGGAATTAGGGTAAGTAGAAAATAATTTTTAAAAATCTGGTTATATTTCAGTATATATAATAATTTTAACAAAGCTAACAATCTACTAAGTGAATTATAATAGTGAAATGAGAACGGTGTCCTACAAATTTGAAAGCAATCTCTTTTTTTTCTTTTTTTTTTTTCCTTAGGGATACTTTTTAGCAAATATTTTTTCTTTTTTGAGACAAGATCTCAATCTGTCACCCAGGCTGGAATGCCGTGGCGTGATCCTGGCTTACTGCAGCCTTGACCTCCTGGGTTTAAGAGATCTTCCTGCTTCAGTCTCCCAAGTAGCTGAAACTACAGGTTCATGCCATTACACCCGACTAATTTTTGTATATTTTGTACAGTTGGGGTTTTGCCAAGTTGGCCAGGCTGATCTCGAACTCCTGAGCTCAGGCAGTCTGCCTGCCTTGGCCTCCCAAAGTGTTATGATTACAGGTATGGGCCACTGTGTCTGGCCGCAAAAACTTTCATCACAGGTAAAATCAATTAGAGTTGAAACCTTTTGAATAAAATAATCACAAATAAGTTTAGTTTTAATTATAAAATATAATGCATATATTTTAAAATTAAATGAGAAAGTCCATAGTTAAGTAATTAAAACTCACCTGAATTCATTTGGAGAATTGCTCATTTCAACACAAATTTCTATAGGTTAATATTATTTCCTATACTGGCAGAAGTTCCCATTTTGATGAGATTAAGAGGGGATAAGAGAACATTAAGTTCTTAAATCTTGACTTACAATATCACAGATATATCAGAATATCAGTAATTTCACAGTGTTGGCTAATTAAACTAAAATTGATTGCCTTTTATATTATAACATAATTCACACAAGCAACTTGAAGTCTTTCAATGCCTACATATGTAAGTTAAGTTTTGGTCTAAAGAATTCTCAGCCACTCTCAGAGTAAATCAGTAGACGATCATAATGTGCTTTTAATTATATCCATTAATATTCATTTGGAAAAAGTATATCATAGTTTCTATTTCAAGAACAAAAGCTGGAACATTAAATCTTGCTTTTGTTTAGAACATTCAGTTGAAGATTAATCTTTTCAAGACCTTTTCTCTGAGGAGATCATTGTGCTTTAATAATTCTGTTACTGAAATGTAACAGATTTGCTCTATTGAATTATGGACCAGTTCTCTAGGGAGTGTCCTATTTAGACCAAAGGTGAGTGATTTTAACTTGGTTTAATAATTTGCTTCATCATTTTCCTGAGACTACATGAGCATGGGGAATTAACCAAAGGATATGATCGAAACAATAACCAACATGGAGTGTCCATGGTTTAATAGCCACAGGCAAAATCACGGGACCCCCAGTCCTGACATCCACCCATCAATAATGTGTGCATGCTTTTATTTAACTCTTACTATGTGCCAGCCACTGTCAGCACCCTACATGCATTAAGTGTTGCAATATTCATAACAGCTCTATCATTTTCATGTCCATTTTATAGATGGGAAAACTGAGTAGAGAGAATAAATAACGTACAGTGAGAAAGTGACAATGCCAACGAGCTGGTTTGGATTCAGGCTCCTTTCAATCCGTTTATGAAATCTCAGAAGGTTTCTCACGTTACCTCCTCAAAAGTCAGACTTGCTTTTTAGGAGCCTCCTGGGGTCTGTCTCTGTGGAGGCCCCCTAAAGGAGACCTCCTGGAGTCTCTGGGACTCTGTGTAGTCTCCCTCATGGAGACTAGGAGGCTGCATTTTGTCAGTGTTCCCGGCGTGGCTACTTCTCCTGTTGTCTTGAGACAGAGGCAGTCAAGGTGGGACTTCTGCTTTACCCCAGCGTCCTTGGCCACTAGCAGAATACCTTCTCCTCATTCCAGTTACATTCACTTACTGAGACATAGTGTATCTTGTGCTCTAGTTTCTACCCAGCTTTTGTTGTATAACGTTTTCCTTTGGCCCCACAAGTGCTCTTAGACCCATCACTCCGGGAATAAAGGACAGTCAGTCACAATGGAGATAACAGGGGGGCAGTAAATAGTGTAGTGAAGTGTGGGGGAGTGAGAGGAAGGGTGGGATGGTGGAGTGAGACGTAGAGAAGTCAGGGTGAAAGTGGAGCAAGATTAATTATATAATGTGCTCCTCAGTGTGCTAGCTGCTTCACACAGGTAACTAATTTAACCCTAACATTCTGTGAAATAGCTATGCTACATCAGTGGGTATAAATGAAATCACCAAGATCACCTAATAAAGCTAGAAAAAGGCATAGCAAAGTTCCTGACAATTTTATGGGTCTGGCTGAATTCTGTAAGTTCAGAATTTGAATATATAAAAACAACAACATATTGCTCTGATAAAGTGATCCATAGACTATCTGTTTAGGAAGAATGGTGTGAGAAACATTAAATAAAAATGAAGATAATTATAATACCATGTGCCAAGTGCAATTATGCTATTGGGTTAGGTCTAGGTGTGAAGGTTGACTGAGCTTTCTTTGTTGGGGGGATAAAGCAGATCACATTTAACAGTTTTATTCTAACATTGCTTTTTACTTAATATTACATCACAAACATTTTCCATGAAAGTATTTATTTGAAAATGCCATTTACATAGCTGCGAAAACTTCTCTCTCTCTCTCTCTTTTTTTGAGACAGTGTCACCTGGCTCTGTTGCTCAGGCTGGAGTGCTGTGGTGGAATCTCGGCTCACTACACTCTCCGCCTCCTGGGTCCAAGTGATTCTCCTGCCTCGGCCTCCCAAGTAGCTGGGATTACAGGCATGCGCCGCCACACCTGGGTAATTTTTTGTATTTTTAGTAGAGACAGGGTTTCACCATGTTGGTGAGGCTAGTCTCAAGCTCCCAATCTCAAGTGATCGGCCCGCCTTGGCCTCCCAAAGTGCTAGGATTACAGGCATGAGCCACCATGCCTGGCCACTGCAAAACATTCTTAGAGTTTTAAGTTTTCTGTTTTTTTCTATTATAAATAATATTTACAAAATGTTAGATCAACTTTTTCACGACTTCATTTTTAGAAATGGAGTTGACAAATACAGGAATATGAATTTTCTAAGGTATTTAATACATTATGCCAAAAGCTTCCAGAAAGTATGTCAATTTACAACCCCAGGAGTAGTAGCCGGATAACAAAAAGTAGCATAGGCCAAGCCAAAGAAGGGTGGGAGAATATGGTTAAGTTTGGGGAAAGGGAATGGAGAAGTAGAGACCAAAGAAGTGGGTAGGATCCAGATGATGAAGGGTGCAGAGAAACAAGAGAATAGATACTAAGCAGTCCCAGGTTTCAGCCTTGGGTTAACAGGAGGGAAATCGGATGAAAGGAGGAGGTCTTTTGGGAGAAAAACAATGAGCTCAGTTTTGAATATATTAATTATAAATTATGTATGGCACATCCAAATGGATATTTTAGATTTTCTTATCTAGGACTCAAGAGGTCAGGCCTTCAGATGTAGATTATTAAATATTAGATTGAAAACTGGCCAGGCACAGTGGCTCACACCTGTAATCCCAGCACTTTGGGAGGCCAAAGCGGGTGGATCATTTGAGGTCAGGAGTTCTAGACCAGCCTGACCAACATGGTGAAACCCTGTCTCTACTAAAAATACAAAAAAAAAAATTAGCTGGGCATGGTGGTGCACGCCTGTAGTCCCAGCTACTTGGGAGGCTGAGGCAGGAGAATGGCATGAACCCGGGAGGCAGAGGTTGCAGTGAGCTGAAATCATGCCACTTCACTCCAGCCTGGGTGACAGAGCAAGACTCCATCTCAAAAAAGAAAAAAAGAAAACTAATTGATCTCTCAAACTACATTATAGGGAAAATAAAAGATCACAGAGTGTTGGAAACAACAATATTAAGAAGAAGTCTTATAATCTAGCTGCTCCAAACTAAAAATTTTTGAAATATAAATAGCTGTAATTTTGTGATAACTAGTACTAATCATATAATCACATAATGGTTCTGAATTTGTAGAGCAATAACTCCCATTTTCCGATTGACTCGTGTATACATATCAAATGAATTTAAAACGCTGTGAAAGACACCCAATAATTTTGATTTTAAAATATATATTTGGGATTTAAGAAATTCAATTTTGCTCTAAAACAGAAAAATTTATAATAAATTAGAATAGTAACATGATACATCATTTCAAGTACTAGGAATTTGGGGTAATTACCAATTTTTGAGAAATTAGTATAATTTTGCTATTCTCTAGCCAGCAGACAATCATAAAAAAGCTCCCCCCTCCCTCCCCAGCCCCACCCGCTTGCTACAAGACACTTTCTCTTCTGGAAGAGCCCATCTGAATGATGTAGATTTGTATACTTTGCCACCTTGTGGTCATTTTAGTTATTTGCATGACTCCATCTGTGTTGTGGCCTAAAGATGTTCCTGTTAAAATGGCTCCATGTTCTTATATACAGTATTTAATTAACAACAATACCAGCAAAACTATATTAGAATAAACTTGAACAACAGTGACAAAAAGTTGATGATGGCCAAGATGAATGCCTATCTGATGGCTTTATTATGGGCTGATGTATCTGCTTGACACCCTTTTCTGAACCGTTCTTAAGTATTTTTTCCACATATTGCTATAGTCATTATTTTGACACTGAATAAATGTCAGTAACAATAAGAAAAAGGCATAATCTCCTTTTGAAATTCACTAAGGTTTTTTTTTTTCACTACAGGTTTTAAATAGAAAAGCTCATGGCTTCATATATATGTAGCATATTGTTAATAAATTAAGAGAATATTCTGCAAAACTCAAACTAAAGCATCAATGAACACTTAGGTTAATCTGTAGTTTCCATGTTTTCTGATTCAATCCATATGAAACAAATGTGTAGGGGAAATGCATTTTTGAAATATTTCTAGTGGTACAGTGGCCATTGCCAGATAACTAATGTGGACAGATGCATTTTTAAAAGGTTTGGGCTACTTGCAAGATAATAATTACTGCATGTTTTATATATTTTTGTTCCATTTTCTGATTGTTTTTCACAAGATATTTAATATTTTCTTTCTCTTTCTTTCTGTCTCCTTCCTTCCTACCTTCCACTGTTTCTTTCCCTTTCTCTTTCTTTTTTGAGAGCTTCTCGCTCTGTCGCCTAGGCTGAAGTGCAGTGGTGCCATCATAGCCCACGGCAGCCTTGACCTCCTGGGCTCAACTAATCCTCCTGCATTACCCTTCTGAGTAGTTGGGATGATAGGCATGCATCACAATGCTTGGATATTTTATTTATTTATTTTTTTATGTTTTGCAGAGATTGAGGTCTTGTTTTGTTACCCAGTCTCATCTCTAACTTCTGACTTCAAGTGATCCTCCCACCTCTGCCTCCCAAAATGGCTGGGATTACAGGTATGAGTCATCATGCTGGCCCGATATTTTCTATATTTGAAAATCTACAAAATATTCAAGCATTTGTCTTAAAAGCTACTCAAAGAGCATCATCTTGGTTTTATTGGTCTTTCTAAAGTATAAATAGAGAGGTTTTCACAATTCGAAGTCAATAGTTCCTTGTATCTTAAGGAAATAAAGTGGGTTTTGAATAAGAGTTTCATAGTCAGGTCATTCTTTTTTTTTTTTTTTTTGAGGCAGAGTTTCGCTCTTGTTGCCTAGGCTGGAGTGCAATGGTGCAAGCTGGGCTCACTGCAACCTCTGCCTCCTGGGTTCAAGAGATTCTCCTGCCTCAGCCTCCTGAGTAGCTGGGATTATAGGCACCCACCACCACACCCAGCTAATTTTTTGTATTTTTGGTAGAAATGGGGTTTCACCTTGTTGGCCAGGCTGGTCTCGAACTCCTGACCTCAGGTGATCCATCCCAAAGTGCTAGGATTACAGACATGAGCCACTGCTCCCAGCCAGTCAGATCATTCTTAAGCTGAATTTTTTTTCTCACAATACAGGCAATATTAAAATTTAGTAAGATGAACTGCTGTACTTAATTTTTTTTTTTACTTTTTATTCATTATAAAAACTGCTTACACTTTGGACTCATTTAAGCTTTGGTAACAGGATTGAAATAAAATATATTTACTCGTGTTATTCAGTTGAAAGGACTTGCCTTAAAGTTACACCAGTAGGCAGGGCACAGTGGCACATGCCTGTAATCCCAGCACTTTGGGAGGCTGAGGCAGGCAGATCACCAGAGGTCAGGAGTTCAAGACCAGCCTGGCCAACATGGTGAAACCCCATCTCTACTAAAAATACACAAATTAGCTGGGTGTGGTGGCAGGCGCCTGTAGTCCCACTACTTGGGAGGCTGAGGCAGGAGAACCGCTTGAACCCGGGAGGTGGAGGTTTCAGTGAGCCGAGATCACGCCACCGCACTCTAGTCTGGGCAACGAAGAGTGAAACTCTGTCTCAAAAAAAAAAAAAAACCAAAAAAAAGTTACACCAGTAGTATGGAGCCATGCACAACTCTTGAAAACACACAGCCTTGCCTACAAAAGTTAAATATGGGGAGAGAGATTGTCGTTTGCTTGCTATTACTAGAAAACCAATCCAAATTACAGGTGCTAACAACATTAGGTCCATAGCACCTATTATAAATGATAGGCTCTCAAGAATTACTTTGGTTCAGGTGTCCAGTAAAGACCGAATTGCCATCAGAATCATCAAGTAGCCAAGATATATGGGCTTTTGCCCCTTATTTGTTTCCAATTACCCCCAGGCTTTAATTGGAATGGGGAGAGAGAGTTCTTCTTAGAGGACAGATTGTCTTCTGCTACATATTGGAAACAAATTTTAGTATCTTGTTTAACTCTGTATTGGGGAGGAAGGATTTTTCCTTATAGAATAAGGAGGCTTTACTTATGCAGTGAAGATGGCCATAATGGGAATACATTGAAAAACATAAGGATAAAAAGGGATAAAAGGAATCAGTTTTATTCACATACCGGGCATATTTTATGCAAAAATAGTAGCTTCATTCACACGTAAGTCACATTACATATGATATAAGAAATACTTTTAATTCAAAAAATATCGTGGTTCATATGACAGCTGGATTTAAATCCCAGCTGGACTGCTTTCTATCCAGACAAGTTATTAAATCTCTTCAAGTCTCAGCTTTGTCATATGTAATATAAAAATAATGATAAATTACCTCGAGTGAACTCATAAATACACAGATGTATTAGTCAGGATAGGATAGACTGTGCCATGGTAACAAATAAAACCCAAAGTCTCAGTGGCTTAACACAAAAAAGCATTATCCCATTATCCTTTCAAAATTCCAAAATCCTTTCAGGCTTTACACACACATGTTTATATAAATTTAAATGATTACACAGGTTTTCAATAAATGCTGTTTTCTTCTCCTTTGAGATTCTACTCATTTCTCTTCCACTCAAGTAAACATGCAATTTGGGAACAAGAATGACACTGTAGAAATAAACTTTTCTGTTCTAATTTCTTTGAAATGTAAACCATTTACCCATGTAAGTAATCATTGGCAACAGATCACTAGTGATACAACTTTGACCTATGTCCGTGAGCCGGTGTGTTTAGATTCAGAGAATGAGAACCCCTTACTCTGCAGAACTTGCCAGAAGAGTTAGGCAGTGCTGGAAAAAGCCATTTAATTTGCACTATATTTCCCCAGCTAGCCATGTTGCTACCTTAATGTTACATGACAAAGTGGTGTATGTGAATTTTCATTGTTTCCTAATGATATTTGTATATGCAGTAAGTCAAATTACAGCATTCAATAAATCCTACGTTCTTGTTCAAAACAAATTATAGTGCACACAAGTTTGTTTTTCTTTCTCTGGTCTCACTTCAAATCAGGTAGCTATTATAAATAATACAAAACAAACACTTTATTTTTGAAATTTACAGAAAATAACATCGCCGCTTACAATGTTACAGAAATATGTGGCTATTTAGAAACCCTAGATCACAACTCTTATGAATTATTATCCAATGGACATAGGAGAATTAAGATTGAGTTTTTATCACCTTTTCTGATTTTTAATGCTAAAGTAGATTTTTGTTGTATATTAAGCATGACTATAGACTATATATTACTGCCATTAGGACAGTGAGGGTAATTGTTAAATGGTTTTAGCAGTTTATTTCTTAATAAAAAAAATTAAGTCCTGAATGACAGACTCAGAGCTAAGAAAACACACTGTTAGAGTCATAAATTCGCTCATCAGAATTTACTTACATGTTCTTTTTTATTGAATTTAACTCCAAGTAATAATAGCAATAGATGCTGTTTGTTATCTGTCTGCTGCATACCACATGGGAGCTACTCAGTGCTTTACCTCACATATTCGCAAAAATACCCCAGCAATATAGCTGTTAGCTTCGTCTTACAAATGAAGAAACAGAAGTTCAAAGAAGTAAATATAGAATGTGATAGAACCACTCTTGAAATTCATGTCTTTTTGCTTCCAAAATTCCTCTTTTCCACATGTTTCCTCAATAAGCATTTTCAGGTCCCTATTCCAGGTGGATGGTAATTCTTGACATTTTTATGTCTATAATTTCTCCTAACATTATCTAATGCAAGCCTCTTGCTGTACAGATATGAAAACTGAAGACATGTGAGGTTTCCTCAATATAACACAACCACACATCAAGAGAGCCATACCTAAATTCTGGAGTTACAGGTTCCCCACACAATGCTCCCTTATGGTTATTGCAAACTATGGGCATCAAGCAACTGAAGATAAGAAACTCACGAGGTCAGGAGATCGAGACCAGCCTGGTCAACATGGTGAAACGCCGTCCCTACTAAAAATACAAAAAAAATTAGCCGGGCTTGGTGGCATTCGCCTGTAGTCTCAGCTACTCAGGAGGCTGAGGCAGGAGAATCACTTGAACCTGAGAGGTGGAGCTTGCAGTGATCAGAGATCACACCAATGCACTCAAGCCTGGGGGACAGAGCAAGACTCTGTCTCAAAAAAAAAAAAAAAAAAAAAAAAAGGAAGAAAGAAACTTTGTAGCTAGAATTCAGGACTAAGGCATTCATAGGGTAGACAGTGTAAAAGAGAGCCGGGTGGGGGTATTTGAGGGAGTGTAAAAATGATCAGAGAGGTGCAGAAATGGCAGATAAACTGAGAATGAGGTACAGGCAGAATTTTTTCTGACTGTTGAGACTTGGACATGATGCAGAAAATAGAGGAGAGGCTCATGGTCTGAAAATGGGAAGACCTGGACAGCACTCACCCTTGTCAGTCATGAGAGGCCATCACAAGATTGGGACTAAGGAGATCAACCTGCTAAGCTTACCTAGAATTCTGCGGTTTTGTGGTCAGTCACTAACAGTACTAAGTGCAACCTACTTCCCCCTCTTTATATTCATCTTATCCTTGACTCCCAGTTTCCTGGATTTGCATCTTTCTTGTCTCTGTCTGGACAGTGCTATTCAGGACCATAGGATTCATGATCTGTATTTAAGCCTAGGTACAAATTATTTCTCACATTGCTGTTGGAATGACCATGATCCTAATGAGATTGTGGAGTCCCCTTAGCTTTCCCTAGGATGTCACATGGGGACATCCATGATCTGGATTTTGCCTATTTCTCTAGGTTCCCTTGTACCATACCTGGCTATCTTGAAGGCTTCCTGTAAATATTCTCTCTCCCTTGAAACCCATTAAAACGTTCATTGCCTTCTGCCCATATGGAGATGACCATTCCTGCATTTTAGTCTTCCCTACCGCCTGTATCTTCTGCAACATTGTAGAACATTATCTTCTGCATCGCTGCAGAACACTGTATCTTCTGCAACATTGCAACTGGTGCTGAGTTGTCCTTGTATATCTATCATCCTATCCCTGATGGTCTCTAAGCTCACAGGACAGGGACATTGTCCTATTCATCTTTGCACTGTCATCCCCAGTGCAATTGATGCATAGGCTCAGAGGGAAGCAGAACAGTCAGGATAGAAAGAGAGAAAGATACTTAGAGATGAGAGAGCCTGTGTGCATTCAAAGAGGAGAGAGTAGCTTCAGATTGGTCTCCTTCCTCCATGAGGCTAATCTCAAACAAGATTCTTGAGAGTTCTTCTCCAATTTTATTATCTTTTCTTTATTAACACTGTGCCATGATCATTTTTTTTTCTTTTATGTTACCTTGATTGGCGTCTGTGTTACTTGAGATGGAAGAGCCTTGGTTAGAATTGAGAGCCTTTGAGAGATGACTGAAAATATCCACAATTATTTTTCTCTGAACACTCCATGAGGCAGGACCCTTTACTTGGGAACTTGATCGATATTTGAAAAATCTTCAAAGCTGATTATATATCTATTTAAAGAAGGATTTATTATTATTATTATTGTTAATCTAGAGTAGTAATTTTTATCCCCTTTGCAGTCTGCAATCACTAGGTGGTAGAGAAGCAGAGGTGAGCTGGGAGAACAGTGCCTATTTGACCTGGCATGGTTTTATTCCTTGATAGTGAAAATATTTCAACTTTTAGTGGTCTAAAAAAGTAGGGTAGAAGACTGAGCTTGAAGGTTACAAATTTCCAGTTCCAGATACTGTGTTCTTGCCTTGGTATTATAATTTAGGAATGTATGAGACTCCCTTGTTCTGTTTGTGTGTATAGTATAAACCCAGAGGTGGGCTGGAGTCATTACCTTTCACCATAAAGGATTAATATGAGTCAGGGTCTGGAAATAAAGCTATTTTTTTTTAATAGAAAAATGAAGGTTTCTGGGACCTGGAAAAAATTGTGTCCTGCTACAACAGTATTAGAATTAGGGATATACTTTAGGAGGTTTGGCATAAATCAGTGACAAAACATTTGCAAACTGTGGGAAACGACAATATATATTCAGGAAGCGTAGCATTTAACTTAAGCAATAGGTGAATATAGAAGAGAGAGAGAGAATTATAGAGAAAGGAGGTAGCAAGGGAAGGAAAGAGAGTTGGGGAAAGATAAACAAATATGAAAAGCCAAAACAGATGGACAAGTAGCTGCTTCAATTAATGAAGAGGTTTCTGTCCTAGTTTCAGGTTGCATATGACTTAGTTGTACTCCATTTTGATGAGCTTATTATATTATTATAATAAGCATTTTTTCCTGAACTAGTTTAACTGGATTTCTCATCTTTGTAAACACACACACACACACACACACACACACACACACACACACACAGGCCTAGATACATGCATTCATTTTCGAGGTGTTTTGAGAAAACCTGTTATGTGTAACAAAGGTCATATACTCTCTGCAGAGGGTATGAAGATAAACAAAAGTTTAATTCTGCTTGGTATGTTTTGCTATAGCCAAGATAAGACCAAAGGGTGTGTTTATTCTTTTCTTTTTGTTGTATAAAAGATGAGTTTAGGGCCAGGCACAGTGTCTCACGCCTGTAATCCCAGCACTTTGGGAGGCTGAGGCAGGTGGATCACTTGAGGTCTGGAGTTCAAGAACAGCCTGGCCAACATGGTGAAACCTTATCTCTACTAAAAAATACAAAAATTAGCCAGGCGTGGTGGTGGGTGCCTGCAATTCCAGCTACTCTGGAGGCTGAGGCAGGGAGAATTACTTGAAACAGGGAGGCAGAAGTTGCAGTGAGCAGAGATCACACCATTGCACTTCAGCCTGTGCAACACAGAAAGACTCTGTCTAGGGAAAAAAAAAAGAAAAAGAAAAAGAAAAAGATAAATTTATAGAGAGCCCATGTTCTCTGGGGATTCTTAGAGAAGCAATAACAAGACAATTTCCAGCCTGGACAAGTTTGAGTCCAGCAGTGGAGGTTCACAGTCTGGCAAACCCTGGAAGGTTCTGCTTTGGTTTGGAAATCTCTGCCATTGGATAAATTCATCAAGCTGTGGGTTGCCTAGAGTTGGTAGTGTCTGCTTTTGGTGTCAGTATTTCATGTGTCAGCACTCTCTCCTCCATCCTCCACCCACCCCCTACCACTATCATTATTCTTATTCATTTATTACAGAATATTAGATTTCTTATTCATTAATTACATGTATAAAGGAATTCATTATCAACCCTGAATTCTTTATCAGGAGATTATTTTGTTTGTGAAGAGACCAAACTCTCTTGCACAGGGTCACCTTTAAAAAGGTTATTTGTTAAAGATGAACAAAGTGTCTGATTTCTTGGTAAAATTTTAGCTAAAATATGAAATGCAAACATGTTCTTTTGTGCAATTGAGCTAAACATACTTGAATCCTCTTTCCAGAAATCTAATCAAATGGAGAGTTCTAACCCTGGCCAAGTTTCCTAAAACATTCAATATACTCCATTGACCTACATCTTTGTACATTGTTAGCAGTTGAAAACATAATATTGTAGTGTGCTAAGGCTAGAATCACAGAGTATTTCAAAATAGTTCTGGAGACCTGGTTATCCTTAAATAGCCCTGCAAAAAAATCTGTCCTATATGTATTTATTGACTTTCTACACGCAATTTGCTGGCACTGTGCTGGCGTTTGAAAATAGTCTATACTATGATTCTAAATGAGAAAAGACAAAAAGTTAGAGAGTGAGGATTTGGCCCTCAAGTAGATTTTAACCTAAAAGCTTCAAAAAACAAAGGTACAGTAGGTCAGAACTATCAGAGATATGGCCATTCATATGAGCATTGTTTATTTGTCAGATAGTGGGTGCATGCCATAGATCCTCAATGTATACATTGATTTGTTCTGGGAACTCATTTACATTCATTGTTTTCTTATTTTTAAAAGGAGTCAGAATCTCACAACAATGAATATTGTGAGAATCTAATTTCAAAAATGAACAAGACAATTCTAAGAAAAATGTACAGTACCAAATTTATAAGATATCATATTTGTTCTCAATATGTTTGTATTTTAACCCCTAGAAGGAAAGACGTCATCTAAGCTGGTACCCCCACAATGTGGAACATGATTGGTGTTAAGTATCAAACTATTAGAAAAACTAATTAACATTTAAACTAGGGACAGGGAAGTGTAAAGGTGGGGTTACAGAAAGAAGGAACTAAATCGTTCTCAAAATAAGTTTACCTAACAGCAAGTGTATCCACCTGAGTTATAAATGACTGAAAATAGTACTTCCTGTGAAAGCATAAATCTTATGTTATAGTAGCCTTGTCAAGCAAAATTCTAATAAGATTTTCACGGAAAATGATACAGCCCATGACAGAAAAATGGGTGGTATGATGCAGAGGTTAATGCGAGGTCCTTGATTTTTGTGCTTTTGGATTTCAGACACACTCAGATTGAACCTCCACCATTAAAAAGACATCTTGATCTCTTCAAAGGTAGCCCTGGGACCTCAGTAACCTTTTTCTGTTTCTATGTTACTTTCCCCTGGCCTACTCCTCGGGCCATGAGCTACAGCACAGACCCATGACTGCATCTGCAGCAGTTCCAGGAGGGCCTCAGAAATGATGGAAACGATTGGCATCACCAATAGTTCTTCCACAATCACAGAATTTCAAATCTTTTTTTTTTTCCTTTAAAAGTTCTGAAATGAGCCTCAAAGGCACAATCTAGAACAAATTTCTTCATTCATATTAGATTGCCTAAATCTCTCATTTGACCAAAAAAAGCCTTCAAATATACAGAACATTAATATTTGTTTAAAAGGGGTGGGTTTATAAAAATAAGCCCTAATTTCCCACAGGTGCAGCACACACACACACAACGCCAATTATTTGAACAAATACTTTATTTATTTATTTATTTTTGAGACGGAGTCTTGCTCTATTGCCCAGGCTGGAGTGCAGTGGCATGATCTCGCCTCAGTTCAAGCTCCACCTCCTGGGTTTACGCCATTCTACTGCCTCAGCCTCCCTAGTAGCTGGCACTACAGACGCCTGACACCACACCTGGCTAATTTTTTGTATTTTTAGTAGAGAGGGGTTTCACTGTGTTACCAGGATGGTCTCGATCTCCTGATCTGCCCGACTCGGCCTCCCAAAGTGCTGGGATTACAGGCGTGAGCCACCGCACCTGGCCCTACAAATACTCTTCATTTACAAAATAATTCAGAAACTAAAAGAAAACAACTTAAGAGTTCTTATCAAAATTGGTGCTGAATATTTTCCATTTGTCCTTCCAGATCCACTCTGCTGATCCTGACCCCTATATTGGGCTGCAGGAGGCTGAGCTATGTAGACTACTTTACCTGGGCTTCCTGCCCTCTGGCTTCAGTTGGCTTCAACCCATTAAGGGAAACAGCAGGAAAAGGAAGGAGGGAGAAGCAAGAGATGTCTGAGTTGATTTCCTGGGTCCCCGCTCTTAGAGGACACTGCATGCAGACTGAATCCCCTTAATGAGGGCCAGGGCTTCCACTAAATGGTCTTCCCCAGACAAACACCTTGCTACTTCTTCCCTTTGACTCTAGAGGCAGGGAAAGTAACAGCTCCCCTCCTTGTGAGCCCCAGGGTGCTGCACTCTCTCATGTCGGTTTTCCTTCTGTGGCCTTGAACAGAAACAGAAAAACTGAGGCAAAAACATAGAGTGAATTAAACTCAATAGAGTCAGGAATTTCTGTCTGTTTTGCTCAGGGCTTAGAAAAGTACCTAGCAGAAAGTTTGTACTCAGCCTGTATCTATTGAATTAATTATTATGCATTTACATTTTTATTACATTATAATTGTTAAGTAGATAATGATCTAGAAGCTAGGAGTATAATGATCCATTAGCTAGACCCTACCCCTTCCAATCTGGAGTAGATGGAGTACTGAATATTACTGGAGCCCATGAAAGGGATTATCTTATCCATATGTTAAGACCTCCTTTTTTTTTTTTTCTGAGAAGGAGTCTCGCTCTTGTTGCCCAGGCTGGAGTACAATGGTGCAATCTTGGCTCACCGCAACCTCCGCCTCCCAGGTTCAAGGGATTCTGGTGTCTCAGCCTCCTGAGTAGCTGAGATTAAAGGCTGCTGCCACCTGCAGCTAATTTTTGTATTTTTAGTACAGACGGGGTTTCACCACGTTGGCCAGGTTGGTCTCGAACTCCTGACCTCAGGTAATCTGCCCACCTCGGCCTCCCAACATGCTGGGATTACAGGCGTGAGCCACTGTGCCTGGCTGAAGACTTCTTAACATGGAAGCTGAGAGATAAAGAAGGTATCAGCTAGTGACAGGTGACACAGCAGCCAGGTAGAGAGGAGAGGTGTTTCAGGCAGAAGAAATAAAAGCATGTACAATGGCCTGAAGAGTGAAAGCATGATTCACTCAGGCAATTGGGAAGTTCATTATGGCTGAAACACAGTATTTGAAAAAGAGAATATGGAGAAATAAAGGACAAGAAGTACACAGTCAGATTATGGAAGGGTTTATACAAAATTTTAGGAAGTTGAGATTTCATGTCAATTAAGCACTCATAGAATGGGACAGAGGGAAGGTAAGGAAAATAATAGTGTGCTCTTCTACTGCAAAATATAAACACACACACACACACACGTTCATTTTGTATCTCTCAGTCTAAAGAGGCTAAGAATCCCAGGAGTTACTGTAAAGTTATGATTCTCTCATTAATATTCTTTGACATGCTTAAATAACAACTGTGACAAAACAGTTAACAATTATTGTGTGTTTATTATGTTATGACACTATTCTAAAACTTTATACCTGTGATTTCCTTTAACACTCAGAATAACTCCTTAATACTCTGGGGTGATTGCTATTATCTGCAACTTACAGATAAGGAAAACTTAGCCACAGGGAAGTAAATGACTTGCTCAAGGACATATAACTAGTAGGTGGTAAAGGTTTTTTTTAAAAAGGGGAACAGTTGCTTTTCCTTACCACTTATAGAGGCAGGTGGGGAAAAGACCAGGGATCAACATTAATATAGAACACAAATGATAAAGGCTATGCTGATAAGCTAGCTTTATAAAAAAGCAACAAATTGTGCATGCACCTTATGCTATGGCATAGAGACCAAGTTTAGCAAATGGATGAATAAAGCATGTTGAAACCAATGTAATCACAAACACAACAATTAAATTGCTTTTCTGTAGGGAAAATTTGACAAAAAAAATTTTTAATGTCAAAGGAGACATAGAAACTAAAAAAAAAAAAAAAAAAAGAAAAGAAACTTGAATCCAAACAGGTCAGGAACCAGTAAGTCAAAGCAATGCCTTGTGCCTCCATTTTCCTAAATTAAGAATAAAGTTATACCTTATTTTATTACCATATTGGAGTGTTTAAGAATTATGCATCAGACAACCATTTGAAAATAGTCTATACTATAATTCTAAATGAGAAAGGACAAAAAGTTATTTGAGTCAAATTTCTAAGTCTAGTTTAAATAGAAAAAATAATTAATTTTTAAGAAAAAATATGCTCTGGTTGTTTGATACCAGCAGATGGCACCCTAACAAAATAATTTGTGTGCCATATGTGAACTTTTTACAGCCCTCTGTACCCTCAAATACCAGTCAAGTTCACTGTGTCCAGACAGGGTAGGAAAGAGAAAAACCAAAGTCAAAACTTCCTGTTTTCAAATCAAATAATTTTTATTTTGGGAAGAAAGAGTAGAAAAAGAATTTTCTGTATTAGTCTTCATTTTGTGAATACCAAGTTAGCTTGAATCACTGTTGCAAGAAAATCCCCTATAAATCTGCATTAAAATCCCATTATAAAAAACAACAAGACTACATTTAAAGGAATAAAATGGGCTGATCCATATATTTTCCAGCACCACCCCCCAATAAAAGGATGTTAGAGAAACAAATAGTCTTTCTGAATGCTTCAGCTGTCAGAGATGAAATAATGCTGGAGATTTTTTAAAAACAGTTTGAGAAGGACTTAAACATTAAGTTTGCATTAAGACTACTGCCACAATACCCATTTCAATTTCAGGCCTATTCAATTTGAATTGTTCAAAATAGATAATGGGTGTTTGAATTTCACACTCTTCTCTTCTCCCGCTCCCCACTATTCTTGTGATTATTGTTATTTTTAAAGCAAATATAGGATATTATGTCGAGATCATGAAAAAGTGGGTCTACAAGGGATGAGTGTGATCCTGTTTTGGCGAGAGTCAGGGTTACCACTTTTTCTTTCTTCTTCTTTTTGTCTCCTCTTTCTTAATTCCTGGCACAGTTATGTGCCATCTAATGAATGACATCTTGGTCAACTACTGACCACATATACTACAATGGTCCCATAAGATTATAATATCATATTTTTACTGTACCTTTTCTATTTTTAGGTATGTTTAGATAAAAAATACCATTACATTACAATTTCTTACTGTATTCAGTACGGTAACATAGGCTATTTCATATAGCCTAGATGTGTCCTAGGCTACACCATCTAGATTCGGGTGAGTACAAGCTATGATGTTCCCACAAGGATGAAATCACCCAGTGACGCACTTCTCAGAACATCCCTGTCGTTAGGTGACACATGACTACATTCGATTTAAGAATTCAGCCAGATTTGACAGGGCGTGGTGGCTCATGCCTGTAATCCCAGCACTTTGGGAGGCCGAGGCGGTGGATCACTTTATGTCAGGAGTTTGAGACCAGCTTGGCTAACATGGTGAAACCCCGTCTCTACTAAAAATACAAAAATTAGCTGGGCGTGGTGGCAGGCGCCTGTAATCCCAGCTATTCGGGAGGCTGAGGCAGGAGAATCGCTTGAACCCAGGAGGCAGAGGTTGCAGGGAGCCAAGATTGCGCCATTGCACTTCAGCCTTGGTGACAGAGTGAGACTCTGTTTCAGAAAGAAATGGAAATAAATAAAAAGAAAGAAAGAGAAAGAGAAGGAAAGAAGGAAGGAAGAGAAAAGAAAGAAAAAGAAAGAGAGGACGGAAGGAAGGGAGTGAGGAAGGAAGGAAGGAAGGAAGGAAATCAGCTAGCCAGATTTGCAGTTTTCCTATTATTATTATTATTATTATTATTATTATTATTATTATTATTTGTTTTGAAACAGAGTCTCGCTCTGTCGCCAGGCTGGAGTGCAGTGGCGCGATCTCCCCTCACTGCAACCTCCACCTCCCGGGTTCACGCCATTCTCCTGCCTCAGCCTCCCGAGTAGCTGGGACTACAGGCGCCCACTACCATACCTGGCTAATTTTTTCTTTTTTTCTTTTTTCTGTTTGGACTTTTAGTAGAGACGGGGTTTCGCCATGTTGGCTAGGCTGGTGTTGAACTGACATCAGGTGATCCGCCCACCTAGGCCTCCCAAAGTGCTGGGGTTATGGACATGAGCCACCGCGCCCGGCCAGTTTTCCTATTATTTTCTGTTATTTTCTTATAGCTGAGGAGTAATGACCGAAGTTATTAGCCCTTTTTAAAATTAAGCCTTCTCATCTACTTCACTCTTCTAACAAATAGTTGTTACCTTCTAAAAAGATGCCAGTTATAATTAACTTTCAGGAAACTGTAAGAAACGAACTAAGCTTTGGTATAAAAACTACCCAGGGTCGGCCAGGCGCAGTGGCTCACGCCTGTAATCCCAGCACTTTGAGAGGCCGAGGCGGGCGGATCACGAGGTCAGGAGATCGAGACCATCCTGGCTAACACGGTGAAAACCCGTCTCTACTAAAAATACAAAAAAAAAAAAAAAAAAAATAGCTGGGAGTGGTGGCACACATCTGTAGCACCTGTAGTCCCAGCTACTTGGAGACTGAGGCAGGAGAATCGCTTGAAGCCGGGAGGCGGAGCTTGCAGTGAGCTGAGATCGCGCCACTGCACTCTAGCCCAGGCGACAGTGTGAGACTCTGTCTCAAACAAACAAACGAACAAAACAACAACAACAACAACAACAAAAACGACCCAGAATCAAAGATGAGCCTTCGCTCTAAGACGGAAACTCCAGATATGAGGCAGCAGCAAAACGCAACATTCACGAGCAATCTACTTTCGTGGTATACTAGCTACAGAGAAAGAAGAAAGACAAGGAAGATTGAGGACGCTGATTCCCAGCGCAGGCATGAGATGTGCCAAATTGTGAAGACCATAACGATGCAAAAGGGAACTGCAGCTTCCTGTTCGTTTTCTCTGCCTTCTAGGTCTGTTCTAGGATGAAATCTTCTGATCTTCCAGAAACGGCTGAAATCAAATATATAATTTCATCTTCTTTATGATCTTGAATGAGAAAAGAGAAAGAATAAATAGCCCAATCGGTTATTTTAGAGATAAGAGTGTGTATGGGAGAAATCAGAGTGATTTTCTTGCTGAGAAGATGGAATGGCTACTGGAGGCAAAACCCTTTGGGAAACCCAATGAAAAGAGAAGCTACTTCCCCAAACCTTTGGGAAACAAGTAAAACCAGTGCTTTGTAGATGAAATACATGATGAAGGCGATGAAGGCAATGAAGCTCAGTGCATTAACAGCCAGCCTTGACTATGAAGTTTGCAAACAATGATGGTTAACATGTATTGAGCACAGCATACGACTTAAGGAGACTTCTACACTTTCTACTTTAATTAATTGTGTATAAGAATCCTATGATCTTGTTGCTCTTGCACATACATTTTAAACCTGAGAACTCTGCAGCACAAACAAGATTTACTCCAAATCACTCAGGTGTTCTAGGCCCACCTTCAACCACTGATCCATACAAACTCTCTAATAATTACACGGGAAATTTTTGTAAGCACTAAGTTTTTTTTTCTGGGAGAAGTCGATACCCTACTCCTATTACCACTGTCTGAACAAAGATGAAGAAAGATTGGGCTTTTATAAAGCAAAAAGAGAAGGTAATTTTCTTTCCTTAATTTTGGCACAATGGAACTTTTTGGGCTGATGACAAAGCTCAAAACTACCACAATTTGACACCGCCTGAAAATTTGGGTCAGCTGTCTTTATTTCACAGTGCGTGGTCAGCATAACTGATTGTCAGTGTCTGTAGAAAGGATTTCCCACTCCTCACCAGAATGAGGTCAAGGTTAGGAGGCACAGAGAGAAAGGTAACAGCAGGTAGAGATTGAATAAAGGACACCAGTGCTTTCAATAGATGCAGGAAGGCTGTTTTGGAAACACTGCAGAAGAGCAGTCAGCAAAGGAACACATCACGATGGTTTCAAGCCAATGAGAGGGGCCTCGAGACTTCTCTCTCTATCCAAAGAGACCCCTTTCTGGGGATAAGAGAGAAGTTCTATTAGTTTGGAGTCTCCCACTCTCTTGATGACTAGTCTGGCATTCTAACATTAGAATCATGCCTGAAGACTCCTTGGTCGAATGTAAAGTTATGAGTGCCACTTGAGAGTCTGTTCTTCCTCTAGAAAGACATAATAATGCTCATGGAATACTACTCAGCCATAAAAAGAATGAAATCATGTATTTTGAAGCAACATGGATTGACCTGGAGGCCATTATCTTATGTGAAATAATCCAGAAACAGAATGTCAAATACTGTATGTTCTCACTTATAAGTCGGAGTTAAATAATGCATACACATTGTCATAGAGAATGGAATGATAGATACTGGAGACAAGGAAGGATAACGGGAAGGTGGATGAACAATTACTTAATAGGTACAATGTGCACAATTCAGGTGATGGTTACACTAAAAGCCCTGACCTCACCATGTCCCATATCCGTGTAACTGCACTTGTACCCCCTAAATCTATTAAACCATTAAAAAAACAAAGACTTAATGATGGCAGGCCCTGCCAACTAACTCCTTGATGAAGGAGCAGCTCAAACCCATTCACCTTTCTTTCCTTCTTGGAGTTCCACAATGCAGGTGGTTCCAGGGTCTTCTTAACTACCACTATCTTTTCACACTCACTTCCCATCAGCCCAATTTGTTTTTCCACTTTATACTAAAGAACTCCAAAGAGAGAAGCTAACAAAACCTATTAAAGGTAAAAGTTGAGTAAGTACAGTCATTAGCTTCTCTGAAGTTATTTTCCCCCTTCTGTGTATTATCACCATCAAGGCTAGGCTGATGTTTAGCAAAGAGCACCTGTCAAAACAAAAGAAGAGTTTCACACCTCACAATTTTAAGCCCCAGGTAAGAAACTCAGCCTGGTGGATCGACAGAGAGGAAGACAAGAAACCTGAAACTCCAAGACTTGAAGTAGAGTTAAATGAGTTTCCTCTGGGTACCAACAGGCTTTTGTTTAACACGATTAAATCCTCTTTGTTTCATTACAGACATCAATGTGAAAACAAACAGTGTGATCAAGATAAAGGCCTGGAGGAGCATTCTGTTTCTCTTTTTCGATCTTTTTCTTGGAGAACTATCACCACCTCTCAGTGGATAGGCTTAAAGGAACTTAACTGGCTCACAGAAAATTGATGAGCTGAGTAGAGCAGGTGTACAGGAAAGCTTTGAGCTGTGGGGTTAGGGAATGGAAAAAGTGTGAAGCACTATGTCCATGACCAGATCGGGTGATAAGAGGACTGGCTTCCTTTGCTATCTAATTAATTGCCTTTCTTTTCAAAACAAGTCTTTGATTTCAAGAAGCACCTGCAGAAGATAAGAATGACTCCTACTGAAATGTAACAACCAAAAAGCCCATTTTGGGGTTGGGGATTGAGGGTGGGAGTGTAGAGTTGGGGAACAGGAGAATGGAGATGGAGGAAGGAGAAGTTACAGCCAGGGACCAAAACAAAAAAATATCGACGAGTCAAGAGACAGCAGTCAGCTAAATCCTATCAGGGATGCGACAAAATTGATACTAGTGTGCCTTTCCAAAGCAATTCTTTCTATATTATTAAATTGCTTATTTCATTGTTTTTAGACAACACTAACTCCTCTTCCTAAACAAAACATGGACATTGTCAGCATAACAGCTACACTGAACTGACAGAAGCTGGGGTCATCCATATACACATTTTAATTACCTCTTTTCAGTCAGGAACATCATTAGAAGTTTATTATTACCCGCCACTATCTTGTGATCTTAATTGGCTTCCTTCACAGACGACACCCTGAAGCCAATGCAGAAGCTCTGGCAGCCTCCCAGAGACAGTGACCAGATCGGTGGCACTTTACACTGATACTGTCTTCAGCTGAATAACAACCATTGGTTTAAGTTTTATGCTAGTCATGAGGTGGAAGCTTCTTTTAACACCTGTATGCAGAGATGTTCCTGATTCAGTGGTGTTGAAACACACACTGAGAGGCAATGACTTTTCACATACCTTTCTTAGGGTTATAGAGAAATTACCAAAATGGAGGAAAGGGATATGCCAAGCAGCCAGTGCCAGTTATTTCCTGTGGCTCTCTTGGAGTCTGGTAAGAAAAGAAAAAAAAAATGCTTACCAAATCTGGATCTGTTGATACTCAAATTAAATCTGCAGAATGGGCCATGGTTATCTGGCTGCTTGCTGCTCAGAAAGTGTAGAAACACCCTTAAGTGAATAGTTTGCACTGGACCCAAATCAATAATAGTTATTAAGTTAGTTTCCAAAGGGGTCTTAGAGATAATGGCAAAGTTTGAGGCAAGGGGAGAAAGAGAATGATTTATGAAATAAACATACTGTGATGTTTTATGGCGGAAGGAAAAGAGAAATAACTTTCTGTGAACAGAATTAATAATTTTGTCTTTGTGAAAGGAAAATAAGTAAGTTCCAAAATTTTAAACGCTGGGGTTCAACTCCTAGAAGATCAGGCTGATGATACCTCTGGGAATGTTACCTGGATACCTTTCTACGCATTATTGATTCCTGGTTCTGTGTCTTCAGGTATTCACAAAAAATGAGCTAAGTCACAAATATGCTCACATTGAATAATCCTCACAATTCAGCTAAATTTTGAGCTCCCTCAAAGAGAAAATAAGTTTTTAGAATGATACATATATTATTGTATTACTTATGCAGGATAATAATGATTAGAAAGTTTGTTTATGCTTTTATGGTTGAGTCAAATAATATTTGTATTATTAATATATTCCTGACATTCTTTTAAAAGTTATTCTTGTCATTCATTGTGATCTGCAGCTCTGAAAGATACACCTACGAACATGTTCATAGAAAGAGCATAGTATTATAAATGGCTAGACTTTTAGAAGGAAAATTTTTCATTCAGTGACTTGAACTAGTGTGGACATTAAAGTATTTGGAAAGAATCACCAATTCACTTTGTTATCTCCTCAGGTTTTTGGCTATCAGAGGATTAATACATCTGCTTTATTTCTGGCAATTACTTTCCAATAACCCTGAAACATAGGTCAACTTTTCCAGAACCTTATATTTCACTATTATAGCACTCAATTATTTAATTATAAGTGAATGCTATAAAAATATAAAAATATAGGCTGGGCGCAGTGGCTCACGCCTGTAATCCCAGCACTTTGGGAGGCCAAGGCGGTAGGATCACGAGGTCAGGTGTTCAAGACGAGCCTGGCCAAGATGGTGAAACCCTGTCTCTACTAAAAAAATACAAAAATTAGCCGAGCGTGGTGACAAGTGCCTGTAATTCCAGCTACTCGGGAGGCTGAGGCAGAGAATTTCTTGAACCCGGGATGCAGAGGTTGCAGTGAGCCGAGATCGTGCCACTGTACTCTAGCCTGGGCGACACAGTGAGACTCAGTCTCAAAAAATAAATAAATAAATAAAATGAAGATGATAAAAGCTACTTCAGTTTATGGAATTCATGAATGTGAAGTTTTGTTATCTATATGTAAGTATAATTTCTAGGTCATACATATAGGTTTAACTTTTAAAATGTGTCTTTTAAGACATGATATTGACATGTTCTTTCCTCAAATACGGCTGAATTCTGAATGAGAAGGAGCTTAAAAAATAAAAAAAATTGGATGATCAATTTAAATCACTGTGATCATTATGAGATGGCTAAATATGATTTAAACCACACGCGGTGAAATAGGGATTAAATACAATTCCTCTCTTCCCTTCACTACCAATCATGACCTCTTGGCGGCTCCACTTCTGCTATTGGCGTGGTAGGCCTTAGCCTTCAGAAAATAAAGGGTTTCCTTCCCATGTTCGTTTTGTGTTTACCTTACGGATTTCCTCTTTTAGGAAGATAAGAAAATTAGTTTTGTATTTCAACTGCTTCTCTGTATTGAAACAGAATGGTGAAAATACAGCTGTTTGAAACATACTGTGAGCAAAAAGGCAATGAAATATTATTTTTAAGAAGAGTTATCAAAATCAGGGTGCCAATCACTCTTAGAAGCAGGGTAAAAATTACTTGCACTTCAATATTTATATTTATATTTATTATAAGAAAAAAGTTTCTTTTTGTGGAAAGAAGGTGCAGAAAAGGGCACAGTATTAGCTAAATATTGTACCTTAGAACATCAGTCATTTCCTTCTCAATAGTACTGAAAGGGTCTAATTTATAAGTTTTTCCATCTCCCTGTTATGCTGGTTTGTAAGTTCTGACACTGCTACTGGTATGTTAATGAGAAGCTAGCGTTCCATTAAGAGAAAACCATATGCTCTGCTGCCTACTGTGAAAGAGAAAGCATGTAATGTGGCTGTTGCCTTAGTAACACATTAATTCATTTTGTCAGTGTTGGCACAGATCATTTCATTTATAAGAAAACAAGTATAATAGTTTACCACATCTATAATATTTACAGTGTTTCTGTTACAAAACAGTGACAAAATGAGTTTAAAAAATAGAGTTGGTATAATATCATTAAAATATGGAATTTGTGGTAAAATTTTCCCTGTAAAAATGAAAAAAAATAAAGATTGATGTAAAATTTCTTTTCACAATTCTACTTAAAACATTTTAACACCAAACTGTTTGCTTTTTAGCATATTTGTATTATACTAATAACGTGCGTCTGCTGCAAAAAATTTAGTCCATGAAAAACACAAGTGCATTAACAGTTTTTAATGAATGCTAAACAAAATATTTCATACAACAGTTTTGTTAAATTACAACCATTATAAACCTAATCGTATGCTAGTGTGTTACTCATAACAAGGCTAAACATTTATCTAGTTTTATCTGTTCTTCCAGATGTTTATTAGTATTCTAGCACTCCTAAAATATTTAAATTAAACCACTCCATTTTCTCATGTGAATGCATTTTGGGTTTTATTCATAGAAGATCTAGTCACATGTATACCTAAATAAATATAGTACACTGTATATGCTTTATGCACAAGTGATACTTAATGTGAATTGAGATAATCCAAAAGCATGATAAAGGAGAGAAGTGATTAGAGGAAAGACAAGTTCCTGTTTATTAAAGTCTGCACCTGCAGCAGGGTATCAGTTCTACCCATCCTTAGGGTATTCCACACCTGTAAACACACATTCTTAACAACAAACATTTTGCATCTGTGATGTTCACTTACATTTTTTTAACCAATAAAAAGCTAACTGTGTACAAGATAGCGAGCAACTATCATTTATTAGTTTATGGAATGATTTAGGTTTTATGTCATTTCAAAGGAAGCATTTATGCATTTACTTAAGTTATACAAATGGGTGCAAACCACTGTGAAGCTGGCCATCTAAGTAATGAATGGCCAATTATACTTTCAACAGTAAGAAATACTTTCCTAAAATATCAGTGTTCAATGGGTTCATCCAAAGCTTCATGAACCAAATGTGAGTGTTTTTGTTTTTGCTCTCCTGACTATCATCACATCAATGCTCCCACGTTTGATGGGATTCTTTCTAATTAGAACCCAAGACCAGAGAGTACTTTTAAGAGTCTCCTTTATAGACCTGCAATATGAATACTCTAGGAGACACTTAAGAAAATAAAATTTATGATTAGCTTTGATGAAAATGACTTTAGTTTTAACTTCATAATATCTCTGCTTTGATATGAGTAAAATAGTTTGAATGGCTACATCACCAGAAGAGAAAATATAACCAAACATCAATGTGATTTTATATGATGAAGAATTAAATGTCTCTAAAATGTAATCATATCACATTGACTTACCCAATAAAAGTAACTTAATGAAGTATTTTATCTAATTCATATGTTTTTGCTTATTAGTTTGTGGTGCTTGAAAAAAATAAAACTGTAAACTTCTCAAGATCCTTCTTTTAACTCAAGCTATTTCTGTCAATAAAACTGTTTTGTCAGCAGTTAAATGACACCACATTTATGTTTTAAGTACACTAAATTATGGGTAGCTTTATAATGAGATTCACTGATTAGACTTACTATAAATAATATGATACATATTACTGTGATTTTGGTTAAATAAAAAATTATCTTAAGGTGTATAGCACCTGAAATTTTAAATCATTTTGATCTTAACAGTTTTATTGCTGTCCATTCCTCCCTCCAAAAGCCTTCAATGATTCCAAAGTTCTTAGAATCAATGTCTTTTTTTCTCTATCAAAAATCAATATAGAAAATTAGGTTATAAACTGGGAAATATATATACACACACATACATATACCTATATATGTATCTATTTTTCTGCTACTTAATACGTCATCTTCTCTTGATAAATAAAACTACATATTTTATATTTAATATTGTCCTAGTGAATTATTATTTTCCCATAATGTTTTCCAAAATCCACATTTAATTTTAAGAGCAAAGGAAACTACTGTTGTACCTACATGACCATGAAAAAAAAAATACAAAATTGGAGAAAAAATGATTTATTATGTTTGCATATATTATACCCCACAACCAAGTTAACTATTCTTCCTCTGCTGGTATTATCAATACAGAAGTTATGAAGGCCAAGTATACTCAAGGCCAGAGTGCTCTCTTTCTCTCTCTCTCTCTCTCTATATATATACACATATATATCCACATATATGTGTATATACATACATATATATCCACATATATGTGTATATACATACATATATATCCACATATATGTGTATATACATACATATATATCCACATATATGTGTATATACATACATATATATCCACATATATGTGTATATACATACATATATATCCACATATATGTGTATATACATACATATATATCCACATATATGTGTATATACATACATATATATCCACATATATGTGTATATACATACATATATATCAAAAGATATTTTAACCTGAGATATAACTTATTGTTGCAATTTATTTAACATGAAATATGTAATGTGATGCAAATGATAAACTTTAAAAAGTCAAAATAAAGAACAAATGACCTAATACATTATGGGAATAGAATTAGAGATACGTAAGTGCTAAAGATAGTGACATGATTTGGGATCTGCTGTTTTCTGGGCAAAAACAGATCCGTGTCTTGTTTTTCTTATTTATTTTCCCTTCTAAATGAATAATATTTCCTAATTAAGTGAGAAAGATATTAAATTAATATACAAGCTATAATGTTTTAGAAGTTATCTGTAATATTATTAGATTTTTTTCCATTAATAGATGCACAATTACTGGTTATTACATAATTTCCTGTTTAAATTCACAAATAAAAATTATATGTATTTATTATGTATATTTTGAAATATGTACACATAATGAAATGGCTCAATCAAGCTAATTACCATATGTACTACCTCACTTAATTTTTGTTGGGAGAACACAATATGCATCTATCTATTGTTTTAGTAATTTTCAAGAATACACTTGTATGATTCATTGAAATTAACTATTGTCAATATATTGTACTATATTGTACAGTAGAACTCCTGAACTTCTTCCTTCTCTCTAACTGAAATTTTGTATCCTCTGACCAACATCTCCTTAACACCTTCCAAGACAAGCTGCTGGAGACCACCATTCTACTCTTTTGCAACGAGTTAACTTTTTTGGATTCCACATATATGTGTGATCAGGCAGTATTTGTTTTTCTGTTCCTGGCTTATTTCACTTAATGTCCTCTAGTTTCACGCATGTTGTAGCAAATAACAGGACTTATTTTTTAGTGCTAACTAGTACTCCATTGTGATTATATACAGCGTTTTGTTTATCCATTTATTTACTGATAGATGCTTAAGTTGATTCCATATCTTGGCTATTGTGAATAATGCCACAATGATTTATTAACTTATTTCTAACTATTTTAGTAATTAGAGTATTTTAAAAGATCTAGTCCTGGGATATTGTTTTCTAATCTTAACTCACATGATATAAGGGAACATAGTACAGCCCATGAAGCCCACACTTTTATGGATATAATTAGTATATAAAATGCTTTATTTAGACATATTTGAACTATAAATAGTTATCTTAAGTAATTCTTTAGGTTGACTTAAAAAGAACTTGTTGCAGACAGAAGTTTCTCCAAGTTGATGCTAAGATTGTTCAAACACGCAGTATGAATATTTTGAGTCATCTCTTTTTAACTTTTGGTCAAATTAATAAGTAGCCGCATTTCATAGCAGTATTATAAAAGCATTAATCATATCGGCAGACTGGACTTTTTACTTATGGAATCTTATGTTTCAGCCAGTCCAACAAGAATTTTTATTTGTTTGTTTTGTTTTTAACATCCCAGTATAAGAGAAAAGCTCTTATGCTTCAAAAATACTCTTATGGAGGGAAAAAAAAGTAGTAAAGGAAAATATTGGCAGGGCGTGGTGGCTCACGCCTGTAATCCCAGCACTTTGGGAGGCCAAGGTGGGCGGATCGATTGAGCTCAGGAGTTGGAGAACAGCCTGGGCAACATGGCGAAACCCTGTCTCTGCAAAAAAACACAGAAGCTAGCCGGGCGTGGTGGTGCGTGTCTGTAATCTCAGCTACTGGGGAGGCTGAGGCAGGAGAATCGCTTGAACCCGGGAGACAGAGGCTGCAGTGAGCAGTGATCCCGCCACTGCACTCCAGCCTGGGAGACAGAGTGAGACCCTGTCTCACAAAAGAAGAAAGGAAAAATATACAATCTCAAATTTGAATAATACTATAGAAAAATAATATTTAGGCATATAAATAAAATAGTTTTGTGAAGAACTCTGTCTCTGTTGACTGCTCCCTATTTTGCAAAAATCAAATATTTTCATGAACAATATGAAATCGAGGCGACTTACGCCAGAACTGGATTTAAAATTTAAAAAAAAAATTTTAAATTTTTTTCGAGACAGACTCTTGTTCTGTCGCCTAGGCTGGAGTGCAGTGGTGTGATCTCTCCTCACTGCAGCCTCTGCCTCCTGGATTCAAGCGATTCTCCTGTCTCAGCCTTCTGAGTAGATGGGATTACAGGCGCGTGCCACGACGCCTGGCTAATTTTTTTGTAGTTTTAGTAGAGACGGGGTTTTGCCGTGTTGGCCAGGCTGGTATAGAACTCCTGGCCGTCAGCGGGCGCGGTGGCTCACGCCTGTAATCCCAGCACTTTGGGAGGCCGAGGTGGGCGGATCACGAGGTCAGGAGATCCAGACCATCGTGGCTAACATGGTGAAACCCCGTCTCTACTAAAAATACACAAATTAGCTGGGCATGGCGGTGCCTGCCTGTAATCCCCCAGCTACTCGTGAGGCTGAGGCAAGAGAATCACTTGAACCTGGAAGGCGGAGGTTGCGGTGAGCCAAGATCGTGCCACTGCATTCCAGCCCGGGTGACAGAGCGAGACTCCGTCTCAAAAAAAACCTGGAGGTAAGAGATCTGCGGGCCTCCGCCTCCCAAAGTACCGGGATTGCAGGCGTGAGCTACCACACCTGACCTAGAACTGGATTTGCAAAAAAATTACCATAATAACATTTTCTCATTCGTCAATTAATCAAGATTAACATACATTTGCTATAAATCCACTCTGAGTACCTTCAGGACTATTTTACTGGTCATTTTTCCAAATTGTTTATCACTCATTTAAAAGATTTTTGTTGTTGTTGTTGTTTTTGTTTTGAGAGGGAGTCTCACTCTGTCGCCCAGGCTGGAGTGCAGTGGTGCGATTTCGGCTCACTGCAAGCTCCGCCTCCCAAGTTCACGCCATTCTCCTGCCTCAGCCTCTGGAGTAGCTGGGACTACAGGGACCCGCCACCACGCCCAGCTAATTTTTTGTATTTTTAGTGGAGACAGGGTTTCACCGTGTTAGCCAGGATGGTCTGGATCTCCTGACCTCATGATCCATCCACCTTAGCCTCCCAAAATGCTGGTATTACAGGCGTGAGCCACCGTTAAAAAATGTTTTATAGAGACAGGTTCTCACTATTTTGCCCAGGCTGGTCTTCAACTCCTGGACTGAAACGATCCTCCCACTTCAGCCTTCCAAAGCTCTGGGATTACAGTCATGAGCCATAGCACCCAGTCTGTTTATAACTCTTATGCTAAAACATTTAAAAAAGTATTATAATGATGTCACTCGAAGCAATCAATAATTATTTCGAATTTGACATATGAGGAATGGCTAGACTGATGGCCTCACAAAAGAGTTTATTATATCTTGAAAGGTAGGTTCTCTTACTTCTGCAAGATTAATAGTTGTAAAACAATTAGTGTCTTTCCTCATTTCCTTTTGGTTTGAAAATAGATGTCTAATTTTCCTGCTTGGTTTGCTCATGCTCCAGAAGAGTGGGGATTTTGTCTTCCTGATTTGTGTATTCTTCATAGTATTAAGTCATTGCTCATTAAATGTTTGACAAATTGAATTGAATTCAATGGTAGGAGAGTTTTCCTTATGAAAGGTTTGCTGCATCTTGTGTTAAAATATTTATTAATTTTATAAAAATACTTAATTAACTTTGTATAATACATTTAGAAAAAAATGTAATTCCTCTTCTTAGTTTTCGTGTTGTAAATGTGAAAGTAATTTTAGTCATAATTGCTTTATTGAACTGTCAGCCTATGTAAAACTTTAAATAATATCCAATTGATTATGTATTAAAGTTTTCAAGAAATAGAGAATAATGTAATATCTCATGCTAAAGTAGCCAAATAATCAATACTCATACAAAATAATTTTAATACAATTAATTTTGACATTTAGGAGTTATTTAAAATACATTTTCTTCATTGTCAAGTTTCCTCAATGAAATTGTGAAATCTCCACATTACACAGGTAAGTTTCCACTCGAATTAGTATCTAGCTTTATGAGTCTTATATGTAATTACAGAAAGATTAGATGATTTATTCAAGATCGTAACTTAAATATGGCTCATAATTCAAAATTTTCTGTTGCTTTAGAGTCTTTCTACATATAGTTAATTATTTTATTTTATAATCACAAACTTGCAACATTAAGTACAGTATGATTGAGATGAAGAAGTAATAAATCTACTTTGAAAATTATAAAACAAACATTCTCTTTTTACCTTTTTCATATTCATTTTATTTTATTTTCCTGTTTTTAAACTCACAATAAATTATTTCACTTAATATAATACCGTATATGTACAATGGTCAACCATTACTTAAAAACAGCATTAATTCATTGAGATTATATGCTTGCTCAAGTTATCTGTTTAACTTTATCCCTAAAACAGATGCAGAAGATAATATTACCATAAAATTAGCATACAATCCTATAATTTAAGTTTTTTCAGGAATGTTAATGGGACAAATATAGGCCAATTTGGTTCTGTAAGCCCAATGTCTTTTAGAAAGTTCTATCTTATAAATAATTCCAAGCTAAAATTTGGAAGGCAAATTTCTGGAACTTTAGATATATTTTTTCTACAGAAATACTATAACAAAAAAGAAGAAGGAGGAGGAAAAAGCTGACAGGAAGAGGAGGAGGGAGAAAGAGGAAAAACAAAGGCAGTGGAGAATGTTTCCTGAATGAGTGAAGAAAAGTTGAAATAGAATAAATAGGAAGTTTAGAAGGATGTGTGTGTACATATAAGAGACACTTAATTATGTGTTTGACTAAATAAGGAAGAAAGGTGAGGAATGTGCACCAGGGGCCTGATTCCCTGCAAAGGAGATGGAGAGAAATGTTGAGGCAGAGAGGAGCCAACAGGTGGCAGCGTTGCATTAAGACAGTCTAGTTGTTTGGCAAGCATAGCTGATTGGTTTGGAATTGCGAAGAAGAGGGGGAAAATAAAAATATTGTGTAGGATACATATTTATCCTGAAGAAAGATTAAACACAGAATGATTTTTCTAGCAGAAAGAAAAAAGCTATTAATTTATTGAGCATCAATTATGTGTCAGGCCCTGTTCTAGGCCCTGCAATTATAGTGGTGAGCAAGTAGATCCAGTCTGAAGGAGAATACAGTCTAATGAGACCAATAATAGGTACTTATCAATGGACCATCAAATAAACATTTAAGTATAAACTATTATAAGTTGCTTGGAGGAAATGAACCAGAGTACGTTATTTTATAGCACACATTGTACACTTGTTCTGAGGATAGCAGGGCTATTCTCCGGAAGTGATGTTTGAGCTGAGATCAGACGAATAGACATTAGGCAACAGGTGGTAGAAGAAAAATGTGTGGGAAATCCCAGTAACAGAAAATAATTTAAGGTATTTGGGGGACTAGACAGAGGCCAGTGTAGCCCACGATTTGCTGGGAAGAGTAGATAGACACAAGATTGGAGAAGTAGACATGGAAGGTCGGGTAGATAATTTAGGCAGTTAGGATTAGGCACTTTATCCTATGTGTGATGGAAAATCATTGAAGGTTCCAAAGTCGTGTTCTATTTCATCATATTTGTGTTTTCAAAATATAACCCTGACTGTAGTTTGGAGGCAGAACTCAGCGTGTGTGTTTGGTGGTGGTGCTGGGAGAGAAGTGGTAGTAGTAGGGAAGAGACTGGATTCAGAAATACTAATTTGGAGGCTCTTTCAGTAATCCACATGGAAGATGATGTTATATTTAATAGGGTAGTATTGGCAAACGTGGAGATAAATGGGAAGATTCAAGGTATATTTAGGAAGTAAAATGTATAAAAATGGTAATAAAGTAAGGAAGGAAGGTGAGGGAAAGGGGGACATCAAATGCTACACTTGGGATAGGGGAACCTTTTCAAATATCATAATCGATATTCAGTTTTTGGTATCATCCTGCACTCTGGTTTGTAATTCATTTGTGTTTGTGAAATTAAATGACACGATTATTTGCCAGGGCTCCTAAAATAGAAAATCTGATTTCATTGGTAGCTCTCCAAAATATATTGTGTCCATTTCAAAAGTGGTGGGAAATTCAGGTTCCATTGCTCCCATGATTTCCATCCTGAATATAACAATGGCAAACATCCCTGTTCCCTGCTTTCTCTACAGTCTTTCTTTGTGTAGGATGTCTCCGAGTTCTTTTCTTTTTTTTTTGAGAGGGAGTCTCACTGTGTCGCTCAGGCTGGAGTGCAATGGCGTGATCTGGGCTCACTGCAACCTCTGTCTCCTGGGTTCAAGCGATTCTTCTGCCTCAGCCTCCTGAGCAGCTGGGTTTACAGGATGTCTCTGAGTTCTATCATAGATCACTGATTTGTATTCTCTACACCTCTTTCACCCTCTGTTGGTTATCAGAAGACTTTGTAACCGAAAGATTCTATCAGCCAGAGGAAAAAATTTGTGGAACTCTGTTACTTATTGGCAGGTTTTATTATCAAGAGAATTACGTTCAAGCAAATTATTTAAGTTAACAAAATAAGTATAAATAATATTGACATTATTGATTTTTTTATTTCCATATGCTATAAACATTAAACATGTTTATATAATTATAGTATTTTAAAATCTGAGGGACATAAAGTGATGAAGTAATGAATAGTTACTGATGTGTGGCCATCTTAGCCACAAAATGAAGTCAGATGGCATTTTTTTTTAGTCCATATCACAAATTTAAACTTTTTTTTTGTTTTTTTGAAATGGAGTCTTGCACTGTTGCCCAGGCTGGAGTGCAGTGGCATGACCTCGGCTCACTGCAACCTCCGCCTCCCGGGTTCAAGTGATTCTCCTGCCTCAGCCTCCTGAGTAGCTGGGATTACAGGTGTGCACCACCATGCCCAGCTAATTTTTTGTATTTTTAGCAGGGGGCGGTTTTACCTTATTGGCCAGGTTAGTCTTGAACTCCTGACCTCGTGATTCGCCCGCTTCGGCCTTTCAAAGTGCTGGGATTATGGGCGTGAGCCACAGCGCTGGGCCATAAACTTTTTACAAATAATAATGGCTATAGTGTTAAGCTTCTACTAAGGGCAAGGGCTATACAAATATCATGTAAATCTCACTAAAGCTCTGTAATTAGGTTACTATTGCTCTCCTTTTTCAGAAAAAGAAACTGATGTGTGTGTGTGTGTGTGTGTGTGTGTGTAATTTTTAAATCTAGTAACTACTTGTCCAAACATAGGTCTGGCTATTTTCATAGTTCTACATTATAGCATCTTCTTAAGAAAAATTTTAAGATTTATTTCTTCATGGAAAGCTGTTTTAACCTAAATTTTGAAAAGAAAACAGTCTTCAACATTCTTTTTGTGTTCTAAAACCAGAGAAAGTTAGATATTCTTGGCATAAAGCAAAGGTTCAGAAATAAACTTTAAGAAATATACACCAAGTGCCCTTTGAAAAGCTTTGCTGTCTTCCGCCTTCTGAATACATGTATGTTTAAAACCCATAGAAAGTCAGTGTTGGCCCATGGATCATACAGTGATGCACTCACTTTTTACTCTGGGCAAGTCATTGGACTGCTTTAGTAATTGTTGGTTTTATTTTAAAATTTAAAATTAACATTTGCTTCTGGGAACTCCAAAGATGACTACACAATATAACTGAGATCATTTATTAAAATTATCAATAATTGTGAAGGAATGACTAGGGCTAATTCAATGTGTTTATTATATTTAACTATCTCACTGGAAAATGTTCTATGACTCTGGAAGTTTTCAAGAAAAGATTGAAAAAGAATCTTTTCACATCTACAAACTCCCTCACCATGTACTCCACCATGTACTTACACCACCAAAGTGGAGATCAGTGACAGTAGAAGGAAAGTCTTTCCTAAGCCAGAAGAAATAGTATTGTCACACGTTTTTCTGTCTAAATTGCAATACACCCCATAGCTTATTAAAAATAGATGAGTTAGTTTCATCAGATAAAATATAAAACTGATTTTTTTAAATCAAAACTGTTACACTTTGGATATATGAAATTGTTTTAGAAAAAAAGGAAAAGTGTAGCAAATGAAGGAAAAGGCAGTTGCATTTTTGGAGATTGTCACAAGAGGGCATTTATGGATTAACTCTACGTTTTTTCTACATTTGAAAATACTGAAAGGCATTTCCAATTCTCAGAAGCAAACTAAGAATAATTAATTAATTAAAAATGAAAAGATGAAAAAGACAGTCTCTAAAATTTTTCTTTTATATTAATTCTGCTCCAGAAAATTGGTTGTTTTTTAGAAGTTTGCATCAAATGAAAACCGGCACGTATTTATAAATTTTAGATGTGAGGAACTCATTTCTCCAAAATATTGAGATCCTAAAAAATAATATCAGCTGAAAAAACTACTTATATTTTGTTTCTAGCATTTGTTTGTATACCATTGAAAAACAAATATTTAAAATAAATCCTATTATTTCAACTGATAAAGGGTAATTGCATTTTTAAAACATGATTTTCTCCTTTGTGCTGAAAAACAAGCTAATTAATATTCCTAAGTATTTTGAAAACAGGTGCCATTTAGAGAATACGGGCACAAATGTCTTAATAAAATAATGAAAATCTTAGTTATATTAAGAAATAGGCAAATTAAATTACTAGAAAGAGAATGGTATGGGGCTCAGTTAAGGGGAAATAAATAAACTGAAGCAAATGCTAAAATATTTTTACTCATGATATCTTGAGCCCTTTAAAAGCAAGGCCTCTGATGTATTCATCTTTGAAACCCCAGTCCTAGCACGGTGGTGGGCATGCAGTAGGTACTCAGTGAATATAGTTAAATAAATAAATGAAACCATTTCTTTAACTGAGGATAAATTTAGAGGTGGCAAGGCAGAAGAATTTTCCGTGATTATTAATTAAATCAATGACTTTCTTATTGCATTAATTGATGTGAAAACTTCAAATGCAAAGGGAAAATTTCATTCAATCACCTGGGGCTTTCAAATAACTGCCGAGTTGGTGCCATATAAACAAAACATTAGGAGAGCTAACGCGATCATATTTAATCCTCAAGAACAAAGAAGATGCAAATATGGACCAACACTGTGTTTTATGCAATTTGGGAATCCTGGAACTACAAAACTCTTCATGATTATTCAGTCTATCCCAATAACACCCAACTTATATCTTTATGTAATTTTTACCCAGTTTATCTAATAATTTATAATTTTTTCAGCAAAAACAAGTAATGGGCTATTAGAGTTTTTAATAAACATCAGATAATCATTGTCATCATGTGATTTTATTTAATTTCAATCAAAAGTAAAGAGAGGTTATATTTTAGATAACCTGCAGTCTTTTTACAGGAAAACAATACAATTTCCTTCAGGCATTTTAACATAATTAAAACACATTTCAGATTTGTTTTCCTACTTATGCTAAAGCACAAGCTTTTGAAAACCATTTTCATTATATCATACTCATGAAAGACAGTAAAACTTGGAGAAACAGTTATTTGGGTTAAATAGCCCTGGATTCAGAGGTTAGCTCCAATAATTGTTGGGAATATGGTTTTCTCTAAAACCGTTTTTCATCTATGAAACTGGGATAACATTGCCTGTTTTGGTAGATCATTCTAGGTAGTAAGTTTTAACATATGTAAATTGCCTGATAAGTAGGAAGTAGTCAGTAAATGCCAGACTTTATAACTAAAGAATCACAAATTTTACAATCCTTGTTGAGAAATTTGAGAGTGTGGCAGATATAGAAATGGTCACATAATATTGTACATACACCTTTAAATTTCTCATGTACCCTTGCAATGGGTTGGGACCATGAGAACAGTTCTGACCAATTGGCTATGGTTGGAGGGATGTATGTCACATTCTGGCCAAGGAAGTGAAAAGCTATGAGCCCCTTGATCAGTATTTTTCTCTATCATGGTGGCCCTTGAAGCATGTTACCGAGATGGTGGTATCTCAATACAACAAGGCTTTCCATATCTGGGTCACTGATTGACTAAATGCAGTAAAACATTTGCAGACCAGTATTAGACATGTGCAAGATATGAATATTTGTTGTGTTAGGATATTTAGGAATTAGATTACCACTACAGCATACATAGCCTAACCTGACTAATAACATGATCTAACCAAAACACTTCATTTTATTAATAAGGACAGTAACGTCCAGAGAAGTCAGTTTGTATAAAAGCCAGTGGAACCAGGAGGCTGAGGCAGGAGAATGGCGTGAACTGGGGAGGCGGAGCTTGCAGTGAGCCGAGATTGCGCCACTGCACTCCAGCCTGGGCGACAGAGCCAGACTCCGTTTCAAAAAAAAAAAAAAAAAAAAAAAAGCCAGTGGAACTAGACCCTTATCCCTCACCATGTACAAAAATGAAATAAAAATGCATTAAAGACTTAAAGATAAGGTCTAAAACTAAAAGATAAGATCTAAATCAGCTAGAGGAAAACATTGGGGCAATATTCAAGGCATTAGTCTGGGCAAAGATTTCTCGAGTAACACCTCAAAAGCACAGGCATTCAAAGTAAAAAATGGACAAATGAGATCACATCAAGTTAAAAATCTTCACCAGAGCAAAAGCAAACACATGCACACACAAACTTAGAAACAATCAACAAAGCGAGGAGACAACTTGCAGAATGGGAGAAAATATTAGCAAACTATTCAGCTGACAAGGGATTAATAACCAAACTATATAAGGAATTCAAACAACTCAGTAGCAGAAAAACAAATATCTGATTTAAAAATGGGCAAAAGTCTTGAATAGACATTCTCAGAAGAATACGTACAAATAGCCGTGGCTTTTATCAAAAAGGCAAGAAATAACAAATGCTAATGAAGATGCAGAGAAAGGGGCACCAAGGTAAACTTATGGTGGGAATATAAATTAGCATAGCCACTGTGAAAAAAGTATGAAGGTTCAAAAAAAAAAAAAAAAAACACTAAAAATAGAACTACCACATGACCCAGCAGTCCTACTGTTGGGTATATATCCAAAAGAAAGAAAATCAGTATGTCAAAGAGATACGTGTACTTCCATGTCTATTGCAGCACTATTTACAATAGCCAAGATATGAAATCAACCTAAGTGTCAATCAATAAATAGGTGAATGGATAAAGGAAATGTGGCACATATACAAAATGTAATATTATTCAGCCATAAAGAAGAATTAAATCCTATCACTTGCAACAACATGAATGGAACTGGAGGACATTATGTTAACTAAAATAAGCTAGGCAAAGAAAGGCAAATTTTGCATGTTCTCACTCCTATGTGGGAGCAAAAAAAGAAATGGTCTCATGGAGGTAGAGAATAGAATGGTGGTTACCAAAGGCTGGGAAGGATAGTGGGGAGGTTTTGCATAAAGATGAGATGGTTAATGGGTTCAAAAAAAAACCCCAATTAGGTAGTAGGGATAAGATCTACTGTTTGGCAGCATGATAATTCAACTATAGGTATCAATAATTTATTGTACATTTCAAAATATCTACAGTAGTTGATTTGGTATATTTCTCAAATAAATTATGAAGGATTGAGGTTATGTGTATCTGAATTACCCTGATTTGATCATTGTACATTGGATGCTTGTATCAAAATATTACATGTACTCCATAAATTGTACAGCTATTATGTAGCCATAACAATTTTAAAAGCCAAGACAAAAACGCAAAAATTACATTAATATATAGGTATTATAGACCCTTTCTCAAGTGTTATATCTTAAAAATCACAGGGCAATTTTTAAAATTCTTCCGCATATAAGTATATCTAATATACATTTCTATATTCCTCCAGGGAAACTGAAATATCAGAGATTTTTTTAAGTCATTTTTTCTTCCTTCTATATATATATAATACAAAGTCTTCCTCAGTTGCACTCAGGCCAGAAAATCCTCTGGGAGAATACCTTTTTGTCTATCTATTCTTGTCTTTATCCTTATCCAAATATTTTTGCATGCATATTAGTGCATGCATGCATGTGTGCATGCGTGCGTGTGTGTATCAAAGCCTATTCATTAAGAACATATTTAAAACCAGAATTTGTTTTCCAAAGTACTTGTTTTCTGACTAACCATTGCATTATTTTTTAAAAAATATGACTTAATAGTACTTTAAGTTCTATACTGAGTTAATCAGCTATATGGTTTGGCTGTGTCTTCATCCAAATCTCATTTTGAATTGTAGCTCCCATAATTCCCACATGTTGCGGGAGGAACCCAGTGGGAGATAGTTGAATCATGGGGGTGGTTGCCTCCATACTGTTCTCATGGTAGTGAATACATCTCATGAGATCTGATGGTTTTATAAGGGGTTTCCCCTTTCACTTGGCTCTCACTCTGTCTCTTATCTGCTGTCATGTAAGATGTGCTTTATCCCTTCTGCCATGATTGTGAGGCCTCTCCAGCCATATGAAACTGTGAGTCCATTAAATCTCTTTTCTTTATAAATTACCCAGTCTCACGTATGTCTTTATCAGCAGCATGAAAATGGACGAATACAGTAAATTGGTACCAGTAAAGTGGGGTGGTGCTGAAAATGTGGAAGCAACTATGGAACTGGGTACAGGCAGAGGCTGGAATGGTTTGGAGGGCTCAGAAGAAGACAGGAAAATGTGGGAAAGTTTGGAACTTCCTAGAGACTTGTCGAATGGCTTTGATCAAAATGCTGATAGTGATATGGACAATAAAGTCCAGGCTGACGTGGTCTCGGATGGAGATGAGGAACTTGTTGGGAACTGGAATAAAGGTGACTCTTGCTATGTTTCAGCAAAGAGACTGGCAACATTTTCTCCTGCTCTAGAGATTTGTGGAACCTTGAGGGAGATGATTTAGGGTATTTGGCGAAAGAAATTTCTAAGCAGCCAAGCATTTAAGAGGTGACTTGGGTACTGTTAAAAGCATTAGGTTTTAAAAGGGAAACAGAGCATAAAAGTTCAGAAAATTTGCTGACTGATGATGCAATAGAAAATAAAAACCTATTTTCTGAGAAGAAATTCAAGCCAGCTGTAGAAATTTGCATAAGTAACGGGGAGCCAAATGTTAATTGCCAAGACAATGGGGAAAATGTCACCACAGCGTGTCAGAGACCTTCTCAGCAGCCCCTTGCATCTCAGGCCCAGTAGGCCTAGGAGGAAAAAAATGGTTTTATAGGCTGGGCACAGGGTCCCCCTGCTCTGTGCAGCCTAGGGACTTGGTGCCTTGTGTCCTAGCTGCTCTGGCCATGGCTAAAAGAGGCCAAGGTAAAGCTCAGGTGTGATTTCAGAAGGTGCAAGCCCCAAACCTTGGCAGCTTCTAGGAGTTGAGCATGAGAGTGCACAGAATTCAAGAATTGAGATTTGGGAATGTCTGCCTAGATTTCAGAGGATGTATGGAAATGCCTGTGTGTCCAGGCAGAAGTCTGCTGCAGGGGCAGAGCCCTCATGGAGAAGCTCTGCCAGGGCAAGGTGGAAGGGAAATGTGGGATTGAAGCCCCACATAAAGTCCTTACTGGGGCACTGCCTAGTGGAGCTGTGAGAAGAGCACCACTGTCCTCCAGACCCCAGAATGGTAGATCTTCTGACGGCTTGCACTGTGTGCCTGGAAAAGCCAAGGACACTCAACTCCAGCCTGTGAAAGCAGCTGGAGGGAGGCTGTACCCTGCAAAGCCACAGGGGTCAGCCGCCCAAGACCATGGGAACCCACCTTGTGCATCAGCGTGACCTGGACATGAGACAGGGAGTCAAAGGAGATCATTTCGGAGCTTAAGATTTGACTGCCCCACTGGATTTTGGATTTGCATGGGGCCTTTAGCCCCTTCATTTTGGCCAATTTCTCCCATTTAGAATGAGTGTATTGATCCAATGCCTGCACCTCCACTGTATCTAGGAAGTAACTAACTTGCTTTTGATTTTACAAGGGCATAGATGGAAGGGACTTGCCTTGTCTCAGATTAGACTTTGTTTTGTAGACTTTTGAGTTAATGCTGAAATGAGTTAAACCTTTGGCGGACTGTTGGGAGGGCATGATTAGTTTTGAAATGTGAGGACATGAGATTTAGGAGGGCGCCAGGGGCTGAATGATATGGTTTGGCTGTGTCCCCACCCACATCTTATCTTGAATTATACCTCCCATAATCCTCACTTGTGGGAGATAACTGAATCATGGGGGTGATTTCCCCCATACTGTTCTCATGGTAGTGAATAAGTCTCATGAGATCTGATGATTTTATAAGGCACTTTCTCTTGTGCTTGGCTCTGTCTCTCTTGTCTGCTGCAATGTAAGATGTGTATTTCATCTTTTGCCATGATTGTGAGGCCTTCCCAGGCACTTGGAATTGGGAGTTCATTACACCTCTTTTTCTTTACAAATTACCCAGTCTCTGGTATGTCTTTATCAGCAGTGTGAGAATGGACTAATACAATCAGGTATGACATTATGTAAAGAATCATTTCATGCCGTTTGCCCTTAATGGAAATTTTCACTGTGCTAAGATAGGTGTGTACTGAAATTTCTGATTATAATTTGAATTCGTTTTCCCAATGTTTTGCTACCTTTTGAAATGGTTGACTTATTTTTGTAATCATAGTACGGTAATGAGATGTTAGATTATTTAAATTCATATTTGATATACTCTTTGATTTAATCCTTGAACCTCTTAATTTATTTGTCCAATAATTTGAAAGATTAAAAGTAGTTTCTTGAATATTTTATGGCAGTGGGAGTGGCTGTTAAGAATGAAAATCTAGGCTGGGCGCGGTGGCTCACTCCTGTAAACCCAGCACTTTGGGAGGCTGAGGCGGGCAGATCACGAGGTCAGGAGATCAAGACCATCCTGGCTAACATGGTGAAATCTGTCTCTACTAAACACACACACACACACACACACACACACACACACACACACACAAATCAGCCAGGCGTGGTGGCAGGTGCCTGTAGTCCCAGCTAGTCGGGAGGCTGAGGCAGGAGAATGGCGTGAACCCGGGAGGCAGAGCTTGCAGTGAGCCGAGATCATACCACTGCACTCCAGCCTGGGTGACAGAGCGAGACTCCGTCTCAAAAAAAAAAAAAATGAAAATCTAGAAAAGAAAGACAACTTTGCAGGACACATACATTTAAGGACAAGAAAGATGAAGAGGAGTCAGTGGGAAAAAATTAGGAACATTCACTTGAGTAGATGGGTAGTCAATAAAATAAGTTCTCAATAATCATAGAGAAGAAAGAACTTTAGGAAAGATGATAAATGTCACAGGGATCTGAGAGGTAAAAGATGGCAAATGAGGAAAAACATCTAATTTTGATGTTGAAGACATTTTTGGTGGTTTTTGAACATAGTGATTCCAAAACTCCTTTTATTTTGTAACATATGTAACTAATGTATATGTTACAAAAGAAAAGGGAGCTTTGGAATCACTATGTTATATTTAGAATCACTATGTTATATCTTATGTTACAAAACAAAACTCTCATCAGCAACAATATATTACCATGGCAGGAAATTCATGAAAGCAGTTTCCTGTATTAGAATCGCAAGCAGCAATGTATAGTTTAGAAAGGTTTCAAGTTATTCTGATCCACTGCCCTAGGGACCAGGCAACTCTTTCGTCTACCCCAATGATAACCATTATTCTAAAGTGTTTCTATCAAAGTGCCTTCTGTGCAGTGCTTGGGTTCACAGATATAGTCTTGGGATCTGTGGTTCACAATGAAGTTCAAAATTCTGTGTTTTAAAATGTAAAATATATATACATATATATTTTAGGAAATGAAGAACAGATGTCATCTTCATCAGTACAAGATGTACTCGTGATAGTTTCATGGTACCTAATGGGGAGGCATTGGATGGAGTTACAGTATGACCAGGCACTTTAGCGTATAGGCACCTGCACTAGAAAGAAGCAAGGCAGTAGCAGGTCATTCCATATTCACTTTGTGAGCTGTGTTGTACAGATTCTGTCTTTGTCACATCAATGATTAACAGTAATACTAAATCTAAATACCTTATGAATAACTTTTCTTTTTCTTCTTGTGGCACTAATTTGATCACATATGCATTTAACACAGATTTCGACAATACAGTGGAACTAAATTTATCTTTAAGCAAAGAAGACAAATTTAGAGAGTTCTCAAGGGGCATTTAATTAATATTGGCATTTTAAGATTGCTTTCTCAAAGACTTTAGGTTAAGCACAAGGTCTGATTATCATGAACCAGAATTCAAAGAGTTGATATTATTCATATATTTTCTAAAACTGGACTATATAGATAGGTGTAAGTATTATTGATATCAAAATAAAGAAGCAAATTAGATATAGAAGCATGTATTTTTTTATAACTAAATATATCTAAAATATATATAGAATATTAAATTTACATTATTAATTTATAATTTACTGAATTTCCAGTTTTTTAATTTATAATTTTATGGTTATGTTATAATTGATAACAGTTCTAAGGACTTTAAATTAAATTTATATATACACATGTTTAAACAACCTAACAATGTAAATAATTTAATAATGCCAATGTGTTGGAAGGGTATTCTGTTACAAGGGGTTCATACCTTCAATATAAGAAAAAAAATTCAGAGTTCACAGTGTAAACTAATGAGGATGAAAGCAACACTTATTTTATCTAAGGAAAGTCTATAGAGAGAAAATAGTGATTGTGATGATATAAAGCATCCATTAGAGAAAGGTGATGAAAAAAGGAAGAAAAAAATAGGGCTATTGCTAGAGAAATCAGCTTGCTGGAAGGCTGGGTCATGATAGAGAAGGCCCAGCCATGAATAGAAGACAAAGTGGTTAGACAGACACGGAAAGGGAGAGGCCAGAGAGAGCGGATTATGATACAACAGGATTCTCTCCTGACCCTTGCCATATGGGAACAGACTGATAACACATGGTAACTTGCCACATGGCTTCAGTCCATGAAGCAGCACTATGCAAAAAACTCAGATGCCATCCCCACTGTCCTTCACTTTCTGCCAGAAGTCTCTTGATGGTAGAGATCCCCAAACTTGCCCTTTGAGAAGAATAATTGAAGATAATTATCAAAATAAAATAAAAATTTTCCCTTTCCATGCCAAATACTGAAACAAAAATCTTCATGAGACTAGTCTGGGAAGCTGTTATTAATAGATTTTTATGGTGTTATGATTATCGGATGCTTTTTGTGACACTGTTTAATACTTTATTTCTCAACATGTTGTCCCCAGACCAGCAGTATTTGCCACAGTTACAAACGTAAATTCTCAGACTCCACCACGGACTACTGAATCAAAAATTCTGGAGGTGGGGCCTAGATATCTACATTTTAACAAGCTAACCAGGTGATTTTGAAGCATGCTAAAGTTTGAGAACCACTGGATTAATGTGGGAACCAATTGAAACAGGACCATTGGACATGGGGCCTAGGTATGGAGGTATTTTAATGGTTCCCTCAGTGGTATCAACGTGTAGCTGTGGTTGGGAAACGTTGCAATACATCACAGAATAGACTATCTGAAGAAAATTTAGTTGATAGGGGTGGAGAAATAAATCAACTTACAGCACAGAGGGAAAGCCTGAGCCTCCCTGCAAGACTCCATGTATATATAATAGGCTAATCAAAGCATCTCTTTCTTACTCCAAGGTGCTCCCTCACATCCACCATCTCCTTATTAAGATCATCTCCTTTCTATTCACCACACACACGATCCCATCTCAGTGGTTGCTTATTGATTAAATTAACCATTTAATGCATTAATTCTCAACAATATCTTTCCTGTAACAGATACAAAAGATTATGTTTACATGGAGAACCCATGCTTAATTTTCTGCATGTTTTGCTATAATTTCATCTTTCTCATTCCAGAAAAAATTGAGATACAGATTGTGAGAGTGACATTATAGGTAGGTAACCTTGAGTCTGCTCTAATTTACTTAAAATATAATTATTTGTAAAATTTGGTAATTTATTTGTAAAAATTTCTTCTTTTTTCTTTTTTTGAGACACAGTTTCACTCTGTTGCCCAGGATGGATGGAGTGCAGTGGTGCAATCTCAGCTCACTGCAACCTCCGCCTCCCGTATTCAAGTGACTCTCATGTCTCAGCCTCCTGAGTGGCTGGGATTACAGGTGGATGCCACGCCCAGCTAATTTTTGTATTATCAGGAGAGATAAGGTTTCATCATGTCAGCCAGGCTGGTCTTGAACCCCTGACCTTAGGTGATCCACCTGCCTTGGCCTCCCAAAGTGCCGGGATTACACACATGAGCCACTGTGCCCAGCTTGCAACAAATTACTTAAGGCACACTTCATGATTAATCACGGTGCACTACGATATTCAGCTATTTCAAGATTGGGAACAACAAATTTACATGTATGGAAAATTGTCAGGCCTTCATAACCAGTTTAGAGGCTTTTAGCCTGAGAAACCCAAAATTATTTGGTTCAGGAAAGAGTAGGTACAGATGGGTTAGGTCCTGGTCTTCCTCTGGTCCTCATTCCTTGTAGAATCACAGTGGGCCCTAAGGTAACAGACTGAAGGCTTCACTCATTACCCTCACTTCCATAATAGTTTATTTAAAACGATACTCCTCCATTCTTGAGACTTCTTAGGAGGGCTTCAAAAAAGAAGTTATGCAGGAAAAAAAACTGGCAATTTTCCAGGTAGATAGCATGGAACTATCATGAGCTGGTACAAAGTCTTTACGGGATCATGCATCAGTTGTTGTCAGGATGATATATCTGAGGCCTTTATTTTACACATGAGGAAACTGAGGCCAAGAGAGCTTGTCCCTCCCTGCTCTCCCTTCTCTTGCATGCTATTCTCTTCTATGTCTGAGCCAGCTCACCATAGGTGATGGTGAGCAGGCTCATTTTTTCTCTTTTTAAATTATTTCCTGGGATTCTAGTTCATTATCCAGAGCCCTGGAAAGCTGAAATCTTACTTCTTTTCAGAAGGCAAGAGGAAGACTTGTCACTGAGAAAAAGAAAAATCCTGAATTACATGAAAAAAGGGAGAAAAGGACTGAGATAATGAGTAAACGGTGGGAAGGGAATAAAGACAGAGAAAGACATGAATACTTTATGAAAGGCAGCTGTTTTTGTAATATATCAAGCATTACCTCCAGTTTGTGTGGAATTCTTTAAAAAACTGTTGTGGGAAGTCAGGGACCCAGAATGGAGGGACCAGCTGAAGCCGCGGCAGAAGAACTTAAATTGTGAAGATTTCATGGACATTTATCAGTTCCCAAAATTAATACTTTTATAATTTCTTACACCTGTCTTTACTGCAATCTCTGAACATAAACTGTGAATATTTCATGGAAATTTATTAGTTCCCAAAATTAATACTTTCATAATTTCTTACACCTGTCTTACTTTAATCTCTTAATCCCGTCATCTTCGTAAGCTGAGGATGTATGTCACCTCAGGACCCTGTGATGATTGCGTTAACTGTACAAATTGTTTGTAAAATGTGTGTTTGAACAATATGAAATCAGTTCACCCTGAAAAAGAACAGAATAACAGCGATTTTCAGGGAACAAGGAAAGATAACCATAAGGTCTGACTGCCTGCGGGGTCGGGTAGAATAGAGCCATATTTTTCTTCTCACGGAAAGCCTATAGACGGATGTGTGAGTAGAAGAAATATCACTGAATTCTTTTCCCAGCAAGAAATATTAATAATTGAGGCCCTGGGGAAGAAATGCATTCTTGGGGGTAGGTCTACAGATGGCCGCTCTGGGATTGTCTGTCTTATGCGGTTGAGATAAGGACTGAAATATACCCTGGTCTCCTGCAGTGCCCTCAGGCTTACTAGGATTGGAAAATTCCAGCCTGGTAAATTCTAGTCAGACCGGTTCTCTGCTCTCGAACCCTGTTTCCTGTTAAGATGTTTATCAAGACAATGCATGCACAGTGGGACACAGACCCTTATCAGTAATTCTAGTTTTGCCTTTGCCTTGTGATCTTTTACTGCCCTTTGAAGTGTGTGATCTTTGTGGCTTACTCCCTGTTCGTACACCCCCTCCCCTTTTAGAATCCCTAATAAAAACTTGCTGGTTTTGCAGCTCAGATGGGCATCACGGAACCTGCTGGTATGTGATGTCACCCCTGGTGGCCCAGCTGTAAAATTCATCTCTTTTTACTCTTTCTTTTTATTTCTCAGACCAGCCGACACTTAGGGAAAATATAAAAGAACCTACATTGAAATATTGGGGGCTGGCTCCCCCGATACAAAACAAGTTAATATCATATACTATTGCAAGCTTCGTAGACCAGAAATTTTGTAGTCAGGTAGGACATGGATATTTCTCATTACAAATACAGAAATTGCTTCAGATATAATGCTCAATTTTTTATATAATGGTCACAATTGTATATATTTTGTGGATGTGTTCCCTAAAGTTCAGCGTCTTAGTGTAATTTTTTTCCCCACAATCAGAAAACGTTGATTTTGACAACTTTCATTCTATAGATCTGCCTATTCCTTCATTTTAGCTTGCTACACTGGTTCCAATATCCATTTTTTTCATTTATTATCAAGAGTCCTTTACAATTATTTTTCTGTCATGTTATCTGTTCTTAAGCCTCATATATGATAATAATTTTACTTTCTCCCATTCTTTCCCTAAATGGCCCATTTTAAAATTTGTTGAATTTTATAGCTTATTTTGGCTATAAGCTAAGATATTTAGCTCTAAAGAATGGCACATTACTGATATGCTGTCTGACTCCTCTGTGTTACCTTACATCTCTGCGAATATCTCTATTTTGTTTTAATTTTCTCTGTATATGTATGTCCCACTATTATAGCATGAGCTCCTTGTAGAAAGGCAGTGTTTCTTCTTTTATCTCTTTTTGCACAAAATCTTGAACAAAATACATATTTAGTAAGGCTTTTTAATTAATTATCGAAGCACATTTTACCCCTTTTATTCCAATTATCTATTTAATGTGGTCTCTGGTAGTATCCAAGATCCTTGAGGGCAGACAGGACTTTTGCCTGTTTTAACTGCTTGTCCCCATGACCTAGAACAATGACAAGGCATTGTTACAATATAAAAAATGTACTTATTTTTTCACAAACTGCCCGTTATTCTTCTGTCTTTGATTAAATTATAGCAGCTAGTTTTCCTAAAAGTAATAATACCACATTTAACACCATCCACAATTGGAGAGTGTCCCTGAATAAAAGTGACTTCAACTGTCATGTTAGCATTGTTTGATAGAGAAATAAATGTTACATAATGAACTATAAGGTGGTGTGATGGTTATCGATTTTAAGCTGGAGGGCTCCTAGTTGTTAAGTTTATTCATATGCACTGCATTCTGAATCAATGTAATACATTTGAGGTAATCTGATCTTTAATACTTTGGAACTAGCATAACTGTGCAAATGCTTCTTAGCCTTTCTTCATTTAGGCATGCCTCAAGTAATTATTGAGCAAGTATATACAACCTGAAGACATAGAAATTATTATGATGGTTTTCCTGCCTCCAAGAGCTCTTAGTGTATTAAAAAGACAGAAGGGCAAACAAATAATTGTGATAAATGCTACAAGATATATAAGTGCCACACATACAGGTAACACAGGCACAAAGGTGAGACAAGTTTGTCTTCCTTGGGAGGTATTGGGAGATGAGGGAAAGCTTCTCAGACAAGTGTTGAAGAGTGAGTATAAGAGTTGGCCAGGCTGATGGGGATAAAAGACTGAAATAAAAATCTTAATTGTACTCCCCAACACACACACACCACACACACACACAGGGGGAGAGAGAGAAAGAGAGAGAGAAAAGAAAAAAGTGATTTATAATATTAGAAATGAGAAAATGATCATAATTATGATAAATATATTACAAGTATTGAATGAAAATATTTATAAACACATGTCTATAAATTTGAAAAGAGTAATAACTGTGGGAGAAATTTAAAATGTTATCAAAGATATACCACTAGAAAAGCTGGCAGACCAAAATAACTTCATATGTGCATTATATTTAATCTCCAAAGAGCCTGTATGTCCTATATTATTTCAACTATTTCTGAGCATCAAAAAAGATGGAGAGCTTCTGAATTCATCTTATTAGGAAGTAAGATATCTTTAATGGTAGAATCTCATATGTTTCATTTTCAAACAAAATTCTATAGGCTAATCTCATTTATTTATACAGAACTAATCATGTAAACCATAGAATTATATTCTGTGCTGAATTAAAAGATTAATATATAACGATAAAGTATAGTTTATCTCAGGAATCCAAACATTGCTAAACTTTAGAAATAGGTTAACATTATAGAGGTGGTATTTATAGTGGTGCTTAGTGTAGGCTCTGGAACTAGGCTGCTGGCTATGAATCCCATTATGCCACTCAAAGCTGTGTGACCTCTGTGTGACCAGCTTCCTCATTTCAAAGTTGAAGATAATGATATGGAGTACCTCAATAAATTAATACATATAAAATGCTTAATTAGGCCTGGCACATGGTGAGAAATACTTAAGTATTAGCTATTATCAGTAATCTGATGGCAAAAAGCACATGATTTTATAAAAATGATCCCCAAAAGCAGGTGGCAAAATTCAGTCATTTCTTATAAATCAAGATAAATTTTGCCTTATGGCAATTCTGATAAATTAAATCCAGATAAATTCTGCCTTATAGTCAAAATAGGAATAATAAGTACCCCCTAAATGTTATAAAATATTCATCAAAACATCAAATATCTGAACTCATATTAAACTTTGAAATACTACACATTTTTCTTTTAGGTTGATATCGAGACAAAATATTCACTACTGTCACTATTATTTAACATCCCCAGAGGTTCCATTAATGCAGTAAGATTAAAACAAAGCAAAATAGAATAATTACCAGGAAATATTAAAATATACTATTGCTTTTGTTGCTATGAAAGATATAAAATTTACTTAGAATATGTTATAGACTCTACAAAAGCAAGTTCTGCAAAGTTGAAGGATACAAAATAAACATAAAATGGAATACATTTTTATTTATACTGATTTAAATTAGCTAGAATGTATGTATAAGCAAAGATACAATGTCTACAAATTTATTTGTATACATACACATAATACATATTTGTGTGTGTGTGTGTGTATCACCCCAAGACTTTACAAAGGATACATTGATTGGTCTAAGTAAATAGGTAGGTAGAATTTTAAATCTGTAGAGAAAGTAAGGCTTTTTTCAATAAATTGTTTGGGAAGAATTAGCAATCGTTTGGAGAAAATAAACTCAGATCCCTATTTCATTGCATATATGAATTAAAATTCTGAATGCATTAAACGTATAAATATGTTTGTGTGTAGTATTTGAAATAAGTGTAAATACTTTCTTTTAAAATTACAGAGGGTTGAGAAAAGAGGCTTTGGTATGCAGATGGGTAAGGGAATACTAAAAGGAATAAATGGAGTCCATAAGTAAACATGAGGGGAACTGATACACCAGAGTTATGAGAGTTCTTCGTTTGCAGCCGCAGGGTTGAGCTACTACATGTGTGGTTATGCTTTAGTCATGAAGAAAAGAAAAAATAAATCAATATATATCTTTCATATTTTTCTCTATGCAAACTAGAGATGACAGGTAAAAAATTCTTGCCTGTGAGGATTTCTCCAGAAAGGCTCTTGAGAGAGTGGCCTTTATCCATAGGAATGAGAAAAGTCAGAAAAATGGGAATATCTGCATAAGAACATCATGGTTTCAATGGTCTAAGGCTGTAAGTACTGTTTTCTAGCTCTCTCTCACTTTCTCAATATTTGCGTGTGTGTGTGTGTGTGTGTGTGTGTGTGTGTTCCAAAGAAGCAAATAAGTAGATATAATTATAACGTCTTCTGCTCCTATCCATAATAACCCTTTTGAGATTTATCTGACCATTTTTTTAAACATGTTTTCATTTCCCTATTATACTTCCAGCCTATGTACACTGAAAAAAACTTGCCAGGCCAGGAGTTACTGTGAAAAGGAATGATTACTGTTCCCCCAATATTTTTAGGGTTCTCTTGTAGAGATGGGTCAAAAACTAGCATCAGTGAAATTAGAAAAAATTTTTGATGAATTAACTATTAATCTGAAACTCATTTTCTATAATTCATAGCATAAACTCTTTTTCTTTTTTCTTTACAAGCTGGAGAGATGGCCAGCTGACTTCTTTTGGGACAAAATAGCTGGAAGAAAAATAGGAGCTGTTAAGCTAAAACCTCCTATGCCAAGTTGTAAACTACAGCACATTTTCATGGTTGAGTGGGAAAAAAATCCTGAAAGATCAAGCTTATTATAATGGAAGTGCTTATAAAACCAGCTCTAGCAGCAAAAACGGCAGGACTATTACCAGGCCCTTAGGGTGGACTAGTTGATATCATTTGCACTTTAAGCAGTTTAGGTGTTAAATTGCATGCAATTGCACAGTGTGATAAAACACCCTTCAAAGATATGAAATAATCCCTCTTTTTTCTTACACTATTTTCTTACAGGAAATCTTAACTCATAAATGGTAGTATTGGGTAATTTGTTTCTAGTAAAATGCAGCATAATCCATTTAGTTACAATGCTTATCCCATTCCAGTGGCAAAATGTAACAGGTGTAGGGTATTCAATAGACAGTGAGCCTAATTTCACAGATCTGAGTTTAGAGTTGGATTTTCATTCTTATTATTCTTTTACTGATTTTTAAATGGTGATTTAAAACCATTTTACCAAAAGAAAATAGGAAAGTAGCCAGAAGTGGATTTTTTTTAATGTGAAAAATTTAATGTAACAACTTCTCTATTATGTCGCCTTTTCTAAGATTGAGAACACAATGAAAATAATCTGTTCAATTCTGGGATATATAAGGTTCGCTTGCTCAATTTTGCTCACTACTGTCATTTTGGTTTAATTCAGTGAGCAACAGTTGTCATTGGATGATAAACCTGCATTTGGGCTGTCGACATATAGCTAAAGTAAAAATTATTTTAGGTTTTTGGTGAAGGCTTCTTGAGAGTGACAGGATTTTGAGGAGTATTTTCTGTATCAGTTTATGGAGACTGTCAATATTGAATTGGTCAAATAAAGACACATATGGCAAGTTTCAGCTCTTTTTTTTAGGGGAGTGTCAAGGGGATGGGGGAGGAAAGAGAAGAGGTGGAGAAGCAGAGGCAGGCTTCAGCTGTTATGTTGTTTAAAAGAGTTTTTAAAAACTATACTTTAGAACATTTTTTGAAATAAAATCCTAGAATTATTTGATATCTCTTGTTGGAAAAAAATTGAAAAATAATCTTTTGGAGGATATAAAAGAGAAATAGTAATAACTGATGAAAATGGTTGACCAGAAAGATAGAAATATACTGTGTTTTTCACAATTGGGGTTGTTTATTAATCACTTGGATTAATTGTTTTTTTTCTTGGTTGGAGGGAGTTGAAACCTATGTTTTTACTATAACATATAAACATGGTAGTCAGGACAATACATAATGGTTAGCAAAGGCCATATCCTACACATGATAACCATTATTTTCCCTGAGGAAACAAAGCTGAAAGTTGTAAGCAAATTCGTCTAATCCATCCATCCATCCATTCATCATTCCACTGGCCCATAAAATATTTATTTTCTATCTCCCTATGCCAGACATAGATAGGAAGATGTTAGTTACTAATGATACATTAATGAATAAAATTTGATCTCCATCCTCAAGAAATTTATAGGACAGTGAGTGAGACCATAGTACAACAACCGTAAATACATTCATAGTAAAACTGAAAAACAAAACTTTTAAAAAGACTATGCATTAAAAAGACTAAGTAACTGGCAACACTGTTTTTATGAATGGATTCAAAGTGAATACGATGTGATTGTTTACATGTATCACTTTCTAGGTAGCTATGTGAACTGCAGGAACTCAGAAATAACAACTCTCTCAACTCAGTGGGCTGTCTTAGGGAACCACAGGGAATCAGAACAATTGCTACTGCTGATTGAGCCACAAATACATGGACATTACAAAAACGTTGCAACAAAATTTTCAAAAACTTTAATGACACATTCATGTCTCAGTGAAGGTACTATAGTGAACTTCAGCTAAGAAACATGGCTGGAAAATAGGATGATCTTTTAAATTATGCTTTCCACTTAATTGATCTATGCAGTGAAACTGCCTCAGACAGTTACCCTGGTTTGAATGCTGGTGCTTGCAGTTTTCACTTGCACATTAATTATGTTGCTTGATCGCCGAGCATTGGGTGTCTGTCTATTGTCCTAGATGAGGCTGGAAATATTCTTCAGCTCAATAGTTTGAGTCGCCATGAAGTTTTGACTACCTCCTTCAGGTAACCAATCTTTACTGCATGTATGTGTCCTTCCAGTTCCATTCTGTTTATTTACACGTGTGCTTGCTCATGTGCGCGTGCGTGCATGCACAAACACATGCACATAGTTTTTTTTTTTAACATAAACAAGATCATTGCTCTGTAATTTGTTTCCAAAGGCAAACTATGCATTTTGTGATTGTTATCAGGTTTTTATAGCTTCATACGTGTGATTAACAAGGTGAACAAGTTTTGAAATAGAAACAAATGTTCATGAGATGTGTTTAGTCATGTTTCTCCTTTCATTTCGCCTGGTACCAAGTGGGCTCTTTCAATTTCAACAATTGAATATTTAGTTTAGAGAAATTCCATTTAAAAAATTTAATTCTTTCTTCTGATCTGTTTCATCTTTCTAGAAAAATATATGTGCATATATATAATCTGTGTATATTATATATAATCTTCTGGCACTATCTTCTTTTATCCCCTTATTTTTAACACTTCATTCTGCTGTAAGAATATATATAGCTGATATCTGATTTTCTTTACTATCTTCACAGCATTTTAAAATCAGTATATTTTCCTTCGGTTTTAGAATTTATTTCTGAAATGAAGATAATAACATCTTCCTTGTAGTAATGTATGAATTAAATTAGAATGCAAAATTAGTACTTAGTAAATTCTAGTTACTGAATTACAGTAAGAGAATGTGTTCTATAAATGTTCTGTCTCTTGGAAATTATTGAGGCTTATTTTATTTCTTAGTAGATGATTATTTTTTTCTGAGTCTTTAGAAAAAAAATGTTTTTAAATTAGGTACAAAGCTCCCTCTGTGTATGTTTACTAAGTACCTTTGTCAATAGTTTTTTTTTTTTCAGTTCTAGTCATGTCAAATTTTAAACTGTCACTCCACAAGTTTCATCAAATTATTCTTATATTGCTTATGCTTTTTGGCTGTAAATACTTGAATGATATATTTATTGGCACATAAAACTTCCTATATATCTTTTAAAATTTTTTATTTTTATTTATTTATTTATTTTTGAGACAGAGTCTCGCGATGTCACCCAGGCTGGAGTGCAGTGGCGGGATCTTGGCTCACTGCAAGCTCCGCCTCCCGGGTTCATGCCATTCTCCTGCCTCAGCCTCCTAAGTAGCTGGGACTACAGGCGCCCACCACCATGCCCGGCTAATTTTTTGTATTTTTAGTAGAGACGGTGTTTCATCGTCTTAGCCAGGATGGTCTCGATCTCTTGACCTCGTGATCTGCCCACCTCGGCCTCCCAAAGTGCTGGGATTACAGGCCTGAGCCACCACGCCCGGTCTTCTTTCAAATTTTTAACCTTATGAGGGATCTCCCTCCGTCTTTTTAATTAACTAATCAATTTGTATAAGTCTAAGAGATACACATGCAATTTTGTTTAATGGATATATTGCCTAGTGGTGAGGTTTGGGTTTTCAGTGTTACAGACATCCGAATATTGTACATCATATCCATTCCGTAATTTCTGATCCTTCAACCCCCTACCCTCCTTCCCTTTCGAGGCTCCACTGTCTATTATTCCACTCTCTACGACCATGTGTACACATTATTTAGCTACCACTTTTAAGTGAGAAGACGCAGCATTTTGCTTTCTGTTTCAGAGTTACTTTACTTAAGATAATGGCTTCCAATTCTTCTATGTTTTCATTTAATGTTTTTAAATGGAATTCTCCTTTACCTTTTATTGCTATTTGTGCTGAAAATCTCATGTTTTCAGCCCATATCCACTCTCTGCCCTTTTTTATCCCGCTCTGCTTCTGAATGCTGGTTTGTGGACCACATCAAGAGGTGCTCCTGCCCTCTGGATTCTATTGGATTAGACTAAGGGGGATTACTGGCAGAACATCCCAGGAAGGGCGGAGAATGAATTTGGGTTCCCAATTTTACAGGCTTCTTCCTTGTGGAGTTGCCATGTAACTGTAGGTTTTGACCGAAGGTCATTGCTCTTGTCAAATGGCCGTCTCTTTATAACCTTGGGGTTTCAGTAATGTTTCCTTCCCTTTAACCACTGGGACCTAGTGGTGCCAATAATTTCCAGCTGTAACTAGTGTTGGTTTTCCCACACCCTACCCGTTCTTTGTAAATAGTTCCTTCTTCTTTGTTGGAGTTGGGGTTGCCTAGGCTGGAGTGCAGTTGTTATTCACAGGTTATCATAGTCCACTACAGCCTCAAACTCCTGGGCTCAAGGGATCCTTCCCCCTCAGCCTTCCAAATAGCTAGAACTACAGGCGATGCCAATGTTTGGCCAGTTCTTTTGTCAAACTCTCCTCAAGTTATCTAGTTTCTATGTGCTGAATATATTGTGCCGGGAAAGTTGCTGATACATTATTTTCAAGTTTACTTTCTCTTTATTTCTATTGGCCAAATATATTTTTAGCTTTTATTTATTTTAAACCATTCTATGTCATTTTGTGTATATTTCTATAAAACAGCATTTATAGATTTTCCTTTTTGTTTATTCAAATTGAATGTTTGGTCTTTTAAATATAAATGGTTCTCAGTCCATTTATATTTATATGAGCTCTGAAACATCTTATTCTTAACATCTTATTTTTTGCCTTCTTCTTATTTCCCTTTCTTTAATGTTGACTTCTATGAAATTATCATGACATTGCTCCTTAAATTTTTTAAAGACATACCCATAAAATACATAAAGTATGATTCCATTTGTATAAATTTGAGAATAGGCAAAGCTCAACTATTCTGCAGGTATGCCTACTAAGGTAGTGTGACTAAGGACCATAAAAACAAAGATGGTGGGCAACAAGCTGCAAGTCAGGTAACGGGAATGGTTTTGTTGAGAACACTGGAAGCTGCTAAGGGGGTGGCAATGAAGGTGATTGCACAAATGTCCACTTTATAGTCATCCATTAAACTCTATGTTTCAAAAACATCTTTAGTGGTTTGGTAGTATACATCCTGTTTCTGTAAAATACTTGATCTTCTGTTTCATTATTAGCAAGATGAATATTAATAACCTAATTCTCAAACAAGATATGACTTTAACATACTTTTATTCATCACCCATGGCTTCCAGTTATTTAAGGAATCAGCAAATTTACTTACAAATTGTCATAAAAGTTTATTTTACAGCATTTTCTCATAAGAACAATTAAATATAATGAAATAGCTTAATTAAAGACCATGATCGGTATAGTAGAATTTTATTCATTATAAAGCAATGTTAGTGGAGAATATACTTCATGCTCACATTGGGCAACATGGATGCTTTGTTTTGTTTTCAAAATGGGTATTGAAAAATGCAATGAACAGCAATGGTGAGAAGAATGTTCAGGATAGTTATAATCTTGGAGGTGCTGAAAAACATGGTTACTCCTCTTGATAAAAAGCTGCATGTAGTTAATATTGGAATGATGTGGCGATATATATTCTTGGCTTTTTTTTTTTTCTTGGAAAAAATGTTGTTACCTGTTTGAAATTCTGTAGCCCTAGTTCCAGTCACTTTTTTAGTAGTAGAATTGCATTATAATATGGATGATTTTTTAGAAGATTGACCTGTATTTTTAAATATTTATTCATTAATTCAGCATATATTATTGAATGCTTACTGTGTATAATACACAGGCATACATCACCGAACAAATGAGACATAACATTTGTCCTGGGAAGCTGACATTCAAGGAGTGGAAAACATGTAAAAATTATGTGCATAATGAATATAAACATCCTTATTTGACTTCTTCCATAATTATGCTATTTGGAACTATTTGTTTCAGGGCACAAGTGACTCTTCTTGCTTTTCTTAGACCTCATTTTATTTGATCTCATTTGAGGTGTCCAACAACATTGACTTCCCACCTTCCCTTTTTATAAATTTTTATTCTAAGCTGGACACTATGGCTCATGCCTGTAATCCTAGCACTTTGAGAGGCCGAGGTGGGTGGATCACTTGAGGTCAGGAGTTCCAGATCAGCCTGGCCAACATGATGAAATCCTGTCTCTATTAAAAATATAAAAATACAAAAATTAGCCAGGTGCAGTAGCATGTGCCTGTAGTCCAAGTTACTTGGGAGGTGAGACAGAAGATTCACTTGAACCCAGGAGGCATAGGTTGCAGTGAGCCGAGATCATGGCACTGTACTCCAGCCTGAGCGACAGAGTAAATAATAATAATAATAATAAATAAATTCTTATTCTTTTCCTGTCTGAGACTATAATAGCTGGACTCTTCTATCTCTTTTTCTTCTTCCTTTGTGAGTTTGTCTACCTCTCTCTGTCCTTTGGCTGAAGTTATTTTAAAAGGCTAAGATCTTGAATCTTCTTTCTTTCTCATTTATTCTCATGCTTTAAATGATCCCTTCTATATAAAGTTTTCCAGTCTTATATTGCCAAGTCTCTACTAGGTATTTCTGTCTTAGATGATTACTTTCTCCTTCAAACTTGCTGTTTTTCCCCCCATTTTGTCAAAACTATCCTTATTTTCTTCTTTAGCAAGCCTCAATATAAGAGTAATACAATGGTAATAAAAATAATTGTAATAATAATACTTATTTAACTCTTTCTTTGTGACAAAGACTGCTCTAAGCACTTTACATTCAGTAACTCATTCACTGTTCAAAAAGTCCAAAAATTTCATCATTACAGATGTGGAAACCAAGGTATGGAGAGGTGAAAAGTTTTCTAACTGGACTCTCAAAAGCTACTGCATCTACTGTCTTTATCCAGGTCAACCATCAAAAAGTCACTAAATCAGTATTTCTAAAACTTTGTTTTTATTATGTGAAGCTCTTAAACTTTTAATTGTAGACACTTTTAAATGTGTCTGCATTGCACATTTACTGATAATAATATTATTTATCATTCATTGAGGGTTTATTATATGTGTTAACAACTGTTCTAAGAATGTAAGCCAAAATTTGAAATTTGCATATATTAGCAAGTGCTTTTTACTTTTTCTTCTTTTATTTTGTTTTAAACAAGTGTTTATTCAAGAATAGTTTTAGATTTATAGAAAATTTGCAAAAACAGTATAGCAAGTTCCCATATACCCCACACTCATTTTCCTGTATTGTTAACATCTCATATTACTGTGGTACCATTGTCACAACTAACAAATAAACTTTAGAACATTATTATTAACTAAACTTCATATATTATTATTATTGATTAAACTCCAACAGATTTCATTAATTCTCCTCTAAAGCCCCTTTTCTGTTCCAAGTGTTTTAGATGGAAAAAATATATAAGGAAAATCTACTTTTCTTTAATGTCTCGTAACCCACATTAATTTACTGTTTTATCAGGCTTTCTCTTCAAGTATTTCTGTAATCCCAAGGGGCATTTATATGCCACACATTTATCTTCTGGTTCTTGTGTCTCCCCTCCCTGAGCCACGTCATTATGAATACTTCTTCACCTGTCCCCTTGTCGTCTGGTAACATGAGCCAGACCTTCCACAATATCTCTTTAGGTTCTGGCTCCCACTGGGGAAGCCAATTCATCTGCCTCTAGTTGGAAGACAACCAATATTGAAAACAGTTCCTTGTGAATCTTTTGTTTCTGTTGTGGCCATGAAGTATAAAAGAGCCACCTTATTAATGGAATGAAGCTAAAATATTAAACAATCTTCAGATCTTCAATTCACCTTCAATATCTCCCTCTTTCTATGTACCCACTCTCCAGATCACCAAATCTTAATACATCCTTTGCAAAATCTTTGGGCTTATCCATCCTTTGCTTTTTATTCTGTTGTGATAATAGACCAAAGTTTCTTTCCTTCCTTCCTTCTTTCCTTCCTTCCTTCTTTCCTTCCTCCCTCCCTCCCTCCATCTCTCCCTTCCTTCCTTCCTTCTTTTCTCCCTCCCTCCCTCCTCCCCTTCTTTCATTTCATTCATTCTGTCTGTCAGGGATATCTGAATCTTGCTTTGTTTCCTAATCAGATATAACCTTCACCTTTAAAGACATACATGTTACTATTGAGCAGCGTGGGAGTTAGACATAAATTGTAAGTGGTTGACATAAGTGACTGGAGTTATTATTCTCCTTTTAAAACATAACTTCCAAGAAATAGTCCAGCGATTAACAGTGACCCTTCCCACATTTTCAAGATTTAGCATGGTATTTTCTTCACTTATGAAATAACTTGCACACACAAGATGTATTATTGGCTAGGTAAGCTGGTTACTGGTGAAGTGATAGAACGTCAGCTATCAGCAGGGTTGCCATTGGTTACACTCATGACCCGTTTGAAATAATTAGATGTAAAAGACTAGAACAAGTTTATGCTCACAATCTTGGAATTACAGTCATTTAGATTATGGCATGACGTAAAGAAATGTAGAGTCTTTCTACTTAGGTATTATATTTCAAGGTTTGTTTCAGTGTGTATGAAATGAGCATGGACTAAATATTCTTTGCACATCAGAAGTGCCCTTTGTTATTTCTTTACAGTAATCTGGGTCCTGCGTAATGCTAGGTAGATACACATTCAATCAGATGTAAAAAAAAATCCTTCAAAATATACATTTGCAGAGAATGAGCATGTAAAGTAAGAGTGTGAAGTCTAATCAATTGTCTCCTCTGCCCTTTTTGCCATTAAGGCAAGTTTATTTCTAGTTTAACCAGAATGACGGAAGTCAGCTTTGGTATGTTTGTGTGGTGTTAGTGGTCACATAATAGACCTGTCGTATGGCACATCTGAGTGCCAATCCTGTTTTGCAAACATCTATTGTAGTTGTAGTTTTTTTCTTTTCTTTTCTTTTTTTTTCTTAGAGGAAATTACCTGGGTCCTGGTTAGACATCTCCAGTTATTTTAAAACATGATGGATTAGCAGAGAGGAGAGAATTAAAATACTTTTTTGTTTTCTCTGACAAACTTTATGTCCATTTCTTTTAGGGAGGAAGCATTGCTACTGGTCTCTATCAGATTGGTAGGACTTTGAAACACTTTCAAGGTTCACAGAGGTTAGTGAATGGGGCACTGAGGAATAAGAAACATGCACCCTTCCCACCTCTTTTCTTCTCTGATCTCTTCTCTCCTCCCCTCCCTTCCTCTTCTGTTTCCCTTTTCTTTCCTTGTTTTTCTCCTCCCTCTCTCTCTCATCCACTCCTTTCTCCTCCCCCTTCCCTCTTCTCTTTTTTTCCTTTCTTTTCCCCATGCCCCACTTTCTACTCACCCCCACCTTTGTACATTTACTAAACTGGTTTAGGGCTTTCCTTGGGGCTAGATTATTCCTCTTCCTTTTTCTCCTTTTCACATTAGTGTACTAGTCACTGCTTTGAGTTCTTAGAACATTGGGCAGAATGGTCCTGCCAAGATTCAGGTGGGGAATAGATGAAGCTGGTTGGAAGGTAGATAGCTCTTCTCACATATATTCCAACAGATTTTCCAGAGTTCCATACACTGGAGAATTGGGTGCTGGTTCAACTATCATAACAGTGGTCCTTTCATTACCATTTTGAATTTGTTTCTTGCCTATTGTGCCTACACTATGAGGACAAGTAATTTGTAGTGTAAGATTCTAGCATTCCTGAACATAATCCCACAAAATTCCTGCAAAATCGTACCTTGTTCTCAACAGTGGGATAATTCCACTTGGTTCCAAGAATCCCAGAGGGAGAATGGGAGCAGGGCAGGCTGGAGGTGTTAAAATAATTTCCCTGGCTGGGAGGTGGCTCACGCCTGTAATCCCAACACTTTGGGAGGCCGAGGCGGGTGGATCACCTGAGGTCAGGAGTTCCAGACGAGCCTGGCCAAAATGACAAAACCTTGTCTCTACTAAATATACAAAAATTAGCTGGGCATGGTGGTGCACGCCTGTAATCCCAGCTATTTGGGAGGCTGAGGCAGGAGAATCGCTTGAACTCAGGACAGAGAGGTTGCAGTGAGCCGAGAGTATGCCACTACACTCCAGCCTGGGTGACTGAGACTCCGTCTCAAGAAAAAAAAAAAAAAAAAAAAGAATTTCCCTGTATTCTGATTCCATATTAGCCTTCAAACATATACTTAGTGTCTCTGCCTTGTGGGGAAAGCCCAGGTGGAGACTGAGAACAGACTTGTCATGGCACCTCCCGCTCTTATTTTGTTATCTTGAGAATGCCATTCCTCCCACCAAGGAGAAGTGTGATTGCTTGCATATGCCATCTGCTTACAAACCCCTGTGAGCTGAAATTCTCCCCCAAAAGGTTTATGTAAGCCCCCTGTGAACTGAAACTACTATGTTTTGCTCAGCTCAAATAAACACCGAAAAAGTATCTAAGCATTTGAACTTATAATAACATATTTATCCCAACACATGAGGCTACTCATCATTGGTGTATGTGTAATATATAATTGCAGCATGCAGAAAACAAACAGCTCTCGATCAGAGAAGTCTCTGGATCCCACGGGGCACTAATCATCTACCAAAAATAGAGATGGTTGGGGAAAATAACTTATAATTGCATTGGCAATCCACTATTAAAGTATAATTTCATGTTGTTTTCATTTCCAGCAAATAAATAATATAACAACCGACTTGAAAAAATTGCTCATTGCACTTAGTTGCAGACTAAAACATGAAATCTAAAAATTGAGTATGTATACACATTTGACTAAGTGTGCATTTTAAAATTCGAGGAAAAATATGCACATGCACATCTATACATATATGTATAAGAACTTATGTCCTTAATTTATAAGTAAAAATTGACTTATACTCCTTATAAAATTTAAATTATGCTTTTTAAAATAGAAATTCATTCATTTGACTTATAAATAAAATTATGAGTATATATATAATTTTCTTTAATGGCCTAAAATATTTATATTTTAAAGATCCATTTTTGTTATTTGTTCTCAAGATGGAGGAATTACATGTCAACTGTATTTGCATATATGAAGCATAGAATTGTAGGTCAGCCAGCAAACTGAGACTGAAATTACATAATACTAAGTGAACCTGGCATTATTTGAACTGAATAATTTATGTTAATGAAAATTATATAGGTTTAATCAAAGAAGAATAAAAAATGATATTATAAGGCAGAGAAAATAAAAGGAGCTTAAGATAAGGGGTGACCAAATGCCCAGCTGTGAATGCTTTGTCCTTGTTTCCTCTTGTTGCTATTTCACTAAAATGTGTTTATGACGTGAGTCAAGACTATACTATGATAGGGAATTGATCTCTCATCTCTAAAATATTATCCATGTAAATTTCATTTAAAGCTATCTACCTCATGGCTAGTTGTAAAGATGAACAAAAAATATGAAGTAAGACTGTTTTATAACCACAATAGAATAAAAGGCATCATGCAAAGTTAAAGTAGTAGCTACAGTAATAAATAATTAGAAATAAAACCTTATTTCCCACCTTGTTAAAAGGAGACAAGAGGGCCCTCCAATGATGTTCGTGGAATAAGAGTTTGAATCTAGACATAGCCAGCAACAAATTTCCGCACTCCAGTATGTCACTGCAGAGGTTTATTGTGCCTTTTGGTGCCAGGACACACTGAATTCAAGGAGTCCTTACCTTTAAAATGTATAAGGCAGACTTTCTAGTCGCTGAGATGAACTATCAAGAAAACACATTCTGCTGAAGCATCCAGCTGCAGCAGGGCGTTAAATCCAGTTGACCCATAGGTTAAGGGAAAGATGCAACGATGACTCCAAGAGTTTTCTATCAATAAAAAAGCAACATTTTTGGGCATAAGTTGCACAGTATATTGGATTGATACACTAGTCAAAAGAAAAATAGACTCCCTAGAGTGTTGCCTTTTGAATTTATAGTTAGCTTGTCAACTGGCAGCAGCAGTAGGTTTTATTGATGAGCTGAGCAGGACTTCCAATGGCTGCTACCTTTGGAAGGTGGGTTACTAAAATAAACATTGCTTTATGGGTGACAATAAATTAGTTAGTCTATAGTTAAATATGGAAAATATAGAGGAAACCCCACAGAAGTTCAACAGGGATAGAGAAAAATTTAAGGCAGCTACTTGTGTGGGTTTTATATAACATGTAACCTTTTAAAATAAAGTGATCTGCATTGGCTCATGTAGACTGTGGGAAGACTTGGCGAGGAACACTTTTGGGTATATTCAAGGCTGTATAAATGACTCCCAATGTGTCATCTGAAAGCTGTTAGGATTGAAAAAGGCACTGGAACCAATTCTTTCTTTTGTCTCCAGGAGGATTCGAACAGCCCACTCTCCTGGACTCAGAGAGAAATCTTTTTCACACCTCTCCCAAAGACACTGGTGCCGGAAGCATGCGCTGGGCCATATGTAAGAAGCAGCTACTGCAAAGGCAGCTTTGCCAGTGTATTCCCACTGGCCCTTAAAGGGCAGGGGAAATGTCACCCTTATACCTGCTGACACTTTGCAGATTCTCCTGTTTATCATGCCACACTTGGGTACCATATTCACAGAGGTTAAGGAAGTTTTATGAAGCAAAACCTCATTGCTACATAGGGAATGCTGTCCCTGAATTTGAATTTCTAAATACAGGATCTTAAATGGGATAAGATTACTCTAAAGCTCAAATGAAATAATACAAATATTTCAAAACTTGTAAAGTGCTAAATATAAGCTATTATGTAGCTGATATAACAACTCAGTTTTGAGAAGAAATTAAAGCCACACTGCATTGTAAAAGGAGTCCTATATCTAACCACTAAAAGTCTGCATACTCTAGCTTTATATTATCACCAGCAATTCCCATCATGTAAGAGTCATCAGATTCCAAGACACTGGACTGGTTTTGTGGCCCTTCAAGGACATACAGATTTATAGAATTCTTACATTTCTTACTTTATATGCCAGCTTGGGGGCTGTATCCCCAGACCGCCAAATTTCATGTAAACCAAAAATATCTAATATGTGAGCCACACGTAGGCAGCCAGATTTGAACTGCACTGCTCTGAGAAGAGGGTTGCAAAAAAGGAGCAAGGGACTATTGGAAAAAACAGGTCCCAAGCCATCAAGTACTTTGAAGAACTATTTCAGAAAATAAAGAAAACAAGCAAATTCAACCCAGAGACTGGTACTTGGGTGTTTGTGCTCCTAGCAGCTCACCCCACTAAGAAGGTGAACAGCTGCATTCCCACCTGCAGGAAACGCTGGGTGGTCTTGAAGCTAGCCTTGTATAGAGCGCTTCACAACAATTAGCTTGGAGGTAACAAAAGTCTGAAGAGATTGGTATTTCATCAATTTTATGTGAATAGTCCCATATCAGATGTTACAGGAAATGTAGAAATGTATATATTTCTAGTTTCTTTCTTTAAATGTCAGAGTTTTGTGTTACTTTATAATTTCTTTCCCATTAATAATACTATAATGCAATTTAGAAAAAAAATTTAAAAACTAAAAACAAATGCATTGTAAAGGCCTTTGATACATATGAATTTGCTTTTCAGAAAAGTTATATTTTTACCAACTCAGTTTATGATTCATGTTTTTCAATATTGAATATTAGACTTAAAAATGGAAATTTAACAGGTAAAAAATGCTACCTAAATATTTGTTTGTATTTATTTTATTAATGAGTTAAAGATTTTTATGTGTTTACTATTAATTCATGTTTATTTGCTTATGTATTTGAACTAATTTAAGACTCAGTGAAAAAAATCTGTAATTCTCAGGCTCAGTGACAAGTTGTTGTCAGTAAACTATTATTTAATCCAAACTATTAAAATTAAATCTCACTTATTATCAACAGTAGTGTATAGTATTTATTGAACGCTAACGATGTGGCATACACTCTGGGAAAGACTTTCATATATCACCTTAATTCTCTCCAGTCACTGGCCTACTTCTCAGCTCCTCTCGACAGTAACGCTTATCAGAAGTCCATACTCACTGCCTCCAGTTTGTTACTGCTGCATTTTGCCGTAACCCAAATGAATACAGATTCTGTCTGCCATTTCATTCAGCCGTAGGGACATAATCTCCTGATCAGCAAACTGAAAAATCACTGTATATTTTTAATGTTTCTCCACCCCTCAAGAGGCATTCACAAAGTTGAACAGTTGTGAAAAAGGACTTAAAAGGCTGCGCTGCTCTCTTGTCTTCTATGACTGCAATTTCCTGGTTTACCTGCTCCCTTCCTGGTGGCTTTTCTACTGTATTTTCCTGGGCTGCACCTCATCCTGTCATGCAGTCAAGCTGGGAATCCCAGAGATCAGTCTTGGATCCTCTTCTTGCCTTCTACATCTTCCTTCCAGGGGAATTCTCATCATAGAATGCAAGCCCTATAAGGGCAAGAATTTTTAGCTGTATTTTTTTGCAGTGTTTATTCCTAGCACCTAGAACAGTACCTGGTTCATATTAGGTGCTCAATAAATATTTGTTGAACAAATGAATGAGTGACTCCAGCCTCAAAATATATGTATCATCTATATACTGATGGTTTTTTTTTTTTTTTTTTTTTGAGATGGAGTTTTGCTCTGTCACCCAGGCTGGAGTGCAGTGGTGCATCAGCTCACTGCAACCTCCACCTCCAGGGTTTAAGCAATTCTTCTGCCTCAGCCTCCCGAGTAGCTGGGACTACAAGCGCGCACCATCACGCCCAGTTAATTTTTGTATTTTTAGTAGAGACGGGGTTTCATTGTATTGGCCAAGCTGATCTCGAACTCTTGACCTCATGATCTGCTCACCTCGGCCTCCCAAAGTGCTGGGATTACAGGCGTGAGCCACCTCTCTCAGCCATGTTAATGGCTTTCAAATGATAATCAGTTGCTTGACTTCTTCAGCTGTGAACTCTAGACCTGTGTTTCTGTTCACCTATCACACCTCCACAGGGATGGGTAAAAAGTGTCTCCAGCTTATCATGTCTGAAGCACAACTGTAAATAACTCTTACTTTTTTGTGTTCTAGTCTTTCTCACCATATGACATAGTTACTCAAGTGAAAAACCTAGGATTTTGCCTTCGTTTCCTAGCTCCCCAATTTAGTCCATTGGAAAGTCCCTTTAGTACTATTCCCAATATATCTCAAATCTTTTCACATTTCACCATCTTGGCTGCTACCACCTTTGGTGAAGCCACCCTCATCTCTCATCTGGACTAAAACAGAGTCCTCCCTCCCCATTCGCACGCTTATCTCTTCACCCTAATCCACATGGGATCCTGAAGGGGCATCATCTCACTACCCTGCTTAGTATTTTCCAATGGCTCTTTGCTCCTCTGAGAATACAATCTAAGTATCTTACCAAGACCTGTAAGATTTGAATCATCTTTAGTATCAATTCAGAATGTGAACTGGATAACAGAGTATGTCAATGTCTACAAGACTGGAACTTGCTTTTGTTTGTTTGTTTGTTTGTTTGTTTTGAGACGGAGTCTCACTTTATCGCCCAGGCTGGAGTGCAATCGCACAATCTTGGCTCACTGCAACCTCTGTCTCCCAGGTTCAAGTGATCCTCCTGCCTCAGCTTCCTGAGTAGCTGGGATTACAGGAGCCGCCACCACGCCCAGCTAATTTTTTTATTTTTAGTAGAGACGGGGTTCTACCATGTTGGTCAGGCTGGTCTTAAACTCCGACCTCAAGCGATCTGCCTGCCTCAGCCTCCCAAAGTACTGGGATTACAGGCGTGAGTCACCATGCCAGGCCACATTTGTTATTTTTTAAATGAAATGAAATGAAATGAAAAATTTTTGATATTGAGTCTCACTCTATCGCCCAGGCTGGAGTGTAATGCACGATTTTGGCTCTCTGCAACCTCCGCCTCCCAAGTTCAAGCGATTCTTTTGCCTCGGCTTCCCAAGTAGCTGGGATTACAGGTGCCCACCACCATGCCCAGCTAATTTTTGTATTTTCAGTAGAGATGGGGTTTCACCATGTTGGCCAGGCTGGTCTCGAACTTCTGGGCTCAAGTGATCTGCTGGCCTTGGCCTCCCAAAGTGCTTGGCATGAGCCACCGCGCCTGCAGAAAGTTTGTTATATTTTCAAGTGGAAGGTGGCAATCTCTCTCCAGAATAGCCAATGACTAACTAACCAGATTTATTAGTTCCAGATTTTATTTCCTGAAAGCTAGTGTTTTACGAGGAGAAGGATGTGGGCAGAGAGCACTACACTGCTATTAGGACAGGTACTGAGTAATACTTATTGTAAATGAATATGTCAGTACTGTAGTACTTAAAGCAAATGCTTGAAGAAAATATTGCATTTAATACTGGAATACTTAGGAAAACTGCAGCATCAGAAATGACCACAGGCTGTTGCTATTTATCCACAATTTGGGGATTAGGTAGCACTTCTTATTATATGATAATTCTTTAAGATTGTCATTTAATTGGAGTGTATTGATTAGTTTATTACACATATTTTATGTATATAATTATGCATATTGAATGTATGCATAAACATACATTTCTCAACTTTGTCCTATTTTGTGAGTTTTTTTATTGGTTTATTTGTGAAAATAATGAAATCTCCTTATTTTAACGTGCAAGTACTCTAGGAGAAAATAGTGTAGAATACATGATTGTTACTTTTTTCATTGTTGGTAGACTATTTAAAAATATAGTTTAATATTTTCTCCTAAATATTCACAATTTGACATGTATTTTATATACTCTTAACTCACTGAAGAAAATATAGGCATATTATTTTCAAAGGTGTATATATTCACATCCATATGTATCCCTACAGTATATTTTTAAGACAGCTCCAATTAGGAATTTTTAGTTCTACTTCTTACTGTTACCTACTTTGTTTTTAAATGATATACACTTATTCACATTGAAATTGTCAGTCTCTTCAAACATTTTTAGCTTATTGTCTCTGGATTTTACGTTTTAATATATTTGTAAAAAATAACTAAAGATTTAAAGAAATTAATCAATTCATTAATCAAACCTGTCCACTTCACATTTTGTAGAGATAAATTAGCACACTATTTCAGAACTCAGTATCATGATTTTAAATCTCTAATATTAATATTAAAAATAAACATTTTTGTGTTTGATATTTTTTCCAGCTCTACGCAGATATTTAAATGGTTTTAAATAAAAACTTTCTATTTGCTTTTAATTTGAATGTCTTTTAAAATCAATTCCTTAACTTTCTCTCATGTCTGACAATCTTTTAGACTTTTGAAATCTTTGATTAGGAAGTGTATGTTAAAATAGTCTGTCATTAATTCCACATCAATTTATTGGTTTTTATCTTCCACCAACACTAAAAAAATTAAAGGAAATTAAAACTTTACAATTTAAAAAATAGGAACATCTAACTCCAATGTACACCCTACATTTTTATTTTTTATTTATTTTTATTATTATTATTTTTTTAGAGTCTCACACTACTACCAGGGCTGGAGTGCAATGGCGCGATCTCGGCTCACTGCAACCTCTGCCTCCTGGGTTCAAGCAATTCTCCTGCCTCAGCCTCCTGAATAGCTGGGATTACAGGTGCCCGCCACCGCGTCTGGCTAATTTTTTGTATTTTTTTTCTTTTTCTTTTTTTTTTTTTTGTAGATGTGGGATTTCACTATGTTGGTTAGGCTGTCTTGAACTCCTGACCTCGTGATCTGCCCGCCTCGGCCTCCCAAAGTGCTGGGATTACAGGGATTACAGATGTGAGCCACTGTGCCCGGCCCGTACACCCTAAATTCCAAAAGCATATTTGACTCTTAGGAAGACTCAAGCTCCATATTAAATGCAATAGAATCTAACTGAGGGTTCTGTAGAGGGCTGATAGGTGGCAGGTTGTGAATGCCACGGCTTTACTGCACTGGCATGAAGTAAAACATTATAAAAAAATCTACTGTTGATATGAGTTTTAAAATTGTAATCAAGTTACCTCCCCTTCTGACCATTTCATACTTAATTAACAAATATAAATAATATATTAAATATAATAATAGTGATAAATGCAAAAAAAAAAAAAAACAACCATAGCCTTTAACTGGGTGTACTTTACTGGCTTAACACTGCCTAGGAATTTTTCTGTTTTTCCTAACAAACATACTTTTTCCAGCTTTATTGAGGCACAACTGACAAATAAAAATTATATATATTTGGCCAGGTTCGGTGTCTCAAGCCTGTAATCCCAGCACTTTGGGAGGCCGAGGTGGGCAGATCACAAGGTCAGGAGTTCAAGACCAGCCTGACCAACATGGTGAAACCCCGTCTCCACTAAAAATACAAAAATTAGCGGGCATGGTGGTGCGTGCCTGTAATCCTAGCTACTTAGGAGGCTGAGGCAGGAGAGTCACTGGAAGCCAGGAGGTGGAGGTTGCAGTGAGCAGAGACCGCACCACTGCACTCCAGCCTGGGCGATAGAGAGACTCCTTCTCAAAAAACAAACAAACAAACAAACCCCAAATATATATATATATATATGCACACACACACACACACGCACACTTAAGGTGAACATGATATTTTGGTATACAGTATGTGTATGTTGTGAAATGATTACTATAATCAAACAAATTAACCTATCACCTTACATAGTTGCTTTCTAGTGTGATGAGAATACTTTAGAGCTACTCTCAGGAAATTTCAAGAATTTTTTAATTACTGTACTAAATTGACTTTCCCTCAAAATTTGAAGAAAACTTTAAATTATGAATATTTTTAGCAAACACAAAAGTAAAATGTATTATAGAAAAATAACTGTATTTTCACTATCAAGGTTTATAATGATTTTTTAACTCATAGGAAGAGTAATTATGGAAGAAGTAGATTTAAAAATTATTTTTTGGCCAGGCGAGGTGGCTTATGCCTGTAATCCCAGCATTTTGGGAGGCCGAGGCGAGTGGATCACGAGGTCAAGAGATTGAGATCATCTTGGCCAAGCTGGTGAAACCCAGTCTCTACTAAAAATAAAAATTTTAGCCGGGCTTGGTGGTGTGTGCCTGGTCCCACCTACTTGGGAGGCTGAGGCAGGAGAATCGTTTGAACCTGGGAGGCGGAGGTTGCAGTGAGCCGAGATCCCGCCACGGCACTCTAGCCTGGCTACAAAGCGAGACTCCATTTCAAAAAAATGTATATTTTTTATGATAATGAACAATTATTTTTACTTTATAAAGGCTACATAAAAAAGTCAAAGACAGCCGGACGCGGTGGCTCACGCCTGTAATCCCAGCACTTTGGGAGGCCGAGGCGGGTGGATCACCTGAGGTCGGGAGTTGGAGACCAGCCTGACCAACATGGAGAAACCCCATCTCTACTGAAAATACAAAATTAGCCAGACGTGGTGGTGCATGCCTGTAATCCCAGCTACTCGGGAGGCTGAGGCAGAAGAATCGCTTGAACCCAGGAGGCAGAAGTTACGGTGAGCTGAGATCGCGTCGTTGCACTCCAACCTGGGCAACAAGAGCGAAACTCCGTCTAAAAAAAAAAAAAAGTCAAAGACACAAAAATTACTAGTATTTGCTTAAATTGAAAGGGTTGGGTGATTAATAAAGTACAGAGTTTATGAAGAAGAATAAAAAATTTTGGAGAAGAAATTATGGAAATAAATATTTGATTGCTTGTCCTTAATTTTCAAAATTTTGATTTAGGTCTATTTTAAATTAGAAAATAGAAAGATCTAAATATAGACATGGAGACAGAGACATAGATGCTTGTATTTTAAGTTATGACTGATGTTGACATAGAGTAAAACTTTATTGATTTAAATTTCTCTTAATCTTTCTCTTAAGAGGAATATTGCTCTTTCTTTGTTATCAGAACATTCTAGAGAGGTGATAGATGAGTGCTTGTTGTGTGTTAGGACTCATTATTAGCGGTATCTTTTCATAAACATGTGTTTCATTTTGTTTTACCAAATCCAAATCCTTCTGTCAGTAGTACCAGCTATCGGTAAAGTGAGACAAATATGTTATTCAACCCTAGACTCTGGAAGTTAAGTAATTAATTTTTAAGATGATTGATTATTATAGAATCTAAATTTTTGCCCAAATTATGTTTTTATGAAGGTTTTCTCAAAATAAATGTTCTAGGATAAACCTCATAGGAAAGACAAAACTCATGCAAAAGTTATTTTTTCTATATTGGATATAAAACAATAATTTAAAAATTATGCAATTTGGTAGAATAATTTTTCTGATAACATTATTAGACAAAATATTTTCAATATTGATAATGTCTCACAGTAAGTGTTTCTGAAAAGTTATTATAAAATCTATATAGAGGTATCACAATAGCTCATTGAGTTATGAAGTACTAATATAATTTTTGATATCAAATTCTACTTTTTAAATTGCTGACTCTTTCAAAACTTTCTTGATTTCCAGGTCACATCTTCCACTTTCTGTCTATTTGAATTTCTAAGGTTTAATTTATGCCAAGCACTAAGTACTTTGCATGTATTAGCTAATTTATAGTTCTGATACTCTGTAAGTTATGTGGTGGTGCATGCCTGTAATCCCCTTTTTATCCTTATCATCCCCTTTTACAGATAAGGATGTTGAAAACAGGTGAATAACTTGCCATGTTTGGGAACCCAGACAGCCTGGTTCCAGCACTGACATTCTTAATTGCTATCCCTTACAACTGCTAGCATCATATTTTCTAGTTTAAAGACGAGGCCAGGCTCATCGCTTATATTAAGGAATGGAGAATTTTATGGCATAATCCACTGAGCAAGTCCTTCTGTCAGTAGTCCTAATAAGTAACAGTTATTAGTATTTACTAAAGTGCCACTGTGTATGAGTCTTAGAGCCAAGTCCTGGAAGGATGCAAAGATAGACTGTCCTTAAAGAAATCTAGACACTTAAAGAGAAGAGAGATGTGCTCACCAATAGAGATATGAGCAAAATATTGTGATAACACAGAGAAAATTAAAAAAAAATAATCTGAGATGGTTAAAGGGAGTGAGGAGAGAAAAAAGCAATCATTGTTAAGAGGGTCTGGCCTAAGACCACAGTGCAATCAAACTAGAACTCAGGATTAAGAATCTCACTCAAAGCCACTCAACTACATGGAAACTGAACAACCTGCTCCTGAATGACTACTGGGTACATAACAAAATGAAGGCAGAAATAAAGATGTTCTTTGAAACCAACGAGAACAAAGACACAACATACCAGAATCTCTGGGACACATTCAAAGCAGTGTGTAGAGGGAAATTTATAGCACTAAATGCCCACAAGAGAAAGCAGGAAAGATCCAAAATTGACACCCTAACATCACAATTAAAAGAACTAGAAAAGCAAGAGCAAATACATTCAAAAGCTAGCAGAAGGCAAGAAATAACTAAAATCAGAGCAGAACTGAAGGAAATAGAGACACAAAAAACCCTTCAAAAAATCAATGAATCAATCCAGGAGCTGGTTTTTTGAAAGGATCAACAAAATTGATAGACCGCTAGCAAGACTAATAAAGAAAAAAAGAGAGAAGAATCAAATAGACACAATAAAAAATGATAAAGGGGATATCACCACTGATCCCACAGAAATACAAACTACCATCAGAGAATACTACAAACACCTCTACGCAAATAAACTAGAAAATCTAGCAGAAATGGATAAATTCCTCGACACATACACTCTCCCAAGACTAAACCAGGAAGAAGTTGAATCTCTGAATAGACCAATAACAGGAGCTGAAATTGTGGCAATAATCAATAGTTTACCAACCAAAAAGAGTCCAGGACCAGATGGATTCACAGCCGAATTCTACCAGAGGTACAAGGAGGAACTGGTACCATTCCTTCTGAAACTATTCCAATCAATAGAAAAAGAGGGAATCCTCCCTAACTCATTTTATGAGGCCAGCATCATTCTGATACCAAAGCCGGGCAGAGACACAACCAAAAAAGAGAATTTTAGACCAATATCCTTGATGAACATTGATGCAAAAATCCTCAATAAAATACTGGCAAACCGAATCCAGCAGCACATCAAAAAGCTTATCCACCATGATCAAGTGGGCTTCATCCCTGGGATGCAAGGCTGGTTCAATACACGCAAATCAATAAATGTAATCCAGCATATAAACAGAGCCAAAGACAAAAACCACATGATTAACTCAATAGATGCAGAAAAAGCCTTTGACAAAATTCAACAACCCTTCATGCTAAAAACTCTCAATAAATTAGGTATTGATGGGATGTATTTCAAAATAATAAGAGCTATCTATGACAAACCCACAGCCAATATCATACTGAATGGGCAAAAACTGGAAGCATTCCCTTTGAAAACTGGCACAAGAAAGGGATGCCCTCTCTCACCGCTCCTATTCAACATAGTGTTGGAAGTTCTGGCCAGGGCAATCAGGCAGGAGAAGGAAATAAAGGGTATTCAATTAGGAAAAGAGGAAGTCAAATTGTCCCTGTTTGCAGACGACATGATTGTTTATCTAGAAAATCCCATCATCTCAGCCCAAAATCTCCTTAAGCTGATAAGCAACTTCAGCAAAGTCTCAGGATACAAAATCAATGTACAAAAATCACAAGCATTCTTATACACCAACAACAGACAAACAGAGAGCCAAATCATGAGTGAACTCCCATTCACAATTGCTTCAAAGAGAATAAAATACCTAGGAATCCAACTTACAAGGGATGTGAAGGACCTCTTCAAGGAGAACTACAAACCACTGCTCAAGGAAATAAAAGAGGATACAAACAAATGGAAGAACATTCCATGCTCATGGGTAGGAAGAATCAATATCGTGAAAATGGCCATACTGCCCAAGGTAATTTACAGATTCAATGCCATCCCCATCAAGCTACCAATGACTTTCTTCACAAAATTGGAAAAAACTACTTTAAAGTTCATATGGAACCAAAAAAGAGCCCGCATCACCAAGTCAATCCTAAGCCAAAAGAACAAAGCTGGAGGCATCATACTACCTGACTTCAAACTATACTACAAGGCTACAGTAACCAAAACAGCATGGTACTGGTACCAAAACAGAGATATAGATCAATGGAACAGAACAGAGCCCTCAGAAATAATGCTGCATACCTACAACTATCTGATCTTTGACAAACCTGAGAAAAACAAGCAATGGGGAAAGGATTCCCTATTTAATAAATGGTGCTGGGAAAACTGGCTAGCCATATGTAGAAAGCTGAAACTGGATCCCTTCCTTACACCTTATACAAAAATCAATTCAAGATGGATTAAAGATTTAAACGTTAGACCTAAAACCATAAAAACCCTAGAAGAAAACCTAGGCATTACCATTCAGGACATAGGCATGGGCAAGGACTTCATGTCCAAAACACCAAAAGCAATGGCAACAAAAGCCAAAATTGACCAATGGGATCTAATTAAACTAAAGAGCTTCTGCACAGCAAAAGAAACTACCATCAGAGTGAACAGGCAACCTACAAAATGGGACAAAATTTTCTCAATCTACTCATCTGACAAAGGGCTAATATCCAGAATCTACAATGAACTCAAACAAATTTACAAGAAAAAAGCAAACAACCCCATCAAAAAGTGGGCGAAGGACATGAACAGACACTTCTCAAAAGAAGACATTTATGCAGCCAAAAAACACATGAAAAAATGCTCATCATCACTGGCCATCAGAGAAATGCAAATCAAAACCACAATGAGATATCATCTCACACCAGTTAGAATGGCAATCATTAAAAAGTCAGGAAACAACAGGTGCTGGAGAGGATGTGGAGAAATAGGAACACTTTTACACTGTTGGTGGGACTGTAAACTAGTTCAACCATTGTGGAAGTCAGTGTGGTGATTCCTCAGGGATCTAGAACTAGAAATACCATTTGACCCAGCCATCCCATTACTGGGTATATACCCAAATGACTATAAATCATGCTGCTATAAAGACACATGCACACGTATGTTTATTGCGGCATTATTCACAATAGCAAAGACTTGGAACCAACCCAAATGTCCAACAATGATAGACTGGATTAAGAAAATGTGGCACATATACACCATGGAGTACTATGCAGCCATAAAAAAGGATGAGTTCATGTCCTTTGTAGGGCCATGGATGAAATTGGAAATCATCATTCTCAGTAAACTATCACAAGAACAAAAAACCAAACACCGCATATTCTCACTCATAGGTGGGAATTGAACAATGAGATCACATGGACACAGGAAGGGGAATATCACACTCTGGGGACTGTTGTGGGGTGGGGGAAGGGGGGAGGGATAGCATTGGGAGATATACCTAATGCTAGATGACGAGTTAGTGGGTGCAGCGCACCAGCATGGCACATGTATACATATGTAACTAACCTGCACAATGTGCACATGTACCCTAAAACTTAAAGTATAATAATAATAAAAAAAAAAGAGATTTAAGAGACACAGTAACCAAAAAAAAAAAAAAAAAAGAGGGTCTGGCCTAAAAATTGAGATAAGATGCATATTTGACATCAATCAGAGTTATTTTTTAAAACAAGAAAAGTAGAGCAAGAATAAGAAATATAAGCATTTATGTTAATTAAATTCTTATTTATCTTCCAAAGGACAAGGGTCAATGAAACTAAAGATAATTCCTTTCCCTGTCCTTGAATACATTCACATAAATACATAAAGAGAAATAAAAATCGCCATTACTTAAGATGAGCCAGGGCATACATCCTTTTAGGTTAATTCACAGGACAGGGACAAGCTCCAAACCACCAGGTAGAGTGGGTGAGGCATTTCTAGTATACAGTCAAGACCTGTCGAGACTCTCCAGCCTGTAGGACACTCAGATGTCAAATTGAAGTGGTAGAAGTTTACTTGAGGTCCAAAGAGCAGAGCATAACTACTTTCTGCTTTGTTAGGGTGTGGAAGGTGGTTTGCTGAAGTAATAAGTCTAGAGGTCGTTAGTCCCATTTCTTCCAGTTTTGTGTATATAATGATAGTAAATTAAATTTAAAACTTATTATTAAAAATCCTCTTTGAAGTAGTGTTTCTGGTTTTTTAAAAAATAACTCCAGCATTAGCCTCCAGATAAACAATATAAGTTTTTTTACCTTAATTTTGAGAAAGATTTTTTTTGTAAAGCTTTAAAAAATCACCTATTTACTTTCAGAATGGATTGAGGAAAACTTATTTAAAAAGATGTGTACACAAAAAGGCTTATTTATTTATTTATTTATTTATTTATTTATTTTATGAGTAAGGGCACCAGGACCAACAATCACCAGTGATATGGTTTGGATCTGTGTCACCGCCCAAATTTCATCTTGAATTGTAATCCCCAATGTTGAAGGTGGAGCCTGCTGGGAGGCATGGGTCATGGGAGTGGATTTCCCCATTGGTGCTGTTCTCATGATAGTGAGTGAGTTCTTATGAGATCCGGTTGTTTAAAAGCATGTAGTACGTCTCCCCTCTCTTGGTCTTGCTCCTGCTCCAGCCATGTAAGAAGAGCTGCTTCTCCTTTGCCTTCTGCCATGAATGTAAAGTTCCTGAAACCTTCCCAGAAGCTGAACAGAAGCTGCTGTGCTTCTTGTACAGCCTGCAGAACCGTGAGCTAATTAAACCTCTTTTCTTATAAATTACGCAGTCTCAGGTATTTGTAGCGTGTGAGAATGGACTAATACAACCAGCTATCCACCTGCCAAAAAATTATACTTCCAAAATTCCTTGATGTCAATTCTGCACTAAGAGCAATCAAGTTGCCCTGCATGTATCACTCACAACAGCAGCTTTTTTTTTTTTTTTCAAAAAACCGTTTAGAATAGAGAAAAAAAATGCTTTTTTTTTTTTGGAAGTCGAAAATATATGATTACAGGAGCAAATATATTAACTGTGATTAAACCCACACAGAAATTCCTGATAGCCAGTAACAAGGTAAACAGAATGGATTTTATAACTCCTATAATCTTGTAAAAGATGTGGATTACTTTTTCAAAGGAAAAAATTATGTGTAAGGGACATTGAACAAAATATGTAGATGGTTTCCAATGATAGTTTTATATGGTTTGTCCTATATAGACTCTAGATAAAAATCAAGGCCATCACATCAAAATTCTAGTACTTGTAAATTATTTGCAATATTTTTTACTTGTCTTTTTTTTTGTAAATAATTTGTAAACCATTTACTTAGTAAATCTGTTATCGTGGGAGGCTTAGTGAATGTGGTCCAAGTTTACAGCTTTCTGGTTTAATTTGCTATGAGGTAGTTCTTAGTCTATCAGACAAACTACTCATACACCCCTCTAAATATTCTATTTTCTTTTGATATGTACCACTTAGAGCTTTTGAAGGGAAACTAGATAGGAGAATGTGTTTATATCACTAATAAAACACGGTTTGCATATAAGTTCTGTGTTAGGAATTAAAAATGTCTAGCTCTCAAAGGTTTATTGTAGCAGTATAAAGTGCAGCTGTAGAGACAAAATGCCAAGGTTCAAATGCAAGATTCGCCCTCTTTTTAGTTGCAGTACTTTAGTGCCTATGCATCCTCTTCTATAAAATGGAGTTGAAACTAGAGACAACTATAAGTTCTAGGCAATGATTAATGCATATATCACACCTAATCAGCACCATCTAATTGAGTGCTTTTATTGTCTTAGATGAGATGTTTCACATGCTGTTATGACATGAGTCAGACTGAATTCTTTTTGTAGAGAGGAGTTCCCTCCTGTACAGATGTGAGTAAAAGCCCTCAGGGCTTATCTTTTCCTTTAAGAAGTAGCTTGTGAGCTACTCAAATTCCTGAAGATGCATTTGAATAAAGTATAATTACACATCAAAGTACAGGACAGAAATAATTTTACACCCACACTTTCAGGATAAGTCATCTACCTCAGCTGTGAGGGAGCTATAGTTTTGAAATATTTGACTTCAAATTGTATCAAAATTACCAGCTAAACTAGCAAAACTTAGTCATTTAATCCATTTCTAGAAAATTTAAAGAAATTGATGTACTGGATTAGGTAGTTTAATATAGGAAATACCAATTTTAGGTTTGGCAGAGTTGATATCAGAAATGTTTGAGTTAGCTATTTCAGAACCAATGACTTGTGTGTATAAACACACATACATTGTGTATATAGATACACACATATTGGAATATATATGTGTGTGTGTGTATATATGTATATTTATACCAATTATATATATGTGTGTGTGTGTGTGTGTGTCTGTGTGCGTGCATGTATGTATGGAGATTTATCACATAAATTAACTCACACAGTTATAGAGGCCAAGAATTACCATGATCTGCTGTTTGCAAGCTACAAAGTTGGTGGTGTAATTCATTCTAAGTGTGAAGGTCTGAGAACTGAGGGGCTAATGGTATAAGTCCTGGCCTGAGTCCAAAAGCCCAGGAGCCAGGAACACCGATATCTGAAGGGAGGAGAAGATGGATGTCTCATCTCAAGCAGAGAGAGAAAATTCATCCTTCCTCCACATTTTCTTCTATTTGAGACCACAGTGGACTGGATGATGCCCACCCACACTGGTGAGAAAGGATCTTTTTTACTCAGTCTGCTGATTTAAATGTTAATCTCTTCTGGAAACACCATCACAAACACATCCAGAAATAATGTTTTACCAGCTGTCTGGGCATCCCTTAGTACAGTTATGTTGATATATAAAATTAACCCTCACAGCTATAACAAGGCAAGAGCTTGTGAAATCTAAAGATTTGAAAAGCCAGGAAAAGGATAATTAAGCCTATTTTATGACCTTTCAGTGGGGCTACTTAAAGCATTTCAGAAATATGGGAGTGGGTCTCACTGTAAACATGGCTTAGGTGAGAAAAGATGCAATACCACTGAACATAGAGTACCTCTATAAATTTCCCAGTATGTCCACTGGAGAACCCCAGTCACTCAGCAGATCCTTCTCTTCTTTCTTTCTGGACTGAACTGCTCACAAAACTCAGGGGCACAATAATTAATTAATAAGCACTGTCTCTGGTAGATTTCTTAATTCTATCTGATATAATCTCCTTTCTGAAGTTGCCTGCTGTGACACCCATAGTGACCTATATTAAGTTAACAATAAGAAGAAAATAATTATATCTTGGATACCTGTTTATTAAGCATGGATTTTTAATGATTGCCATGTTTTATCTGACTTTGAATCAACCCTTTGGACCTAGAACATATTCAAAAGCTATTCCCAGGCACTAAGACCCAAAGGAATTCAGTAAGTATTAACTATTATTTGAGTTTGATTGAGAGGAACTAAGTAAAATTCCAAATCATCTATTGAAACCTTCTTTGAAGATGATAAATAATTTGATGTTTAAACATCAAGGACTTTGGTTGGATGGCAGCAGGAATAGTGGAGTAAGGAATTTCAAAAATTCACTTCTGCATTAAGGAATAAAAACATTGGCAAAAATGGTCTAAATATCTTTTTTAGAACTCTGGAAATTACCTAAAGACTTGCAACAATCCAAGACACATCTGTTAAAGAAAAATGGCTGAATCTGGGTAAGAACAGCAAACTTTGTGGTATTTTAATTTGTCCTAATTCTACCCCTCTTTCTCCAGCTCTGCAGTAGCCTTGCGAACCAGCAGCCCCACAATCACAATGAAAACAAGGCAGTTAGCAGTCACCAGAAGGGTCACAATGGGTTGATGCCTTTTCAACGCTCTATTCTCAGAGAATTGTCATTTATCTTGCAGTTCTCTGAAACTCTTCACTTGCGGGAAGGGTTTGTCTATATGTGAAGCAACTCAGAAATCACTCTGAACAAATCACTTTTCCCCTGGGAGAAAACTAACAGTTGTAATTATTTGATATCACCTCTGTCTGAGGCAGCAATAACAGTTGGAGCAAACAAGAAGCTTGCCAAAGAAACAGCTAGAGATGAGATGTCTGTAAGGCACTTTGAAAAGCTTCTACTAATTCCTGGGAATCAAGGAGTCCACAGGGCTACGTACATGCCCAGGAAACACCTAAAAAGGCCCTAACCTCTCATCTCTGGCTGACCCTGAGGCTCTGTTAAAACAGAAAGTGCAGGCTAAAGCAGAGTTGAAAACTGACCAGCTGAACAGTTAAGTGATGACCCAACATGTACACAGAGCAAAGGCTGGACAACCTATTGCTTTCAGGAATTTAAGGAAATCTCTGTCCAATCATTAGCCAACCACTAAGCTAACTAATCACAGAAACAACAGAGAATACAAATTTTAAAGGATCAGATTTAGTTCTGGAAAGCCACTGAAAAAATATATCAGCAAGAATAATAAACCATGGGATAGAGAATCTGATTTACAGAGCTGTCACATTATATTATTGCAGATGTCTAGGTTTCAAGAAAATAACTGTGAGGCATGTGAAGAAACAAGAGTATGATTCATGCACAAGAATAAAAGCAGTCAATAGAACCTGCCAATGAGGAAATACAGATGTTGGATTTACTATGCAAATACTTTAAATTAGCAATTTAAAATACTTTCAAAGAACAAAAGGAAAGTATACATAAAGAACTAAAGAAAATATTAGAATGGTATCTTATCAAATAGATAATATCAATATAAAGATAGAAATTATAAAAAGACAGACATTTTAGAATTAAAAATTAAAGAAATTGAAATGAGAAATTCACTAAAGGGCTTAGTAGCAGATTTGAGATGGCAAAAATAAAATTTAGTGAACTTGAAGATACGTCAATTGAGATTATCCAAATCCAAGAACGAAAGACGGAAGAAAATAAACAAAAATCTCAAGAGACCCAAGGGATAGAACCAAGCATACTAACATGCTCATAATAGGAGTTCCAGAAGCAGAGGAGAGACAGAAAGGGGCAAAAAGAATACTTGAAAAAATAATGGCCAAAAATGTCCTAAGTTTCATGAAAAACAACAATCTGTGTACCCATGAAGCTCAATGAATTCCACTTAGGATAAACTCAAGAAGATCCACACCTAGATACAACACAATCAACTTCAAAAGCTAAATAAAGAATTTTGAAAGCAGAAAATTAAAGTGACTTTTTATGTCACAGGATCCTCTTGTTACCTTTATGTGTAAGTTACCTCTTGTAACAGACAATTTCTCAACAGAAATCACACAAGTCAGGAAAGAGTGAGATGACTGACTCAAGGTGCTGAAAGAATAATACTGTCAAATGAGAAATCTATATCCATCAAAGCTACCCTTCAAAAATGAAGGGAAAATTAACATATTCTAAGATGAATAAAAACTGAGAAAACACATTGCTAGCTGACTTGCCCTAAAATAAATAATAAAGGAAGACATTTAGGCTGAAATGAAACGAGATAGTAACTTGACTCTACAAGAATAAATAAAGGGCACCAGTAAATATAACTGCATAGATAAATGTAAATGACAATATTAACGTAGTTTTAAATTTGTAGCTCATTTTTAATTCTACCTAATTTACAAAGAAAACTACGTGAAACAATAATTATAAATCTGTGTTGACGGGCATATAGTGTTTGAAGGTTAAATTATATGACAATAGCACAAAGGAGCAGGGAGTGAATGGAACTACATAGAGCAATTTTTTGTGTACTATTAAAATTAACTTGGTATCAATAAGAAACAGATTGTTATAAGTGAATATGTTAATTGTAAATTCCAGGACAGCCACTAAGAAAATAAATGTAAAAAATATAGTAAAATAAATGACACTGGATTTAAATGGTACACTAGAAAATATCTATTGACACAAAAAATATTCTTGTAATAGAGAAATAGAGTAACAGAGAAATGAAAAAAGACATGACATGTAGACATAAGACATAAACAAATAGTAAAATGCCATATGTAATAATAAAATATGGGCAATTACATTAAATATAAGTCAATTCAATTCTCAAATCACAAGGCAGAGATTGGCAAACCAAGAAAAAATTTGCATTTCTAATGGCATCAAAAGGAATGAAATGCTTAGTAACAGATTTAAGAAAAGTGCAAAACATACACTTAAAAAAATAAGAAGCCTTAAAAAAATTTACACCCATCTTTTATGAACTATTCCAAAAATAGAAGAAGAGGGAACACTTTCCAATTCTTCTATGTGGCCAGTGTTCCTCTGACACCAAAATCAGACAGGAATATCACAAGGAAAGAAAATTACAGACCAATATTCCTTATTAATATAAACACAAAAGTAGTCAGAAAATAGTAACAAACCTAATCCAATTGTCAATATAGAAAATTATATTATCTGTGAATACATCAAAGACCTAATAAATGTGAATAAATTAAAGACCTAGAAAATGGAAAGACGTTCTGTGCTAATAGATTTGAATATAATGTTATTAAGATGGCAATACTCTGTAAACTATTCTATGGATTTAATGCAATCTGTATCAAAACTATCAAACGAGAGCTGACTTTTTTCAGGAAATAAAAAGCTAATCCTAAAATTTAAACAGTAGAATATTATTCAGTTGTGAAAAGAAGTGAAGCTTTGATACATTCTACAAGACAGACGAACATTGACAACATTATGCTAAGTGAAAGAAGTCAGACATCAAGGCCATGTATGGTATGATTGTATTTATATGAAATGTTGAAAATAGGCAAATCCTGTTAGTGGTTGCCAGGTATTGGGAGAATAAAGCATGAGAAGTGACTTCTAATTGGTAAACGGTTTCTTTTCGGGTGACAAAAATGACCGGAATTAGATAGTGATTGTGATTGCAAAAATTTGTACATATACTAACACCTATTAATGCGTAAAATTTTAAGAGTAAATTTTATGGTTTATGAATTATAATTTAAATGAATGAATGAGTTGAATCACTAAAAAATTTCCACCAACCTTTGACTGGAGCTTCCCTGCCATTTCATATCTGTTTTCTGACAGCTAATGATCAATGATAAAATATAATTGTTTGAGTCACAGGTGATTACAAATGACAGTATATGCTAGGTCTGCTATGTGCTAGACTAAATATTGTATTTATTTTCATTGGGAATTGACATGATACAATTCTAAGAAGAATGTCTTGTGCTTAATTAGTATTTTTTTAAATCACTGAATTGTTAAAAAGTTTTAAAGCTTTTATTATTAAGTTTTGTGAAAATTATTTTGGTAACTATGTTATTCATTAGCTCAATTTTTCCCAGTAAGGGCATCTTCAGGGCTGACTCTAAACCCAATAATAGAAAACAAAACAAAACGAAATTTCTGTATAAAACAATACTCACCTCATTAGTAAACTCCAAGCTAAATTCAAATGTAGTCATTCTGATAAAGTTCATATTTTGACAATCATGATTCATTGTCCTTTTACAGCAGTTAGGGGGTAGCCATGAACTATTTCACGTCATCAGGGAACTCAATTATTGGGGCCAATTATTTGCCAAATGTTAGTGACTTTTCTGTGTGTTTGCCTAAGGAAGTATCATGTCGTATTTAGAATTGAAATGCTTTTCCCTAGTCAGATGATAGTGTTGTACAGTAGTCATTTATGGACTTTTTGGTAGATTAATGTGGAAAACAGCAATATAATACATCTATACAACAACACATTTCTAGATGAAGCAAGCACTTCTGTTGATTTTTCTGAATAGTAGCTTGTATTAGAACTGGTGAACCAAATGAAATGTTCCCTTGATCTGGATATTTTCTAACAATGCCAAATTAAACAAATTCAAGTGAATTTTTTTTATCTGTACTTCTAATCAAGGCAAAGTTTTTAACCTACAAACCTGAAGATTTTCCTCTGTGAATTCGTTTTATGTTTACCTTTGTTTACTTACAGAGTGACCTGTTGGTGGATATAATAGATATTCATAACTATAGAGAATATTAATACTAATTAATCAGAAATAGTATATTTATTATTGTGGCTGAATGTATGCTTAATGTAATTTAAATAGTAATAATATGTCAAACAGTTGTTGAAGTCTTTTTCAAAGTGTTTTGCATGTGTTGATGTCTTAAAGGTGATGTAACTAAGTTACAGAGAGGATAAGTAAGTTGCCTGATGTCACCCAGACCACCAGCTAGTAAGCACTTGAGCTGAAATTAAAATTTCAGTAGTTTGACTTCAGAGGCTATTCTCTTAACTATTTTGCAATGCTGTTTCTCAATTAAAAAAAAGTTGGATAGATTATTATGTACTACTTACTTTGGTGAAGGAATAGGGGAAATATTAGGCTGAAAGGGTTATTAAAGATGAAAGTTCTGTGATTATTTGTGAATTTCCATAGTTATCAGCCCTTAGTGTGACAGCCATTCCCTACCTCCAGTAATAGGACTTGAATATATAGAAGTCATATCTGATATGTCAGGCATTTGGTCAACCACAGACTCAAATATTAGCAGACATAATCTGGTATGAGTATTAGTAAGAACAGATTTTCCACTGCTTTACAAATTATTCCACCCAAGCACCTCAATCAAGAGAGAAGAATGAACCAGCATTTCATGAAGACTTAGGGAAGGGCTATGCTATTGTGCTTTCAAACGGAAACTTTTATCTTAACAAATATATGTGATTAATTCTTTTGCAAAATGGATTTAATTCCAAAAACTCTATTGTTTTAATACAAAAGTAGGTTTTACCATATTTTGCAATAATTTGACATTCTAGGAATATGAGCTATGTTGACTCTAGATATATAAATTGTAGCTTAAGAAACACAGGATTCCACTCCACACCCATTAGGTTGACTAATATCAAAGAAGCACACAGAACGGAACTAGTCACCAGAGCTGTTGACACTGTGGAGAAATTGGGACCTGTGTGCACTATTGCTGGGATACAAAATGGTGCAGCAAACTGTGGAAAACAAATGATGGTTCCTCAAACAATTAAAAATAGAATTACTATATAGTCCAGCAATTCTGCTTCTGAATATATACCTAAAATAATTGAAAGAAGGGTCTCAAAAAGATTATTGTACACCCATGTTCATTGCAGCATTATTTGAAATAGCCAAAGGATGGAAGCAACCAAATAGTCACTGATGGATTAATGGGTAAATAAAGTGTGATATATACAGATAATCAAATACTATTCAGCCTTGAAAAAAAGTAAATTCTGACACACCCTACAATATGCCTGAACTTTGATGATGTTATGCTAAGTGAAATAATCCAGTTACCAAAGGACTAATATTGTATTATTCCACTTACATGAAATACCTAGTTAAATTCATAGAGATAGTCTTATGGTGGTTGTCAGGTACTTAAGGAAGAGGTAATGGGAGATTATTGTTTAATGAGTATAGAGTTTCAGTTTTTTAGGAGAAAGAGTTGCCAAGATGGATGGTGATGATAGTTGTGTAAGAATGTGAATGTACTTAATACACTAAACTGCACACTTAAAAATGGTTAAAATGGTAAACTTTTTATTGTATGTATTTTACCACAAGAAATAAAATGCAAGTTAAGAAAAAGGAAATGTAGGATTATGTGATAAGTATCATCTCCTGTGCAGAATATGCTTTATTTCACTGCTACCTCCATGATCCAAGCTACCTGGATCAATCTCCTACTGCATTACTTTTATAGTCTTGTACTTTAGGGTGACCATATATTTGTCATTCATACTGGGGCACTTTTGAGAGTGAAAGGGTATACTCCAAGACAACTGGTATAAACTTGATTGTGCTAATCTCAACAGAGAAGCCATAGTGGTCTTTGAAAAATATCACATCGTATTCTACTGAAAACCCCCATCACCTCCCTATTTTCCCAAGTGACTAATGACTGCCACATTGGACAGTGCTGATCTAGATAATTTAGATACCTGAGCTTTCTATTTTTCCTCAAACATTGGGCTATTTTGCTCCTTTTAGAAGGTTTAATAGCTTTCATAGTTTATAGCTAATATGTAAGCTCTATGAGAGCAGGGAATGTACTGTTTATTCACTGCTACATCCCAGGCACTTAGTCCAGTGACTGGGATGAGGCAAGGACTTCATATTTGCAGTATTCAAGCAAACTATGATTTTTGCCTTAAGACCAGAAAAATGTTTAGAAATTCAACAAATAATTTGAGAAATTATATTCTGGAATGATATTTTTTATTTCCATTTTATCTGATAAATATTGTGATAGGTAATGTAGAAACGTTTGAACCCAAAGATAAACAAGTAGACATTAGTGTATCAAGATTATGTCAATGTAACTGATGCATCCTGTTGGAAAAATGAACAAAATTTTTGAACTTTGTCTTTTCTTATCCACTACTAAGTTGTTAATTCTGTGCTAATTTTTTTTATGAACCAGAGCTATCCATTATATTGCCTTTTACTTGAAATATGTCTATCAACTGTGTCATATTTTACCATTCACCACCCGTTGTACTTTCAATTTTGGGGAGGTAGGTGAAGTGAGAAAGGAGAATACTGATGGCATTCAGGGCTCACAAACATGTACAAAGAAATACTTTGTGAAATCATGCTCCTTTTCTTCATCTTTATTTAACTGGGCTCATGTGAGGAATGTTTAAAGCTTTGTGTGTGTGTGTGTGTGTGTGTGTGTGTGTGTGTGTGAGCGTGCACACGCACGTGCATGTGCATGGAAGAGGGAAAGAGAGAGAGAAAAATGCATGACAGTGCTTACCTATGAAAGTTAGAACATGACAGTATGGCACAGAAACTTCTAACATTCTGGCTATATTATATCATAAGCAAATCATGAGTCGTGTCTATATTTTGTTTATTTCTGCATACTTCACAGTGCCAAGCCCTCAGTAGTCGCTCAGAAAATTTATTCTAAAAAATAATGCATTCCCAGTTAGCATTTGTTATCAACCAGCAGCAACCAAAATCACATTTTGATAACAATATGTGGATATTGCCCAAACAAGCAGATTTATTGGATGAGCATTACTACAACCATAGAGCATTTTAATAGCTTAAGATTTTATGTATGCAATGTAAATATCTTCTTGATACATTGAATATTATGACAAAAAGTTTTATTACTTCAGAACAGATGAATAATGATGCAAGGATGAATTTTGAAGAACATTCTTGCTAGATGGATAGACAAAGTGTTCAAAAACATTTGAGAAAAGAATTTACTAAACATTATCTGCATGTGACCTCAAGCAATTTGTGATGAAACGTGTATGTGTGCACATGTGTGTATGTGTAGGAAATAAACTCAAATAGCAAAGATACATATATATTTATATTTTATATGTATTTATATATAAATTGATATATTATTTATATATATTTATATATTTTTATATATTATATATTATATATTTATATATTTTTATATATTATATATTTATATATTATATATTATATATTTTTATATATTATATATTTATATATTATATATTATATATTTTTATATATTATATATTTATATATTTTATATATCTATTTTATATTTTTAAATATATTTATATATTTTTGTATATAAATTTATATATTATGTATATATATTTCTGTTATATATATTTTATATATATTTATGTATATAAAATATAGATATATTTTAATTCATTGCATTAAATTCATAGTTAGCTCATAGGCACACAGAATTTAGTCTCTTTCTTCTCTGTCATTTTCTTCTTTTATAATTTGTTTTACCATAAAGAGATCAGAGAAGCCTGTTATGGTACCGTGGCAGGAGAACAGGAGATCTCAGGAGAAATCCAATAATTAAACCACTTTGCCTGGCAAGTAACCCGTTGGAAGGTAATGGTTCTGGAGAATAAGTTGGTAGGAGCACTTAATTATGGCAGCCTTTAATTCAATGTGAGCTGCCTGAACACTAAGAGTTTGATCAGTATGTGTTAATCTAGTTAAAATAAGCACTTTTTTCCTCAAAGTAAACTGGGTACCTAAATGTATGCATCTCAAAAATCTGACTTATAGTAACTCCATATTTTAGAGATAAAGATTTAGGTAGGGTGGCATTTAAAACAAACCACTTGCCATTATCTGCAAAAATGTGATTATTCTAACTTAAGGATTTAGTCTTACCCAAGTTTTTTCTTTTTATATACACATGTACTCACACATATATGTAGTGAATGATGATGACATGTAATGAAATAATACTGTATTTTCAAAGCCACCTACCTTTTAATCCACTCAAAACAGTGCCTGTGCATGTTGATTATGTGGCAGTTGAGACCAGCTGCCCTATTGCTTCTTTTCTATTGAAGTTGCGTTCTAGAAATGACAGAAGCCTTAACCTTTATTTAGCGGGAAAAGCCATTAATCTGTCTTCAGACTTTCCCCTACCTCCCACAGAAAAAACAATTTGCTCTTCAAAAGTTTGTTTGGAAATGAAACCAAATTCTGTGTTTCCTCTACAGATGGTTGACCTCTTTCAGTTGGTGACTGCATTACTCATTTAAACAATTATACAGGTCAGTATAGTGTAATCTAAATTATTTAGTCTCTTAGTGTTTTTCAGACACTACTGACAGTTGGAGAGCCTCCAGCTGCTGGTGGTACCTGGATTTGAACTCCACACAATGATAACAGAATTTTAGTCTGAATTCAAGAGCCCATCCATTGACAGTGCCTACTAACTCGCTTGACAAGCTTGCACACTGGTCCCAAGGGAGTTATAACTTAAGTAACAATATGTCAACACATAAAGATTTTCAGAAGAAAAGTTTAAAATACGTGTGATTTTAAAACAATCATTACTACCTGGTTGATCTTTCTTCTGAAGCCTAACCCTGAAATACCTTTCTTTTTTGTTTGTCCCCCACAGGGAACAACTCTAAACTACCAAACAGATTAGCAAAATATTATGATAATCTTTTCCATCTTAATTTGTACTGGAGACTGAATGTGCCCCAGTATCAACCTTAATTACTGTATAACATTTCAGCAGTGTAGTTCATGAAAATGTCAGGGAGTTAGCTAAAGGGGACTTGGGGTCTTGGAAACATCAGCGGGGGACTCGTAAGAGAATGTGTGCTCCACAGGACAGTGGAGATTTACAAACACAAAATTTAGGACGGAGATGGAAATGAAACCTAGGGCTAAGGTGTTAACACCAAGCAAATCCAATAAAGTTTGAGTTTCTCAAGGTAGAGAGAAGGCACAATGCAATATAGTCTGGTGGTCTTTCTAACACCTTTAAATAATTTTAAAATTAGTAAAATTTAGGTTCCAGCAGTTAACACAACAGCTTGTAAAATGACTCTTTATAATGAGGGATCTAGTATGTTCAAGTTAATATATCAGTTTGAATTAATGAATTTTTAATTCAGATTCCTTTTGCAGCTTGAATTCAGACTAATTACAGGTTTTAAATTGTCACTAGTCGGAGCTCAGCCAAGGCATATTTCCTCTCTTCTTTACTTGCACCCTGAGAATTCATGAATCAATTTTTTTCTGGGTCATGACTTTGCCCCACCAGGAGCAGATAAAACCCTTTAGTGAGAAGAAAATGCAATGGCAGGGATCCCAGTCAGTCAGAATTTGTACGCAAAATGCAAGGAGGTAAAAATGACAGAGGAAATTTCCCAGCTATGAGGAAAAAATGCTTAAAAATCATGTATATAATCGAAACAGTAATGAATTTAGTAAATACTTTTAAGCACAGCAGTATCCACTTTTATCCTTGTAATTTAGGATTATTGGATATCTTACGAGAGGGACTGCCTTTTGCAAACCTTATTTTTAAACAGCAGAGGTCACCTTAGTACAAACCTCTTCAGGGGGGGAAATGCTTTCTGTTCAGTGGTGATAAATGAAGTACTTTTAAACGATCAGTAACCCTTCTCTTATTTCATTGAAACTCAAAAATCAAACTCACGTGGTTAGTTGGGAATTTAAAAAAGTTGAGCAAAATGAAATTGTTTTAAAGTTCAATTACTTTTTATTTATATCCATTTTAAAATGATTCTTTTCCAAAAGGAGAATTACATGAAATAATTTAAGTAATCATAGGGTCCGATATATTTCCAACTTGGTTAACAATATTCCATTTTGTGTTTACTATTAAAAATATCCAGTAAATCATTCTGGCTCAACCACTATGGCTTATTTTTAAAGCTAATTGTATCTGTAAAATATACCTCTTAGGAAGGAATGGCTAATAAATAGCTCACTAAATGTAAAATCTTTCAAAAGGCAAAAAGTAAAAAGTTATTAAATAAAATTTCATTTAATAAAACATAGATCTGTTTAGATAAATTGATAATATTCTCATGCTTTGTTTTGTGACTTTCGTAGCTATAAGCTATAGTTCACCTAATAATGTGTGATAAGCTAGTTTAGGCATTTGCTTTTCAGATGTTTGAAGACCAGAAGATGTGAAGTGGAATGTTTCTGTTTTACAAGACTTGATGTAAAAATATTCTTTTTTTAGTAGTCGTAAGTTCATTAGAATACACCTTTAATTAATAATTATGTCTGGTTACATTATATGATCTTTATTGAATTCATATTTTAAGTAAATTGACCTATGAGATATAATCAATTTTTGATAAGTAGTTCAAATAATCCTTTTATTGAATATGCCAATATGTCATTTTCATGTTATAATGAACAACAATAACTATTCTGACAATAGGAATAAGATTTATTAATACTCCCTCCTTCCTCTGCCTTTTCCTTCTCTCCCACCAGATGACAAAGTTGCGTAACTTTCACACTGACTGCTGAGACAATTGCCCTCTTACAGGGAATGGGAGGGAAATTCAAAGAAATAAAAATTCCCAGGAAATTCTTAAATGCTATTTTAGATTTTAATCACTTTATTAGATTTCTTGCTTGAGTGATTTGTGCAGAAAACATTTTATCTATTTTGTTTTCCTCTGATTACCGAACTGTGTTGGACACAAAAGTCTACTTGGAACTAGCTTACAGTTTAAAGACAGGTTTAATAACAGGTGAACACTGGAAAATATGCAAACAAAATGGCAGACATGAATGACTTCATTTAAAGCATAATTGCTTCTCATCAACCCAAGAAATCATGCAGAAACAGTCTCTGTTTTATCCAGCCAGGAAGAGACCAGAGAAATCACTCAGGCAGAGATACTAAAAGGAAGGTCCATTCTTGGGTCTCAGCCAGACAACCACTCTACACACAGATCCAAGCTTAAAGACAATAGTCCTTAGAATCACAGTTCATCATAACAGATAATTATACAGCAAGTAAGACAATAAGGTTTTTTGGCCTCTGACTATATAGACTAATTGCTGGCTATGGAGCTCTGCCTGGAAGGCACACAGCACAGCCTCTGCAATGTCTTCCTAATATGTGGGGACTGGTGTAATTTCGGTGGACAAGAGGTTTACTGTTTAGTGAATTCCATATGGTGGTTCTTTCTCTTTTGCCGATTTTTTTCCCCCAGCAGACATATAAGTATTTCAAATGATTCCTGACATATCTACCTGGAGAGAGTTTAAAAGGAAATAATCCTGCCTAGTATTCCAAGGAAGTTTCCCATTGATTTTTAAAGAAATCATTAAAAAGGATGCAAAAAAGTCTGGCCATGTAACTATAGTGTTTAACATTGCACATTCCATTCCAAAATATTAAAAATTAGGATATGATATCAACTTTTATTTAAATGCATATGGATGTCAGCACTTTTGCTTGATAATATAGGCAAAACCAAGAGTTAACGAACATTGCTTTTGAATATGCACCTGGAAGGAATAAAGTTCCACTCTCGTTTTGGTTTTGTTTTGTTCTTTTTAATCTTTAACAGAATCCATCATGATTACACTTGTTATTTATTTATTTATTATCAGGAAAGATTAGAGGTATCAACTTTGAAGATATTTATTCACCAGAGAGAGTTCCTGACAAGCTAGCAAGGGGGTGCAGAGACTCAAGAACAGTGATCCTGCCTCTCCCCATCAGAAACAAATATGTCTCTCTTCAATTTGTGTAGCCCCAAACACCAGCCAATTAACTTGAAGCTGAGTTTTGACTCAAACTCGTGACCCTTCAGGCCATAGAGCCCTGTTCTGCATCTGGTGTCATTGAACCAAGTTAGGATAAAAATAATCTCTGCTATTGTTTTTGTGTGTGTGTGTTGCTTCTTTTTCCTTGCTTTTAAAAATAAATAATGCTTTTAAGACCTACTGAGGTCTTTACGATTCCTAAAGCTTTCTACATGATATTTGTATGTTTTCTCTTCTTTGGAAGGAGAAAAAAGCTGGAACACAATCATTTTTATTGAACAAAGTTTGCAGTTCATTAAAGGCTTTCTGGCTCCCATGTGCAAGTGCTGACCATTACATCACGCGCCCTGAGGGTTGTGCTAGAAAAGAGAAAAGAAGGCGAAATCAGCAAAAATAAAAGCGTCTTCCTGACTTGAATTGAAAAATGTGCTTGTTTTTTGTTAAACACCACAAATTTGCAGGAAGGCTGGCAAGTGTAATAGCATTCTGAGCATATGCTACCTCGGAGGCACAAAGCCCTCGCTTAAAGAAATACACTCAAAACCTACACTTTGATCCCCAAGATTTGATCAAATAAAACAATAGTTTCCAAGCTGTGTCATCTATTACTAAGTTAGTTTAAAGATTCTGTTAAATAGGAATGAATATGTACCACCGAAACCATTTTCATTTCATTCACTTTTTTTTTTGTAAAATAATTTAAAAAATTCCAGTGGAAAGAAAAAGATGGATATCTTTCGAAATAAGGTGAACTGAGGAGCAAAACAAAAAAGAGGGGGCTGAGGATAGAAAATTTGCTCTTTTATTCTATTTAACTCTTGTTTTCTAAGAATTCAGCAACATTTGGCTATTGGGGATGTCTGGAACGTAGGACTATGTATAAAATCTATGTTCAGACGTTATAAGTTATATCATAATAAAAGTCCAGAAGTGTAATGAGGTGGATGTGTACAAAAGGGGCTTCAAGTAGTGTCTGCAACCCAGTGGCCATTAAATTCTGATATAATTTTGGCCCTAAATAGTGTCTATTTTTTTAATTGCGAATACAGTGAATTCACCATTTCTTTGTGGTTTGATATTCAGAAGAAAAAAGCAAAACCAAGCCCAACAAGGCCAATATCATTGCTATTGAGGCGATATTTTAATGTATTCTTTTATTGTGTGAATACTTTTTTGAAAGTACACAGATCTTAAATATCATAGCTAGAAAGTTGATATGGCTTAGATTTCAGATGATAAACACTACCACACGGTGTCATATTAAAATGTAAAAACTATGTATGCACGCCACAGCCTCTGCCTGCTATGAGTTTGGTTGTACGAATGTTTTTTTGACTTCTAAATCACACATTTGCTAAAATGAGCTCTGGTAGATATCAGTTTGCGCACAGGCACAATGTGTCTCAGTCAGATTCATAAAACAGAGAGCTGAACTATACTTTGACTTTTGACATCAACAATCTGACTTCAATATTTCTCCACAAAAAGAGACTCCTGACTCTGTGCTGTTTCAATGTGATGGATAGCTTTTCAGCTGCTGACAGCACTGAACATAATAAATGTATTCATCAGCATCAGGGGCTGCATATCCCCATGTCTTAAGTTTTATAGCTAGTGGTTTTTGAAATGCCACCCAGAAACACCTGCAGCACTGCCTTGTTTCTGCAGAACTGCAAAGCCACTGTGAAAAAATATTATTGTAAAGTTGTCTGTATATCAGCATTTCTGTGCTAAACAACCTTTTAATTGCCTACCCTCTAATTTTTCTTTGCCTTGAAACACTTGCAGACACATATTTTAATTTAAGCCGCTCTGTTTGACTCCTCTGATCATCTGGGTTTTCATTGTCGTTGCTTCACAATAATTTAATGTCATATATAATGGCATCAAATTGGGGAAAGCCCTAAAAGCTGCCAATCCAAAGTGATCTGAATGTTCCCGAGTACAAGTCTAGATAAGCTTGACTTGTTTGTGCCAACATTATTCATCACATTCTGTGTCTAACTGGGCCAGTGTTCTCTTGCTATTGCATTTTTAAATCCTCTTTCAACATACTCTGAAGCTCCTTAATCAGTGTGTTTTCTATGCTACAGTTAACAAAATGGTTGCAAGTATACGTATGCACTAAAAATAAAAGAAAGAGTATTATGACGATGCTTCCTACACTACTATCTAAACGTTTTACCATATTGTTCTTTAACTTGGTTCTTGTTTAACAAATCGCATTTTGTTTGCCGCTAGAAGAGAAGAGTTGGACCACATGTGCAATTCCACATTGGTTTTAGATTTTAATTTAATAATATTACAGAGAGCTAACTACTATTAATGAAAACTTATTTGTGAGGCTACTCCAAAGTTGATCATATATGTCTTCTTGGGAGGAGAAGAGTTTTATTTTATAGCTAATTAAAAGTTTCTAAAGATGCTGTGGATTTTTTTGTGCAAATTAAAATTAATTAGAGTTATTAAGGAGCCATGAAAAGAAGGATTTGAGAAATAGTGAGAAATATTATTTAAACCCTAATGGAATTCAGTGAAACCCACAGGTCTATTACAGGCCCCTGATTTGCCAGGATCACTGCAGGGAATCTAACATTAATAAGCACACTGGTAATTAAATCATTTGTTACTTTGTCTGTAATGTTGTAATGTTTCACTGATACTCTGTCAGAGCTCTTTGTGCAGATCAGAGCTAATCAAAGGTAATCAATTTTCAGCATTTGAGAAATCTGTAAATGATTATACATTCATCAGATCATTTAGTGGAGTGCAAGGAAAGTGCAATGCAATTAATCTTCCTGCATGAGGAGGAATTACCACCACAGAATTCAACAGTTATAATTAATTTCATTGTCTTGCTGTGAATTTTGATTGCTTTTCTTTGGACTGTATAGTACAAATGATGATTCATTGCAAAGTATTTGCAAAGCAAACACACCAGTGTGCTATGCAAATTAAAGTAGCTGTATAACAGATAGGTTTCAAACTTCCTATTTACTCAGGGTTGTTGAGTACTAATTTGGCAAATAATAATTGCTTGTTAACTTTATACACTCTTCCCTTGAATATCAAGATTGGTAACCAATATAAATAGAAAGCACGTGCTATTTTGTATCTTATGGTATGTATGCAAAATACTAGTTAGCACTTAAACTTGTTCGCTTTACCAAATAATTTAGGCATTAAAAATGGTTATTTACTTCTGAAATCATTTGCTATTTATTTAACTTAAACAAAATAGCAGGAATAGATTATGCATAGAAGTGGGTGTTGCTTTTCCCATTAATTGTAACTAGAAATGTTTAAGAGACTTTCACTTGAGACATTTGATTTTTAGAATCTATTTGTAATATAGAATGTTGCTATTTAACAGAAATATGTAATTTTGGTACATAGCAGGGTGTTGCTAAAACACTCTTCATCATTTACAGATTTCCTACATAATCTCCTTCAGTTTCCCAATATTCTGTACATTTAAAAATATGCTTGTGGAAACAAATACCAATTCAGAAGTGATCTAAAAAGTTCATCTCTTATTTTGTGATAAATAAAATATATATATTTTTTGAGACAGTGTTTCACTCTTGTCAACCCAGGATGGAGTGCAATGGCGTGATCTTGGCTCACTGCAACCTCCCCCTCCCGAGTTTAAGCGATTCTCCTGCCTCAGCCTCCCAAGTAGCTGGGAGTACAGGCGCCTGCCACCACGCCTGGCTAATTTTTGTATTTTTGGTAGAGACGGGGTTTCACTATGTTGGCCAGGCTTGTCTTGAACTCCTGACCTCAAGTGATCCACCCACTTCGGCCTCCCAAAGTGCTGGGATTACAGGCATGAGCCACCGCACCCGGCCAATAAAATGATTTTTTAAATGAAGTGAACGTTAATGATAAACAATAACAATGTACATAACTTTAATGTTAACTGTTTGTGAAATGACTCCAATTCCTGTAATAATTAAAATGTGAATCATGATTGTTTTTCTTTAAATCACTTTGTGAGATCCAAGTCTCTAGTGTTTTTCCCTAAATTAAACTTATCTAAGTGTTAAAATCAGCTTCAATCCTTTACATACATATACATCCAAAAATATGAAGCCTCACTTTAATATTTCTTAATCAAGAATTTGAACTATGTACTTGAATGTCAATTGAAAACCAATATAAGATGTTATATTTTCCTCAGATATGTTCTGTGTGTGATGTTACTTTTGTAACATCTTTGTTGATTGAACTTTGAGGAATAAGTAACTTTTTTCACATGTTAATTTTTAAACCTGTGAATTAGTTTAGGTTAGTTCAGTTACCTGCTAAAATCAGGAGTACTATAAGTCTTTTCTGTTCTGAAAAACAGAAACAAGAACAAAAACCTGAACAAAACTCTAATGGGTTAACTGACTAAATTAACACATTCCAAATCATGTGAAATTGAAAAGTCAAGATATCATCATTTAAAATTCATGGTAAGGTAAATAATACAAGATGTAGACTAAAATAATGCAAACTTAATGGTAAATTGATACTTTTTTTTCTGAGAGAATAAATTAAGCTGTCTGGAAATCCAAATAAATATTCAAATAATAAATGAGGCCCCAAACCACTATTTTGCTGTCAAAATCCATAGAGCAACCATGGGAAAACTCTTTATGGCATCAAATCTGTCATATGCTTTAAAACCTTTGTCTATTGTTTTTGCAATGAATGCAATGAATGCTTCATTTAAGATTTTGATAAAAGACAAATATTAAGATAAATAATATACAGGTATACTGTATAAAATTTTCCTATTTCTTAACCATAAATGTATTTATATTATCTCTTTTTTATAGGATTTTAAAAACATTTATTCAAGTTACTTCATTTTAATCTTTGCTCATATTTTTCTTTTAATGATTTTCCATTGTTGCCAGCATCGTAGCAATCCTGTTTTATAATTCTTTCCAGTTTTCATGTTTGATACACCATGCTGATTTTTGGTATTGAAGTTGGTTCAAGCAATATTATGTGTTAAATATAGTTCAACTAATTTAAAATTATTGAACTATATTTAAAATTATTTCTGCCAGGTTCAGAAAATTTACTTAAGGAAAACTAGTCTTTTCAATTGATGCATTCCCTAATTTATTCAAGGTTGGATCAGCAGGTACTAACTCACTTGATCATTTTGACTAAGTTTGCCAGTCAAATCATCAGAAAAATATAGTTAATAGAATAGAGATATAAACACAAGATAAACCAAAGACGGAAAAAGAATAAAATGCATAATATAGAATGTTTTCTATGAGGATCATGGGCTTTTGAGTGAAAAAGACTTGGTTTATATCCTGGGTCAACTTCTTTCAGGTGGTGTGACCATGTGAAATTTTCCTCACATAAACTTTCTACGTTTTGTTCATAAAATGAGACTAGTACTCTGTTTTGCAGAAAGTTATTGTATTGGAAATGCGTGTGAAACAGTCTGGCACATAGTAGGTGCTCAAAGAGTGAAAGCTGTTATTATGACCCACAGAATGAAGAAAAGACATGTGTTAGGTGATGGTGGCAATACAGGAAGAGACAGCCATAACTTTGGGCTTTTGTAGGAATGTAAAACAAATTTTTCCAACATATTGGCCTGTTTGTTACAAAAATCAGACAATGAAAAATATACTGTTATTGATTAAAGAATTTGAAACACATGGTTCAGGTTGGGGATATAGATGTTATGAAGTTCTTCAGTAATTGTTTCTGAAAAGGTTTTCTTTTATTTTTAATTAATATGCTTGAATTACTTCAATAATCTATTCCTGCATGTCCCTCAACTTACATCTCTTACATATCTACTTTTAAAAAAGTTTCTATAGGGCTCCTGAATTATGACCTCCTTTTTCATTTCCATTGTAAGAGAAAAGTTTGAAATGGCAAAAATATTTTGATAATTTCTACTAGCTTGTCTCAGCATTATTTTTAAAGTAATAATAATTAACAAGCTTATTTATTAGATTTATCTTCAATTTAGCTAAGCAATTATTTTCTAGGTAGGATTGTAGAATCCAAGACATTCAGAAACTTTTAGTTTACCACAAGTCAATTTGAAAAACTGAGTCAAGGGTCAATATTAAAGTATCAAAATGCAACATAAATATTTTTTAAAGTAAATATATCTCTGGAAAGATAAATTTTCATAGTATAATTTTTCCACAATTCTTGGCTGGCTCTTTTCTAAATCTCCTATTAAGTATAAATCAAAATATTTTGTAAGTAAAAAATAAAGTCAGGGCTAGCTTTATAAGATTGGAAAAACATGTTTTATTTTTATTTTAGTAACCACAAATTCAGGACATGTTCCTTATATAACATTTAATTAATCATTTGATGAAACTTGATATTTCACCTAGTGTACATTTTAAGGAAACTTTTTATAACTCAGTAAATATATTTATTAACTAAATATGATTGTTGAATATATGTTTCTGCTGGTGATGTCCATAATCCGTCTACTAAGTACCAACACTGTTTTCTCTTTTCCTTTTCTCAACATTCAGAAATTCTAAATTTATTTCATTGGACATCCAAGTGGCCTTGAGAAATTCCCAACTATAATAATGAATGAAATGCAACTGGTGAATGAGCCATATATAATGTTGACAGATTTTACAAGTGTTGTTCTGTTATTTTAAAGCAGCAGTCTTTGAAATTTTCCTTTAATGTAAGATGGAGAGCAATATAAATAATACATCTGACTGAAAGGACATGAAAATAAGAAAAAAAAACCTGATAGGGTCTTGCAATATCATAATTTATGTGAAACATGTAAAAAAATGCATACATAGCACCTTTCCTGTCTGGCTTCAACTGCATTCATTTGTTGTCAAAACAGGTTTCCATATTTAACTTCTTTTTTTGATTATGCCTTTTCCTTTATTTCATGGAATGATATGTTATTATCTCTGAAGTGTAGATTTCTGCCAAGTTCTATGCACTTCAGTGTTAAGAGTATGGCCCACGACTCTGGGAATCTTTGTTGAAGCTGTAGAAATAAAATGAATAGTATCAAAGCTTGATGGCATCTGTGGATAGGAAACTCATTAAAGGCCCCAGCCCTCTGTTTTATTTCTAACCACATTTTCCCTGTGGGATTTCAATGTCTTGCAGGATGAAACCAGCAGGACTCATTACTTACAAAACAATGTTTAGAGTCCTTTCGTGGTGCTGGAATGCTTCTGCCAGTCAGGTAAAGAACCTAGGCCTTTATCCTTTTGGGGACAATGCCGGCCAGCTCACAAACTGCTTGGAAAAGTCATGCCTTTGAATGTAACTGCAGGTGTTGCTCCCCAAAGGCTGTTGGTTGGTACCCTCCTATGCAATGTACAATGGGATAATAGAAAATTCACTTTGGAATTCAAACAAAGTCTTAGAGAAATGGAAATAATAGGAACACAATTTTGAGACTTCCTTAGTTTTTCCCACGAACTATGGACCATGACTAATACCCTCGGGGCAAAAAACATCCCTTTGCCTTTAAGGGATGTATACAGTTCAGTGTTTCAGATAAGTAAGTTTCATGACTTCATCAATTTTGTGGCTTCTATTCATTTACTAGAAAATAAATTTAAGCAAGAGAAGAAAGCCATGTTATGGGATAGAACTTTAAGACACCAAATCTAAAAAAAGGTCAATGCATTTGAATATAAAGTACAAAATATAGCTTTTTTTTCCTCCTAAAAGAAATCATTGCTTTAACTAGATTCACTAAATCAAATTAGTATAGCTCTGAGTGAATTGCCTGTCTCTCTTTGGCAATGTGGCCAGTGGCATTTTGGAAATATTCTTAGAACTTGTAAAATTCCTGCAAGAATAATAAGGACCTTGCCATTGTGGAATCAAAGAGATTCAATCACTTAAAGTAGTACTATAGGCTTGTCAAGTGGAATTGCTTTAACAGATTTGCTGAATAACTCATCCATAATGGCTGAAAATTTCAGCCATTTTGTTAAAACATCCAAGGCAGGAGAGATTAGTGCACACTATAGAATAGCATATGTATAATCACGAAGAAATTTAGACCACGTCTGCACTGTGAAGTACCATTTAAACATCCCAAGCTCTAGTCATTGCATTATGGAAAACAATGTGAGCTATCTAAAAAAATGAAGTGTGGTTTGTCCTTTGCTAGCTGATGAGACTTCAATAGCATTTAGGCTTGGTAAAATGTATTTCTAAACAAAGTTGCTATCATTACAGCTTGTCCTTACAGATGAGAAGTTCATGTAGAATTTAACTGGAGGGATTATAAAAAACAGTTAAATGTGGCAACCATAGAGAAGAAGTTAATCAGTGAGAAAGTGCTAACCTAGTTGTTGAAGAATTAGTATCAGTTAGATTCCTATTAATAATAGTAGGATGAGCTGACAACAAACATCTGGGTTGCTAAAATGAGAAATCATTAAGCCTTTCTCTTTTAAACACATTGTTGACAATGGAGACATGCATGTTATTTGTCAATGGGCAAGTTTCAACTTGCAGATTTCAGGTATTTGTTTTCACAATTTTATCTTAATTCTGAAACTGAAATCAGCAAATAAACTGCCATTTTAAAGATTGTCCTTCAAGCTTGGTGTGCTTTGCAGAAATGATCATGAAAGTAGCTGCTGGGATAGGAAGGGAGAATCATAATTTAAAATGTGAAATTCATCTCTTATTTTCCATGCAGAAAATGTCAAAAATACGATACTTGACTTTGTACAAAGGTGAAAAAAATCTTAGTTGAGAATAAACATTTTCCCCACCTATATTTCGAATTTTACATTTTGAGGGTTATATTTGGCTTGAGTTGCATATGGCATTCCGTAGAATAAAAACATGTCTATAAAAGTCATCTTCAGCTTGAATTTAAATTCATCTGCTTGTTACCTTGTTTAAACAATAAAAAGGGAAAATATTCACCAGGAAAGATGTTTAAATACCAGGATGTAAATAATGATGTAGCCATGTAATTTGAATAAAATTTTAATGGAAAGAAGAGCAGATGAATATCAGAATATGTTATGAATAGAATACATGCAACGGAAGGGTATTTCCTATCAAAAGAAAAGTGGTAAGAAATTTAATAGCTATAATTTATAGTCCCAAAACTAATGCATTTGGAATAGGATATATAGAACTCTTTAAGCTTCTCTCTTCCAAGAATCTCAAGAGTCTATATACATGCAGATTATAAAATTGAGTCAGAAGGATGTTAACACAATCAACAATATATTTTGCTTTTCGCTGTTTACATAGCTTTTGCCAGAGACCATGGGATAGGTCAGCTGTACTACCAGAAATCAAAACTTTAATTTTAGCATTTTTTTCTACAACACTTCTGTATTCTCCAAAGCAAAGTTGCTAAAAGGATTAGAAAATTCCTCTTAAAAGCACACAAAGCTTTTTGGGGAAAAAAAAAATCAACTAATTAACCAATCTAATGAGTCATTCAATAGTAAAAGCAGGATTTATTTTACATGTTCCAAATATGCCAGCAATTGCTGCCTCTTCTTCCAAATCATATTGAATCCGTCTTTACCAAGCTTTCCCATCCCAGTTGGCTGTGCTCAGGGACTTAGAGAAAGCCAATAAATAACACCCTTTTTTTCCTCCTAAGTTTAGGATCAATTAAAAGATATGTAGTAGAGGAAGCAGAATGAAACTCAAAATGTCAGCTGTATTACCGGTAAATGGTGGAAAATAGGACTTGACTAACAGGTAAACCACTAAAAACATAACTCTATAAACAAACCTCCCACATAGCCACAGGCAAAGTCCCATACCTGCAAACACCCCTAGCAGGGCTGGAGCCTCTTGACTATAGGAGAGTGAACCTAGACTTATTCTCCCCATTGGCAGACAGATCTGAAGGAGAAAAATGCAGAACTGTCTTCCTCCTAAAAGCACCTGTACAGAAGTTGCTCTCCCTCCACTGGGACCCGAGAATGAAGGCGATATGGGTCCTCTTGGACGTTTGTCCTTCTAAGAAATAAGAATAAATAAATCAATCAACAAATAAATAAAGTAAGAGGATACTTCTCTTCTCTTCTTAGGAAACAAGAGGAGTGGGGAGTAAATATGCCCTTAAAAGCTGTCAGATAAATCTTTTAGTTTTGCTACTGAGTTGAAAATCTCATTTGTTCTGTGTACTTATTTTCTCTTTCTTTCCCTATTCTAATTTTATTTATTTTGTGCCTTTTTTTCCCCCTTCCACATGCACATTTTTTCAAGTAGCCTAGACTGTTTTATTATGTAGCTGTTTGGGGACTAGAGAGGAAGGTTTTATTTTTTAAAACCTACATATAACTTCCTATTCCTCACTCCACAGTATGGCTTTCTATAAGAGAATGTCTGAGTCAGATACTGTAGTTGAAAGAGTGATATTAATAAGACCAATGAATTTTCTTTTGAAGGGACTAAAGTATTTAGGTGCCCATATTTATATCTTAATAAATCCTAATTTACCTTTTCATCTTACTCATATTTTTATAAGCTCTTTCGTTTCATTTCCTACTGGTGAGTGACCCTGTTGCACCAATTAAATAAATCTGTTGTTTTAGAAATGTAAACTTATATGAGAAGGATGTGGATCCCTGCTACTTAAACAAAAACAAAAACAAAAAAACAAAACAAAACACATCATTAGATCAAACCACTGCATGCCACTACAAACATGCACTGAATAAAACTGATTTCTGTTTTTCACACATAGAGAACCTGTTATTTCTACTCAGAGCATGGTCCCCGGGCTAGCAACACCAGAATCATGGACAGCTGTTAGAAATACAGACGATTGGCCGGGCGCAGTGGCTCACGCCTGTAATCCCAGCACTTTGGGAGGCCGAGGAGGGCGGATCATGAGGTTAGGAGATCGAGACCATCCTGGCTAGCATGGTGAAACCCTGTCTCTACTAAAAATACAAAAAATTAGCTGGGCGTGGTGGTGGGTGCCTGTAGTCCCAGCTACTAGGGAGACTGAGGCAGGAGAATGGCTTGAACCCGGGAGGCGGAGCTTGCAGTGAGCCGAGATCGCGCCACTGCACTCCTGCCTGGGCGACAGAGCGAGACTCCGTCTCAAGAAAAACAAAAAACAAAAACAAAAAACAGAATGTTGTGTGCCATTCCAGCTCTCCTGAACTAGAATCTGCCCTTTTACAAGCCCTCCCAAGTGATAGGTGGGCACGTTACCTTTAGAGAAGCACTGGGTTAGGTAATTATTATCTCATCTCAAGAAGCTCTTGTTACTCAAACTTTTTTTGGAGCTGTGCCGTAGAGAGGTGATGGGGATTTGTTCTGTTCACATCGTTGCCAGGAGTGTCTTAGTCCAGTAGCTGAGACAGTGGGTGGGTAGGCAGGGCCCTATAAAAGAGGTCCCTGACTCTGAGCTACTCCAGGGCACCACTGACGCAATGTGAACTGTGGACTCAGACTTGGGTTTGAGCCCCAGCTTCACCACTTACCAGCACTGCAAACCTGGCAAGTTCCTGGACGTCTCAAAGCCTCATATTCTTGTGTGTGAAATTAGGAAAATAATACTGATTTGTTTAGATTTATTGTAAAGATTACATTACGAGACATATGGTAAGTGCATGCCATACAGTAGGGAAATAATATATTTTAGTTCTTTTCCCTCATTTCCTACAAGTGATAGGTGTCCTTATTTTAGTTTTAATAGTCTCAGATTCAGCCTCATGATTCTACACTAGCCAATGGGAGAGGTGGGGAGGGAGGAAGGTTTTCCCCTCCCTCTACGAGGCCCTTCATGGTTGAGTGATGATTATCATATTATATTCTGATCTACCACAAATAGGTCTCGTGCACTGATCACCAACTCTTCTCACAACCATCTTTTTAAGTGGGAACTGTACCTATATCGCTTATTCATAGGTGACATACAGGTGCAACAGTTATGTAATTACCCAAGGTCACACAGCTTGTAAGAGTTCAGACTGAGATTCAAACCTGTGCTCTTTCTAGGGACCATGTTATTCACAAGTGTGTTAGACATAGAAGTGGAATTATTCAGTCACTTTCTTTCATGCGGTTTCGTTAATGGCCTAAGGGCATGTATTTTTAGGTTAAGGGTAGAGTCCAAAATCTGTAGAAAAAAAAAAAACGGAAATTAACTGGCACACGCAGGAGAAGCCATCTTAGATGTTGGCCTCATTTTTCTAGGTAAGAGTCACACTGTTCCATCAAGCAGCAACAATTTCTCTACACTGAAAAGTTAAGTCATCTCGTATTCCCTATTGTCTTAGGAAATAAATAATTCTGGCTTCACATAGCTACTTTAAAGAACTCTGGCTCAACAATGAATGGTGGTGGAAGAGAAGATGGAGTCAGCTGCCTACCTGGCTTTCTTTCGTGGTCAGCAGGAGGCTGTAACCAATGCCAGTTTTTCACACATAGAGAACCTGTTATTGCTACTCAGAGCATGGTCCCTGGGCTAGCAACACCAGAATCATGGACAGCTGTTAGAAATACAGAATATTGGCCGGAGAACAAAAGCGAATGTGAGCTCATCTTACTTTTTAGACCCCTTTATGAACACCATTCTTCTTTTCAAATTTTATTATAGGCAATCATAACATTTATGAAATATAACTTACTTCTGATCTCTTGACAATTTTAAAACTGTACTCAAGATGATATTGTTTTAAAGAAAATCTAAAACTTCTGAATTTAATTAGTGTAATTCGTTCATTTATTCATTCACTAATTCGTTCAAGAAACGTATATGATATATCTTCCTATGTGAGCCTCAGCATAGTCACTGATACATCAATGAGAAAGACAAGATGTCTACTTTCACAGAGCCTGTGTTCCAGTCAGAGGGGACAGAATTCCTGCTCTAGTGGTAAAGCTGCCCCATTTCATCTATCTTAATGGTTTTTAGCTGGTGATGGGGAAAAGACATAGAACATTTAATTTAGTGAAAAACACCAAATGTTTTGTAATTACACAAACAAAAAAACTAGTTGTAACCTTTCCTGGTGAAAACTAACCCATTTCAATACGCATATATCTTACCATAATCAGGTTCTGTCTCTGAAAGCATTGAATGATGATGATAATTTAAATTAACAATATCATTTGTAACTGTAAGGTAAATTGATTAATACCTAAATATGGAAATTTCAGTTTCTAGAAACATCTCAAATAATGTCCAGAAAATATGGTACATAGCATAAAAACATCTATCTGTCCATCTATTTATCTAACTATATTCATAATATCTAATAAGTTTACTATTTTTGATACAACTGGATTCTTTGCCAGGTGCCATTACTTATTCAATTAAATGAATATCTTAGACATCTATACTTCAGTAACAACTTTTGGAGAAAAATGTGCCTGGGAATTTTCCAGATTATTGTTATGCTGTGGAAAAGTAGTATTGCACATTGCCCGAAGAAGGTGCTCATAGTTTAATTCTCATGCAAGACCCCGAAATTTTCTATTTTAAACATTTCTTTTCCACCATTCTTGACATTTGAATTAATCATTCACGTCTGTGACATGTTTTCATATTATCATTTAATACTGATGTCAGTACCAAACAGTAATAAGGGTGCAAACATCTGTTGTTTACTCTGAAATGATTAGCTTCCATATATAATAATAAAAATTTACCCCATTGCAATAATGTTTTAAAAAACCTTGCAAACATTTTGAACTCTGGTGATGCCTTTCAAAAGGCAATGGAAAATCACTTATATAAAGTTTGCTTTCTATCCACTTAATCCCAGAAAAATCTAGGATGGATGGGAATAAGGTTCATTCCCGAAGATGTTTATATTAAGAAGAGCCTATTAAATATATTCTTAAGCCTGCTTGCTGTTGCTTAACTTCACTGAGACCTAGAAACAATGCAACTGAAGTGACAAAATCACCTTGACATCTGGTGAGTCAGGTCTATTATTTTATTATTTTACTGTCCCTGTCCCAACTTTGCTGGTTGTTTCTTTGGTGACATTTAAGGACAAGACACAGTTGATTGATAATAATGCTGACTTAAAGTAGAAATGGAAACATCTGGAGGAATCACATTTCTTTGCCTGGATAACCTTTATCTGTCCTTTGAAATTCTGCTTAGATGTCATTTTCTAAAGCAAGCTTTCCCTAAACCCGTAAATTAGCCTAAATGTCCCTTTTTGGAACTCATGGCACTTAGTGTGTACTCCTGGTTCAGTGTTAGAATTATATCATAGCTGAAAATCCTCCCTATTAGACTGTAAGCAGAGCAGCACCAGCCTTATTATCTTTGTACTACTGGTATCTAATATAGCAATATACTGCCTGATCATGCATAAGGAGCCAGAATTAGGACACAATGATGAGAGTTAGAAAATAGCATCAGGCAATATATTAGGTAGGCAGAGGATGAACAAGATATTTTGTTTCCCTCAAGATCTAATTGGATATAATCTGTACGTAAATAGATAGTACCATGAGGGTGTGCACAGGCTACTACAGGGATTAAAAAAGGAATTTAATCAGCCTAAGCGGAAAGGAATGCCAAGGAAATCTTTCAGAAGAGCTAATGTGGGAACAAAGTGCTCATGGATCGCCTCAAGCATAAGTGAACAAGACAACTTTCGGAGCTGCCAATAGTTAATGGTGTTTTGAATTTAGAATTTTAAAGGTAGAAGATTGTATTAGAAAAGTAGATGGGAGTTAGGACAGGATGATGTAAACCGAAATGCCAAGTACTTAGTTTTGTAACCTGCAAAATGAGAAGCCATTGAAAAGTTTTAAGCAGGGCAGTGCTATGATAAAATGTAAATTTGAGAGGGCTAATCTAGAGTAGCATGATAGAAGATGAATATGGGGGTGCACAAACTGTGACAAAGAGACAGTGAAGAGGTATGACTCCAGAACTGAGGTATAAGAGTCAGGGATAGAATAAAGGCATATTAAATAGGCAAAATTAAAAGGACTTGGTGAATTAAAAGATTAGGTGTCTGGCAAGGTGAATTGAGTTTTCTGGATTGGCCATAGCGGGTACAAAGGGGACATTCATTGAGAAAAGTACACGAGGATAGGGAAGAGAGCTCAGTTTTGGACAGGGTGTGTTTGGGGAGCCTGTAGATGAGGAAGTCCAAAAGGCATTTAGGTGTGTGAGTCTGGAGTTCAAGGGCAAGGTCTGTGGTAATGATACAAGTTTGGAATTTGTCATGCTGGTTGAAGTTGTGGGGATTATAGAGGGCATTGATATTTTTAACACAAATCCCTTGGGATCCCTTTTGCCCTTTGCTTTCTATCCAGCTCCTCCACCCCACTCCCTCATAGTTTTGTATCTACTGGTGTGGGGGGTTGCCCTTGGGTATGGTGGCTGCTTCATCTGCAGGTTCAGAGAGCTGAAAGCATCTGGTTATTCCAATCCTAGAAGCAGACGTTAGACAAGGACCAACCAGTACAGGAGTATGAGATCAGCTCTCTTGCCTCTTGTCAGGGGCAAAGTGTGAGTTGTAATTTGCCCTCCAGGACTTTACCCAAAATTGTACCTTTGCTTAATTTTTTCCCATTGCTTGTCCTGCTTCTGCATTCGCTTACTAGTCTCCTTGGGGAGAACTTCTCTAATGAATCACTGGAACGCAAATTCTCATCTCGGGTCTATTTCTGGGTATGTCTACTTAAAACATATTGTGAGTAAGACCATCCAAGTGGAGTATTTAAAATGGAAAGGAAACATGTCAAAAAAAAAAAACAACCCCCAAAAAACCCACAGGGATATCACCGGTCAAGGATGGACTGTGAGAATCATGATCTTGGATTGTGTGACTATAGGTAGGGCCATCTTAGGTGTTGAAAAATGTCCTTTCAGACCAAGTGGTTTTTTCATCCCTTGCTCTATTTCTGGCAGGATGAATTCTTGCTGCTGGTAAATGTGAAGAAATGCGGGATTATCTGATAAGGTCACAGTGACACTGTTAGGAAGGATGCTGATAAATATATCTTGGCCACAACAAAGAATTAATCCTAGATTGGGACCAATTGGATATTGTGGACTGCTTCATACATGAGAAGGAATCGTAATTTCACCCCCGTTTTCCACCAGTGTTATGTGGTGACATCTTTCTATGGACTTAAATATATAGATCTACATCATTATTTTTAATTACTGCTTTGCATATTGTTGCATATATGAATTATGGTCCAATAAATAACTCATCTTTCATAGATATCTTGTTTTTCCTCATGTTTTTCTTATTATAAATGATGCTGTGAAGAACAACCTAACACACACATCTCTTTTTGTATAGTTGATTATCTTTTTCTCAGGAAATATTTTTAGAAGTGAGATTTGTTTGCTAAATGATATATGTGTTACACATTTGGACACAGGTAGTTCTATAAGTTTTTTAATTAACATGACATATATTTATGCATACAAGTTATAACTTTATTTTCTCATAATTCAACAACGGCACCTCTATTGTAAACCCCCATTTCCAATTGACAACAGAAAATCTTATCTAATAGTCAATTTTAGGTTAAATCAGTCCAATAAAGTAACTTTAAACTTAGTTAATGCTATTTAAAAATGCCACCATGTGGAGGTTTAAATTTTCTGTTCTGGGCCTCTCTTACTGTATCTTATCTGGGGCCAGTTCTTAGTTCCAGGGTGCTTATGCAACTGTCACCAGGGTCTGATCTGGCTCTGAGTTGGTTCTGCACTGGCAATTTCCCCAGATGTGATTTATCAAGACTCTCCTTTGGCACTAATGGCACACAGTGTTTCTTCAGTGATGACATGTCTGAAGTTTGAATGGAACGCTGCTTAGATGTTTGGCCCAGCTGATTTTTCTGAGATGCAGCTTTGTTGTTCTCAGGTTTCTGGTTGGAACAGTAACCAACTCTGTGTCCCATCATCCCAGCCCTAGGATTCCTCAACTGACCGCTGGCTCTATCTCTCAGCAAATCTTCCCGTCCCACTGGACACATGGAAACTTTGGATCTCTATGCAACAATCAAAGGGAACAAGCAACTGTAGGGAAAGTAGGAAGTCCAACAATTTCTTCTTCATAGACCGTTTTGCCTGATCTTCCTGAGGAAAGAGGTAATGTCACTAGGTAATTCTGAAGAGAATGAGGAGAGTAGTCAAGCTTTGAAGAAGCAGCTGAAGAGAAGAAGCTAACTATGGGAAGAAGTGTCAGGCAGTGTTGATAAACTCCAGACTATAAATTTCTAGTAGGCAAACATGGGCAAATATGTTACATTTTCTCCATCACTGCCCAGTGATAATAGCAAAGGGTTGAAGACTTGCAGAACATCCAGGGGAGGTAGGACGGGGAGGTTGAGGATGTCTAAACATAGTGGGAATAAAACAATGAATGAGCTGGACAGATACACGGCAGGCTGTGGTCAGATAAGGGGATAATGGGTTTTCATAGTTTAAAGGTTGAAAGTTTTCAGGAGATGAAAAACCTTGTAGGGGAGGATTAAAGTAAAGGAGTCAAAACCAATAAATTTAGAAAGTCAAATCACTGTGAGGCTGGGGATTTGCTTGGAAATTGAAGCTGGTTAGGATGAAGGTTGAACTTGGGGTGAAGAGGAAGACACATTTCCAGGTTCTAAAGACATGGAGGGAAACCGCTGGGAGTTAAATAGAATGAAATTAAGATAATGAGCATTACAACAGCAAGGAGGGTTAACATATATCAGAGGGCAAAAGCCTGAAAGGAAAACAGATTTGAGAGGAGTTAAGAAGGTAATGGTCTGAAAAGGAAAACCAGGACAATGGAATACTAATCATTCTCTCTATCTCTCTTCCCCAACTGCAGAGCTAGAAGACATAGACAAGGATGAGAAGAGCTATTCTTAGGGGAGAGCCAGATTTCAGGTAAGGAGATAGAGGTAGTTCATTTGGCAGATGATTCAGAGAGCAGGAAGAGCGAAGCATGAAGAAAGTGAAAGCACAGTAGAGAATAAAAAGCTAGTGAAGCTTGCGTTTTGAATGACAGGCAAAGCAGAGGGAATCGGGAGAGAAATTTAGTGGACTGTTCTGAAGAAAGCCTTCTGAAGAGAACTTTGGTACATAACCGCTTGCTGTCCCTGGCTGAGGTCGTCAGAGTTTGTAGCTCTATTCATTCTCTCTTTGTGTCTTAGTCGGCAGGCGGTGACTTAGCTTGAGGTTCCAAAAAGAATATTGATTAAAATACATTTTAAAGTTTACACCTGGAGTTGTGTGCTGCTGTTAAGTGTGAATATGCTTAATGTTTTGAATAGAAGTAAAATTCACTTGTGGGACAAAGTTGAAATTTGCATGTGGACCTAGCCAAAATTGATTTGAGTTTCTTGGGTTGTGTGATATAATTAGCAAAAATATTATTAAAGCCTTTAAAGTCATTTTTCCCAAAGCAGATGCTAATGGCAGCAAAAAAGCAGTCTCTTTCATCTAGAATTTGAGAATTATAAGCGAGGGCGAGGTGAACAGAAGCCCCGAAAAACTTCACAGCTAAATTTGATGAATTCTATTGGTATCTTGTCATCCTCAATTCTTATTTTTTTAGTTATCATAACAAAACTGAACCCTAAATATCAAATTAGGAAAGGAATTTTTAAAAACTGTAGAGAAAGATAAATGACAGCAGGCCCGTTATTTTCTTGCTATCATCCCACTTCTCCAAGAGAGTGGCAGTAGCTATCAGGCAAGTGTAGGTGCTTTTTCATGTTACTGTTCGGTCATACCAGGGCACAGCTAAAGATATCAGACTGGAGTTGGATCCTGGCTTTGCATTTCTTTTCTGTCTTTAATCAGTCATTTCCTGTTTGGTGTGAGTTAACAGTTCCTTTGGTGGATTTTTTTTTTTTTCCTCTGAGTCATCTTACTTGATAATGTCAGCCATGGACTCACTGGCACATGTTGTATTGTCAATCTGTGATTCTCACTTTGGGCCATTTCTGTTGCTTGTGTCTCTTCTACTTTCAATTTCCCTTTGGTTGCCATCCCCTATTTTAGGAGAACTCAATCCACGTGCAGAGAAATATTATAGGTTAATCTCAGCAGGATGTGTGAGAAAGAGACCTTGGAAACAGGATGAAACTTGGAGTGTCATAATTCTATTTGCAGAGACTTGATCCTTGCTTACATGGACTGATCACAGTTGCTGAAAAAAAATAACTCTGTGATATTTTCATGGATTCAGCCATATGGCACCGCCCTACCTGAACCATCATTCTGTTTTCCCTTACAGACACTGAGGAATGCAATATGGACATCCCGTCTGACTACACAGTATACAAACTCTTTACCTAATGTTGCAGATGGGTTTCATATATCCGAGGGGCTGTTTATTAATGTGGATATTTTTTCTTTTGCTTATTTACATATTGCTCAGAAGCCTGCCTACAACATGGAAATGATTTGCATGCATCTCGTTTCTTAGGAGTAAAGCACACTCCTACACAATAGGGCACATCATTTCACAAAGAGGCAAGTCATTTTGGGGTCTCCATTTTCACATTTTGTGGGGGCAGTGCCATAAAAGCACTCTACACAAAGCGATCTCTACAATTTACTTGGAATGTGAGCAGATATAAAGAAGGACTTAAATGCTTGGAGACAGTAAGGTATGGTAGAGAAGGTGGTAGAAGGAGTGAAGGTATTAGAATAAGGCACGCTGAAGAAATATTCCCGATTTTGCTATTTACCACCTGTGCAGTCTTGGAAAATATTTAACCTGAATCAACCTAATTCCTCATCTATGAAATAGGAAAAATAGCATATCATGTAAAGTTTTTGTAAGAATTGGTCATAATGCATATGTTATTAATAATGAAGTTGTTAAAATTAGTTAGGAATTATCATTATTACTGTTTTCCCAGGACAGGTATGTTGATGCTTTCAGGAAGTAAAGATGATTTTTCTTTGATTATTTGTCTTTACTCCACAACAGTTTTTGAGGTGTATATTCCTATTACCTACAGAAGTGCCTGGAACATGATCTGCCATGCTCATGGATTATCAATGCATGTTAGTTTACGTAATTGTAAAATAGATCCGTTCAAATGAAAAACATATCCCTAAATAGGCACTCATATTTAGAGAGATGGAATCAAAATTTTATAGATGATTACTGGGTAACTTGTTGGAGAAAAAGATGTAAAATATAAAAAGAAAGGTTGAATTATTTTCTTTTTTTACTGTTTACTTGACTCAAACTCTTTGGTTTAGAAGTGGAAACTTGAAACTTGGAGAACAACAACAACAATAGCAACAACAACAGAATAGGAACATCATACAAGGCATTTCTTCATTTGTGTGTACTGTCTTCCACCAGCAGAATGTTAACCTGCCTGAGAACAGGGATTTTGTCTGTTTCCTCGTCTGGTAAAAACCTGCCCACTGCCTTGAAGAGTGTCTTGAACACAGTAATTGCTCAATATGTATTGAATAGATTTTCATTTCTTCATATCTAATATCTAGAGAGTTCATAATAACACATCCTTTCTGCTCTTCATACCTAGGATGAGGAAATCCATTTGTCTTTAAATACAGGATTTTTAAAATTTCAGGATTCATTTTCATTTTTAACAGAAGTATTTACTCTTTGGCCATTAATTTTTATTTCTATCACTTGGCAAAATGGTTATCCAAATAATTTACCCTACGTGCCTAAATTTGTTTCAATCAAAACACTTAAATTTGGCTACCCATAACAATCATATTATTATATTTTATTGTCTTTGTATTTCAGTCATGATATTTCAGGTATTTATATATGGGGAAGACCTTGGCTAGCACAGCAAGCTTTGTGGAAAAGAATGGATATTAATTATTCTCTCAGAAATTAATTTTTTTATCAGATAAAACTTCCAGATGGATGCCAGATCATAGAATCACATTTTTATTTCCTGCTATCTTATGGCACACTGAAACACTGATTTGCAAGCTGGAACATGATGCTCTGACCATGTAATTGTCAATAGCATAACCTGTTTTGCACCTTATACCTGGATCCTTTAATTTTCACACTTATTCTGACACATTTAGAAAGCCTATGGTCTGAATTCTTCAATTCATGTTCACTGAGAAGTTAGTGAGGTTCTCTCCTGTAATGCCAGCACTTTGGGAGGCTGAGGCAGGAGGATCACGAGGTCAGGAGACCGAAACCAGCCTGGCTAACACGGTGAAACCCCATCTCTACTAGAAATACAAAAAATTAGCTGGGCGTGGTGGCACGTGCCTGTGGTCCCAGCTACTCGAGAGGCTGAGGCAGGAGAATCACTTGAGCCTGGGAGGCGGAGGTCGCAGTGAGCCGAGATCGCGCCACTGCACTCCATCCTGGGCAACAGAGTGAGACTCTGACTCAAAAAAAAAAAAAGTTAGTGAAGTTCTAAAGTACAAAAACTCTAGTAGGAACTTAATGAAAGCCAATAAACAAAATCATAGATTATTCCCCAAGACAATTATTATCTTCTTCTGGAACTAGAGTAAGGTTCCACGTAAGTTGAATTTCTTGCTCTTCTTAAGTTCTTTTTACAGTAAAATTTCCAGTAAACATAGCTGGCCATAACATGAGAAGTCAGACACATTAGCAGGGACTTAACAATGCAGCAGAAATGTGGACTCTAGGTCCCTCTTGCCCATTTTTTGGTTGTGTGACCCTGGGCAAGCTGTTTAAACTTTGTGACCACTGATTCCTCACAGAAAAAAAAGCAAGGCTTTCAGTAAGATAGCTTTGACATCCTTTGTGTTTCTAAAATTTTTATAATCCACAAACCAGGTAGGCTAACTCCAAATTATTGAAAAATCAATACACAGTTATATGAAATGAAGATGGTCTTTTTTTTTAATCACAATGAGCTCTTTGAAATAAAAGCAGACTCCTTAGTTTTGTTTACATTTATATGACAAAATACCATCTCAGCGACAGCCTTGTCCTAGATGTTGTCATGCATGAGCAATAAATTTTAAAATGTTTGAGGGGTTCAAAAGATCACTCTGAATTCATCTCTAACAATTTGAGGAAAAACGAACTCTGACAAAAATAGGTTCCAAGGTCTCGGTTAATGTGCTCTGGAAAATGTTAAATATTAAAAAGATAGCAATAGCAAATATACCAGTAATTTATAGATCATGATAGAACTCAGGCGTGTGTGTGGCTTATCTCTCTAAATTAACATGTTGACAGCAGAGCAATAATGATGTTTAATTCAAACAATCTTTTTTATGGCAGGCAGTATGTGAGAAATATTTTTGATGTATTCATCATGTTTTTGTGTTCTGGGATCATCTTGCAAAAGCAGACTTGAATCTTTCCTAAATGCATGGTCCTTCGATTTCAACTGATAGAATATTATGACTTCCTTTGTCTTCTGTTTTGTGATTTTGCCAGTAGTTGAAACAAGGAGAACAATAGAGTGTACATGAATAGAATTGAGCATTACGGAAGGTGTAAAGATACTGAAAGCTGACAAAAGAGGAACACTAATGAACCAAAAAAAAAAAAATTGGCTTAATTTTTTTGAGTTAGGAATTTCTACATCTATATCTCTATCTTTTGTTTTCCTTTAAAAAGAACAAATAGTTTATTTAAAGGGAATTAATTCCTTCACTAATAGCTATATATGATTTATTTAAATTCACATGGAATTTCTTTAATAAATACCTAAAAGGAAAAGATAAAATGCTGCTAGTCTTTGTGGGGAAAGGGTTCCACAAGAAAAACAATGAAAAATTGTTTATTGATTTATTATGCAAAATGATTTATTGATTTATTTATACATGCTTTCTATGTATAATGTAATTCTTTCTCTAGTCTTTGCCATTATCAACCTTTAGCAGAAAGTCAATTGCTGCATCAAAATGATCTTTCATAACATACAAGCAATTTGCTCTAGGAATCCAGGCACAGTGGTCCATGGGAACCTGAATTTTGTCTTAGATGCTCTCCCTACATTTCTTGATCTTTCTCAGAGCACCATGTCGCCTCCTACTCTCTGTTAACTGGGAACTTACTGTATGTTTCCCTGGAGCTGTATGCTGCCAGTTTCTTCAATGAAGTACTCCTTTCTCCAGAATTAACACTTCAGACTCTTCTCCGCAGTCAGTCTATCAGTTTGGATATATTAATGTATGTTGAAATGTGATTAGCTTTAGCTCTGGTGTAATTTGCATTTTTAATATTAGTTTTTTAATGGAAAGGGATTTCTAATTGTTGGATTTGCTTGATTCCCACCTTCAACCCCTGTTAATTCTCCACCTTAAACTTCTCATCCTGCTAATAAAAGACTTCATTTAGTTATTGTGAATTCCCATATTTGTTGAAAAATAGTTTATTTCTTCACAAAAATGTATTTTTCAGAACATTCAGAAATGTTTTCAGAACATTTTTATGTCTTTCCCCCTGGGTTTACATTGCCCCCAGTTTTTGCTTTGATGTTTCTATCTGTCTGTTGTTACACTAGATCCCACAGCTAATGGGTCCTAGGTGAAAGCACTTTAGTTATTTGTTCCCAGGCACCATGGTTCAACTGCTAAGCAGAGCAGTCCTTCCTCATCTTCTTTCTTGTGAGATCTTTGTAGGCACTTCCAAAGGAGGTGAGAAGACTCAGCATTTCATCCCCAGTTTCTGCCTTCACATCTATTAGCCCATTCTCATGCTGCTAAGAAAATGTGGCACATATACACCATGGAATACTATGCAGCCATAAAAAAGGATGAGTTCATGTCCTTTGCTGAGACATGGATGAAGCTGGAAACCATCATTCTCATCAAACTAAGACAAGAACAGAAAACCAAACACCACATATTCTCACTCATAAGTGGGAGTTGAACAATGAGAACACATGGACACAGGGAAGGGAACATCACACACTGAGGCCTGTTGGCGGGTGGGGGTCAGGGGGAGGGATAGCATTAGGAGAAATACCTACTATAGATGACAGGTTGATGGGTGCAGCAAACCACCATGGCACATGTATACCTATGTAACAAACCTGCACGTTCTGCACAGGTGCCCCAGAACTTAAAGTATTAAAAAAAAAAAGGAAATACCTGAAACTGGGTAATTTCTAAAGGACAGAAGTTTAAGGGACTCACAGTTCCACATGGCTGGGGAGGCCTTGCAATCATGGTGGAAGGCAAAGGAAGAGCAAAGAAACATCTTACATGGTGGCAGGCAAGAGAGCTTGTGTAGGGGAACTCCCCTTTGTAAAACCATCAGATCTCATGAGACTTACTCACTTTCATGAGAATACCACAGGAAAGACCCACCCCTGTGATTCAATTATCTCCCACTGGGTCCCTCCTCCAAAACCTGGGGATTTTTTGTTTGTTTGTTTTGTTTTGTTTTAAGATGGAGTCTTGCTCTGTCACCCAGGCTGGAGTGCAGTGGCGCAATCTCAGCTCACTGCAACCTCTGCCTCCTGGGTTCAAGCGATTCTCCTGCCTCAGCCTCCCTAGTAGCTGGGACTACAGGTGCGTGTCACCAAGCCCAGCTAATTTTTTGTAGTTTTAGTAGAGACGGGGTTTCACCGTGTTAGCCAGAATGGTCTTGATCTCCTGACCTCCTGATCCACCCACCTCGGCCTCCCACAGTGCTGGGATTACAGGCATGAGCCACGGCGCCCAGCCAAACGTGGGGATTATTATAATTCAAGGTGAGATGTGGGTAGGGACACAGAGCCAAACCGTATTATTGCCTCTCTCTTCTCCAGCTGTGCCTTATTTCTTAGCTTGCCTCCTGTCTCTCTCACTTTGGCATAGTAATGATGGACCTCTCCTGATTTACTATGTTTCAAAGTGTCTCAGAGGCCACTTAGGGCAGCTTCCAGCTGCCCCTACATATCTGATCTTTGGTAGTAAAGTCTCAGTCACTTTCCATCCAGCAGGGGAACATCTTCCTTTCTAGGTCCAGATTTTGGTGAGGCTGGTGGTCTCATGTTAGTGAGACTAGGTCCAGAATAACACTGAGCTTTCAGTTTTACTGTACCAATGCTCTGTACCTGAAACTCCATCCCATAGATGTGGTGCTGAATTTGCCTGGCAACACCAATGTTGAGCCTTACTCAGGATACTTTTTTTCTTAGAGCACTCATTGTTTCTGTCTGTTGTCTAGCCTCTGTTTTCACCCCCGTTAGTCTATAAGACATATTAGTATATGTTTGGAATCCTGTTGAAAACTGGGTTCACGTTCTTCCCCACAATGTTCATGCAATGGCTTACAAATCAGAGGATGTGGCTGTTGACCTCTGCTTAAGTTTCTGTAAGCAGATAAGAAAGCTTTGTCTTACCAGTGTCAGCTCTGGCCCAAATAAATCATGTTACACCACATTTCTTCATTTGGTCAGACTAATTTATTTATTCAGAGTACAGAAGGGAGAAAGATCTTTTTCTTCACGGTTAGTCTAAATATTATATTAGCTGCGTTGCCTGCTTTGTTACTGGCTTGGGGAGAGTGAATGGTAGGGCATGTGGGAGTTAGCATGACTCCATGTTTTTATTGTAAAACATCAGCTGTACATTGTAGAGCAACAGGTAAGAATGGAACCCTCCTCCATAGCCAGGACCTGATGAGAAAAAAAGGGGAAAACATAGTAAATACCAAATAAGTATGAGTTTAGAAACAGGAAAAGAAGTTTTGCAAGCAGAATAGAATTTTGTGGCATTCAAAAATGGAAAACTGAAAATTTAGAAAGCTGCCCTTAGTATGAGTTTGGGAAACAAAATGAAACCAGAGAAGGTTTTCATAAATCATACCCCCAAAGAGCTTCATCTCCATCAGCAGGTATGAAATTCATGGCAGCTTAAGAAAGCAGGGCCCAAAGGAATAAAGTCTGGTTGGCTAGAAATAGAAGCCTCCAGTGGTAACCCAGAATATTAACGGTAAATAGAGGAAAGAAGCTTCAAAGTTGGAACTAACTATTCCTGAAACCTACCTTCTTTTAAATTCTTTTCTTATTTTAAAACCTTTATACCCCAAATTTTCTGTATACTCATAGGGAAGCTGGTGTTTACTGGCTTGCCACATTTGGCCACTGGGCTGCAGTGAACACCATGAGAGAAAGGAAATATAAGTTACAGAAATAATTTAGCATCAAGAAGTGGGCTTTGAGAAAGGGAAAGGTGGCACTAGTCCTCAGACACTGAGATGGGAACTCTGATCTTTGGATAAAACAAGAGGTTCCAGGGCAAAATGCATGTATACAAAATCTCCTGCATACATTACAAAAATGTTCTCATTAATCTATAAAATCTCTGTGAATTAATAATTTGTCTCTCTACAATTTTCTTGTGATATTAAAGTATTCATTTTTATATAACCTTCAGTGAATTTTTACCCTATAATTAAATTGTTGGTAAATGTGGTCAGAAGGTAATTATGACTACCACAACCAAGAACAGGAAATTTTAAGATTTTAATTTATTTAACGAGAGATTACCCAACCCACAGAATGTATTTCTTCAAAAATGATTTCTTTTGCTAAAAATTTAGTGAGGTTATTATATGCATATATGTGTTGCCGGAGAACGGTTATTAATAATTAGAGATCCTTAGGTCAGGATCAATACAAGTTTCAAATAATATTGTTTCATAGAAGTCCTTAATCAGTGAGTTATTTTCCTGCAAGTGGTTCTGGAGACTCTGAAAAACAAGGTCTTGAGTGTTCATGAATGTGCCTCTGATTGTAGTCCCTGTGTAATTTTATCAGTGTTTCAAGCCAAGAATCACAATGGTAGGGCAACTGACAAAATTGTTTCATAAAATTGGTACAGGTGGGCCCGGCGTGTTGGCTCACACCTGTAATCCTAGCACTTTGGGAGATGGAGGCAAGGGGATCACCTGAGGTCAGGAGTTCGAGACCAGCCTGGCCAACATAGCAACACCCTATCTCTACTAAAAACACAAAAATTAGCTAGGTGTGGTGGTGGGCGCCTGTAATCCCAGCTACTCAGACGGCTGAGGTGTGAGAATCACTTGAACTCAGGAGAAAGAGGTTGCAGTGAGCAGAGATCGCACCACTGCACTCCAGCCTGGGTAACAGAGCAAGACTCTGTCTCAAAAACAGAACAAAACCAAACGCTGGTCCAGCTGTCCTCATTCTCCAGGAAGGTTACATCTTGGTGTTTCTGTAATATGAAAGCCTCCATATCACACTGATGTGGAAATCAAAGCTCTAACCTGGTTGTCTTCTATCTCAGAGTGGGCATAAATAGTACTGCCCTTACTGTGCTAGACTTGTCTGTAATTTGAATAGATTCAACTGGATCTTTAAGGTCATTTCCACTTGCAAATTCTGTGACTTTTGGCCTGAATCTTTGCACTGACTTTATCGTTATTTGGAGGTGGGATGTGATGGTTGACTTGACATGTCAATTTGGCTGGGTTAAGGGACACCCTGATAACTGATAAAGGAATATTTCTGGGCATGTCTGTGAGGCAGTTTCTGGAACAGACTGGTATCTGAATCAGTGGATTGAGTGGATTGAGTAGAAAAGATCTGCCCTCACGTAATGTGAGATCTCATCCGACTGGTTGAGAGCCTAGATAGAACAGAAAGACAGAGGAAAGGCAAACCCTCTCACTCTCTCTTTTCTGAAGCTACGGCACTCTTCTTCTTCTGACTTTGGACATCAGAATTCCAGGTTCTTCTACCTTTAGATTCCAGCACTCGCACCTTTGGACTCCAGAATCCCTAGGATTTTTGGCCAATACTGTAACTCTTCAGCCTTGGACTGAGAGTTGCAGTATTGGCTTCTCTGGTTCACACACCTTCAGACATGGACTGAGTGATGCCACCAGCTTCCTGTGTTCTCCAGCTTGTAGACCACATATTATGGGACTTCTCAGCGTTCATAATCATGAGCCAATTCCTCTAGTATATAAAAGGGGATTTCTCTATACACATATATCCTATTGGTTCTGAATTCTCCTATTTTTTTCTGGAGAATCTTAATACATGGAGAACTTTAAAATATTGAACTTTTCCATCCAATACTTATTAAATTTTATATCATTTTATTAAAGTTCTATAGTTTAGTACCTATGTAGTATTAATTTTTTAATTTGATATTTTAGTGTTTTATTGTTTGCTGAGGACAGGAAAGTCAATATGGTCCCACCATTGCCAACCTCTCTCAGAATTTTTAAGAGATTTTTTGTTGACAGCCTAAAATTTTCTAGGTTGACACAAAGGCATACCTCATGGATGTGACATCTAGAATGGATCATTTTTGAGCACTCCATCCTTTATGTAACAAAATTGTTTTCAGTAATAATCATGAAAGGAATCAAATAATAATAATCCCCAGAAAAGGAATGCAGATAGATTAGTAATTCTCTTTATTTAAATTTCATATTTATATAATGCTACTTAAAAATTAATATTAAAAATAGGCCAAGTGCAGTGGCTTATGTCTGTAATCCCAGCACTTTGGGAGGCCGAGGCGGGCGGATCACAAGGTCAGGAGATTGAGACCATCCTGGCTAACACAGTGAAACCCTGTTTCTACTAAAAATACAAAAAATTAGCTGGGCGTGGTGACACACGCCTGTAGTCCCAACTACTAGGGAGGCTGAGGCAGGAGAATTGCTTGAACCCAGGAGGCAGAGGTTGCAGTGAGCCGAGATCGCGCCACTGCACTCCAGCCTGGACGGCAGAAAGAGACTCCGTCTCAAAAAATAAATAAATAAATAAAATAATAATAATAATAATACAAGTGTTACAGTACATAAAAGGAACATGTTATAGATTAGCACTTTCAATTATACTAATGTGTTTTTTGAAAAGGGAAATTAATATTTACAATGGTCTGTTTCAGTAATAATAACTTTATAATTTTTATTTTCAAATCTTAACTTCTGTACATTATTCAAGGACTTTGGAAAAATTAATCTTTACTAGCCAGATTAATCCATCTTTACTCACAGTAGATAGAACATTTTTCTTACTTTTAATTAATTTTTTTCACATGAAGCAACAGATGTATAAATATGAAAAGTCTTAAATATAAGGGTAAAATTGTCAGTGATTCACAAAAATTCTTTCTTGAGAAATTCCAGAAATTATAATACTGTCAATTTCTTTTTTGAGAACAAATTCTGTGAATTTCATTATTGATAGTGTTTTAGAATTGCTGACAAATGGGAATAATAAAAGCAGACCGAGTTTTAGCTGGCCCTGCTCTTGTTTTAAAAATGTCTACAGATAACATAAACCTTTGTGCATCTCAAGTCCACCACTCTTATCACTTTTCACTTGATTTTTTTTTCTATAACTTTCCAATATCTGTACATTTTGTTTATTCTTCTAGGCTGGCCAGGCTAGAATACTATTACATTGTAACAGTGATAATGAGCATTTCTGACTGGATCCTGACTGACATGAAATTGTCTCTAATTTTTCTATTACATATCTTTTTGACAGCTGTTTTATAAACAACCCATTATTTAGAAGAAGATTCCTTATATTTCTAACTTACCCATTTTTTAAAAAAATCGGAATTGCATGTGGAATTTTATGAAATAAATTTCTGTATGCATTGGGCTGATCATTTGGCTTCTATCCTTCTACTTATAAATTTCGCATTAATAAGTTTTTTTAAGTTTGAAGTATCCTTGAACTTTTGGAGTAAAAGCTACTTTTTCATGATGTACCAGTATTTTGCAGAATGCTTTTAAATATGTGCTGGTATTTTGTTTAAAAACATTTACAAATCGTATAGGTCTAGAGGTTGTTTTGTATGTATTACTCTTAGTTTTGATATCAGGATCACAAAATATCATAGGATGAGTTTGGAAATTTGTTTTTCATAGTCTTTAGGAATTTACACAAACAGTAATAGTCTATTCCTTGCAGACTTAGTTATTTTCCCCCCTTTTAAAAGGAGTATTTATGTATTTTGTTATCTTATTTATATCAGTCTCAGAATTGTTTATGATAGTATAATAGGGAGCTTATCTTGATTTTAAAACATAGATGTGATATCCCCTTCAGTGTTTCTCTTGGAGACATTATTTTAATTATTTTAACATTATCAGTTTCCTCTATTAGCACTGTTTTATTTGCAGTGGAGTTTAGCACTTTTCTGTGTTAAGTTTAGTTTCTCTCTTGCTGGTGGTTTTCCTCAAATGCCTGCCAATTCTTGGTTATCTCTTTTCATGTGTAAATGAGGTTCTAGGTTGAACAGTATTGGTATCTGAGACAGAGTTTCAAGATATCTCCAGACAGTAAAAATGTTGCTAATGGAATTTGAAAGCCCTCCTCATCACTTCACACTTTTCACTCTCCAACCCTGAGAAGAAACGGGCCCTTAGAGACACTTAGAGGGAGGATTCGAGTGGATAAAAAACAACTGCTGCTTCCTGGTGCAGAAGTATTCATTCTCTTTTTTTTTTTTTTTTTGAGATGGAGTCTTACTATGCCACCCAGGCTGGAGTGCAGTGGCGCGATCTCAGCTCACTGCAAGCTCTGCCTCCCGGGTTCACACCATTCTCCTGCCTCAGCCTCCCAAGTAGCTGGGACTACAGGCGCCCGCCACCACACCTGGCTAATTGTTTGTATTTTTAGTAGAGACGGGATTTCACTGTGTCAGCCAGGATGGTCTTGATCTCCTGACCTCGTGATCCGCCTGCCTTGGCCTCCCAAAGTGCTAGGAGTACAGGCATGAGCCACCATGCCTGGCCAAAAGTATTCATTCTTAAGGATGAGAGTAAGTAGTGGGGATCCATCTCATGTCTCTGTGTGATGCTGAAGACCTATACCATTACAAAAATCTAAGTTGAATTCATCTTACTTTTTCTCAGTGATTCAGAGATAACAGGATTTCTAGATGTCCTTATACATAAACGTGGAGAAGAATTTTCCATTTAGGTTGACATATCCAAACCTAGGCACCTGCCCTTGGAAAAGGAGTTAAGCTGTTTCCAAATTCTCTGTTGTTCCAGATAGAACTGCAATCTATTTGCTACAAATCTTGGATTAATGTCTGTGTCATGGGATATATAGGGGAAACATATTAAAAATAAAAAAAATTAAAAAATAATTAAATCAGGGATTTCCTTTGAATTGCCTGGAGAGGAAGACTCATCATGTGGAGGCATATTACAGTCAGTTCTCTGAGTCCCAATCTGTGCATTTAAAAACATGAGTAGTTCCCTAGGGAATGTGAGATTCATCTTTTTTAAGGTGAATGTCGGCTCCAGATGAGACCTCTGTGGAGGCTTTGTAATTTACCTAGAGTTGCTGTAAAGCCACTGTTTAACATTTCAGATGGCCGTGAACCTGACTTTTACCAGAAAGACATCTGTGCTGCTACATTGGCCAGTTTTTACATTTTTGTGGATTCTAAGGTACCAATATTGATTATTCCGCCGATGCCATCCTGTGTTGTTAGTGTCTTAGAAATCTTTCATTCTAGCAGGTGTTTTAGATTTTTGTCCTAAAACTTGGACAATCTGGCACATATCTCTCAAATACTGGCCTAAAACCCGTGGATCTCTCTTGGGTAATTCACTGACCTCTAAAAGATGGTGAGTTCTTTTATAGTAAGTTCCTAGGTCCTTTCTGCAAATAAACCATTGGCAGATCTATAAAGTTTCCAGATACAAAGTTTTCTTAGTTGTAGAGTGCAGACAGTTTAGTTTGCCTAGCTTGGAACCAGACAAAAGGATGAATAAATAATAGTGAATAAATAATGTTCTGTTTTTAAAATATGGGGCTGGAGTAATGAATACAGATGTTCATGATATTTATCTTTTATAACTTATATAAAAATGACATATTCATTCATACATACATATATTATATTTCAAAAATAAAAACAAAATAGGCTAAATGAACCAAATTTATATATCATTCTAGGACCTCTTCTTACCACTAAGAATTAATTTTTGAAATTTCATGTCTTCAGACTATGACTCTGCAGATAAGTGTATGTAAGTGATGGTTAGTTTACACGGTACACCTTCAGAAGTCTATTAAATTTCACCTATTCTTTAGATTTCCCACTCTGTTTTATATTAGAGTTCAGAATTATTCTACCTTAAACTCACCTCTCACATGGGCCTTGCCAGCAAGAGAGGGAATTGAGGCTGAAGTTGACCCCTTCAGTTTAACGAATGTGTTAATGTATATTAAAGCGACTTTTGTTAATTCTCCTTTTGAAAGAGACCAATTTAGGAAAAGTCTGAGACTAGAGGGGCATAGGAGGAGCAACATAAGCCTGTAGGTTTCAGAGGAGAGAGGGACAGCAGTCAAAAGTATCTAGTCCTTGTTGGCTGGGAGGGAGGCAGGAGTAAGAGTGCATGGGAAGGAAGCCTGTGAATTCTATTTCTAAAAAGTTTCTTGGCTGGGCGCAGTGGCTCACACCTGTAATCCCAGCACTTTGGGAGGCCGAGGCGGGCGGATCACCTGAGGTCACGAGTTTGAGACCAGCCTGGCCAACATGGTGAAACCTCGTCTCTACTAAAACTACAAAATTAGCCGGGCGTGGTGGTGCATGCCTGTAATCCTAGCTACTCAGGAGGCTGAGGCAGGAGAATAGCTTGAACCCTGGAGGCGGACTTTGCAGTGAGCCAAGATTGCGCCACTGTACTCCAGCCTGGATGACAAGAGCAAGACTCCTTCTCAAAAAAAAAAAAAAAAAAAAAAAAGGGTTTCTCACATCCCTGTCATCATTGTATCATTGCTTTGGTTACTCTTTCATCACCTCTCTGTCTAGATTATCACTATTATTTCCTTATTATTCCCCCTGACTAAAGTCTCCACTCCACTCTCGTCCATCCTCCATGTTATCTTTCTAAATCACAAATTGGAGCAACCATGTTTCTTCTTAAAAACCTTCAGTGGCTACCCATTATTACAGAATACTACAGAATAAAGTTCAAAGTTATTGGAGTGACCTCATTCTGTCTTTTTTTTTTTTCAGTATGTGCTCATGTTTGGGAGCTTATGCTCTGGAATCACCGGCTTCAGACCTTGACTCTACCACTTGATGTGGGGTGAGATACCATGTTCTTCTCTCTCAGTTTCCTCTTCTAAAATAATGACAATAATCCTATTTTTCATGGGTTAGTAATAAAGGTTAGTTGAAATAATACTTGTAAAGTACTTAGAAGAAGTGGTACATGCTAAGGACTCATAAGTGTTTGCATTTATTATTAATTATTATTAATAACATGTTTTGCCACTCTCCTAGAATAGGCACTGTCTATTCTACCAGTGCCATGACTTTGCTTATTCTATTCCGGGAGTTGAAAATTTAAGTATTTTGTAGGTGTCTGGTAAAGCACAGAAAGGAATCATGTGAATTGAGAGCATATGTCCTTTTCCCACAAAGGCATGCAAATTAATTTTTTTTTTTTTTTTACTGCTGTGCTGACAAAGGAATCATCTCTGTGATTCCTCCTCTACATTTGCAGCAAATTATGACCCATCACCTAAGGTCAACAGTAAATAATGTCTCTTCCATTGATTTCTTTGACTTCTTCCCTCCTCTGTACTCACAGAGTATTTATTCTCCCATTCCATTGCTTACCATCCAATCTACCATAATTCATATCTTCATTATTGCATTGAATATGTTCATTTTCCCATTGTCATGCTTATTGTATTATCACTTACTTATTTACATAATTGTCTGTCCATTTGGATTTTTTAGGTCCTCGAAAGCAAGCAAAATGGTTTTTCCATTTGTATATTTTCAGTATCTAGCCAGCAATTATTACTTTTTTAAATAAATGGTTATAGATAGTATCTAGGAGATTTGCAACATAGAAAACTAATAATAAGTAGGGATAAGAAGATTAAAAAATAAAGCTGATGGGACCATGAAGGCAGACTTAAAGTACTTTACATGTTTGTATTGGCTTTAGTTAGAATCTCTCTCATGGATTGTTGCCCTTTACTATTTGGGGGCAAATATCATTAAGGATACATCCTCTTTTGAGCCTCTGCCAATTCAACAAGGCAAGAAATTGAGAAAGTAATCAGCTCTTACTTCCTAATGGAGGTTGGCTGGTTCTTACATAAAAATTATTGAGTTATCAGTCATTGATAGAAAACACTCAGTAAAAGATTATTTTTGACATGTGCTAAAGGGGGCGATTTTCTTCTGTTTCATCAAGATAGTTTTTCTAAAACAAAATTGCTGAAACTGAAATGCCAATAATTTACCAAGTTGAAGTGCTTCTTTTTTTATACACAACAAACACACAAGCAGACAAACAAGCAAGCAGCTCCCTCCTCCCACAAACACAGAAACTAAACAAAAAGCAAAACCAGACAAACTGAAGCCAAAACTATCAATGGGAAGGGACATAGCAAGTGTCTTGGATTTGTGGCTACCTCTGTTGGACTGTCCAGACCCCATTTTTAGTTCAGGAGCACGTGGAAGCAGTGTTCAACTTCCACTGTCCAATCCCCTCAAGACTCAACAGCAGCTTCCAGGGGTTTCTCACTTCTTTGTGAGGTAGTGTGGTCTTAGCAACTGGATCTGAGTACCATTTCCCAAAGTAATTTTCTTCGCTGTTGACCAAAGAATGCTTTCTTCTGGTTAATTATATCATGTGTACTGATTTTCTATCTATTGAACCTATTTAAACATTTTATCTCTCATTTTAGTGAATTTTCTGATTGTTTATTTTTATTGGGGGAGAGTCTCAACAAATAAAATATTATTTAAGACCATAAATAAGTGTGCAGTAACAGATGAATGGATAATGAAAATGTGTTTTATTTACCCAATGAAATACTGGGTTGGTGCAAAAGTAATTGAGGTTTTTGCCACTGAGAGTAATGGCAAAAACTGCAATTACTTTTGCATCAACCTAATACTTTTCAGTCACAAAAAAGGATGAAATCTTGTCATTTGCAGCTACATGGATGAGCCTGGAGGACATTATGTTCAATGAAATAAGTCAGTTATATATAGACAAATACTGCATGATCTCACCTATGTGTAGAATCTAAAAAGTTGACTTCATAGAAGTAGGAAAGAGAATAGTGGTTACTAGAAGCTGGGAGGGGCAGTGGGAAGAGTGGGATGTGTGATTGGTCAATGGATACTAAGTTACAGTTAGATAGGAGAAATAAGTTCTAGTGTTCCATTGCACAGTAGATTGACTATAGTTAGTAGTAATATGTTGCATGTTTCAAAATAGCTAGGAGAGAGGATTGTAGATATTCTCCCCATGAAGAAATGATAATTGTCTGTGATAGATATGCTAATTACCCTAATTTGATTGTTACACATTGTATGTATATATCAAAACATCACACTGTACTCCATACATATGTACAATTATTTTGTGTCAATTAAAATAAATTTAAAAATGTAAAAAGCATTAATAAAGACAAGTATTTTAAAGGCCTTCCTTCTTTTCCTTCTTAAACAATTTTTAGCGATGTATTTACACATATTGATATGATCTCAATTAGAAAACAAAATCTTAGAATTCATGTGTCATCAAATTCAACATGAAAAATAGCGCCAACAAATTTTTGCCGATTCTCCCTGGCCCAAGTTCTTAAAATCTGATGATATGAATATAGTTTTGATGAAATAAATCAGTTGATAACATAATGCACTAGATTAAGAAAAGAAAGGAATATATTTTTTAAATCCCTCTTTTTTTTTTCTGTTTCTAATAAAGCTCTTTTTTTTTTTCATCTGCCTGAGACATCCAGTTCTTCCTAGAAACTTTGCTGTCATTATAGTACCTGCAGAGTGATACCACTAACAGACCTGGCTGTTTGTTTCTGAGTAAGAACAGCTGTGCAACAGACTGTCTGAACAGTCCCCATTTCAGGATGCAGCACAGATCTCTGACACTGAGGCAGCACCACACCAGCTGGCTCTGCGCTCGGTGCATTGCTATTCCTGGATGATTTACCTGTTCTCAGTCCTGTCACCTTACTGTTTCTGCCATCTAATTAAGAACCCATGTTATTGAATTCACTCTGCTGCAAATTAGCAATCCTATCTGTGTTCTTTCTGAGCCTAAACTGACCATTTTTACTTTTATGATACATGACTTATTTTTAAATTCATACAAGATGCTTGATTATTTATTTGTGGTATATTTTAGCTCTCTTGTGAAGTCTCGATCAGAGTAATCCTCTTCTAATGTATTCATATAGCGTGAAGATCTAAATTTCCTAATCAAAATCATGTCAGCAAAAGTAGAGCTGCTCTTATGATAACATTTTAGTCTAGAAAATGATTTTCCTTTAAAAGGGATTCAATGGACATGATGACATAAAAAGAAGTGGCAAAATTACACACAATCAGTTCACATAATCAAAACAGCAATGTTTTGTATTCAGCAAGGATTTCTTTTTTACTATAATAAATGGAACAAAATAGTCCTTTTGGAATTCTGCAACCGTGTTACGGCTACAAATGAAATACTACTAGCTTCCTATAGGATTAAGAACAAGCATTTAAAAAACTTGAGCGGAAAGGATCCCATTGAGATATAGTACCTAAATACACGTTTGGATAACATTTAATCACTAACGCTGGTGCTCTACCTTCACTTCAACTTCATTAGGAACTCACTATTAAACCAAGATTAGCTTATTTTTAAAACAGTGCAATTCATGCAAATAGTTCAAATGGTTGCATTTTAATCCTAGTTTTCTGGAAAAGAACTATTATGTTATTCTAACATGCGCTGTGGAAGTGTACACAATCTATGGAGCACTTCTGGATTCATCAGGGAAAGCTGGTCCTGTCTTGAGGAACGCTTTAATAGCCTTTGTGCATATTCTATCAGTATAGTACTCTGAAATTGTATATTATAAGATGCATTTAGTTTCTCGGAAAGATTGAGATTCTGTGAAAACAAGTATCATGTATTGCACATCTTTATAATCCTTGAATCTAGAGTTTGGAAGCCTGACATATGGTAGATGTTCCAAAAATGATTGTTGACTAACTTCATGGAAACTGAAGGGACATTAACTAGAGTTTATATGGACTAAGATACTAAGTTAATTGGCTTCATATAATGTAAAATTATAGTAACATCTAAATCCCCCAAAAAGTAGTCAAGTCATTTACATGAATAGATGTCCATATTTATAATAAAGTTCTGCTTTTTAAAATTCAAGGATCTTTGAAAATTGATCATATGAGTTGGAGACTCAAGTCTAGTCATACTCAAATAAAAAAGAGTTGAGAAGCCAGCGGGGGAAAGCATTCATGGCACTTAACATTGCTCCAAGAGTGTAATTTTCTTCAAGCCTGGCTGCTAAAACTGCATGCTGTAACCTGAAACAATTTTACCTAATGACTTCTGAAACAACCTACTACAACCTTAAGAGTGGTTTTACCCAACATCGTCACTCACCAATCAGAGCTCTCCTTTTTATAAAACTTCCAACTTCCTCTTTGTTCTTTGGACATACCGAAGACCACCTGGTCTGTGTGTATGCCCTGAATTATGATTCGTATATCCCAAGTAAAATGTTAAATTTAGAGATTTTTCTCTACATATTTTATTTGACATTGATAGGTCTCCTGATTTACAATCACCAATTTACATATGAATTTGATTTGGTCAGACAACCACTTCCTACTCAATGATCAAATTATCCTTTGGTCTTTTAACAGTTTTGACTTTAAAGACTTTATTTACACAGTTCATTTCTTCATTTTTTTTTTACCGTGAGCTACAACAAACTGTGTGTGAATTCTGGAACCATTACTTTACATACTGCAGTAGCTATATTTGAGAAGTAGAGATGGAATGACAGAGGAGCCGGCGAATTGAAAAAGTATTGAAGGTATTTCAATACTTTTTCAATACTATTTCAATAGTCAGTGGTTAGGCTGCCTTTATTGTGCGAGGAGTTACTTCAGTCCAGGATAGATATGTACTGCCACAGCTGGCTACAAAAGCTTTTTTCTTTTTTTTTTTTTTTTAAATGAGCCTGGAAATCATCAAGAAATTTTAAAATAGATAGAAGAAAACACCATTGGAAAAGGACTTTTTTCTCCAGAGGACAGGCGGCCTCACTTTCCTTCTCTCAGAAATGATTTATTTCTTTCTCAAACCACAAGGGTGTCGAGAAAAGAAGACTCTGCTTCGTGAAGGCGAACTATATAGATTCATAAAGATTCATAGGTTAGAACAGAGTAGCCTGCTAATGGGAAGTTTTCAGAGACTACTTTGTGAATTCATTACAACTAGCATCACAACTGGCTGAAGTTAAACCAGTAAGTTTATAGCATCTAGGGATCTAGCCAAGGTAGTCAATGAGACAAAAACATAAGTGAACAATAAAGTTATTGATGACCAGGAAGATCATTGGTTTTGTAGTCATTTGGAGACCTCAGTGGAGAGCCTAAAATGCTAAGGAAACAGCTTAAAATGTGGCCGAAGAGAGAAGAAACATTAAGAACATTGAGAACCTATGTTGACAACAGCAGGAGATGGATATAAAAGAGAAAGCAGAATGTCAGGAAGTGCACAAGGTGAAGAGGATAAAGAACAACACACTAGTAAGAAAGTGCTCATATTGTAATGAAAGATCTCTGTGAGTGCATAGAGAGAATCTGAGGTCCTTTATTACTGACAGGTAATGTCAGCATAGGGCCCAAGAACTGGACAATATGATTTGGGAATAAAAAAAGAAGATGGGATGGGCGCGGTGGCTCATGCCTGTAATCTCAACACTTTGGGAGGCTGAGGTGGGTGGATCACCTGAGGTCAGGAGTTCGAGACCAGCCTGGCCAACATGGTAAAACCCCCATCTCTACTAAAAATACAAATATTAGCTGGGTGTCGTGGTGCATACAAGCTACTCCGGAGGCTGATGCAGGAGAATTGCTTGAACCCAGGAGGTGGAGGTTGCAGTGAGCTAATACTGTGCCACCACACTCTATCCTGGGCAACATAGGGAGACTCTGAATAAAAAAAGAAAGGAAGGGAAGGGAAGGAAAGGGAAGGGAGGGGAGAGGAGGGGAGGGAATGCCAGCTCATTGGTCTAGGGGTATTATTCTCGCCTTGGGTGTAAAAAGAAAGGGAGGCCAAAAATGGGGACAAAGACTATGATCTTGCAAACAATTTTCTTACAAAGTTGTGTAATTCTCTGGAGGGACAACATATGTTTTTTTCTTTTTTTTGCTTGTTATAGTAGAAACCTGTGGCTTGTCTTTATGCTTTTTTCTTAATATTTTTGAGCTCAAAAGAGCTTCTTATTCATATTTTTCTGACCCTCATTTAATGTAAAAATTATATTTAATAATATTATGTATCTCTGCTTAAATATTCTTAATTATTATAGATTAAGGTAGACAATTTGAAAATAAAAATAAAAACATGTGTCTAAGTAATTATATACATATAACAATTTCTTTAAGCACAAACATAATTAATTATACATTTATATTTTATATATGTATATATTTATACCTATATATTTTATATAAAATTTATACTTAGATATGAAGTTGCCCACATTAATATGTACATATATTTACTTAACTGTTAATTTAGACATTTTATAACTAATTATAAAAAGTTATAAAATATATTTATGCACTAAAAGTTTTATTTAGTTTCTGAAATCATCAGATTTTTTTCTCCTCTAAATCCTAAAGAACCCCTTCAAATGTTATAAACCATGCACAGCTGAAATTATGAGGGACCCAACCAACATTAGGCATCATGGAATTTATCCAAAATAAAGGACAAATTATTACACCTTACATCATCTATCAGGTAAAAGGAGGCAAAATGCTAGGTGAGCCTCACTGGAATTAGAAGTATCATAGTCTGCACATTTGAATGTTATTCTGATTTACATATTGATGTCATAAAATGCTGCTATTTGGGGCTCAGTAATAGGCTCTGCATCAGGTCTAAATTTTGGAGGCTTGCCACTTTGTCTATATGTTCTGGTAAACCCCATGGTATTAGATGTATCAGTGGTGGAAGCATGGCATATAGGTTTTATATGTCCCAAAGGACAAATCACAACACAGATGGCAAAGGTTTTAAAGCAAGGGCATCCCTTTTGCAGTGAACAATTATACACCTTGTGAAAAACAGCTACTTGTATGCTTCTGGCCATTAGTAGAGAAGATGCCCTACCTGGTTGGTGGACTGAAGAGGACAGAACTGGCCATCTAAGAAAGCCTGACTTGTCAGCATTGTCTATTCCAGAGGACATTGCCTTGCACTTGACTCTTTCACCACTAGTCTGTTAACAAAGACAAATCTTGAAAAAATAATTTTGAATATGCTAAGTTGAACCATATGAAAATTGTGGGGATTTTTGCAGATAAAAATAATATCCCTAATTTCATATATTTCAAACTAGCAGAGAAAGATTAACTGACATTTATTCAGTGCCTAGCATATGCCTAAGATATGATGCCTTCCTCTTTCCCTCCTTCCTTTCCTTTCTCCCCTTCCTCCCTCCCCCCATGTCTCCCTCTTTCTCTTTCTTTCTTCCTTCCTTCTTTACAATATATTTTTCATCTGTTGTATGGTTTGAAACTTTTATTCCTTTTGAGCTACTAAATGCATTTGTATTTTTGCAGCATATACTGTCTTGTATTTTGCAATTATGGTTCATAGTTATGATTTTAAAATTGCATGAAAATCATAACCATCTCAGTTTTAAATGGCCAGCTTACACATTGATACAAAAACTTCTTTTAAGAAGTCCCCCAAATATATGAGGCACACATCAATAAATATATTATTAGAAACATGAAGGCAATAAAAGCAAATGCTAAGGAATTAGTAAATAAAGTTTCCCCGGGTTGAGTACAATTCTAGCCAACAGCACACATTAATGGTTTAGTTGAAAGCATGCCTGACTTTTGGTTCATTCTTTCTTTTTATTGTTAAGGTATCCTAAAGACAAAATAACACCTCTCATACCTAGAATTACCACCAACTAAAATTTTGCACTGCTAAAAATGCACAGAATTGCGGGGGAACTGCCCTTGTCATCTGTTAAGTTATACAAGCACGTATGCTGCTGAGAGTTAAGAAACATCTCTCTTCAAAAGAGAAGGACAAGCTCCAGTACAGGGAAAACCAAACTGTACTATTTTTTTCCCCCTCACAAATGGTACAATAAGGTTAGCCCAGTGATTTTTTATTTAACATAGTTGGACACATTATTAATATTAAGAGGCTTCTTATTCTACTTTATTTGCTATAATAATTGCAGAAATAACTGCAACTAATAAAAAATTCCAAAATATCCATTAAGGAATTTATCATAGATGTAGGCTTTTCATTTCTTGTTTTTAAAATAAGACCTTAACAGGAAGAATTATATAAGTATGAAGAAAAGGACATTAAAAAGCAGGTAGTCCAAGTTCTTTTATTTTTCAGATGAGAAAACTGGTCCAGAGAAGGGGACTTGATGATGCCAGTGACAGAACCAGGATGATAACTCGCATCTCCTGATTCTCTTGCGCTTTATTTCATCACACATATGAAAGAAGATGAGAAACGTTCAGCATTCAGTAGTGGGGACCACTTTGAGATTAGTTTGTCAATTGCCATATAAGTATGCTTTTGCTTGGTATATCTGTGTAAAGCAATATGTACTCTATGTACTAAAGGTACATGATAATTGTGACTTGAGGACAATACAAAGACTGACTGGTTTGTGATTAAACATTTCACATAGTAGTAGGTGCTTGGATATTATTATCTTTAAAACAAATGTAAAACTGATTTCAAACTAAAGCATGAGTATTTTAACAAATATATCAAATATCAGAGAGGAAGGAGGAAGGATTTTAGAACAATGAACCTGGAAAATGTGATTATTTTTGACATGTTTTCACATTCCTACAATACAAGTCACTTGATAAAAATGACCTAAAAAGTTTTTCTTTTTTTTTCTGTGCCATCTTCTCAGCTCCCAACCATGTCATTTTAACTAACAGAACTGCAGCCTATTTGTACTTTTTTCCTTCTGCATCAGTTTCGATTCCTTTTTATATACTTGCTTTTATCTAGGTGTCACATTCTCTCTAAATGATAGATTGTAATCTTAGCCATAGGAAAAAAAAAAGGAAACTTAGAAAATGGATGGATTTGATTTTAAGAGATGTAGGCTAGGCACGTGGCAGCTACAGAGAAGTGAGCCTCTAGTGAATGCTAGCATTATATGTGTTTTATATTAACCCTTGGTTCCAAGCATATAAAAATATTTTGTAAGAAATTTCTTCATGTATTTTGTAAAATTATTGTAAAAGTCCTTCCTCCTCAAGTCTCTGAGGATAATCCAAAATCTTTGGCAGTTTTAAGAATCAGGAATATGAATTTTATTCTCAAATACATTTCATCTCTCACTTTAATTATGTGTAAAGTGGTCATGTATTCATTTATATATATATTTATATATATAGAAAATTTACTAATGTCATATAAAGGAAATATTTAGCAATGTGAATGAGAAATGAATAAAACTTTCATAGAACCTATAGTCTAATAGAGGAGGCACGGAAGTAAAGAGACAATTATAACATAACGTGACAGACCTTAACCATAGGGGTGTAGAAATAGTGCTGGAAGGAATAAAGTTGTGGCTTCTGTAAAGCAGGGACTGCGCTGAAAACATGTTTTGGTTTTGTTAAAAAGAGCATATCTGCTCACTGAGTTGAAGTTCTGTGCATAGACAGATGATTCAAGGATCCTCATTCAATAAATCAGGAAGGCATCATGCTTTCCAGTTCTTATTGACAGTGTGTAAAATAGATTTTAAAAACAGCTGAATCTAGAGGGGGAATGCAGGGCAAATCAAATTATTTAAATGATTTCTCCACCCCAGTGAAGTTTAAAGAACCATATTTAGAAGAAGAATCTAATTTCACATGCAACTGATTAAGTTTTACATGAGTTTGAAAGGGAAATGGTTTGGGGCATGAGAGAAGTCGGGGAAAATGTCAAATTCTGCTGAACCAGATTTCCCAGTGTGGTTTTATTTTCAGTTTGTAATGGAGTTTCAGAGTCTCACACTCACGTTTTAGGTATAACTGTTAACACAGAAACCTATTTAATAGTTATATAAAATATTCTTAATAGTATTAACAATGCAGTTTCTTCATTATTTGAGCAGATGATTGAGAGGTGATTGTTTTGCAATGAGAATCTTCCATAGAATACAATCAGTACCAGTTATTGAGACCTGTGTCAGGCACTGTTCTACCTGCCTTATATGTGTTCATTCATTTAGCTTTATAACATCCATAAAAAGTACAGGAAAATATTATCTCTATTTTATGGATACAAAAAGTTAGGTCAGAGAAAGTGCTTTCCCAATGTCACACACCTATTAAGTGGTGAAAATGTGATGATCTCTTTAAGGAGTCACTTTTCAATCTCAAATTCAGGAATTTAAATTTTGTATTCAAGCTTCCACAGATCTATTTTTAACAATAGGCCTAGATGTTCAGAGAATATTTTAAAATTTTTATGTTTTCTGGATACACTTTATATTAGGAAACTTTGGATTTAATTATCTGAGATGATGTAACCCCACTTTAAAATTTGATTTTATTCAACCAACAGGAATAGCAAGGAGACATGTACTATCAGACATATAATGAAAATAATCATTAGAAGGAAAATTGACATATACTATTTTTAAATAACTCACATTTATTTAGTGTATTACAGTTTACAAAGCACAAATATCTGTCTGTGTTAATCTTACACTTCTTCTTGCTACCATATTTTAATTTGTACCAACATCTTGCTTTATGTATTCTTTTACTTTCTCTCCATGTATTTCCACCAGTTACTCTTTTCTCTATTTTTATTTCTTAGAATATTTTGGTGAAAATTTAGCTCAAAAGTTCTAAATGAGTAAGGTCTTTTTTTCCCATATGCTAATCTTGGGGACTAGTCTTCATTCTGGATCACCGTTATTGATCCACACAGTGGTTTAAGTTTCTTTCTGAGCCTGGGATGGAGACAGGTAGGAAGGCAGAATGAAGTTCTATACACACAGAAGCTTACTGCCTTGGTTGCTACAGACTAACACTCTGCCTATGTTCTTTGTCCCATGTCCCTAGCTTCTAGGGATAGTGCTCTGAAGTGCCCTCAAAGTAATTTTGTTTTAAATCCTATCCTTTCTCCACGTGCCACACAACATTCTGATGTCACTTCTGTTTCCTCACAACAGCAGAGTTGTGACAAGTGTGTATTTGACAATCAAGTGAGACAAGCCCATAAGAGAACTCATTAAGATTTTATCCTGATAATCAGACCTAGAATCTTATTTAAGGGGAAATCAAAAACAACAACAACACACCTATCACATAAGAATCTTAGATCAAAATCATCCAAAATGTCTTCAAATGAGCCACTTATATCCCCAACTTTTTGTTTCGTCGTGTAGATCTTGGTGGGGTATACATATGCACTATGATAGAAAAAATAAGACCTAGTGTTTGATAAATTCGTAGGGTATTATGATTTACAATAATCCATTGTATAGCTCAAAATAACTAGAAGAGAATAATTTGAATGTTTGTAGTGTAAAGACAAATATTTAAGGTGACAGATATCCCAATTATACAAATTTGATCTTTACAAATTGTATGCATATATTGTTATCACATGTATCCTGAAATTATGTACATCTATTATGTATCAGTAAAAAAGAATCAGTTGTGATTTGATCAAGAGGACTAATCTCTTGGGGATTGGAGCATGGGAGGAGGGAGAAGATGGAGTATTTCTATCCCTCCTCTGAATCAGGTTTGCTGCAGTTCCCACAATAATTGTGTTCCTCCATAGCTTTCACTTTCTCTGCCCTATGGTAACACTCTTCCTTCCCTTCAGCCCTGCAACCCAAGGAGGCTAATGGTTTCCCATTCTTGTCAACACCGATGTGTCTCAGACCCTCAGTTGGTTCCATTAATCCTGTCCATACTTATGTTAAATATCTCTTCATTAAATTCTCAGAATTTCAGCTGAGTGTGTCATCTGTTTCCTTCTGGCATCCTCACTGATGTACACCTATTTTAAAACCCTGAATTTCCCTAGTAAGTATCCTAGAGCTAAAGCCTCAGTGAGAACCTGGCTGAGCAGGCAGGTTGCTCAGCCAGGTTCTCTGAGCACCTGGCTGGAGCCAGGCAACATTTGAAGCAAGTACTGCCTAAGCACATTACAATGATGGACAACCTCACAGCCTGGGATGTAGGACATGTCTTCACTGTATTCAGTTCATTCTATATTATTGTTATTTATATGATGCCCCTCTTAGGACCAGATCCTGTATCAATTTATTTTTTTGTTTTTATTTTGTAAGTGGCAGAAAACACTAACTTAAAAAGGCCTAAATCTTAAAGAAGATGCATTATCTTCTGTAATATAAATCCAAAAGCAGGAAAGACTTAGTCAAAATTTTATTAGGGCAAAAATTCTGTTATTTTTGTATCTTCCCTCTTCAGTTGTCATGCTTACTTCATTCTCAGGGTGGCTTCCCTCAGGGTTCCAACATGGTTGCCAAGGGCAAACAGGACTACAAGCTTCTTGATTTACACTGGGAAATAGCCCTTGGCCCCTCACAACGATCATACTCATATCCTTGGCTTTACGGTGTATGACTAACAGCAACAATAATTATTTTTAAAAATTAGGTAGGAGACAAAGATCTCATGTGACTTGGTATAAAAATATATAAATTCTGGATATTTGAATATAAGAGGGATGTTTTTATTTTTCCTTAAATATTAGATGATAGGAAAATACATTCAGAAACTTAACTATATTTTTTGTGACAAAATGACTTTTAATATTGTTTCATAACAACTCTTCCAACTTGTGCCAGCCTACACTTAGCCTTTTTACTTACATTAGCATTGAGAGAAAAGCCATCTTGCTCACAGCATCATTGTTAAATATATATATAATATAAAATATAAATAAAATATGCTTTCATGAGAATAGCAGTGTGCCAAGCTTTTAATTATTTTAAAAAACAGCTATGAAATTAATGCTGCAGGTCGAGTACTTCTAGAGAGTATAGGAAGATGACAATAGACTGATGATATGTCCTGTGAGAAAATGCCTCCACATCTTTAGCTGGGCAGCTTCCCATCCACCACCCACTTCTGCAGAAGATAAGTGTTAGATTCTGTTCCAAAGGGCCATTTCAATTTGTTTCCCAAAGTAAGATTCAAATAACGGTAGTTTTAAGATATGATGGTAAGGTTACATGGTTCAATACATTTAGGAAATGATGAGTTAAAAGCTGGGTTTAAAATGTGTTCATACTTGGATTTCTGAGGACTTTTAATATGAAAATGTGCATTGCAAATGGTTAGATGGTATAGTACACTGTATTTCTCAAATATATGTTTACAACGAACACGTTTTTGAGACTGCTGTTTGAAGGAGTGCACTTAGATAAATGATAGGTTAGGTTACTGACATCTGAGTCTGGTTATCTTGTATTTATATTTAGAATTCACAAATGTCTATATGGTTTGAAAAATTATTTATTCATTCGCAGAAATTTAAGACTGCCTACTCTCTCCCCCTGTTTGATACAGTGAAAGGGGATAAGCAGGAGTTCCATAGACTTAGGTATAATCATCTGTATTAAAACCACTAACATCACTGACAGCCTTTCTTCCAGTTGATCGAATCAGCCACTGAAGCTTGTGCATTCATCACGTGGTTCTCATGCCATGGTTTTCAGCTCCATCAGGTCATTTAAGGACTTCTCTACGCTGGTTATTCTAGTTAGCCATTTGTCTAATCTTTTTTCAAGGTTTTTAGCTTCTTTGCAATGGGTTTGAACTTCCTCCTTTAGCTCGGAGAAGTTTGACTGTCTGAAGCCTTCTTCTCTCAACTTGTCAAAGTCATTCTCTGTCCAGCTTTGTTCCATTGCTGGCAAGGAGCTGCATTCCTTTGGAGGGGGAGAGGTGCTCTGATTTTTAGAATTTTCAGCTTTTCTGCTCTGTTTTTTCCCCATCTTTGTGGTTTTATCTACCTTTGGTCTTTGATGATGGTGATGTACAGATGGGGTTTTGGTGTGGATGTCCTTTCTGTTTGTTAGCTTTCCTTCTAATAGTAAGAACCCTCAGATGCAAGTCTGTTGGAGTTTGCTGGAGGTCCACTCCAGACCCTGTTTGCCTGGGTATCAGCAGTGGAGGCTGCAGAACAGCAAATACTGCTGAACAGCAAATGTTGCTGCCTGATCGTTCCTCTGGAAGCTTCATCTCCGAGGGGTACCCGGCCCTGTGAGGCGTCAGTCTGCCCCTACTGGGGGGGTGCCTCCCAGTTAGGCTACTCGGGGCCCAGGGACCCACTTGAGGAGGTAGTTTGTCCATTCTCAGATCTCAAACTCCATGCTGGGAGAACCACTACTCTCTTCAAAGCTGTCAGACAGGGACATTTAAGTCTGCAGAGGTTTCTGCTGCCTTTTGTTCGGCTATGCCCTGCCCCCAGAGGTGGAGTCTACAGAGGCAGGCAGGCCTCCTTGAGCTGCGGTGGGCTCCACCCAGTTTGAGCTTCGCAGCTGCTTTGTTTACTTACTCAAGACTCAGGAATGGCGGGCGCCCCTCCCCCAGCCTTGCTGCCACCTTGCAGTTCGATCTCAGACTGCTGTGCTAGCAATGAGCGAGGCTCCCTGGGTGTGGGACTCTCCCAGCCAGGCACGGGATATAATCCCCTGGTGTGCCATTTGCTAAGAACGTTGGAAAAGTGCAGTATTAGGGTGGGAGTGACCCTATTTTCCAGGTGTTGTTGTCTGTCACCCCTTCCCTTGGCTAGGAAAGGGAATTCCCTGACCCCTTGCGCTTCCCGGGTGAGGTGATGCCTCACCCTGCTTTGGCTCATGCTCAGAGGGCTGCACCCACTGTTCTGCCCCCACCGTCTGACAAGCCCCAGTGAGATGAATCCAATACCTCAGTTGGAAATGCAGAAATCACCCATCTTCTGCATCGCTCACACGGAGAGCTGTAGACTGGAGCTGTTCCTATTTGGCCATCATCTGCAAAGTCTCAGGATACAAAATCAGTGTGCAAAAATCACAAGCATTCTTATACACCAGTAACAGACAGAGAGCCAAATCATGAGTGAACTCCCATCCACAATTACTTCAAAGTGAATAAAATACCTAGGAATCCAACTTACAAGGGATGTGAAGGACCTCTTCAAGGAGAACTACAAACCACTGCTCAATGAAATAAAAGAGGACACAAACAAATAGAAGAACATTCCATTCTCATGGATAGGAAGAATCAAAATCATGAAAATGGTGGTACTGCCCAAGGTGATTTATAGATTCAATTCCATCCCCATCAAGCTACCAATGACTTTCTTCACAGAATTGGAAAAAACTACTTTAAAGTTCATATGGAACCAAAAAAGAGCCCACATTGCCAAGACAATCCTAAGCCAAAAGAACAAAGCTGGAAGCATCATGCTACCTGACTTCAAACTATACTACGAGGCTACAGTAACCAATACAGCATGGTACTGGTACCAAAACAGAGATATAGATCAATGGAACAGAACAGAGCCCTCAGAAATAATACCACACATATACAACCATCTGATCTTTGACAAACCTGACAAAAACAAGAAATGTGGAAAGGATTCCCTATTTAATAAATGGTGCTAGGAAAACTGTCTAGCCTATGTAGAAAGCTGAAACTGGATCCCTTCCTTACACCTTATACAAAAATTAATTCAAGAAGGATTAAAGACTTAAATGTTAGACCTAAAACCATAAAAACCCTAGAAGAAAACCTAGGCAATACCATTCAGGACATAGGCATGGGCGAGGACTTCATGTCTAAAACACCAAAAGCAATGGCAACAAAAGCCAAAATTGACAAATGGGATCTAATTAAACTAAAGAGCTTCTGCACAGCAAAAGAAACTACCATCAGAGTGAGCAGGCAACCTACACAATGGGAGAAAATTTTTGCAATCTGCTCATCTGACAAAGTGCTAATATCCAGAATCTACAAAGAACTCAAACAAATTTACAGGAAAAAAACAAACAACCCCATCAACAAGTGGGTGAAGGATATGAACAGACACTTCTCAAAAGAAGACATTTATGCAGCCAACAGACACATGAAAAAATGCTCATCATCACTGGCCATCAGAGAAATGCAAATCAAAACCACAATGAGATACCATCTCATACCAGTTAGAATGGTGATCATTAAAAAGTCAGGAAACAACAGGTGCTGGAGAGAATGTGGAGAAATAGGAACACTTTTACACTGTTGGTGGGACTGTAAACTACTTCATCCATTGTGGAAGACAGTGTGGCAATTCCTCAAGGATCTAGAACTAGAAATACCATTTGACCCAGCCATCACATTACTGGGCATATACCCAAAGGACTATAAATCATGCTGCTATAAAGACACATGCACACGTGTGTTTATTGTGGCACTATTCACAATAGCAAAGACTTGGAACCAACCCAAATGTCCATCAATGATAGACTAGATTAAGAAAATGTGACACATATACACCATGGAATACTATGCAGCCATAAAAAATGATGAGTTCATGTCCTCTGTAGGGACACGGATGAAGCTGGAAACCATCATTCTCAGCATACTATTGCAAGGACAAAAAACCAAACACCACATTTTCCCACTCATAGGTGGGAATTGAACAATGAGAACACATGGACACAGGAAGGGGAACATCACATATCGGGGCCTGTTGTGGGTTGGGGGGAGGGGGGAGGGAAAGCATTAGGAGATATACCTAATGTTAAATGACAAGTTAATGGGTGCAACACACCAACATGGCGCATGTATACCTATGTAACAAACCTGCACTTTGTGCACATGTACCCTAGAACTTAAAGTATAATAAAAAATAAATAAATAAATAAATAAAACCACTAACATCTATTGATGTATTGACAGTGTCCCATTATGCTTGGAGCACTATGCTAAAAGTCCCTGACTATAAGGACCTTATTTATGGTTAGAAAGACCAGACCACCAGAAAAAGTAATGAAATCTACCAGGTCATGTTAAGTGACAAATATCATATAGCAGGTGTTCAAGTTAGGGGGTCATGATCAAGGAGTGAAAAGGTGAGAAATGCCTTTTTGAAGAGTATGCGAGTTAAACTGGACTTTGAAGGAAGATCGGGCTTTTAAGATGTCCAGGTGAGAGTGGCATTTTGAGATTCTATGAGAATAGTTTCTCGGATAAACAGGATGAGTCTTCTGAATTAGATTGTGTTTTGCTATCAAACTAATAACCTTATTCTTCATCAATGCAGATAAAGATGTAAAGATATGTAAAAAGATATAATGACAGGGTCTATTGGAGGAGACACAGATATCACCTACTATTTAAAAAGTTCATTATATCAGGAATGGTTTTAAAACATTTATATGACTTTGGAAATAACAGAAGGTATAGCGTTTTGAGTCATTTTGGGGCCATGCCAAATCTAAATGACTATTGGAAATCTAATAAGAACTGAAGTGCTTGTCACAGAAAGCACCTCTTATTGTCATCTAATTTTAGGGTTATTGAATTGGGGTAGTGGAAAATAATGAACACCCAAAATTGTAGATTCTGTAATTTCCCTGCCTTTTGCAATTTTTCTTGGTTTCTTCTACAGCTAAGTTTTCATTTTAAAGAAATACATTTCCTTCCTTTCTAGTAGCAAAGATAAAAACCTTTTAAATCTCTCAAATTGAGACTTTATTTCTCAGCTATCCTGGTTTCCACTAAACCAGAAAAAAAACCTATAAAGTGATCTATAATTATTTCTTTTCTACTTTCAAAAGTTATACAGAATGTTGAGTCCTTTAAATCCTACTTTCTGATTCTGAGAAGTTTATTATTTCATAAGCATTCAGCTGGAGTTGAGGCACCTAAAATTACAAAACCACTTCTAGTCTGTTTTATTCTAGTTGGTCATTTTGATTATTCATTAATACAAGCTGTTGACTCAAATCACTGAAGTCATGTTTCAGTGGTTCACTTACTTCATTTTGGCAAGTGACAAGCCTGACAACATATGAATGTGAAAGTAAATTATCACCCAAAATGTAAGTCATTAATCAGAAACCATAAAATTCTGGGATTTCACTAATACGATTAAACAAATATTTATGGAACCATTAGATTCCAAGGTACTATCGAAGTCACACTTAGGGTCCTGAAGATGGATGAGCAAATCATAGCCCACTTCTATCAAAGGTTTTAATGCTATGCTGGGGAGGCCAAATAACCAAGCAGCAATGAATCAGTGCAAATACACTAAACAATCTTAAGGAATAAAGTGAGAAATAAAAGTAGGGAAAGAGAACAACTGGGTTATTGATCAGGAAATAATCCATGTGATTAAAAAGGAATTCAATTTATGCCATAAAATTAAAGTAAAATTTATATAAGAAAAAGTAGTATCTGGGGAGAAAGGTCCAAGTGATGAGGCTGTCAAGAACAACAATAGATGGATAGGAAAGTAAAGGGCTTCAGAAGATTGTAAGTAATTTCAACTGGATTGCTTCATGGGTTACAAGTGGGGAAGTGGCTGGAGCTAAGGCTCCAGGGTAGGTTGGTATACTGTGAAGTGTCCTAGGAAAGACAGGGTTGGGATTTGGTCTTGATTTGATTGATAGTGGGAAGAGGTTTACTTAAGGAAAATTTATCACTTTAGACAAGTGTAGATAAAACTGCACTTAGCTAAGTTAGGTTACCAGGGTGCAGGATACTACTTTAATCTATGGATAACCTGGGCCATGTGGTAGCAGGAGATTCTTTATGCAAAATAAAATAACTCAGGTCAAAGGTAAGAAGGCATTCGAATCTAACAAAATTTTAACTGACCCTGGATTCATTTTTTCTTATTTCATATATAAAATATTGAAAGTTTCCCTTAATGTGCAGTTTAATGCATATATATGTATATATGTAAATTACAAAGATAGTTATTAAAGACAACAGTAATTTTTTATTGGTTAAAATAATGTGTAAAAGTGTTTCCGTATTAGTGGCTTAAAGGAAAACAAGTATTTGGCCACTAAGCTGTAATTGGCTCTCTACCTCATGCATTGCCTGGAATTCAACATTGCTCCTCATTTATTCTTCCTTTTCCTTCAATATTGCTGTGTGTGGGGATTCAAAGGCATTTTTTCCCTTATTAAGTGCTTGACCACAGTTTGTTTTCCCATATGAAACCAGATTTTACAAAATCTTCCCAGTATTCCCCCATACCTTCCATCAGTTCAACCTCTCTCTCTCTCCCTCCCTCTTTCCTACTTATTCTTTCTCATACACAGAAAGAAAAGATAAAATATAAAATATATTCATTGATTTTACTTCCTAACCAATTAATTACTTTCATTCTGCTTTACTATTTTTGGAGCATAAGTCATTGTTTTTGTGTTAAATTTCATGATTAACTAAAGAGCAATTTCTTTAAGTGACATATTTTATTTGATCCCTTAAAAATATTTCTAATAACGTATATATAAATCTAATAGTTATATAGTGGGCTATATTTTTCTTTTAACATTTTAAAAACATAGGACTTTATAGGAATAGCATTGGATCTGTAAATTACTTTGGGTGGTATGACTGTTTTTACAATATTGATTCTTTCAATCCATGAGCATGGAATGCTTTTTCATTTATTTGTGTCATCTCTGATTTCTTTCATTAGTGCTTTGTAGTTCTTCTTGCAGAGATTTTTCACATATGTATTAGTCCGTTCTCACACTGCTATAAAGAATACTACCTGAGACTAGGTAATTATAAAGGAAAGAGGTTTAATTGACTCACAGTTCCACAGGCTTAACAGGAAGCATGGCTCGGAGGCCTCAGGATCCTTACAATCATGGCAGAAGACAAAAGGGGAGCAGGCGCCTTCTTCAACAAGGTCGCAGAAGGGAGTGTGAGCCTGTGAAGGAGGAACTGTCAAACACCTATAAAACCATCAGATCTCGTGAAAACTCACTATCATGAGAACGGCATGGGGAAACCACTCCCATGATCCAATCACCTCCCTCCCGCCCTATATGGGGATTACAATTTGAGATGAGATTTGGGTGGGGACACAGAGCCAACCTCCTTGGTTAGCTGTGTTCTTAGGTATTTCATTTTCTTTGTTGCTATTTTAAGTGGGATTGTGTTCCTGATTTTACCCTCAGCTGGGATTTTATTGGTGTGGAGGAATGCTACAAAATTTTTTTTTCTTTTTTTTGAGATGGAGTCTCACTCTGTTGCCAGGCTGGAGTGCAATGGTGCAATCTTTGCTCACTGCAAACTCTGCCTCCCAGGTTCAAGCAATTCTCCTGCCTCAGCCTCCTGAGTAGCTGGAAGTACAGGCGCGTGCCACCTTGCCCAACTAATTTGTGTATTTTTAGTAGAAATGGGGTTTCACCATGTTGGCCAGGGTGGCCTCCATCTCTTGACCTCGTGATCCACCCTCCTCGGCCTCCCAAAGTGCTGGGACTACAGGTATGAGCCACTGCAGAATGCTACTAATTTTTGTACATTGATTCTGTATCCTGAAACTTTACTAAAGTTATCCGTTCTAGGGGCATTTTGGTGGAGTCTTTAGGGTTTTGTAGGTATAGAAACACATTCTCAGTGAAGAGAGATAGTTTGACTTATTTTTTTTCTTACTTGAATGACCTTTCTTTTTTTCTCTTGCCTGATTGCCCTGGCTAGGACTTCCAGTATTATATCGAATAGGAGTGGCGAGGATGGGCATCCTTGTCTTGTTTCAGTTCTCAAGAAACATGTAAAGAAGCCTCCTCCTCTAGTTTCTGTAGGATTGGTATCAGTTCTTCTTGTATGTCTGTTAAAATTCAGCTGTGACTCTATCTGGTCTAGGATTTTTTGTTTGTTTTTGATTGAGAGCTTTCTTATTACTGATCCAGTTTCAGAAATTGACATTTGGTTATTCAGGGTTTCAAACTCTTTCTGACTTAATCTTGGAAGATTGTGTGCTTCCATATCATGCTTCACAGAATTAGGAAAAACTATTCCAAAAATCATATGGAACTGAAAAAACCCAAATATCCAAAAAAAAAAAAAAATCCTAAGCAAAAAGAACAAAGTTGGAGACATCACACTATTCTATTTCAAACTATGCTATAAAGCTACAGTAATCAAAACAGCATGGTACTGGTGGGAAAAAAAGACACATATACAAATGGAATAGAATAGAAAACTCAGAAATAAAGCTACACACCTACAGCCATCTGATTTTTGACAAGGCTGATGAAAACCAACAATGGTGAAAGGACTCCCTATTCAATAAATATAGTGCTGGGATAACTGGGTAGCTATATGCAGGAGATTGAAGCTGGACCCCTACCTTTCACTGTATATAAAAAGTATCTAAAAATGGATCAAATTTTTAAATGTAAGACCTCAAACTGAAAATCCTAAAAGATAACCTAGGAAATCCTCTTCTTGACATTGGCCTTGGCAAATAATTTTTGGTTAAGTCCCCAGAAGCAATTGTAACAAAAGCAGAAATGGACAAGTGGGACCTAAGTAAACTAAAGAGCTTCTGCACAGCAAAAGAAACTATTAACAGAGTAAACAGACAGTCTACAGAATGGAAGAATATATTAACAAACTATGTAATTGATAAAGGTCTAATATTCAGAATCTACTGGGAACTTAAACAAATCAACAAGCAAAAACCAAATAACCCAATTAAAAAATGGGAAAAGGACATTAACATATATTTCTTAAAAGAAGACATAGAAGTGGCTAACAAACAGGTGAAAAAATGCTCAACTTCACTAATCATCAGGGAAATGCAAGTCAAAATCACAATGAGATACCATCTCACACCCGTCAGAATGGCTAATATTAAAAAAATCAAAAAGCTGGCAAGGTTGTGGCAAGAGGGGAACACTTACACACTGTTGGAGGGAATTTAAATTAGTTCAGCCACTCTGGAAAACAGCCAAGAGATTTCTGAAAGTACTTGTAACAGAGCTACCATTAGACTCAGCAATCCCATTACTGGGTATATACCCAAAGGAAAATAAATCATTCTACTAAAAAGACACATGCACTCATATGTTCATCCCTGTGCTATTTGCAATAGCAAAGACATGGCAACCGAGGTGCCCATCAGTAGTAGACTGGATAAAGAAAATGCGGTACATATATACCATGGAATACTACAGAGCCATAAAAAAGAATGAACCATGTCCTTTGCAGCAACATGGATGCAGTTGCAGGCTATAATCCAAGCAAATTAATGCAGGAACAGAAAAATAAATACCACATCTTCTCACTTATAAGTGGGAACTAAACATTGAGCACACATGGACATAAATATGGGAACAATAGCCGCTGTGGACTACTAGAGGGGTTGGGAGGGAGGGAGAAGGGCATGTGTTGAAAACTGTAGGGTAGACTGGGCATGGTGGCTCGTGCCTGTAATCCCAGTACTTTGGGAGGCTGAGGTGGGCAGATCACGAGGTCAGGAGTTCGAGACCAGCCTGCCCAACAGAGTGAAACCCTGTCTCTACTAGAAACACAAAAAATTAGCCAGGCGTGGTGGTGTGTGCCTGTAATCCCAGCTACTCAGGAGGCTGAGGCAGGAGAATCGCTTGAACCTGGGAGGCAGAGGTTTCAGTGAGCTGAGATTGCACCACTGCACTCCAGCCTGGGCAACAGTGTGAGATTCCATCTCAAAAAAAAAGAAAAAGAAAACTGGAGAGTACTATGCTTACGACCTAGGTGATGGGATCTGTACATCATGCAACATTCCTATGTAACAAACCTGTACATGTACCCACTGTTTCTAAAATAAAAGCTGAAATTAAATAAACAAATAAGTAAATAAAAAAATAAAAGTGATGTTTATACTATAGGAAGGTTAGATGACATACAGGACATCCAGTTAAATTTGAATCTCAGATAAACAGCCAATAATTTTTAGTATAGGTATGTCCCTGCAACATTTGGGGCCTTCTTATAGGAAATTATTTGGCATTTATCTGAAATTTAAATTTAATTGTTATGTTGTATTTTTTTCTTTATTTGTTTGTTTGCTAAATCTGACAACCATCTATATCATTTAAATGTAAAATAGGGCCAGGCGCTGTGGCTCACACCTGTAATCTCAGCACGTTGGGAGGCAGAGGCAGGCGAATCACATGAGCTCAGGGGTTTTGAGACTGGCCTTTGAGACCAGCCTGGCCAACATGGCGAAATCCAGTCTCTAATAAATATAGAAAAAATAGCTGGACGTGGTGGCAGGCACCTGTAATCCCAGCTACTCAGGAGGCTGAGGCAGGAGAACCCCACTGCACTCCAGCCTGGGTGACAGAACAAGGCTTTGTCTAAAAATAAAATTAAATAAATAAATAAATAAATAAATGTAAAACAATTATTCTCCCTTCATTGAGAGATTTTTTTTAGGTCTAAGCTGCTGAGTTCATTAAGACATTACTACAGGTATTTAGCAGAACTCCACCAATTGGAAAGAATGCATAGAAATGCTTTTCCCACACCTCAGCCAATGTAAACAATTTTTTGTTTGTTTGTTTGTTTGTTTGTTTTTTAGATAGAGTCTTGGTCTGTTGCCCAGGCTCGGCTCCCTGCAACCTCCACCTCCTGGGTTCAAGCGATTCTTCTGCCTCAGCCTCCCGAATAGCTGGGACTACAGGCACGCACCACCACACCCAGCTAATTTTAGTATTTTTAGTAGGAATGGGGTTTCACCATGTTGGCCACGCTGGTCTTGAACTCCTGACCTCAGGTGATCCACTGGCCTTGGCCTCCCAAAGTATTGGGATTACAGGTGTGAACCACCAGCCTGGCCCCAGTTTTTGATATCAATTAACAATAAAGGAATTGTAGTCTTCTTAATAAAATAAACCAAATCTCACTAAATAATGGAGGACATGGTGGCTCATGCTTGCAATCCCAGCACTTTGGGAGGCTGAGGCAGGCGGATCACCTGAGGTCAGGAGTTTGAAGCCAGCCCGGCCAACATGGTGAAACCCCCTGTCTACTAAAAATACAAAAATTAGCCAGGCGTGGTGGCAGGTGCCTGTAATTCCAGCTACTCCGGAGGCTGAGGCAGGAGAATCACTTGAATCTGGGAAGCAGAGGTTTCAGTGAGCTGAGATCACACCACTGCACTCCAGCCTGGGCGACAAGAGCAGAACTCTGTCTCAATAATAATAATAATAATAATAATAATAATAATAGTTAATATTTCTTGAGGTAAAATACAAAATGCTGACAACTCTACTTCCTAAAATCCTTTAGAAAATTTTACTATTCTTCTGAAACTCTATGAGCCCTCAACTCAAGATATTTCATTGCTTTTAGGTAGTTCAGAACTGGAACTGTGTATTGGCACATTTTCTAGCTTTCAGAAGGACAAAGATAATGTTAAGGTCAGTTTATCAACATGGGTTTATCTTTGCTTATCCAATTACTCCCAAACTAAGTTGATCTTAATTTTCTTTATTCTTTCTTTTTTGTTATTCTTTTTTTTTTTTTTTTGACATTGACAGAGTCTCACTCTTTTCCCCAACGCTGGAGTGCAGTGGTGCAATCTTGGCTCACTGCAGCCTCCTCCTCCTGGGTTCAAGCAATTCTCATGCCTCAGCCTCCTAAGTAGCTGGGACTATAGACATACACTGCCACACCCAGCTATTTTTGTATTATTAGTAGAGATGGGGTTTCACCATGTTGGCCAGGTTAGTCTTCAACTCCTGACCTCAGGTAATCCACCCATTTCAGCCTCTGAAAGTGCTGGGATTACAGGCATGAGCCACTGCGCCCGGCTGACCTAAATTTTCTGTTGAGGAACAATTTCTATTATACACTGAGTGGAACTTTCACTAATACAATATATAACCAACATTTACAAATTATAAAAATAATGTTGATTGATGTCCACTTTTAGGAAGATAGACAGACTTTTCCCTAAGACTGAAAACCTTGGACATTATATATAAAATAAACATAAGATGACTCTGAAAACTGAATTGAAAAAGCCATGCTGCCTAGAGGCTTTGGGACTAAGGGCCTATTCTCTATTTTTCCTTTTTGTTTCACGTATCTCAGATTTGGAACTGAAGAAGTTGGTAAACTGGAAATACCAATGGGTGCAGACACAAAAAGCTCCAATAAAAGTCTGTTCTTGCTCGGGAAGGGGCAGTCTAGCAAGACTGGAAACTATAGACAATAACTGCTTTACATCAGCCAAAACATAGTAGAAAAAAATGTGGCCCCACCCTACTCATACCAGCAAAGGCTGAGCCAGGACCCTAGACTGCCACCCACTCTAGGCTGCAATGATGTACCTCAAATGCCTTGCCAAAATGGTATCAGAAAAGGCTGATACCTCCTTTTCCCTCCCCTCAAGCAGTAATGAACCCTCTCCCACAACCTGTTCTGTACTCCTGCCCTATGATGTCAGTAGAGATCACTTGGAAAGCCTACCTTGCCTTAATGAGGTACGAGGGCAATCTCCCTGATATGGCTTGGGTGTGTCCCCACACAACTCTTACCTTGAATTGTAGCTTCCATAAATCCCATGGCTTGTGGGAGGGACCCAGTGGGAGGTAACTGAATTATGGGGTGGGGTCCTTCTCGTGATGTTCTCATGATAGTGAATAAGTCTCATGAGATCTGATGATCTTATAAAGGGAAACCCCTTTCACTTGGTTCTCATTCTCTCTGACTTCCCACCATGTAAGTCATGCCTTTCACCTTCTGCTATGATTGTGAGGCCTCCCCAGCCACGTGGAACTGAGTCCATTACACTTCTTTTTCCTTATAAATTACCCAGTCTCAGGTATGTCTTTATTAGCAGCATGAAAATGGACTAATACACTGGCTCCTAGCCAGATCTTTCCATCCTTTTCTTTCCATCCCTGTGGTGTTAGTAATGAAGCACTCCAACCTTTCAGCCAGCAATATAACAGTAGAAATAAAAAGGAACCCAAAGCAAGTGGAAGAAAAGAAGGAAGAAAGAAAATTAATAAAGAGTAGAAATCAATGAAATTGAAGGAAAAACAGTAGAGAACTATTCATGAAATAAAGAACCAGTTGTTTGCAAAGGTCAACAAAGTTGAAACCTCTAGTAAGTCAAAGAAAAAAAGAGAGACAATACAAACTACCAATATCAGGAATGAGAAAAGAACATCACTACAGATTCTGTGGACGTCAAATGAATAATCAGGGAATGCTACAAAAATTCTATACATATAGGCTTGACAATTTAGATGAAATGGGCTAATTCCTCAAAAAATGCAAACTACCATAACTTATCAAACATGAAATTGAAAATGAAAATAACCCTATAACTAACAAGGAAATCAGATTTGTAATTGATAAAGCAATTTTCAAGCCCAGACGGTTTCACGGGAGAATTCTACCCAATATTTAAAGAATTGTTAACACCACTACTACACAATTTCTTCCAGAAAATAGAAGAGAATACTTGTCAATTCATTTTTGAAGCTAGTATCCCCAGTACAAAAGTAGAAAACTAGACACCAATATCCCGCATGGATGTAAATGCAAAACTCCTTAATAAAATACTGTTATGTGATGCACAGCAATGTTTCAGTCAACAACAGACTGCATATATGACAGTAATCCCATAAGATTATAGTACCAGATTTTCAATACACCAATACTTAGCAATGTGCTATAACTGCCTACAGTATTCAGTACAGTAACATGCTGTACAGGTTTGTGACCTAGGAGCAATAGGCTATACTATATAGCCTAGATGTGTAGTAGACTTCATTATCTAGTTGTGTAAATATGCTCTATGGTGTTTGCACAACAAAATCACCTAATGACACATTTTTCAGAATATATGTCTGTCACTAAGTGACACATGACTGTATCAGCAAATGTAATTCACCATCGTATAAAAGAAGTTATACACTATGACTAAGTGGGGTTTATCCCAGTGATGCAAAGCTAGTTCAATATCCAAAAGTCTATCAATATAATCTTTACCATATTAAGAGGTAAAGAGGAAAAATCACATGACCATGGCAATTGGTTCTTAAGAAGGATTTGACAGAATTTAATACCCATTTGTGATGAAAACTCTGAGAATTCTGGAAATGAGGCTAAACTTCCCAGACTCGATAAATGGCATCTACAAAATGCTTTCAGCTAACCTTATACTTAATGATTAAACACTGAATTCTTTCTCCCAAAGTTTGGGAAACAAGGATGTCTGCTCTCACCACTCTTATTTCACAAAGTGCTGGAAGTTTTAGATGTATAATTTAAAAAAATTAAAACACAGATCAGAAATAAAGAAATAAGACTGTCCCATTTGCCAGTGCCATGATTGTCTACCTATAAAATTCCAAAGAAGCTACCAAAAAACCATTCTATAAACCTGATAATAAAGTTCAGCATGTTAAGTATAAGTTAAATATACAACAAACAATTGTATTTCTAAATGCTACTAATGAATTTGTGAACATCAAAATTAAAAATACAATACCATTTAAATTCACTTCAAATAAAATGATTAAGTGTAAATCTAATAAAACACAAAACTTGTATGAGGAAGACTGTAAAACATTGGCAGCAGAAATCAAGAAAATCTCAACAAATAGAGGGGGGTACTCTGTGCATTGGGAAAGTCAAAGCAGTATAGATGTCAATTCTCCTCAAACTAATATGCAGATTTAATCCAATTCCTATCAATATTCCAGCAATACTTTTTGTAGATATAAATAATACTATTATAAGTCCATACAAAAAGTAAAAAAGAAAAAACTAGACTAGGTAAAGCAATTTTGAAAATAAGAATAAAAATATAATTCTTATTCTTATATTCTTCTTTTTATAATGCCACAATAGTCCAAGCCTGTGTGGTGTTGGTGGAGGGACAGTCACATAGATCAATGGACCAGAATAGGGAACCCAGAAATAGACCCATGCAAATATACCCAAGCAATTTTTGAAAAGGGTGCAAGAGCAATTCAATGGAGGAAAGATAGCCTTTTCAATAAATGATGCTAGGGCAATTGAACATCCATAGGTCAAAAAAATAAACCTTGAGCTGAGTCTCGTGCCTTATATAAAAATTAGCTCAAAATAGATCATGGACTTTAATGTAGCATATAAAACTATACAATGTTTAAAATAAAACATAGGAGAAAGTATTCAGGATGTAGGCTTAAGGCAAAGAGTTGTTGGCTTGACACATGAAGCAAAATCTATAAAGCTAAAAATGAATAAATTTTACTTCTTCAAAATTGTAATTTTACCTATGAAAGACTCTTTAAGCAGATGAAAAGACAAGGTACAGATTGTAAGAAAATATTTGCAAACCAGATATTCATTAACTATCTAGAATATGTAAAGAACTCTTAAAAGTCAACAATAAACTAAACAAAATACAACAAAAAATCCACTGGAAAAATGGTCAAAAGATATGGAAAGACATTTCATTGAAAAGGACACACATATGACAAATACAGATAGGCAGAGATGTTCAACGTCATTAATCATTAGGGAATTGCAAAGTAAACCGACAATGACAAAATAGTAAGAAGCCAAGCCCCGTACTGGGAAAAAAATATTTGCAAAATATATATTTGATAAAGGACTGCTATTCAGAATATATAAAAGAGGCCGGGCACGGTGGCTCATACCTATAATCCCAGTACTTTGGGAGGCCAAGGTGGGTGGAATACTTGAGGTCAGGGGTTCTAGACCAACCTGGCCAAAATGGTGAAAACTCGTCTCTACTAAAAATACAAAAAATTAGCCCAGCGTGGTGGCACCTGCCTGTAGTCCCAGCTACTCGGAAGGCTGAGGCAGGAGAATCACTTGAACCTAGAAGGCAGAGGCTGCAGTGAGCTGAGATCGCACCACTGCATTCCAGCCTAGTCAACAGAATGAGACTACACAACAAAACAAAGAAACAAACAAATAAAAACAAAGAAAAAAAAAAGCCCACAAAATATACAAGGGAATCTTAAAACTTAACAACAAAAAAATGAACAATCTGATTTAAAAATGGGCAAAACAAGCCCGGTGGCTCATGCCTGTAATCCCAGCATTTTGGGAGGCCGAGGTGGGTGGCTCACCTGAGGTCAGGAGTTCAAGACCAGCCTGGCCAACATGGTGAAACCCTGTCTCTACTAAAATACAAAAATAGCTGGGTGTGGTCGTATGCGTTTGTACTCCCAGCTACTAAGGAGGCTGAGGCAGGAGAATTGCTTGAACCCAGAGGTTGGAGGTGTGCAGTGAGCTGAGATCATGCCGCTGCACTCCAGCTTGGGCAACAAGAGTGAAACTAGAAAAAAAAAAAAAAAGAAAGAAAGAAAAAAAAGAAAAGGGCAAAAGACTGCAGCCTAAACAAGCTCTTAACAAATAAGATATACAGATAGCATATGACAAGATGTTCCATATATGTCATAGAAAATTACAAATTAAAATAATGAGATATCACTATACACATATTGAAATGGCCAAAATTCAATTCCGTGACAACACCAAATGCTGGTGAGGATGTAGAGCAACAAGAATTCTAATTCATTGCTGATAGGAGTGCAAAATAATTTAGTCACTTTGCAAGACTGACAGTTTCTTAGGAAACTAAACATACTCTTAACATATGATCCAGAAATTGCGTTCCTTGGTATTTACCCAAATGAATAAAAAAACTTACATCCACACAAAAATCTGTACTTGCATTTTTATAGCAGCTTTATCAATAATTGTCAGAACTTGGAAGCAACCATGTCTCTCAGTAGGTGAATGAATAAATAAATCGTGGTACATCCAGAGAGTGGAATATTACTCAGCACTAAAAAGAAATGGGCTGTCAAGGCCAGACGAGACATACAGGAAAACTAAATCATATTAGTAAGCAAAAGAAGCCAACCTGAAAGAATTATATATTGTGTGATTCCAATTATAAGACATTCTGGAGAAATCATAACTATGGAGACAGTAAAAAGATCAGTGGCTGCCAAGGGTTAGGAGGTAGGGAGAAAGAATAAATAGAGCACAGAGGATTTTTAGAGCAGTGAAATTATAAAGTATGATAATGCATGTCATTATATTTGTGTTACTATACCTTTGTACAACACCAATGGTGAATACATGTTATTATACTTTTGTTACTATACCTTTTCCCAACACCAAGAGTAAGCCCTAATGTAAACTATGGACTCTGGGTGATAATAACGTGTCAATGTAGGTTCATTGACTGTAACAAATCTATCACTGTGATGTAGAATATGAGTAGTGGTGGAGGTTGTACATGTGTGGGGACAGGGGACATTTGGAAGTTCTCTGTACTTTCTTCTCATTTTCTCCGTGAACCTAAAACTTCTCTAAGAAATAAAGTTTATTAATGTAAAAAAACCCAAGATATCATATAAGCCTCTCAGAATGACTAAAATATAAAAGAGTGACAAGACCAAATGTTAAACAAGGCTTCAGAGAAACTGGATAATTCATATATTGCTGGTGGGAATATAAAATGGTACAGACACTCTGGAAAACAGTTTGGCAGTTAAAGAACTAAACATGCAACTACCATATTAACTGTCGATTACACTCCTGGGCATTTATCTCAGAGAAATGAAGATTTATGTTCACACAAAAACCTGTGCATAAATGTTGACAGCAGTTGTATTTGTAATCTCCCTACACTGGAAATTACCCAGACATCCTTTAACAGGTGATTGATTAAACGAACAGTGGAACATCCATACCGTGGGATATTACTCATCAATAAAAAGGAAGGAAATATTAATACATGCCACAACCTGGATGACTCTCCACATAATTTTGCTGGATGAAAACATCCTAAAAAGTAACGTACTTTATGATTCTGTTTATATAACATTATTGAAATGGAAAAATTACAAAATAGAGAATACATTAATGGTTGACAATATAGGAAGAGGGTGGAGGTGGGAGGAAGTGGATGTGGTTATATTTGGCAGCATGAGGGATCCTTGTGGTGATATAAATATTCTCTATCACACTGTCAATGTCAACATCTTGGTTGTGATATTGTACTGTAGTTTTGCAAAATGTTATCATTGGAGAAAACTGGGGATAGACTCTTTCTGTATTATTTCTTACCATTGCATATGACTATACAATTATCTCAAAATAAATAATTTCACTAAAAAGCAACCTGGATTCTGAAGACAGATAAAGCAAAAAATGTTTCACAACTAAGAATCTTAATAGGAAAAGACATCAGAGCATCTGCATCAACAAATTTAGAGGAATCAAAGTTGGTGAGAGATCACAACAGACTCCATTTCAGACATTTTCCCCTCTACTAGAATACTTCTCAATTAATTCTTTAAGAATATTTAAGTTAAAGTCATCAAGTTTCTACTTTTGTGACTTTGATGCTCAGCTGAATTGATTTTGAGGCTTATATCCATGTATTTACTTAAGGCTATTTTGGGTGGATTTCTGTAATTCTTCACATTGAAGAAAGAGGGTTTACTAAATATTTAATGTGGAGAGGGAGAGCATTCTTTATAGGTCATTTCAAGGAATATATTTGCTTTTCACAGAAATTATTCAGGTGCTTGTATTGAAAAGATTCTAATTTTTTTCTTAAATGTACGTAACTCAGGTATAGAAACAGGCACAATTTTTCATTTTTATTATTTTTTTTTTGGTATTAGCTTTCCTAACTTTTTGGAAACAGCTGAATTCAGGTTTGATTACAACTGATGGCAGAAAGATGCTAAAGGAACTCATGACATCTTGAGAAATCTAGGAAGTGTCATCAATACTATTTTTACTTGTCTATCTTTGCTCATCTCAACCAGTATTATTTTTGAGCTAAACCAAGGTTAAAAATGTAATTATGTTAAAGATTTGGGAATTACTGAACATTTGTATGGTCTGCTCTCATTTTCCCCTTTCCATTTTGCCGGTGATATGCTTATTAAGAACAATTACTGTAGTTTGGTGATTCAGCTAGTGGCTGGTCAGAAGTGATTGCCAAGACTCACCTGTAAGCTTCTTCTGACATTTTCCTCCAATTTTACTTGGATACGATATGACGAAGATGAAACAACAAAGCTAAAATAAAACAGAAGGTAGCTGGCTCTTCTAGTGTCCGAATCAGCTCAATTTCTCTGTTGGTTTCTGAGAATATTTGCTTCCATGTTACCTCAAAAGCCAAAAATCGAGTTATGCACATTGACTACACGGAACCAGTAGCAATATTATAGGTTCTTAAAGAGCCTACAATAAATGTCTGTATTTCAACTGGAAATATAAAATGTTGAAAATGTTATTTTCTTCATAAGCTAAGAGTTCTATTTTGCAAAACCATGTATTTTTCCCCTCTGTTTTGTTTTGTTTTTACCTCAAGGCTTTTATCAGAGCTTTTGATGTATCAGCATATAGAATGTTTAAATAAGTGAATGGATTGTTTGGAAAACATGCCAAGACTGGACAAAAAGGTGGTTGAATTTGGAAATGTCTTCTTAAGAAAATCATTGTTCATGCTGCATCACAAATTGTCATGTTCCTAACATATAGCTATATACAGACACAGGACCCAAACTTATCAATTTTTGAACTATATGCTTTATATTTTAAGGTGTCATTTATTATAACAGTTAATATCATAAAGACAAAACATATTATTCCATCCTTGCCCTTGCAAGTGTGTCCTCCTGTTTACGGAATTAATATTTTCTAAGACAAGATCTATTGAAACATATTGTTTATTTCTGCTTGCTTGTAGAAGGTTATTTTTTTCAGGAGACACATTAATAGATAGTTTTGTGTATAACTATGACAAATAACATGGATGGTTGATTACCTAAGATAATACTTATTAAAATGTGAGACCTTTAGATGCAGTCTGGGGGATCCATTTAAAAATAGGACTGTTTATTAGAACTCTATAACCTTAAATTTGTAAGGAACTCGAAATTGTCTTTGAAGCACAGTGATTTAAATATTGGATAGCAATAAGTGTAGAAGCCCAAATATATGCTTCAGTTGGTCACTAAATTAATCTCTAAACTTTAAAACAAACAGGTGATAAAGGTAGACAAATTAGAGTTATTTTGTAAAGAAAAGAGAAATCTGAGGGACATTAAGTGATCTCAAATAAATTGGTGATATAAGTAGTTTCTTCTTCCATTAAGGAAATGATGAATACCGTATAATTTGGCATCCAAACTGGGATATGTTTGAAAGTGAATGAAGCCTATTAGTAATTAAACAGGCATAAAGGCATAAAGTCAAAATAGGCATAAAGCAGGATATATAGTTACCATAAGAATTATTTCTCCATTTATTAATTCAACAGACACTTTGCTAAGTAATTAGGTAAAAAAATGAAGAAGATAAATTCCTGTCCCCAAGATTAAGACCATGTAGGTGAAACATATATGCTTTTATTAGGAACTAAGATAAAACTCTTTGTAAGGAGCACAAAAGAAAGGTTTCTATCTCTTAAACATGATGGGCAAAGATACTGTTAAGTCTTTAAAAATCCATAGAGTTGAGAATAACACTCTCACTCCCATTTGACAGCTGGGGAAACTGAGGCTCATGCTACTCAGCAGGCTAATAGCAGATTTGAGGCTAAAGCATATGGCTCCTTGAGTTCCCGTCTATAACTGTTCATTCCACTATGTTATCCTTACGGGAATTGCCAGAAGGAAAAGATATGAAATGCTAGAGATTTGGTTTACTTTTCTGTGGATACAAAGGATAGCGTGAAACTTATTTGTGATTTATTTTCCTCCCAATGAGAGAGAAGATCTAAATGGCCCAACTTAGCCACTTGTAACCTGCTTTTTAAAGCTTTGAGATATCGTTTTTTTTTTGTTTTTTTTTTTTTTGGAAGACGCTAACACAAATTTTTCTTGTGAGTCAAATCTCATGACAAGGGGAATTGCAATTTGCATACTGCATTACACTGAGGTAACCGAGTCTTTCACTATACTGCATTAGAATTCGAATTTTATTATATACAAGTATAGCAAAAGCAGACTCAACTGTGTATACTTAACTGAAGTCCATTATGAAAATATTTTTCAGAACATGTTTTATTATATCTTAGTAACCTACTTGCTAGCAGGATGTGCTAGCCCATAATATCTAGGGTGAGCGTGCCATCATGTAGGAATAAACTCACTTAGGCACACATAAAGTTGTCAAGCTATTCTGCCATTCATTATTTATCCACTGCTACTCATTTCATTATTTGTTTAGTTAACTCTTTTTTTAAGTCATTCATAATATAACCATTAAATCAATCAAACTAATCTATCAATCAAATCAATCAAACAACACTAATACCTGAACCCTGTTTTTAGTATCACTTCTTGTTGTGATTTTAGTATAAAAATATTAAGTCTTGGAGATGGCTTATCAGTTCAGTGTGTTTATTTGGAAGATAAAATTTTGAAGATAAAAAATGGTAATTATAAAAAAGTAATAAAATGTACTGTCTTTGAGGAGGAAAGTGCAGCACTTAGACAAGACAATAGCCTACGTTCTCTGACTGATAGGAGGATATCACATTAGATGAAAATGATAAGATTTAGTAGACTGAAGAATAACTTCCCCTTGACAGTGCCCTGACCCTTGACCTGTGTCCTGACTCTTGTTGGCTTCACTAACACAGGGCAATTGTCACAGGTGTAGGATAAAAGACATTTCTGTAGAAGCTACCAACAGTTAGAGATTTATTTCTTTTGATTATCACTAATGTGCTGTTGGGATAAAACCGTAAGTTGTGACCTTCTCTGAGCTATAAGGACATAAAAATTTACTCACAAGAAAGCAAAATTCTAAATGCAAAGAGCTTTCTTTATTGTTTGGCTGGAAGAGCGCTATGTAACAGAGAAGGTACATGCATCGAGGCAAAATGATGGCAAATGTGTTATTGTCATTACCCTGAAAACGTGTTTCAAACATAATTGTGATACAGATCTAATAAAGAATATTCCATTTATCCCTGCATTTTTATAATTCTTAGTAAACTCTTACCATGTCATACCCTGGAAGTTTGTCCTGTTCTGAAATTATTCTTTTGATTTATATGCTAATCATCATTTAAAAAAATCAGTTCTTTGACTTTTATTTAAATTTTCTGAAAGTGGTAGCTTTGTGAGTACTTACGGATGATGTGGTAACAATTGTGATTTCTCATGAAAGTTAATGCCTCCTGCTGTAAGAAAATATATTGTATACTCCTTTTTAAGTAACACAAGCAAGAAATTCAGAAAATACAGTGAAGCACAATGAGTTATGTGAATCCATGTTATAAGAGAAGAATATTGCAAGGGAAAAACAAATAACTGTGACAACCATTAAAGTAAGTAAATCCATGATTGAAAAGGAAAAAATACCTGCAGAAGAATGAATTTTACAGGTAAAATGAAAATGACTTCACAATTCATTAAAATAAAGTCAAAGCAGCAACCTGATAGTGTTTCCCAATGTTTTATCATGAAGGAAATGGAGTCAAGTTTTTGAACACTTGACATGATAAAGTGATGTATTTCATTATTCTGTTTAGGGGGCGAGGGGGATGTAACACAAGAATCATCCAAATGTTTGTCACTTAATGTAAAAAAAACCGTAACAATTTCCTTGCCATAATAGATTTCCAGGACCCAATTGCTATTCAAAACTGTGTGAAAGGCATAAAATACTTTTAAATTCATTGAGGGTTCTTATTCAGGTCATAGGTCTTGCCCTTCAACATTTTTTATCCACAGCATGTTTTGATGACACAAAATTGGTATATCTAAGCTTTAGGATACTCAGTCAAGGAAAATACAAAGATTACGTTTATCATAAAGTGATTCTATAGGTAAACTACTTCAACTGATTTAGTAAAGGTGTAGCTAAACCCATTTGTTTCCAAAATATCACACTTTCTTTTTATTAAATCATGAAAATAAGGGATTATAATCATGTAACTTATTGTCATGCATACTTGCTAAAATAATGCCTTCTTCCCAGACTACCATCGTTGCAAATGTGATGAGATCATCAGGTAACAGAGTAGGATATGAAGGCTTAGCGTGCTGTGTTGTTAGCACATTAAAAAAAGAAATTGCTGGGATAATTAACAACTACCTATTTGTCTGTGGGATGCATTCATTATGGCTCTACAAATTGGAGGTCTCCAAAATCTGTGCAATAAAATTTACTCTTTGTTCGCGAAGTTCCCCTTGGATTTGGGGAAAATTCTGGTTTGCTGTGTCTATTGTAATTGTGACAGGCAGTTGACATGTCTCATAGTCTAAATGTAGTGGCAAGCAGGGGGTGGTACAATGATGAAAAAACTGCCATTCATTCTTGTGCAAAGGAAAGGTGTTTCTTAGCATATTCCAACCTATGTTCAGACTAGAGTTGGGTCTTTGGGGTTGAAGGTCAAATCTGTGAGGTCAAAGCTATTTCTTGTCAATCTTCGTTCACTAATGACACATGAATTGGAAATTAGAACAAAGTAAGTAAAACGAATAGCCAGAAGGTGAGTGTCTGTTTTATTACTCAGAAGAGCTGGGAAATCTGGCCAATTGTTGCCCTATGTGGCTTGAATGACAGTTGTTAAGTTGAAAAAGGGACAGTGTGATGGGAATGCCACTTTAAATCTCAATTACCTCCTCCACTCCAATCAGCTTGGTAGAGCTTTAATGAAGTGCAATTCTCTGTCCTTTTCCTCATACTTCTATCTCTAGAATAAGCCTCACATTCAAGTTTGACAGCAGTACAATCAGTTTTCCATTCATCACTGGCCCTGTTTTAACCCTGCTGAAAAAGGGCCTAATGTACGTGGCAGTGATGGCAATTAGGCAGAAAAGTAATATTAGAAACAGACAAAAGCCTGAGTCTTTTAGCATTACAGGTGTTTTTTTTTTTTTTTAGCCCGTTCTAGACATAAAGGAATAGGCAGTGTTGTTAAGTTCCCTTCTTCAGTCTTCTCTTAAGCTGAAAGTCCAACGATTTCAAGATTCAATTAATTAGAGACATGGAGAGCCAAAGTACAAGGTAAAAGCTAAGTTCTTTCTAACTGAAGACACACTTAGTAATTGGCCCCTTATTCAAATGGATATCTTCTGGGTGTATGTTTAATAAGGTTGATAAAAACTCGTCATTTCCTCATTAGGATAGCACATGAATACACTCTGTATGTAGAAAAGAAATCTTAAAGAGAACAAACAGGAAAATATCAATCTGTTAAATATAGGAATGTAAAACATAAAAATTGAAAAGCCTGAGAACTATAACTTTGCAGGATGGTGGGGGGGGGGTGGGTATGTTAAATGCATTGTGTGTGTGTGTCTGCACGCGCGAATGAATGAGTGTGTAAGCTGAGAATTTTTTTTTAAGACAAGTCTTGGCTCTTCAATCAGTTTATCTAGGAATGTAAAATATTTAAGCATTTGAGTTTTATAACCTGGATCAACGGTGTTTACTATGACTTAAAAAAAAAACACCAAGATTGATGACACATTTAAATGGCTTTCTCATATGGAAACAAAAGCAAGGTTTCCAAATCTATACATTTGTGTCTGCATATGTAAGTATCCATGTAATAATCATGCATGTATCTTTACACAGAAAAGTCACATATATGTGTTTAGGTACCCACAGTGTATTCTTTCATCTAATTCTATTTGTAAATGTGTCCATACAATGTGTGAAATCTTAGGAAAGAGAAAAGTTCATATATTTTTGTGCATGCATTTAATTGTTATATATGTTTTCCTAACGGTTCTTTTTATGCCAATTTAAAAAATGTCAGCCAGGTTGGGGTGTTTTTTTGTTTTGTTTTGTTTGATAGATTCCACAGGAACATGTGGCATCGGTGTAAGGATCTTGTTTAAGAGAATGGAGGCTTGGAGGAAAAGAAAAAAAAAACAGATGCAGCAATTAGGCGGCTCTTGCTGCTCATTGGGGAGGTGACACAAGTGGGTGATAGTGGCTTTCACCTCTCACACTCCCTTCTCTCCTGCCTGATTCCTAGAACAATCCCTGTCAGAAACACTCTTTGAAAAAGGCTGCATTAGACAATGGCTCTTCACCCTTATTTTACGCTTTAAGTAGTGGAGCAGAATGCTGTAAGGGGCTGAAAACAAGGCGTAATCTGAGAAAGACGCGCAGGCATTGTTATAACTGTGAAAACCAGAAGAGCCCCTTTCAGAGCCGTGACTGAAAGTGCTCGGAAGACCTTTAGTCCTTTGCACTCTCCCAATCACCAATTAGACAAACATTAACATCAATTAAGCTGTTATACGGCACAGGTTCCATATAATTACCTTAATGGGTTGACGCTTTCTTTAGCAGCAATTTCTTAAACAAACTTCATCTTTTGTGCAACAGGCTAAGAAAATTTTCAGCAGGGAGCATTTCCTTTTGTCAAGTTTTCTAAAGAGACAGCTGAATTGTTCTATTTAACAACAAACACCTTCACTAAGGACCCTCGTCTTGTCCCCGTTCCCACCACATTTGACTACTAGGCTCAAAGCTTATTAACCATCAGAGACAAAAAAACGGACTGGCCAGGGGAGCCCAGACACATGCAGGGCGGGCAGTACACAAAGGACCAGTGAGTCTGGCACCGGTTTGCAAGGAGACCCTCGGAGAAAGCACCAATTGAATTAGTTGCCTATTTAGTATCCAAAGCGCCAGATCCGTCCTTACCAAAAGCACAAAGAAAATGAAATAGAAAAACAGGATCTTGCTCATAAAACAAGACAAATCTGTCTAATTTATTTTGTACCAGTAAGTGCTAATTAAATGCAAGCTACTCAGATTCTTCCTGTTCCTGCCTCACCTAATTCGCTTAGAATCACGACAATGCCAGTCTGATTTTTCCCCCTGTTTAACAAACATTCATTTGAAATGTACTCAAATACAGCTATAAAAATACAACCCTTATATCACTTCTATTTTTACTTTATATAAAGTCCATGTGTTTTTACTCTGTTGTGAAATTATTTGGTGGGGGGAGCTCTTGGCAGAAACAAGTCCTTAAACTATCCTTGTGCATCATAATGAATAAACAACTTGAGATGCATATAATGAACTATAATTGTCCCCCCCTCACAGGGTTGGAGTAATGTATGTAACCAAATTTCACAGCAATTCATTAAAAGTCAGAAGCCTGACTCTTCTATGTACAGTTTTTAAAGCAGAACATGGTTAAAAAATAAAATTAAAAAATATAAAATATGCACTAAATACTTCTAGCAAACCAAGGAATGTTTTCTCTCTTTCTCTCTCTCTCTCTTCCGCTCTCTCCTTCACATTCTTACTGCTCATTTTCACATACCTGATTATAACAATAACCTTGGGAGCAGGCAATTCATTTTACATCTTTAAGGTCAGCGCTTGGGCTCCAAAGACAAGTGTTTGCTCCATTTAGTCCTGCCCTAGTGAACCCCCAACTCCTCTTTGGGTCAAAAGCTCAAGACCACAAAATTAAAAGATGATGATGAACTTATGTTTAGATTTTGACCGCAGGCCACTGCCACCCATGGCCAGAGGACTTTATAGGGGATGAATTCCAGACACAGAAAGATATGCAATTACAAAATAATTCTTCTCAACTGTATTGCCAAAAATTAGCATTTAAAAAATATGTATATAACTGAGGTTAATTAATCTACAATATCAAATTGGTAACCTATTTCCTGAAAAGTTTTATGGCTGTAAAATAAAATTATGGTAACCTTACCGAAAGTTCTCCCTTAGTAAATTTATATAGAAAGTGATGTTTTTCATTCCAATATTTGTCTATTATTTATTAGAAATTAGTCTTTTTTACTAAATTTATACTTTATAGTTAAAAAACATAATTTGAGCCTTCTTGGATTACTAACTGCCTTGATGCCTCATGACACTACTTTAAATATAAAACTGTATTGCTCCTATTTTTTTTCATTGGTTATTTCTGTCTGCTCCAGCACAAATACAGCTACAAATTGGGAATACCACACATAAATAGTGGGAAGCCCAAGTAAAGAGTTTCCATCGCTGAATTTTCTCTGATTGGAGCTCAGCCACTCATGATATAGCAAGAACATCTAAGATTAAATCAGGAAAGGCCTGAAGAAGAAGAGATTGTGGGGGATATCCTTTTTAACATTTACTTTATTATCGAGGGATAATTAATCTTTCCAAAATAGATAACAAATTAGAGTCACAAAAATGATTTCTTTGTAAGCATCATGTGAGAATTATACAAATTTATATCCTTCTTAAAATTTTACTTATGGCAGATATAATTGGGTATAATGAGGACAAACTCATCCCAGGTGGCAAAGTCACCTCTGTAACCACAAAGAAAATGTGCGTGGAATCTGAGATTCCTTTCTCTAATTTCCAGCATTAAGGATGAATCTGTGATGTATGAATGGATTTTTCCCCCATTCAACACATCAGGCAAAGATCTGAATAAAGTTAATGTTCGCATTTTGACACCCATATCAAACTGAAAACACCTCAATCAACTGTTGGATGGATTTGGCATAATTATTGATACACTTTGCAGGATTTAAAGAGTAAGGATTCAGTGCTCACATACCACATTTGAAATGAACACAACTTATCAAGTAGAGTTCTGACATGTGTGACTCTTAGTATCATTTTGGAAGTGAAATAACCTGTCAAATTTTAAAATGTGTTAACAACTGGATGGTTAAATGGCAGGGACATAAAGAAAGGACATGGGCTTGGTTTGAGATCTTGTTCTGGAGTAGAGTCACTGACTGCCAGCCTAGAAGCAATCACAACAAAAGTTTCCCCCCAGGGGTTCTGAACAAAAATTCTATAGTTGAATAAATAAACTACTACACAGTTATATTATCTTAACTAGCATCTGCAATCTTCCTTACAATAGCTATTTATTGATGTCTTTCCAAATGCATTAGAAGTGGCAGATGATTTATTTTGTCTTTGAAAAGTACTTATAACCATTCACTCATTCAACAAATATTTAAGTTTCCACTATGTTCCAGGCATTCTTTTCTAAGTACATTATCAAAGTCAAATAGTACCAACTGCCTAATGTTCTTATATTGGAGATATCTTCACTTGAAATGGGTTAAGGCAATTTATAGAGAAAGCACTTACCAAAAAAATTTACTTTTCTCAGACTGTAAAATTCTTCACCATATTTAATTTATGTCTGGCACCTGACACATAGTAGGTGCTTCAAATAGGATGCTCTGTTAGTTTCTCTATATTCCAACCCTAACTGATTTTTTGTGAGTGCAAAGTGATCAAGCAAAAAGGAATCCACTGACCACTGCTACTGTTCAGCTTCACTCGTCGCATTGCCATCTATGGCAGTGACCCTTTTTGTTTTATTTCAAAACATCTTTTCCTTATTCTTTCTGTAACGTTCATTCTGAAAAGAAGTGGGGGAGGCAGTGCATGTAAGGTAGGGTGGATGAGTGGTGTTGGGAGATGCTTAGTATTTATGTATTTTTGAAGTATTTTAAATGAGTTTATGTCTGTGCTTGTGTTACACATCTGAATAAACTGGAGTCTCCCAAAAGTAGAGTTAGAAATTTTGACTCTTCAAGGAAAAAATAACAGAATTGGTAGCGGTGAAACCTAGGCTGGATACAGTTTCTCTTTTGAGAACAGTCAGTCAACACCCATGCTGCTGAGCATCCATGGGACCGAACAAAGACTCTTGGTACCATTGGAAGAGATGTGGATGTTTAAGATACAAGAATGATTGAAATTTTCTTCTGAAGGAATTCAGAACCTGGGGTCTGGAATATTAATACCATAAGACATTTGTATCATATTCCTTGACATTTTTTCTGCTTATTAGGATGTTTTGAGGACATTTTGACCATCAGTATATGCTGCAAGTTGGTGTTTGAATCCACTATGAAAAACTGATTTCTTTGATTTGTAATTCCTTAAAAATAGATAACAATCATTATATGCCATTTATCTAGAGGAAAATAAGGCCTGAGATAGTTATCTAAGGACCAAAAATAATTCCATGCTAAAACTCATTCTACCAAAGCTCTATCTATCATCTATCTGTCTGTCTGTCTATCTATCTATCTATCTATCTATCTATCTATCTATCTATCTATCTATCTATCTTATATATCTGCCTGTCTACCTACCTATCCATGTATCTACTTATAATAAAAATATACCCCCATGAACATTAATACAATAAAATGCATTCTTCATCAAACATAATTATAGATTGCAATCATTCAATATGTGGTATATATACATCCATACACTGACAAATGCAAAGCGGCAATATTACTAATGACATTTGGAAATGCTAATATATTTCTAGCACTTCAAATATTCTGCATACATAGATATAAAGGGGCAAGTCCTTACAACCTCTTCGAGGAAAGTTAGCATTTTTATTCAAAACATTGAGAGTTAAGTGAAAAGGCAAAGCCTTCTGGCAATAGGCATACAAATGAATATCTCCTCTGAAATTCCTTTCTCTGTATTTTACCATCCAAAAAAGAGAAGGGTCTTACTGCAAATGTTACTTTTTCAAGCTACTTGAGCCTATCTATAGGTGTAAATCATTTCTATGATCCCCAAACCAAATACATTTTATAATCCGTTTCATCTTTACCCAATGTCTTCTACAGGAGATAAACTATGTAAAGAGGGACCAGTCAGTGTATTAGCTTTGGACTACACTTCCGGTTTTTAACCTATAATAGAATTATTTTATGTTTTACTTCCAAACATGTATGACTTTCCACTCTGAGTAAAAATTTAATGAAAACTTGGGGAGACATATTTTAAGAAAATACTTTAAAATTATGCTTCATCTTGCTACTGTGGTATCTAAAGCCCAAGCACTATTGAAATCAATTCTTTGATGATCAGTTCTGGGAAGTTTTGAACTTTTCTCCAAAGTGCAAACGTGTTTCTGTTCTTAAATGGAGTGCTGCCAGTGTGCTAAGTACTCTTTCATACTCATAATTTTTTTCAAGTCTTTATTCAGTTATTTAAACTTGAGCCTTTGGATGTCTGGGGGTCAATACATTTCACCTGATTTAGTGAGTTCCCATTTAGTTAACCTGGTATGGCCTACATTCCTGAGAGTTTCTAGAGCTACTATGTTGTGTATAATCTTCATAATAGTTCAGCCTGGTTAACAAACACTATTTCTGCCTTGTTTATCCTAGTCTATAGGAGAGGCCAAAGCTTTTCACTCTAACTGTGGTAAGTTTGCTCCTCTTTTGCAGGTGGTGGTGTAAACAGAAAAGATCAGGGTGTGTCCTGGGCCATGTCCTTCCTTAGTGCCTCTCCTCCTTTTTTTTTGACAAAGGAGTGACAAGAGCAGAGGAGACTTGAGGCATGTTAGTGCAAGAGAATATGAACCAGGATGGGGATGATGTGAGCAGGGACGATAAAACAATAATAGGAAAGTGAAATGAGGGAATACTGGAATATACAATAAAAAAAATGGCACAACCAAAAAGAGGGCCTAAGCGTTTGTACATACAGCTTGTTTGTTTTGCTTTTCAAAAGGTGTTAGGAACAAAGTACAGTGGGTCAATTAGAGGTATCCCAGATCTTACAAAGGAAAAAAAAGAGGTAGGGGGAAAGAACTCGCCTTAGTAGCCACCCCCTGCCCTCTTTATTTTGGTACAATGCCTCAGGAAATGATTATGACACAGAGACCTTGCTTTTTATAAATGCATCATCTTTTTAATATAAATATTAACTACATTTGGCGTTTTGGGAGTCACACAATTAGCAAATTAGTCATTGACTAAAGCTATTAATCTAGGTTTTATAACACTTTCCCCACCTTAATTTTAGAATATTACATGCAAGGGGAAAAATCGCCTTCTTTTTTATCACATTCATTGAAATACCTTCTCTTAATGGTAGGCTCTAAAGTTATAGTGGCAGTTAGTTCTGTTATCAGAATATCAGCACATTGAATGAAATTTTGAAAATTACAAAGACTGCACAGGCATATAGTGGAATCGATCATTCCCTCTACATGCTAAATGCACCCTCATTTGAATCTTATGCATTCCCTTTAATATACCCTCCCTTTCAATTCAATTCATTGCATTTTTTACAAGTATGAGATGGAAATTAGAAAGTTCCTCCAAGGCTTCATATCTTTTGTGTGCAAGACTTATGAGGAAGAGAAATTTTTGCTATTCTTTTATTTATAAAATTTAGTGAATTGAGATAATACCCTAAGACATAAAACAAGCTGTTCATTTGTACTTACATGTGCAAGTATGAAAGACAATATCCATGTCATTAATCTTCTACTTAATATCACCTTAAGTGAAAATCTAATTGTATGAGTCCAGAACTGCAACATAATATTATGAAGACAAGTGCATATATATTCCTTAATGTTCTAGTAAGAGCTTTAAAGGTTTATATAACTTGGAATCACCATTTTGAATATTACTGGTAAAATTATGAAAAGTAGTTTTAGGATCAAAACACAATGGCACAATATTCATTTTAATTCCCATGTTTAAAGTAACTTAATTATAACGAGATGTACAATTTGCTGTCTGTATCCATGGATTCAGCATCCGAGGATTCAACCAACCTCAGAAGGAAAATATTCCGGGAAAAACTCAATAAGAAATAACAACACAACTATAATAATACAAAGAATACAGTGTAACAATGATTTGCATAGCATTTGCATTGCATTAGGTATTATAAATAATCTAGACATGATTTAAAGTGTACAGGAGGATATCCATAGGTTATATGCAAACACTGCGCAACTCTATATAAGAAACTTGAGCATCCACAGATTTTGATAAAGGCAGGGGTTCTGGAACCAATCCCTGGTGGATACTGAGGGACAACTGTACTCCCTAAATACAACATTTCAAATATGGCATTCAGAGGGGCCTAAATGCTGTGCTGCATCTTTTTGGATCATCCATGTTGAAAATTTACCAAGGGACTGTCACCTTGTGGTTTTTGGCTAAGAAATCAGGTTATATAAAGCTGAAACAGTGGCCATTTTTATTTTAATCCATTTCTTCTTGACTTTCGCAACTTTCCCATTGGAATAAAAGAAACGCAACTGCTCTCCAGCAAATCCAAGAGCAGTTAGCCATTCTCTGCCAGAGGTAGTCGCCATCCATTACCAGTGCCTAGGGATACTCAAGAATGGCAGTGTATGCCATTCCTGGACAACAGGAGGGGTGATTGAAAACTGTCTAGTGTTTTGTCCATCATACCCATTAAGAGAGTTGTGTAATGGGATAACATTTTTTTTTTAATTTGAGTATTTAGCTCTTGGAGTCACCATGGATTGGTACTGAGACCTTGAATAAAGTCCTCCTCTTATAGAGGAGCTGGCACTGTGTTAAATAGTCATATAAATTCATGCATTTCCATCTGTTTCTGCAGATAAGGGTGTTTCTTTACTCGTCAAGTCATTAATCTTCTACTTAATATCACACTTAAGCCAAAACCTAATTATATGAGTCCAGAACCACAGCATAATATTATAAAGACAAGTGCATATATATTCCTTAATGTTGTAGTGAGAGCTTTAAAGGTTTATATAACTTGAAATCACCATTTTGAATATTATTGGTAAAATTATGAAAAAGAGTTTTAGTATGAAAACAAAATGGCATGTTAATTTCATAGGTAAATCTTGCAACTAAATTTAATGTTATCCATTTCAATAGCTGTGGGTTATTATACAGTTTAATTCAATTATTCTTGATTAAATAGAGTTAATCCATTGTCAGGATTGATTAACATAATTCTGGCAATTTGCAGAGGATAGATATGTTAAAGATATATAGTAAGAAATATTTTATTTAACATATGTTTATACTAGCTGAGTTTCAGAACTTAAAGATTATAATTTACTTTGCTCTGCCAGTGCATGCACACACACACACACACACACACACGCATGCACACATACACAAACACTCATGTGCACACCCACACCCACACACCCTGTGGTTAGTTTATTCCTTGCTACTTTTAACAATCAGTTACTGCTTTGGTGAAAGCCTAAAGCTTAATCCATTAAGAGCCATTCAGAACAAAACAAACAAACAAAGCTTTAACCACTTCAGTGACAACAGTGCAGCACCAACAAGGAGACTTCTTAGAAAACCCTAGCAATTTTAGGATCAATAGCCTCACATTAGATGCTCTTAAGTGATGAAAGCTAGAAAATTTGTGCTGCCAGGTTTTAGAGAAAACGCAAAACACAAAAAAAAGGTTGGGAAAAGATAATTTAATAAGTTTAGTTTGGAAATACCCATGCAGTTTAGAGGGCTAACTTAAGTCCCGTCAGTAGTTACGATGAAAACAAACTAATTTAAACATCACGTTGGGCTGAAAACTTTACCTATGCATCCTGCAAATGGAACTGTTAAAATATCTTTTAGACTCTCTCCAAGTTCCACTACTTAGGGCTTTCTTATTATTTCTTCTAATTAGTGTAAGTGAAATCTTTGGGGTGTATATATACATATATGTATGTATATATGTATAAAAATTACAAATATTTCCTTGAAAACAAGTCTAAAGTATTTAGGAGAACTTTACAATCCACTTAATTCAGGGCTACAGTTTGAACAATAAAACCAACAAATACATTTATATATGAGAGGAGCAAAAACAAACATTTTTTTCCACAAGATTAAAAGCCTGTTCATTTCCTTTAAGAATTATTCTATTGTATATTATCTTTTGTGAAAAAATCCATTAGATTCTTTTATACATCCTCAAATCTTAAACAACACACCACTGCTGCAGGATGTGTTTTATGGAGAAAATCTACTGTCACTCCATAGAATTAAAAAAGGCCTCCTACATCTTTTGTGTTCATTACAATTATCCTTTTCAGTTTCACAAAACAATTTTAAAATACTGTATCTCCTGTAGCTATAGTTTTTAAAATGCCTTTACATTAATACTTAATTATAAACTCAGTAATGAAATAGGAGTGTTATTTATTATTTATCTCAAAATGTCAGCTGGTTAGACTTTACCCACAAATTATCTGAAGGCATTAAATTACATACCTTCATAGGTAGTCAACAGACACTGTTGGGATTGTCTACAGTATGTTTACAAGCTAATTTGTTTACAGAATGTTGACTACTCATTTACATTTCTGCTTTTTTTATTCTAGCAGATCCTCTTTGGACAAACATACTTAATATAAGGAACTTGTAAAGGAAATCTTTTTAGCTTAAAAAATAAGTGTCAGATCAAAAGCAGAATAATCTCTTTGCTGAAATGTTATCAAATAATATTGACCATCAATATTTTACACACTAAAGAATTAAATTACCCTGAAATATCATGGAAATGCATGATTTTCCTGTGTGTCAGGAATGCTGTGCAGTTTTGTCTGGATTCATTAAGGCGCTCACTGCCTAAGTGCGTTGCCAACCGGAATGTGGGTGGCTATAATGGCAGCCTGTAGGTTTGTATGGAAAACAAGTATGGCACTGTGAAAAAATCCTTCTCTCACCCTACAGATACCTGTACGGAGAACTTGGGAGGCATTTTTATAAGCTCATTGTCAAGTGAATGTTAAAGTCCCCATTCACTGAGAAGCAAAGGTAAGTCTGAAAAATGCGTTGAAAAAAGAAAAGGGGGTGGGGAGTGGGGTGGAATCACCTAGCATTGAAGCAGCCTAACCAAGTGACAGACACGTAGACAACTCCGATGCTGCCAGAATAACACTCTGCACAGCCCACCAGCAAGCAATTTGTCACTGCGACAAGAATATCCTCCGCAATTTGGCATCAGGGTCCTTGGACAGCCAACTGCGCCTGTACAGCACGAGACGTGCTATTCGGCAACGGGAAGATGGGAACCAAGGTTCTCGTTATTATGTCCAAATGTATTATTTTATGAAAAACATATCTTTTGTCATGATCAACATAGAGATAGAATAGAAGTAATCGATAATAACTGGGGAAAATGAGATGAAAAATTGAGAAAAATATGTCCTTGTATTTTTTTAGGTACCCTGACTGTTGAGAGAATTTCAGGATGTTTGCTTGATGTGTCTGGTATTTTATGGCACACTTCCACAGTGTTTCATAGGAATAATAAATCCATAGGTGCAGAATGAACTGGGAAGATTTTGGGGGGTATTAAGCCATTTGCTTTAGGCAGACCGTGCTCTTTGCTTTGTTTTGGACTTTATGTGATTGTATATGGTGTTTGATTAATAATATGTTGCTGGGTGCAAATCCTTTCTTATTGCTCTGATTTGAAGTAAGACAAAGAGTACAAGGTAAGTTGAGTTAAAAATTTGCAAAGGAAAGACCTTTTACTCTTTACATTGCTATCCTGGTAATCTATTATAAAAGTGCAGTAAAGGAAAGAAGCCAGGAGCATAGGATAAAGGTATCTGATAAATAAGCAAGTAGTGTTCCCCTTGCCAATTACTTGGCATCTTACTTTGTAATTAATGCCACAGTAATGAAAAAAGTGGTAGGCACGAAGATTGGGCCTTTTGTGCATTCTATACAGAAGCAAACACTCATAAAAATCTAGCTCAAAGCTACCCTAGTTTGGCTTTCTCCACAATCAAAACTTGCTGGAGAATTAGAACAATCCCATAGGGGTGTGTGTGTGTGTGTGTGTGTGTGTGTGTGTGTGTGTGTGTGTTACAATGTATTATATAAGAGTGACATCAGCCAATTGTGGTATTGCTCTCTCCATTACACAGACAAGGGTATCCTTCATTCCCCAGACATGATGGAATCTTGTACCCATTCTGCCAGGAGCTAACATCATGGTATCTATTATGTTGTTCACTAGCTGTCCTATGAAGCACTTTAGCTAACTGCTGCTTAAGTCGCTATATTAACTGCCTGGCCATGCCTGATGTATTTCCAAGAAGCTTATTTAGTTGTGCTCTATGCAAACCTTCAGGAAATCCTAAAAGTACTTAAAAGTTAAACAATAATGAGAGTAGTAATATTAATAGGCATTTTTAAGAAGGAAGAAAGAATATAATTTAGGTAATTTTGATATTATTTGAAATCCAGTACATGTTTCAAAAATTATCGAGCTAGTATTGTAACAATATTCCACAAAAATGTTTTCCCCACATAAACTGGACAATGGTGAATGGCTGAGGGTCAGCAGGTTGGATAATGAGTTGTTTAATTGTGACACCGTGGAAGTGGTGCTGGGATAGAGTGTGTTGAGTACCTATGCACATGGATGGTTAAGTGAAAAGGCCTAAGATTTATATTATTTGAGGGATAAGCTACAAAGAAAGGGGAGAACAGAAGGTGAGTGAAGACAGAGTGTTCAAGGCTAGAGAGTACAAAATACAGTGGAGACCATAAAGAAAACTAACCCCTACTTTTCTAAGCTTTGCATGGGGTGTTTTCCTTGCAACTCCCATTAAAGTCAATGGGAATCCTGCAGCTAAAACCCTGTGTAACTCTTTGACAATTTACTTCCTAGTGTCAGAAAAAGAGTACTACCTACTAAAGGCAATTTACTCATTTTAGTTTGTGCCTCCCATACAAAGATGAATTTGATAGCACATAGCAGGAGGAAAATGGAGACTACATTTAAGAATTTTGTTATTGCAAAAGAAGTCATCATTGAAAAATGTCGCCTAAACTCTCACCTTGTTTAGCAACAACAATAAACAGAGAAAAGCAATCCAGTGAAAGAATATGAAAAGAAGTATGGACTTGATTACAGGAAATATAGTGATTGCTAGTATTAGGTGTTTTTTTTTTTTTCATTTTAAATTCTCTAGCTCTGAGCACAATCGCAGGATAATAAGAATACAGGACGATTCTTAAGACACCAAATTGAAGTTCCTGATTACTTGCTTTTTCCTTGCACCTCAAGTTGTATATATGTAAATACAGCAATAGTATCCTTACAGAATTAATAATACACATACAGTGGGGGTGGGGCTACCATAGGCTCCTAGTTATAGGTAGCAAAATAAGTAAATGGCAGATGTCTATTCTGCTGTAAGCAATAACTAAATAAATGCAACATACCCTCTATATAGCAGTATTTTTGAAAGCTATAGAATGTGCCTGTTAAAAAGTGCATGCTATTTACAGACTACTTCATGAACTTTGAAGTCGGAATACTAACACTGGCTTTCAGCCTTTATTTTCATTATGTCTCTATATTTCTTTACTCTCACATGAGAAGTCTTTATTTCAGTGCTCTTCCATTTTACTGATATAATTCTAATTTCACTGTTATAAATGGTATGTGGGCTGAAGATAGGGCTTCTGTATTTTCTGACTCCCTTCTCTGTGATTTGTTTTGTGACTTGTCCTTTGGAGGGTGAAGAAGTGAGACCCTACATGGCTTTTTAGTGCATTGATGGAGCAGAGACACGTCTATGAACAACTGCCTATGCAAACTGATTACTCGGCAGTATAATTTATCAGTTTGTATGAGTAAGTGAGTGCTTCTCACTATGGATTTAGCTTGCACTTCAATTTAGGTAAGTATACTGCTGCAGCAGCCTCGAAACCAGTGCTCTCTGATTGTACCAATTAGTAAATCCTGAACTTTACCATCAGAAAAAGACATAGCTCCACATTTATGAATGCCTGGCTTTTGAGAATGAGAGTAATTATGTCACCAAAACTGCCATTGATTTTTCAGATAGACATCTCAATAATTTTGCAAGAGTAAAAGCCTTTTTCTAAAGCACATGGGTGTTTTTTTATGGTACGAATAATACATAGGGATGAATACAGTGATTTGATATGTGAGAACATTTAAGGGAGGAGGTATTTTATTTGAACAGAATTTAGATGTGCTTCCGGGCTGAGTCCTTGATTATAAATTTCATGTTGGAGGGTTTTGACTGTGTGAGAACTTCTGACATCTAATTTTTTTGGAGGAGGGGATTGAGAATTTACAAAATAATAAAATAGGATATGCTGTTGTTAAAACAGATTGTAATATTATCATAAAATAATAGATGAAAATACATTTAATTTTCTATGTTTAGTTTAAATATTCACAGCTGGTTTATGCTCCTCCTTATATCCCAAGCCATTCACCATTGGTGACTAGATCATATATCCTTAACCAAATATACATTAAAAGATTTCTGTTCACAAATTAAGCCTGAACTGAATTTAGCACATAGAGCTTTTAGCCAACGATTAAACTTCTTCATTTTTTTCCTTCTAATTGAACATAGGCATGGCTAATAGTATTTTTGTATCAGCAAAAATAAATGAGTACCAGTATTTAAATCCCCAGCCCCCCCAAAAATCCTGATATTGCAGGGAAAATGTCATTCACAATATTACAGATACTTGTTTTCTTCTCATATTCGAGGGTCATTGTTTCATTTTAGGTAAGCACCTGAATAATCATTAACACATTTTATGGAGTTAAAGACTTATAAGGTCATATACTCTAGATCTCTTATTTTAGGAATTATATTTTCCATGATCTGAAAGAATTAGATATTTGAACCAATTAAGTTCTAAAATTAATCTGTTTGTTTCAGACTTGTTTTGCTGGGGAATTTGCTATAAATCAATGTTTGCTGTCACTGAAGTTTAGGGCATCTTTCGATATTCATTTTAAAAATATCTCCTTCCACATGGTTAAGAAATTATTATGACTTTGATATTACATCTATGCAATCATTTTGCAGTATGTGTAGCTGGAGAAAGGCTTACAGAAATAATATAGTTTGCCTTTCAATATCTCAAAATCATGTTTTTAGTTTCTAGCACAGGTTTTTAGGCACACACACACACACACACACACACACACACACTGCATTGCCTTTAGCTCAATGAGAAACACTTTGAATATATTTAACCTGAAATATTTATTTCAGTCCCGGGGATACTGTTTCTTGAACTAATTTTATCACCTGTACAAAAGATTTATGTAAACATTATCACTAAGAAAGTCTAAGAAGCAAAAAGAATAAATGTATAATCAAATTAATGACTGATTATATGCATAAGGACGAGTTTGTATTCATTATTTTCTTCACCGTGACCACATTTCTCTTTTTCCTGTTTTCCTATTTATCTGCATTTCTTCAGACATGACACTTGACTAGCCTTCTGCAACTAAAATAAGCTAAAATGTGGAAGGAGGTAATTGTTGGGTAAGACATGGCACTGTTAACGATGTTGATTCTCTGGCTTCAGAGATCTTCGGGATTTTTCATATGGTAAATTTCTGATGCTCCACCTCAAAGATTTGAAGCCTGATCTCTTCGTTCTATATCCAAGAAAAGGAAGTCATTGTACAATAGACTGAGTATTCTGGAGCAAAAGGTCATCCAACGTTATAAAAGCTTGCCTGAGACCAAAGCATGGAAAGGAAATCCTCCTCCCAGGCAGTGTTAAGTTGTCTGTTCCCTTCTTGGCATGTATGCACAACTTCTTTAACACTAAGGAGATTTATTCATGGGTACTGAGGGAGGAAGGGGCTTTATAAAGTGAAATGGGGCCTTGAAATTTCTCAAGGATACCCTAAAACAGACAAGGAACAAGTCTGTTCCAAATGGTAAGATGGAGCAGGATAGTAATGATGGGACAGTGTAATTTTTTATTTACAGATATAAAACATCAGATGAAATACATCATAATTTTCATAGTTATTTAAGTGTGAAAGGCACATAATTGGTAAGTTAAGTTATTTCACGATCTTTTAAGTGGCAGTGTTGGGCAATGGGAAAATAAATAGGTTATTTCTGTTTTTTTCAATAACATGCAATACAAATTTGAGCAATTCATTTAATTAGGGCTTTGTATTGCCTCATTAGCAGAAATTCATAGCATCCATTTGATTATATTTCAGGTCTTTTGGGATACTGGTATTGGATGATTCTGTGTCACAGCTATAGTTGTCAAAAGTGCCTACATGGGTACAAGGCAAACGATATTCTAACACTGTTGACATAACAAGTGATGCAAGATTATTGCTGATACCTGATTTTTTTTTCATTGTTATTTGAGCTCTTATTCCCCAAGAGGATATATTATATTTACTATGATGGTTTCATTCATTTGCTCATTTGTTCACTCAAAAATAATACCGAGTATTGACTAAAGGGCATGTCTATCTTGTCTGTCAGTAATTCAGAAACCACTAAGATATAGTTTCAAAACTTCAAAATACTGATCATCTGGTGAATGAGGATATAAAACAAAGGCAACAACACAACACAGCCAGCGCTATGATAAAAATGTGCCAACATTTTTATGGGAAGTTGGAGGAGTTGCTCCTAACTTGCCTCAGAGAGGCTAGAAGATTCATACAGGAGGTGATTGCTGAACTAGATTGACGATAAAGATGGGACCACTTCAAACTCTTGTCAGTAGACTGAAGATTGCCACAGGAAGGCTCAAAGTTAATTAATGTTTTTTAGAAGGTCTTTGGCTTTAACACTTTCCATGGCTTCAAAAACATACATTATCGTAAAGCTCTGCTTCTATCATTTTGTTTTGGTATTGGCTTGCTTTCTTGTCTCTTTTACATTACATAGGAAGGGAGGGGAAAAACAATAAGTACTAAATGTAGGTGTATGGTTAATATCATGACTACTTTCCACTCGTTCAATACCTCCATTTAAAAAATAATATATCTCCATGTGTATGTGCATGAAAAGTAAATATATGTAAATTATTATGATATTTTTCTGAGATAACAGGAAAGATAATGGAATATTAATAAGCCCAAGAAGAGAAATCTATACTCAAATTATTTTAAATAGTTGAGTAATTCTAGGGCTATCCAAGAACAGTTAAATACTCAAAAATTTTTTTCCCATTATACAATGTGTTAGAAGGATTCTTTTTCTAGTAGGTGTGAAAAAGAAGCAGGTAGCAGGAGAGCTTGGTACACAGAACATATTTGAAACAAAATCAGAATTTAATGATCTAGGTCAGTGATTATCAAACTATAATGTGTTTAAGAACTACCTGAAGAACTTGTTAAAGCAGTAGGCCTGGGGTAGGACCGATTAATTTTCATTTTTTACAGACCCATAGATGATGCTGATGCTGTTGGTTTAGAATCACACTTGGGGAATCACTTATCTAGACAAGGGCTTCTGATATTTAATCTGTACAAATCCCCCTAATCTTGTTATATTGAAGATACTGATTCCATAGGCCTCAGGTGGGTGGGAGTATTTGCATTTCAAACAAGCTCAAAGGTGATGCTTATGCTACTCTCCGCAGACCCATTGTGGGAAGCAAGGATTTAGATGATCCACTATTATAAGCCCAAGTCATATTGCATGGTTTGGTGATTTCAGAAAATAATAGGTTCAAATAAGGCTTCGAGTTTATTTCCTGACCAAATAAGATTGTATCCTTACCAACAAGATCGCTGTTTCTTGTGTACAGTATGAATATATATTATCACCCCCTTGAGAGAAGCATTTACTGAGCTCCTGTTTCCTGTATGAAATGACTGCCCTAGTTACTAATTAAGTAAAAAGTGGATTTCTTCTTTTACTTAGCTTCCATAAGTATTCTGAAGCTTTAGAAATGAAACACTACCCAGACCGGTCATTTATTAAGTTTATTATGTTTTCTTGATTCTAATAAATTGTATATAAGTACAGATGGCAAAAAAGGATTGTTCTAATACCTCAACTCAAACAAAGAAGCATTTTAGAAATACCATATTAGGCAAGGATCATTATCTAACCCCCTTATTTAAAATTTTTATTTAGACAAAGTCTATTCATATAAAGCAAAAAGTTGAACTAAATCTCGTCAAATGAGCTGGAAAATATACTTAATTTTGATGAGATAACAGTACCTGGTGGATTATATGGGTGTGGGCGTGAAGGAGCCTTACTAATAAGTGTTGGCTGTCTTCAACCCACATTTTCTCAGTAATTGATAATTCTCCATTTCTTCTCTGCTATGTAAACCTTTTAAAAAATAGAACAGTGAAATAATGATAATGATAATACATTAAGAAATTTGAAGTATCACTTTCTAACAGAGCATTCAAATAAAAAAATACAAGTAATAGAATCTGTAGTATACATTTTGGCCAACTTTGAATTGTTTGAAGAACCGTGGGGATGCATACTTTCTTTTTTCTCTTATGATGCTCCCATTCACAAATTTTCAAGTGATATGATACTGTTAAATTCTGTAATTCAGTTACTTGAAATGATGTTTGCATAGTTAGCAGTAAATATTTCTATTCTGCTTATTTATGTATTTATTTATTTGGCTGGACTGGAACAAATATAGTTAACTGATTTGAGTATTTGTTAATGCAAATACCAAAGCCCTTAGCCATATTATTGTAAAACTATTTTAAAGTATCATAATGATTTTAAGATTTATTTTTGCCTGGTGTATGTGGCTTTTTATATGATCATTTATGAGGATAAATGATTATAATAATAATTTGTAATTAAGTACTTTGTCATTTCTACTCCTTTTCCCATTTCCAAAGGGTATTGATTGAACTCATCAAATTGAACGATTACAAAAAAAAAAAAGTTTTACTTGCAGGATGTTTGACTTCTTAAAAAACACCATACTTGTGTCTTTTGGTAGTATCTATCTTAAAAAAGGTGCAAACAATGCGATCTCATAATGTAGATATTTGGGCTAGAGAAGCAGAGGTTCTTAAACCTTTTTGGAAATACAATTCTTTATAAACCCTGTGGTCCTTCTTTACAGAAAATGTTTATGAAGTACACACAAAGAAATTTTGCAAAAAAAGTAATGTCTATTCACGATCTTCTTGAAGGAAGATTCAGTAACTCTAGTCTTGATAATTGAGGTAACGTTAACCAAAATGCCATCTTTTTCCTTCTTTCTTATATAGACATTGAAACCAGATGGATCAATAGACTGTTTTTCTAAATACATCATTTTGTTTTTATTGTGTAAACCTTTCCTTACAAATAAGCCTTTAGACTGATTTGTAACATGGAAGTAAGTGGACATCTGGCTTCTCTGAAAAATATGATTCACTCATTTGCATTTTTAAATTCCATTCATTCCATTTTTAAATTTTTCACTTGTCCTCTTTGCTCTTTCTAAAAGCAACTCTTCTCAACTCTTTTCAATTTCAAATACCTAAAGAGTTTACATTTCTTATAATTCAGAACATCATTTTTAAAAAATGTTTATATGAAAATCAATATTCAAGATCCACAGCATGAGGGAAACCCTGATATGTAGGTGAGTGAGAAGCTATTTTAACTGCAAAAGAATTTGGGTGACAAAAATCAATTTACCCCTAGTTATTTCTCATATGTTGGTCTTGGTTGACTTGGAAATATCTTTCAAAGGTCATTTTTAAAATTTCAGGGGCAAGATACTAATAAGTAATTCATTCCTTCTTCAGGTTGGTTATGAGATTCCTTCAAAAAGTATTTTGAGTATATAAAGGTATTTCTATTATCAATGATATGCTTGAAATAAATTCTGGGATGAAAGACTATAGTGCTGTTTGATTGTTCATGTTTATTATTTACAGTAATAGATTTTGTGAGTAAAAGTTGAAGGTCTAATAACTTAAAATCTGGAAGATTTATTCATTCATTTCAAGGTCTCATCCTTCTTTATAGTAGCAAAACAGAATTTGTAATGATTTCCACAACATTGAACTATCACAATAACCAAGAACAGAATGACTTGGAAATTCCATTCAAATTTTAGATAAGGCTTCTCAGAGAGCATTTTATTTCTCATCTTAAAATAATAGGCGCATGTGGAATCCTAATTAAACACATCTAATATCTTTGAATATTTTCCTCTAATCAACCAGTCATATCCCAGAAAGGTGCAAGCACGTGTGTGTGTGTGTATGTGTGTGTGTGTATGTGTATGTGTAAATATCTCCTCCAGTTGAGTGAAATAGTTGGTAGAGCCAAAACTAGATGGACCACCATGATAGGCAAAGATGAGAGAATGAGAGAAGTTAGTTCACCATGATCTTCAGATGTGAAATTTGGACTGAATTCTGAAAGTATAGCAGAAGATTATGCTTTTCTTAGAATATCAGTAACGTTAGTCTTAAGATTTTCTTAGGGGATATGCAGCATGGATGGTAGGGATGTATAGAAGTAAAACAAACCAAGAAGACCAAGTGGTCAAAGTTCTCAAGCTCTGAGCTTGCATGATCTCACTTGTAATTCCTGTCTCACAGCTGATATTCTTGTTAATATCATACAATTTAGAAAATACTAGGATGAACACATTGGACTTAAAATTAGGAAAAGTAAGTTTGATTCCACTTCCCAGCCTAGATTTCATGACAGCCGTTACATTGAACTGAATCTCATTTCCTTAATGGAAATGTGATTTAATTTAGATTTAGATTTAATAGAGCACCATGTTGCTCTATTCCCTCCCCAGTTTTGGTGCCTAAAATTGGGGAGAAATAGATGATTGTATTAATGATGTGGTTCATAGATATGTTAGAAAATGAGAATTCCCCTTATTGAAGTCAAGGAATTATAAGCCTTTTAAAGAAAGCCTGTAGAATTTCATAAGATAGAATTATAGATTTGGATCACTCCTAGAACCAACTACCCTTTAGAGAAGTCAATTCTCAGTCTACTGTAGCATAATCAGAGAGAATACATCAATCTCTTGAGATAAGGCAAATTGGTCCCATTAATCCTTTCAGAAATGCCCCAGCTCTTCTGTTCTCGGGAGGATGAGGTTACTATCATCAGAATACCCCTATAATTTTTGGAAAATTGTTACCAGTTTTGCACACATTGCATGGCAGTCCAGTATGAATGTAACAATCTTCAGTTCCTTAAGAACAAGTAGTTCACTTCTCTTTCTCGCTGATGTAGCTATAAGAATTCTGCATCAGGAGGCAGGTCGTATCCTCTCTCTTTAGAAAAAAAAAAATAGTTACTCTCCTAGTAAAGCTATGGATGTAAGTATGTAAGGTGTTGAATGCTGATTAGCACGTCATTCGGGCTTTCCACTTGATGTAATTAGGAGAAATGAAGGAGCCCTGAAAAACAGCTCTGGAGAGAAATGTGGACAGCTGTCCAAAGCATTTTGTGTTTCAAACAAATATTCATAGAATTCTTCACTGAAGGAGATGCTAGAAACTAGTCTCTGGGCATGACTAGATGAGTCTGTGTTTAGCAGATTAGGTCAAAGCAGAAATTATGTGTGTGAGTTGGTAAGGCCATAAAACAAGTGCAGAATCAATCAATCACCCTCTTTTTAGTAAAAATCCAAATGGGTTTTGGTGGTGGTTTTGGTTCATTTTGTCTTGCCTTGTGAGACAGATAATATCTTTCTCTATTCACTTCATAAGCACGTGGCAAGGACACAGTAAAAGACAATTGCAGTTATGCATCACATAAAGACATTTCAGCCAATGATGGACCACATATATAACAGTGGTCCCAAAAGATTATAATATCAGATGTTTACTGTACCTTTCCTATGTGTAGATACACACATACTTACTACTGTGTTGCAGTTGCCTATGGTATTCAGTACAGTAACATGCCGTACAGGTTTGTAGCTTAGGAGCAACACTCTATGGCATATAGCCCAGGTGAGTCGTAGGCTATACCATCCAGGTTTCTGTGAGTACACACTATGATGTTCCTGTAGCAATGAAATTGCCTAATGATGCAGTTCTCTGACTGCATGTCTGTCACTAGATGACACATGACTGTTCTCAATAAAATAACTTAGAGATTTAAGGGGAAAAAAGTACAACCATATAAAAATTAAGACATGTAAGTGTTCTATTGTGGTTTATAGTGGCTTTCACTTGAAGTTATTATTGTGGTGGTACGTATGAACTGATGTCCTTAACCTCTCTTTACCATAAGTAAAATTGAAGACTAAAGTCTCCATGAAGCCAATATAGAACTTAAAATTTTGGGACAATATCTTTACTGGTATAGCAGGTCAGTGAAGAGAGGAAAAGATGAAGCTAAAACTTTTCTTCTGAACTATATTTTCATCAGCCCTGCAGTTTGTTTTGTGTTAAGTAAATTTTTTGTTGAAATAAAACATTAAAGCCTGGGCGCAGTAGCTTACACCTGTAATCCCAACACTTTGGGAAGCTGAGGCAGGTGAATCACGAGGTCAAGAGATCAAGACCACCCTGGCCAACATAGTGAAATCCCGTCTCTACTGAAAAACAAAAATTAGTCGGGCACGGTGGTGCGTGCCTGTAGTCCTAGCTACTCGGGAGGCTGAGGCACGAATCACCGGAACCCAGGAGGTGGAGGTTGCAGTGAGCCGAGATCATGCCATTGCACTCCAGCCTGGGCGATAGAGCGCGACTCTGTCTCAAAAAAAAAAAAAAAAAAAAAAAAAGAAAGAAAGAAATAAGACATTAAAAATGCACAAATGAAAATGTACATATTATTAAATACTTTTAAAAAGGGAACATATCTGTGTAATACTCAGTAAGTTCAAGAAATAGAACATTATTAGCATATAAGAACCTCCCCTTTCTCACATTTTGTCATTACCCCCTCCAAAAGAAATTGTTGTCTTGATTCTTTTATCTTTCAATTAGTTTTATGTTGCTGACCTTTATATAAGTAGTAACGTATCATATGCGCTTTGTTGTACCTATATTGTGTTGTGTAATTGCAGTTCATTCCTTTTCATTGCAGTAGAATATTTCATCACATAAATATACTAAAATTCATTAAACCCGACTTTTGATAGACATGGGTTGTCTTTAATTGTTGGCTGCTGTTAATCTTCTTCATGTGATTTGGGCACACAAGTACACATTTCTGTTGAATATACCTAGGAGTGGAAATGCTGTGTAATAAGGTGTATGTTTGTTCAACTGTGGTAGATTTGATCAAATAATTTTCTGAAGCAGTTGTACTTTTTAATGCTTGTACCAGCAACGTCTGATGTTGCTCTATATCCTCACCAGGGTTTGGTGTTGTCATTCTCTTCAATTTTATCCATTTTGGTGGATATATAGTGATATCTCACTGTAATTTTAATTTGCACCCCTTTGACAACTAATAAAATTTGACCACTTTACCTACATTTATTGGCCATGGATATTACCTTTTGTGAAATATCTGATCAACTCCGTTGCTCGTTTCTTTTTTGAGTTGTCTTTTTTCTTCTGGTGGTGTAGTAGTTGGTATATTCTGGATATGTGTTCTTTTGAAACATGTGCCTTGCAAACATCTCTTTCCAGTCTATGGTTTGCTTTTTTTTGACTTTCTTAATGATGTCTTTGGATGAATATAATCTCCTAATTTTAATGTGGTCTTCCTTAATGGTTAGTGCATTTTGTGTACTGTTAAAAATAGCTTTACTTATCCAAGAGCATAACAATATATTCTTATTTTTTGGAAATGTATTTTTACCATTCATTTTTATGTCTACAAAGCACCTGAATTGATTTCTGTGTATGCTGAAAGGTAAGGTCCTTTATATATTTTTTCTTTTTGTATAACCAATTTGCTCAGCAGTATTTATAGAGAAGAAAATTCTTTCAATATTCCAGTGCAGTTTCACTTTTGTCATAAAGCAAGAGACTACATATTTGTGCAGATTTGTCTTTAGGTTCTCCTTGTGTACACTGTCTCCTTTCTCTGTGTATACACTGTCTTAATTACTATATATTTTATTAAGTCTTGATTTCCAGGGTTATATCTCTGTTGAATTTGTTCTTCTTCAAGATGATCTTGGTTATTCTTATCCCTTTACATTTCCATATGGATTTTAAAATTATCTTGTGGATTTCCATATTTAAAAATATCTGCTAGAATTTTGATTGAATCTATATATCATTTTTGAAAGAAATGCTATCTTTTCAGCATTGTATTCTGTTCAGAAACATGGTAAATCCTTTCATTTGTAGTTTTTATAGTCTTTAATTTCTCTCAGTAATTTTTTTTTGATTTTACCTGTGCAGATCTTATGCATATTTTATTAGATTTTTTTCTTTTGGTATTTGCTTTCTTTGGATGCTGTTGCAAATTGTATGTATATTTTTATAATTTCATTTTCTAATTGTCTGTTAGTGGTATTTAAAAGTACAATTGATTTGTAAATATTGACTATTCCTTCAGTTCTCTTGCTAAATTTATTTATAAATATTAATTGGTTTACTGTAGAAGCCTTTGAGTTTTATACATATAGAGTTACATCATCTGCCAATAATGTCATTTTTTCTTTTGTTTTCTAATCCTTATATCTTCCAGTTATTTTTCTTGCTTAACTCTAGCTAGATATTGAACTGAAGAGGCATTAATGGACATCTTTGTCTTGTTCCAACCTCATGGAGAAAAGTTTCTGTGTTTATGTATGATACTAATTATGAGTTTTATGTAGATACCTATTAATATCTGTATATATTATTAGGAAATTTTATTCTATTTCTAGAAGTGCATTGATTAATTTTCGAACATCTGTGGATTTTCTACTTAAAAAATTCAGTTTCTAATCAACAGCAATAAGATCAGAGAATGCACTATGATTTTAATTCTCAGAAATGTGTTGAACCTATAACAACATTGAATAAAACATGATCTGTTTTAGCATACATTCCACATGCACTTGAAAGAATACCTATCACCTTTGAACACAATGTTTTAAATAAGTCAGTTACATCGTGAGTGTTTATTTTCTTGCTAAAATCATCTGTATCCTTACTGATATTTTGTCCATTTATCATTTCTTAGAGAAATATGTTAAAATTTCCCACTATGATTGTTGATTTGTTCATTTTCTTTCTATTTCTGTCAATTTCTTTTGTTTCATATGCTTGAAGCAATGTCATTAGATAGGTAGATGTATAAATTTTAAACCACTGTATTTTTCTCAGGTACTAACCCTTTTATCATTAAAATATGCTCTTTGTCTTTAATAAAATTAGGCTGCCTGAATGTTTACCTTGTTTGATATCATTGTAGCAACATCAGTTTTATTTTGATTCATATTTTTGAGTTGTTTTTCCATCCGTTACTTTCATCCGCTCTGTGGTATTTAAGGGCATATGTGTTTGTGTGTGTGTGTTTTAATAGCGTAAAGTAGAGCTTTTAAAAATAATCTCACATCTTTGTTTTTACAATGTTGTATTTAGTCCATTTATATTTAATGTAACTGCTGATACATTTGAATTTATATTTACCATACTACAATTAATTTTCTATTGCATTAACTTACTTTGTTTCTGTTGTTTCCTTGTTTCGCACTAATTAAATTTTTCATGAATCCACTCTCATATTTGGCTAGTTTAGTAATTATACTTCACATATTTTTATTGATTTCCCAAGAGATTGCAACTCATACTCTTATTTAAGATAATCTATTTTATTTTTGTGTGTATGTTTTTGTTTTTGTTTGTTTGTTTGTTTTTCTTGAGACAGGGTCTCTGTCAGCCAGGCTGAAGTGCAGTGGCATGATCATACTCTTGGGCTCAGACTCTTGGGCTCAAGTGATCCTCCCACCTTAACCTCCTGAGTAGCTGGCATTACAGTTTCGAGCCACCATGCCCAGCTAATTTTTATTTTTTTGGAAATGGGGTCTTGCTATGTTGCCCAGGCTGGTATCAAATTTTGGTCTCAAGTGATCCTCCAACTTCAGTCTCCCAAGTAGCTGGAGCTACAGGCACATGCTGCTGGGCCAAGCCCAGAGCATCTATCTTAAATTTGCACTCTTAATAATTTCCAGAAAATACAAAACCCATAAAACACTTTATCTTATTTACCCATTTCTTGATTTTTGTATTCATATTGTCATGCATTTTAATTCTAGCTGTATTTGTTTATTTTTATTTATTTATTTTTTTGAGACGGAGTCTTGCTCTGTCACCCAGGCTGGAGTGCAGTGGCGCGATCTCAGCTCCCTGCAACCTCCGCCTCCTGGGTTCAAGCAGTTCTCCTGCCTCAGCCTCCCAAGTCACTGGGACTACAGGCGCAAGCCACCATGCCCTGCTAATTTTTGTATTTTTAGTAGAGATGGGGTTTCGCCATGTTGGGCAGGCTGGTCTCGAACTCCTGACCTCAGGTGATCCACCGGCCTCGGCCTCCCAAAGTGCTGGGATTACAGGCATGAGCTACTGTGCCCTACCAATTCTAGCTGTATTTTAAACCACAAAGTACTTTATTTCTTTTTGTAGGTATTATGTATTTTCAGATATACATGCATATTTACCATTTCCATTGATCTTCACTTCTCTCTGCATTTTTCTATTTGCTTCTGGGTTCTTTTTCATTTTGCTCAAAGAAATACTTTACTATTTTCTTTATTTTGTGTCTACTGCTAATAATTAATCTTAGTTTTTATATTCTTTCATTTTTGGAGGACATATTATCTGAGTCTAAAATTCTACTTTAGTAGGGATTTTTTTCCCCTTTAAGCACTTTAAAGATATGGCATTACCTCCTGGTTTCTATTGTCCCTTCCACTTCTTTGAAAGAAATGGTATTTTCACCCTCTGGGCACTCTTAAGGTTTTTCTCCTTGTCCATACATTTTGCTAGTTTTATGCAGAAGTATCTCATTGTGATTTTCTTTGTATAGTTTTCTTTATATTTATTCTACTTCAGGTACACAGGATGTTCTGAATTTGTGCTTGCAGTTTTTCTTCAGCATTGAGAAATTCTTGGTAAAAGTCTCTGCGATATTGCATTTGCCACATTCTCCCTCTGCTCTCTTTCCAGCACTCAAGTTAACATACATGATAGACCTTTCTATCATGACCCACATATGTCTTATGCTCTTTTCTGTACTTTCCATTCATTTTACTCCACATCAGTCTCAATATTTTCTACTGAGCTACCTTCCAGTGTTGTAATCCCTATTTTAGCTCTTTCCAAACTACTGTTAAGCTTATCTTTTAACATATGAGTTTAAGTGACTATAGTTTTAGATTTATATTTTTTATCTGATTTTGTTTAGGTTTCATTTGTGTGGTAAATTTCTCTGTCATCTTTCATTTCTTGAAGCTATTGATTAATTTATCTTAAATTATGTGTCTGTTATCTCTAATATATGTGTCACCTATGGGTTTGTTTCTATTGTCTGCTTGTTCTTTCGAGACTCCTTCTTCAACAAGACTGTACTGTCTTTTTTTTTTTTCATTGAATCATAGACATTTTGTTTGATTGTAAGAGCCAATCTGTTATCTCATTCCAGAGAAGATTCATTCCTTTCTCTGACAGGGAGCAAAAGAATGGGACATATCAATCTAATGATGAATTGAGCTGACTGTAGATGGTTTTCTGCCTTCATAAGTCTTAGTATTCCTCTTTCCAAGGGTATAGCTTTCTAGATATCCTAGTTGAGAGTTCTCACAGGATCATGAGAATGCCAGTATTCAGTCCTGACATATATATATATAATTTTTTTTTTCCTGAATGCCTCTTAGACTATTGTTCAATGCAGCTTAATTAGTTAGTATCTTCCTTGAAGAGTGGAGTGGTACAAATCCTGATTCTTTTTCTTTGGATTCTAGGTCTTTCAAATTTCTATCTTTTTTGTTACCACAAAACTACAATTTTTTACTTGTTAGTCTCTTGAGATTGCCTAAAACTTCTCTGCCTATTAGCAGCTGGCCTTCATCTGCCCTTCCGTCTTCTTGCTCTATGGCAGATGCCACAAAGAGAAAATAAATATTAAAAAAATTGGGATTGCCATGGTAAGCTCCCTTTTCTCCACAAGTTTGTTCCTAAGTTTTGACTGTTTCAGAAGCTCTCCTATGCCTTCATCTTGTGTCTTTGCATATTGTCCAGCTTCTCCTAATTGCTTTTAGCTACAGCTTATTATTATTATTTTGTTGATGAAGCAAGGGTCAACATCCAGTTTGAAATCTATTAACTTTGGAAAAATAATTATCTACTACATATATATTATAAAATAAATAAACTTATTTCAGGTTTTTAAAAAAGTCTATTTTATTATTTTTGATCTACTATAAGCCGCTCCATGATATTTGGAAGTGGAAATCACTTCCTATGAATATTTTCTTTGGAAAATAATGATATTAGATAATGTTCAGTGATTTTTACATGTTAACAAATTGTTTGAAAATAAATCACTTAAAACTCTATATCCTCTGGTATTACAAGGAATTCCAATGTATAACCTTCTGAGTATCCTTTCTTTCTCTCTCTTTCTCTCTTTCTTTCTTTCTTTCTTCTTTCTTTTTTTCTCTTTCTTTCTTTCTCTCCCTCTCTTTCTCTCTTTCCTCTTCCTTTCCCTTCCCTTCCCTTCCCTTCCCTTCCCTTCCCTTCCCTTCCCTTCCCTTCCCTTCCCTTCCCTTCCCCTCCCCTCCCCTCTCCTCCCTTCCCCTCCCCTCCCCTCTCCTCCCTTCCCCTCCTCTCCCCTCCCCTCCCCTTCCCTTTGTTTTTCGGAGTTTCGCTCTTTTTGCCCAGGCTGGAGTGCAATGGCGTGTGATCTTGGCTCACTGCAACCTCTGCCTCCCAGGCTCAAATGAGTCTCCTGCCTCAGTCTCCCGAGTAGCTGGGATTACAGGCACATGCCACCACACCCAGCTAATTTTTTATATTTTTAGTAGAGACAGGGTTTCACCATGTTGGCCAGGCTGGTCTCGAACTCCTGACCTCAGGTGATCCGCCTGCCTTGGCCTTCCAAAGTGCTGGGATTACAGGTGTGAGCCACCACGCCCAGCCATATCCTTTCTAGAGTACGCAAATTGTGTGTCTGAATTCAAACAATCTGCCAATACCTCTTAAAATATATGTATTATATGCTTTAAGCTTGGCTATGTTTTGAGATATTGTTAGAAATTTAGTACATAATATTTTAATTATAAAGTGATGTATTAGTCCATTATTGCCTTATTATAAATAAATACCCAAGACTGGGTAATTTATAAAAAAGAGGTTTAATTGGCTCACAGTTCTACAGCCTGTATAGGAGGCATGGCACCAGCATCTGCTTCTGGGAAGGCCTCAGGAAGCTTTCACTCATGGCAGAAGGTGAAGCAGGAGCAAACATTTCACATGAGAGAAGGAGGTGCCACACAATTTTAAACAACCAGATCTTATGAGAACTTACTCACTTTTGTGAGGACAGCACCAAGAGGATGGTGCTAAACCATTCATGAAAAATCCACCCCCATGATCTGATCACCTCCCACCAGGCTGCACCTCCAATATTAGGAATTACAATTCAACATGAGATTTGGGCAGGAAAAATATGTAAACTATATCAAATGATAATAACATAGGAGAAAAAAAACTTGGAACTTCATAATAATATATTTGGCTATTGGGGTACAAGCTCATATGGATGCCTTTAAAAAGAGTCTCAATAGTTAGATTATCTTGGTAATATAATGAACAATGAATGTTGTTAGAATGAGTTCTTAGAATTGTAGCTTTCAATTATGTGTTAAGAATTGATATAAAATTAAAATAATTAGTATACATACTGAATCAAAAATATTTTGCAAGTGAGGTGTGTCCTGGAATTTCTTACTCAAGAAGCTGAAATTGAGTAAACTCTGTGTTAAATGAAATAGTTTTGGAACTGCCATGTTCAGCACCTATTTCTTTTTGACATTACACTGTCACTGTTTGCACCAAAGACCTATTTTGGATACTTGATTACAAATCATGATTGGCTTTTCCTCTATATTTTAGTACCTTGATTCTCAGGAAGGCTTAATTCCATGTTTCCTGCTCCTTCCCATCCTCCCATTCTCTCATGTAATCTTACCTCAGGTATGTCCTTTTTTTTTTTTTTCACCAAAGGCAGGTATATTCCTGAACTCATCTTCCTGCATGATGAATTCAGGTGCACATTATCAAATAGCTGATCTGATAAACTGATATTTAATAAGATCCATGTTTCAAGTGGAAAGCTTTAAACATATTTCAATCAAATATTTCATTATGATAGGTCTTGAGTAAAATAGTCTTCATGTTATGTTAAACACATTTTCAAAGGAAAAACATTGTTTTTTTATGTTAAGCATTTAAATGAGTCTTCATATTACACTTTTCTGGTTATAAATATATAGATTTAGTAGATTCTAAAGATTTTCCCCCCTCAACCAATTCCAACCTGAGGGATATGGTAGAACAACTGTCATAGTAATTAATCTATTCCTGTACTTTGAAACTTTTCTTCCAACCAAGGTAGCATCTGGTTTTCTTTATTTTGACAATTGCAATTTCCCAGTTTCAGGAAATTTTACATTTTCCTTCAAATTAGCATTGTATGTATGAGTGTCTGCCAGTTTCACAGTTTGCAAGTGTAATATCCATTGGATATTTTTATTGGAAATTACGGGTTTTTTAATTTAATAGTATGCTTTTAAAAGGGATGTTATCTGTAAGTCCATGAAAAAATAAGACATTTGCATTAAAATCTCTAAATTATTTTAACACCTCCATTCTATAAAGATATTTGTCTCAGTGATGTTCAAGGATGCATTAGAAAACAAAATATACATACGTTGCCACTTGTATATAAAAACAATTTTGAAGATGTTTCACAAAATGCAGAAAGCAAACCATAAAAAGCAAAATGAAAATATTATTATATTATTGGTGGCCTTTATCCACAAACTTTACTATCCTATCATAAGCCTTATATTCAGATTATTACTTTTATATAAATTATCAGCAACAGCCTGATATCACTCTGGTTATATTATTATTCTCTTATCTATGTCATTAAACACCTTACTACTTAATTATAATCTCTAAGTGGTGTTAATATAAAACAGTTGTAACTTCAACACATTGAAAATCCCTGGTCTAGCTGTTACAACACCATGTCCATAAGATATAGTATATGCCTCTTTTCTACTGCACTTATGTTTAAATGGAATGCCAACATGTTATTGCTAAGAAACATGTGAAGCGAGGATGGAGACACCATATTTATCGAAGGGCACATCTACATTGGCAGGTGTTTTCTGACTTAAACATTTGTTTCAGATAATATTTTATTCAGGAGCATCTTATCAGCCAAAATGTTTTCTCTTTTTTTTTTTTCCAGTTTTGAAAATTCCAGTTTCCTCACCACATATTTTAAGCTGGAAATGTTTGAGAGGAAATATTCTTTTCCTTGGTCCCAAATGCTTCAAAACTCTCATTTCCTCAGTGAAAATCTTCTGTCCAGGCTGGTATTCACACGGAATATTTCAGCTCTTCAGGCATTGAACTTTATTTTCCAAATGTTTTCTCTTTAAAAATAGGCTTTTAGATTGTAGCTTCTCATTTGGAAACAGTTGAAAGGGTATGTAAGTACACAGGTCAAGCGGGAGGGACTTGAAAAGTGCCAATTAGTGTATGGCATTTGTCTAAGACAATTTTAATATTAATCTCGGAAAGATGAATGACTAAGGTTCTTAAAGAAACTGCTGACAATGTCTGGAATTAACACGCTTAATTCTAAATCTGTGGAATTTGACCTTAATTTTTTTGTGAACAAAAGTTCCACTTTGCACTAATTTGCATTGCTGCTACTTTCATTTTAAATTGGAATTTTTTATCACCATCCATCTGTAAGATACCTCCTGTTACTAATTTCTGATGTGGATCCTCTCATTAATATGAGATTCACAATTGCATAGATTAAAAGTTATCTGATCATATCTGGCTCATCCCATGTTGTATCATTCTGTTCCTATATTTGATAGAGAGTGAGTTAACTGTGACAATGTTAGTATATAAAGATAACGAGCCAGATAGTAACTATTAGAAGAGTAGAATTTTAATATATATGTTGACAGTTTTATATTACAGGGTTTAGCACTATTAGGTGGGTTTCTTTTTCTTTTTTAGGCACTTTAATAGAGTAGAAAACATGAACTTTGCATTTTGTGGTCTCATAAATCATAAAGATTTAGACATAAATGACATGATAATGATATTTTAAATGGTTTTCTAAAGCAATATTATGCATGTGAGAGTAAATTTTTTTCTTTTTAGTGATGAATCACTTGGAAAGGTCTTTAAGCAAAACAAATTTCTGTTTCTGATAAAAACTTTTATAAGCATATATAGCAATATAGAAAACATTGTTTTTAAGGATATCTGAAGACCAATAGGTTGAGTTACTGAGAGAGAAAAGAAGCCTCTGGAATCCATTTCCCACAGAAACTCTTCATGCTCTTAATTGGTGGCTTAGATCAGCAACAAAGAAACAAACCTTCCCAGCAAAAGACAGGAGTGCAGTGAACTGAGGATCCCTGTAAGAGCTGAATTTGAGGGTGGAGTTAAAGTATCTATAGAGACATCAAGAATTCTCTTTATGATCTCGGACACATCAGTTCCTGAGTAGGCCAATGCAGAGACTTCAGGATACTTGGAAACTCTCAGCATCTGTTCTTTTATTTGCTTAAAAATTGAGCATCTCTAAATGTTAAAATACCATCTTTAATATCAGTGATAATTCACTGAAGGATTAAAGGACTCTTGCTGCTACCTGGTTTCAGTAATTATAATAAGCTTTATATAAGGCTGTGCATTTTTTGGCCTCTATCATTCAACTTCCCCAGTTCTTTGATACCTATTATCTCAGCTTTTTTTCCCCAATCTTCCCAGCGTATTAACTCTGAGAAGAAACGTGTACTTTGACTAGTGCTTCCTAGAAATGATGCCTCTATTTTCTTTCCTGGAAAATAAGGATGATGCTACCTACCTTCCAAAGTGGTTGGGGTGATAAATGAAATAACATTTGTGAAAGTGCTCAGCTCAGTGCCTCGTACATAGAAGGTGCTAATAAATTAAGGCTCTTTTCCCAGCTCTTCTCTGCCCCTACCTGCTGGTATGATGAGAATTGCTGTATGATGAGATTTGCTGGTACCCAGGGTAATGAGAGCTTTTGGAGCCAGTGGTATTTCATGCTACCTAACCATGCCATGTAGAAGACTGCCTACCCTTGGTAGACTTCCCTGTTGGTCACCTTAAACTCCTTTCCTCTCAAGCTTCTCCTATATATTTACTGCTATTTGACTTAACAAATCTGAAGACCTGAAGTCTAAATGATTAGAAAGTGTAACCCATTTCTAACAGCATCCCAAGTGAAGAAAAGAATTGAAAAACCAAATAAATAATGTTAGTGTGAGAACCATAAGGGCCACAGAAATTACCATGGAAGAGTGAAAAGAGCTGTTGCCTAAGTGGCCAGAGCCCCTTTCCCTTTCCTAGTTTTAAGTAGCACATGCTAGTAGGGTACTCTAACATTTCGTAATCATTTACAGTATTAGAGTATTAAGTTAAATCAGGTGCAAAGTTCTTCCTAGAACAATAGCACTTAGATACTCTAAGAAAATATAGTCAAATATATTTGAAAACTGCTGCGTGCTATACCCTCCTCCCATACCCCCAATCATGTAGAGTCGCAAAGTGACATTACAAAGTCTGTGAGTTCCTGGAAGGTGAAATTTGCTTAAGATGATCTATTTCAGTGCCCCCCCCCCAATTATTATTTCCTAAAAATCATTCTGGACAACATGCTAGACACTTCCATCTTCAGTGAGAAACCTAATTTTAAGAATATGGCAATCCTTACGTCTTAACTGGCCATTCTTCTTAGTGTAAGAGGAATATACATCATCATATCCTCAAATTTGCTACTGAATCTGTTTCCCTAAAGAAGGTACCATTTTTCTGGCCTTTTTGGCTTATTTAAAGTCCTAACGTGTCATTAGTTATTGTTGGCAGTTAAAAACAGCTCAGGGAGTTGATGGCAGCCTGTCATCATAGAGCACCTATTTTTTTGAGCTTATCCTGAAATATGAGATGTATGATTACAAAGAGATAATTGCTATTAACAATGATTTTTTTTCTTTTTGTGGATTAAATGTGGTTTTTACCAACCAATATTAATTCAGTTCAATTCTAGTAAACTCCTATTTCATGTCTTCCATTATAACGCATTGTGCTGGAATGCCTGCTGTGCCTCTCCCACTTTTGTGGCCGAGCGCAATACACATGGGACAGCAAATAGAGGTTTAGAAAGGTTGAGTGATGTTCTCTTTGGCCTAGAATGTGTTGAAGAGTCTGGGAGGTAAAGTCATGGTCTGGCACACTGGTAGAGGAAGAGTGACTGAAGGGATTCTTGACCTTTCTGTGAAGAACACGGCACAGGCCCTTTGCCTGCTTAGTGTCCCATTCCCTATTGTGACAAACGAGGTATAACTAAATTCCAGCATTTCTCAGGTCCTTTCATGTTCTAATCATCCGAAGAACCCTTTAGCTAGTTAATAATTCCTTTTCATCCTAATAGAGCCTTAGAGAATAATTTCGATCATAGTTAAGCACAGTTAAGTCAAGCAGAGTTAATTAATAGGCATTTCATGTTTCGTATGCCAAGTATTTTTGTAGATGGGGATGAGCCCTGGAACAGGTGTCATAGACATGTTATTGTGGAGGTATGTGTGTGTGCCCAGATCAGGAAGGAACACACGAGGACTGGGTAAAAAGGGAGAGAAAAAAAGAGAAGAATGTGAAGGAAGGTGACTCTAACCTGACTGAGAGTAGTGTTTCTTTAGAGGGGGGACTACAATTTGTATTTGTGATTGGAAGAGATTATGTAAAGTGCTGAACTGAAGGAATGTGTAAAATGTACATAGTGATGAAAGATGGGAGTTTGGTACTGAAAGTATCTGGTGGAAATGGAGCAATGGCTGGGGCATGTTTTCAGTCTAAGTGACAGAAAGGCAGGTAAGTATATTTTTTGCTGCTCTGACTTGCAAAGATTAATAGTGTATACGTGCCAACTAAAGGTTCAATATTAAATTTCAGAGGGGTTATCAAAATAACTACTGCATTATTCCACTAGAAACGCTCAGTAAACAGAGTACTTTATTTCTTCTTAAAAATTAAAGGCTTGATTGTTAAACGTTACACTTGACATTTGATTAGCATGACTGTCAAAATGTTCTCTGTCTTAGGGGTAATTAAACATTATGGGAAAGCATATCCCATTTTCAAGAGTAGCTTTTTGATCAATACTACAGAAATATCACATATCGGAAAAACATATATGATTTGTTCATATACAAGTCAGAAAATTACACTAATGATTTAATTTACATTCAACCCCAGCCGTCTATTTTACAGGCAGAAAATTTGTGCTTCCTGTAATTGCACAAGCAATTAGGCATTTACACTCTAAAAATTAAGAGAAAATGTCTGATTGTGTATGCAATATCTGTGCCCACAACTAACAGTGGCTACAAACAATCCTGCTACCAAAATGAAAGCCAGGGATAAAAAGCCGGCCCCAAGTCATTGCCCTTTTGGAAGCCTGGAACATGCTTTGCTCATAACTTCAGTGGCTTTGAAAGTTCTGTTTTTGACAGACATAAGCATTAGCCTGTAGTGCTCCTTACAATCTGAAGTACAAATTATTATCATTTAAATAAAGTGGAAATGGTGACAAATTCTGAACAATTTATTATAAAGATATATTATATTTGAACATTTTCTCTGGAGTATTTTACACCAATCATGTTGGAAATTTATGTTAATATGACTGCCTGATTTTTAAAGTTACATTTCCTGCTCTTAAAGCCCACCCAGAATTTGTCTCTAGTCACTTTACACCTCTTCAAATGACACCCAAATATTTACAGCCCCAAAAGCACCACAGGAATTACATGAAATGCATTACATTCACAAAAAGCTGTCGTAGAAATGAACAAAGGATGATTCTGTGTCTTTCCATCTAAAATGTCTATTTTGTTAGTATACCACTGAATTTAAGTTGTGTTTTTCTCACTGTAATATGGAAAATATGCTTTCTGTGTTCAATGCCTATCTTTCAAAGTAAGAGTTAGGAAGAAAACAGTGTCCATTTGCTACTGAGTGTCTTCACTCAATGTCTCTAAATAAAAGCTAAAGACTTAAGACCCTGATCCAAGTTAAATGCCCTCCATGCAGTAATCAAATTCAGTGATTAAAAAAAAAAACAGCTGTTAAACACAAAAATCTATGAGATTAAATTTTGCTATAACCAAATACTGAAAAATCTCTCCTTTTGCTAGACCTATTTAGAAGCTCATAAGAGTAGCCAAGCACAACCAACTCTTAATTCTACTTTACTCTCTCAGTCTGATATTCCAGCCATTATTTTTGTTGTTTTTCAAAAAATCTAACTACCCTTGCACTTATGTCATAAAAAATTCTGCCTTTTTTCCCTTTTTTAATATTTGTATTCAAGACAAACAACAGGAGGTTGAAATCAGGCCATTTAAAAGAAACATCTGCTGACATTTATTCATATGCTACATGTTCCACTTTCATCATTGAATGTAATGATAAACACACATTCCAGTCAATAATGGCAATTCCCAGCCAAGCTTTACAAATGGTCTCTTTAACACCTAAATTGACAGCTCGGGAGATTTTGAGATAGAAGCTAAATATGGTACATTTGGACACTGTTTGTCTAAGTCTAGGATGTCTTGAAGACTTTAATAAGCAGGCATACATTATAAAATAGTAGAAAGTCTTGACTGTGCAGGTATTGGAGCAGTTAAGTTTGACATTTTTTTGAGCAGATTAAATGCAGAAAAAAAGAGAATCTCTCAAAAACAAATGGGCCCTTTGAAGAATAAAGTAAAATAAAGCTTTGACCCACACTATGTGGAGAATAGCTTCAAGAAAAAAAACTAATTGCATATCACTAAAATTATAGATCTTAATTGCAGAATGCTAAATACGTTAAATATTTATTTTGAGTCACAAGTTAATTGAAATAAACTCTGCTTTGGGTTTCAATTATTTTAAGAACATTTTAATAAAATATGAAATGTGTTTCATTTATTGCTTGCAATGAGTAATTATGTCAGCTTTTAATTTGCTAAGGATATCTTTCAAAACTATGCCATAGTTTTTGGTGCCTATTCCTCATTTTTCCTCAAAGGGAATCTTTCACAGCAAAGTGAATTAACACTTAAGGTAGCCATTAGAGATCCCATGGTAGGTTTGAAATTGGCTTGAGTCTCCACTGTGAGGACATATAAATACATGTTCCTCTGAGACATTAAGGATTCCATTTTATGTGTATCTTTTATCCGTATCCCTTTACATTTTAGTTCAGATTGATTAACCTTATAACTGAATCATAGACTGTGTTCCAGCCAAGCAGAAAATCACAGCTTTGCCCAGCTCCGTCATGTGTGAAGAGTTTTTCTTTTCAAAACTCTGCTGTTACTGTGGTTTAAAACAGGTCACTTGATCCTTGACTGAAAAGAATCTAGACATTTAACAAACTATCTCTGAAACATAATGAGAGTTTTGTAAAGTTATCTCATACAGTGTCATCCAAAGAACGAGTCACACCAATCTGCAGTACTCCGATTAATGGTATTTTTCTCTGAAATCAGCTCAATTCAGGAGACAGCTTGAAATTGTTTTTTGTTTTTTGAGTTTATTTCTCTATGCAGGACAAATGGGGCTAAATTTGGAATGTCATATTACAATGCTTTCATCTGCTCCCAAGGCTTGTTAAGCAAAGTCACCAGACAAATTCTAACACCTTATTATTGTTATATGTGGAAAAATAAAAAAACCCACAGTATAAACTTACAGTCCTGTATGGCATGTGCCACAGCAATATAAAGCCTTTCTTGATCATGGTAGGTGGAGGACAGGTCACAAGGACTTCTCAGGCAATAAGATAGAGGTCTGGGTTGAAATCAGGGTTTTTATCATCAACATTTAAATTAACAGTAAGTGCATCAGAGAAAAACCTTAATATCATAATGTTCTTTTTCATAATGTCACCTCTTCTATGAATCCACTGAAATTAGTTTAATGAAATTTTCCTCCAAACACCCACTTTCACATATTCACATCTCTACTGTGCAGTAACATTATGTGGGTAAAGCAATTTGTGAAAGCTTTTGGGCAAGATTTAAAGAAACTGTTTAATTTCTACTGATACTGTATCCTAAAAGCTTTTAAACATGGATGTTTGGTGGGAGTATAACTCAGACCTGCAGCAACTGCACTTGAGCAGACTGTACTTAAGGGTAAAAGGGAGGGAAAGTAGTATGCGCTCTCTCCCAGGCCCCCAAAGCCAGAGCGGAGCGAAGATGGGACGCCAAATAAATCTGCCAGTGATTACGCTAAAGGAAATTATGATCTTGTTATAGAAACCATTAAAGGAAAACCAGAGTTGGTATGTAAATATTGTTGCATCATTATACCACTGAAAAAAACAACCTAGTGCAACATTAGTATGTTATGCAATTAACAAAATGAAAAATGAGCTGCTTGAATTTAAAGCTTTTAATGTTTTTCAAACAGATAATAAGCATTTTCAATACCAATGTAAAACATAATAGAAAAGGTCTCCCTCAAAGAGTGACATTTTTCGTCAATACTTGCTAAGCCTTAAAGAGCTGATATGCATTCGCCTATGTCTGTTATTTGTTATTTTCTAACTCATCAAACATCAATCACCTATAAACTAAAGGAGGATGAAGATAAAGACTTGCTAGAAAATCAGAAAATGTGATATTTGTGATGCTTTCAGAGATGTGTTTTTCTGATTTTGAGAAAAACGGCTTGGATAGCCAACTTGGTTTAGGCAAAAGCCTATTATTAAATATTGTAGGAAACATTTTTCATCTAAAAGTATTTTAAAATGTTAATTTAATTATTCAGAATGGAAGAATTATAAATTACAATTAATATTTCATCTATTATTCAACATTCTTATTGACTTCTGAAGAACCAGCAATTAATTTATATTATCAATTACTCTAGTAGAATCTAAAAAATAGTTTCACAGAGTTACTTACTTCATTGGAAAATGGGAAAACAAAAATTTCTTCAAAATATGTCACAAAACATTCTCATGCACTATAGTCTGCCAATATTGTGCAACGATTTTAATATATATTAATGATAACAATATTGTTCATCTTACTGTGCTACTAGCTATAGCTGAATTTTAAAAACCACAACTATTTGCTATTGAAAGCCAATGTATTGCCCAATCAAAAACAACTTCATAAAAATGAACTTACATTACCAACAATGAAGCTATTTACTTTGTAGATGATGGTGAATTTTCAGTATCAAATTCAGAACAGTAAGGAAAAATTCATATGGGCACAATGCAACTTTAATAATTTCTAAATGAATATAATTTACTGTAGGCACTAGAAAGTTAATATGTTCTCTAAAGATTTCTTTAATTTAGTTGTTGCTAATTTATTCACACTAATACAGAAAAAAATACTGCAAAATTTTTCATAACAAAAAAACTGTGCATATCTCTGTGTTTTAGCTGGCATGTGGTCCTACACAGATGGTTTGGGGCTTTCTTTGCTGCAAAACAGATGGGCCTGCACTGTCCCTTACCAATCAAAAGAGAACTTGAAAATATAGGAATATCTTTACCTACATTGCGTCCTTTAATTCAAGAAATTAAAATGCCTAAAAGTATAAATAACTGCCTATGGAAAATAATTTTTGAAATGGGATGTCATATGTTGAAATTATACAGTAACCCAGTTCATGTTTAATGCAAAAAATATAAAAACTTTGGCTTGTACTTGATACTGTTTGTAACATGCAACTATTAACTTAAGAAATTTACAACTATGCAATGACTGTTATCATGTGTTCACCTTGCCCAAAAAACACGGCTGTTTTAAAACTTCAAGTGTGGTTAAGCATATTTCAATTCAAAGTGATCATTCTAGGCAGCATCATCCATTGAACCAAGTTAGCAAACACATATGAGTTTGGTACACTTAGAACTGACATACTTTTGCAACCAAAATAGAAGCTGAAACAAAACTCCGAGTTAATCTGAATGCTTTAAGTATTACTTTAATTATTCGCAACAGAAATTTAAAAAGTATTTTGTACATTGAATCAGAATTGAGGCCTACTTTCATCTTTAAGGTCTCTGTTGAAATGTGGAAGCATGACATTCAGGATTATTAAAAGCACTTTCTTTGTTTTGTATATATCAGTAAATTTTACAAAGTAATGTGACAGCACCCTCTTATAGATAGCATCACCATGTGAGAGACAGACATCGTGGGCTCAATGAGCTTAGAATATAGTGTTGCTTATAGGAAGAACTCCCACTGCTTTTATCTCCAATATACAAATAAAGTTGTCAACATGTAATACTGCAACCAGTTTTTGATATTTTGTAAATTTTGCATTCTAACAGCGAGTAACTTTTCTGACCCTAGTCAAGGCTTTTAGAGGCTGATATTCCTCTGTGGCATTGTCCGCAAATGCCAGTAGAGCTATTTGGTCTACCTGTATTTTTTACCCAGGATAAGTGGTCTTCAGAGTACTATGCAATGTGTATTTTACTCTTCTCTAAAGTAATGTCTCTAATGCTTAACCATAAGGAAAAAAAAAACTATATATCTATATATTTACATGAATGCTTATACATATGTTTATATGTATTTACAACTATACATCTATAACTGTATATAACTATACTTATAAAATCCTATATAGATATATCTATAGGATATATCTCTATCCTTCCATCTCTATATCAAGATACATATATATCTTCATTCCTTGCAACTGTTTTACCAAGGAATACAGAAAGACTTGTTCTCTACATATAAGCAGCATATCTTAAATTGGTTTCTGTTTATAATGTTTAGATTCTAAAAAGCAACTGAGTATTTTTTCTTTTGTCTGTGTGATGCAAAATAACAGCTTTGCTTATATTTTTTCAATTACATGAAAACCAGTGTCTCTCATAGATCTATGATGAAAGGTTTTGCCAGGCTAGTAAATGTAAATAAAACTATAAAATAAATATTTTTAAGACAAGTAACTGTTCCCAAGCACTCCTAAATACTTTGGCAGCATCTACATAAATAAACAGTGATATGGTAATTACAAATAATTTTTATCCATTCTTTAAAAATAGTTTCTAAAGATGTCTTCTAGCCTAAACCTAGATCAAATTACTGCAGTTAAATAAAGTAAGACCACAATCTTAAAAAGGTCCCACACTTTAGTTTTCTAATAAGTTAGCCTTTTAAAATATATACATTATTAAAGTTTTCTAGAATAGTTTTCCAGCAATGTACGAGTTATGAAGTTCTCTGGCTTAACATTCAGTAAATAAACATTAATTATACTATAGAACCAAGGCGCATAATCAGCAAATTTAAGTTTTGCTGCGTTAAAAATAAATCTGAAGTACTGGTAATATTCTGGCTATTCAGAGGAATCAATGTAACCCAAGATAAGAAAAAACCTAAGGATATCATTTCAGTTTTTATTACATGAAAGAAACTCTGCTTGTAATGTGGAGAACAGGTGGGTGTGGAGAAGCCCATAGTTAGAAATATTAGCTGTAGGACACCAAGTTTCAGATAATTTAGTGGGAGAGAGAAATGAATAGTTTCCAACCTAATGTGGAACTCTGAGTGGTGAGAGTCAGAGGCTCAAGCAAGGCTTTGTGCAGAAGATGAGTCTAAAGAGGAAATAAAATGTGAATCTAATTTTGACTGGGAAATGTTCAAGAAAAGATCATTATTATTTTGTGACTGATCTGACAAATGACCAAGAATTATCTGAATTTAATTCTCTGTTTTCTTTATTATTTAAACATAGAGTTATTTTAAAGTTTCGTGGGCTTTACACATTATTCCTCATGTCCTTTAGTTTATTATTTAATTAATATTTATTTATTTATTTTAAAATGTATTAACTATTCATTGTAGAAGATTTGGAAACTCTTGACTAGGTCCCCTTTCTCCCAAATTCTTACACAAAATAAAATAAAATAAAACAAAGCAAAACTCCACAAATTATCATAGGCATAACATTTAATATTTTAGTGATTTTTCTAATATATGCCTTTTATATAAAAAATATATTCATATTATGGGCTGGGCGCAGTGGCTCATGCCCGTAATCCCAGCATCTTGGGAGGCCGAAGCGGGTGGATCACAAGGTCAAGAGATCGAAACCATCCTGGCCAACCAACATGGTGAAACCCCGTCTCTAGTAAAAATACAAAAATGAGCTGGGCATAGTGGCACACGCCTGTAGTCCCAGCTGCTTGGGAGGCTGAGGCAGGATAATCTCTTGAACCCAGGAGGTGGAGGTTGCAGTGAGCTGAGATTGTGCCACTGCACTCCAGCCTGGGTGACAGAGCGAGACTCCATCTCAATGTATAAAATATATGAATATATATATTCATATATAATATATAAAATATATATAATATACATAAATATATTAAAATAAAATAAATAAAATAAAAATATATAATATATATAATATATGAATATATATTCATATTATATAAAATTATAAAATAATATTGTTTTATAAACAGATTTTTCTACCATATAATGAACAGTTTCCATATCATTAAATATTATTTTCATTGCAATATAGAATTCCATTAATGGACATGTAATTCATTTAACCCATATTCTACCACTGGGTATGTAGATTATTTTCATTCCTTTTTCCTATTCTAAGAAATGCCAGTAGGGACGTATTCTCATAGGTATGTTTTTGAAAGCACTTAAGGTATTTTGAATACACTGCTTAGCAGGATACAATAATATCTATTCTCCTCAATCAATAAATTCCTATAAATAAGTCTCCTTTCCTAAGCAGATGAAAGTATTAAACTACAAACTGTGTGCCTCATATACTAGTAGAGAATATTATACTAGCCCATCAGATTTATTTGTTTATTTTAATTCTTCCATCCTGCACTACTGCCTTGTGCATCTTACCCTAGTAATCAAAGAGCTGAGTTTTTCTGAAGAGGCACAAACTCAAAAAATCCCAGTTGTATCCTGTCACCTTATGCATGGATATTCACATCCTGGCAGCACTGTGCCAGACACCAGCACACCCATTTCCCAAATAGTCTGATTTATGTCACTGTGGAGCCAACCACCAGCCAATCCACACAGCTGGATTCAGGAATGGCCATGAAACCTCCAGGCAGAAGTTTGAAAGTCAGTATATGAGTGACTATGTCTTTTTTGCCCCCTTTGCTATGAGACCATGTCTAGGTAGAGGCTGACCTATTAGTCTCCTCCTGTAATGCACATTTGGAATATAGCCACAGCTACAATGGACAAAGGATGAGTGAAAAATTACACTCTGCTGTTGTAAGGTACTGAAATTCTGGATTCATTTGTTATGACACATTGATGATCTTCTCCTGACTAATACACTTAGAGAACAGCAATGTATTCATAGAAATAAGGAAATCTTGAGAGGCAACATCGAGAAGTGGATGAAGCCAGTCTCTTTAGGCTAAAACCTTCTTCTTGCCTCTTTCTAACCAAGTAAACTTGAAGACATTGCATAACTTTTATAGGTTCTTAACCTCCATGGAAAATGAAGATAATAGTACCTAGCCTCAAATAGTTATTATGAAGACTGTATGATATATTACATGTAGCATTTAATGTCTGATAATACATAGAAAATCTTCAATATATATCAGCTCATTTTTAAAACTAGCATTAGTAGTTTTAAGCAGAGATTACAGCAGTAGAGAATTTGGGTTTTAACTCAGAAACACCTGGCTTCAACTCTCAATTCTGACACTCTCAGTGTAAATTTGTGTTCATAACTTGAGTTTTCTGAGCCTTTGTTTATTGACTTACAAAGTGAGGATAAGAATGCCTACCTATTGTATCACTGAGGCGATGAAATAAGTTTGTATGTATAGGGAGCACAATGCAGGGCACATTGGAAACACACAATAAATGATGATGCTGTTATGATTAAAAATCAATAGTGATCATTTTAAAAAGACTCTGAATGATGGAAAGGTACTTTGGTGGCCATATTTGGCCATCTTCTCTGGATATTAGAATCTCAATTTGTTGCTTTAAAATCTGCTGCTGTAATCCCAGCACTTTGGGAGGCTGAGGCGGGCAGATCATGAAGTCAGGAGATCGAGCCCATCCTGGCTAATATGGTGAAACCCCGTCTCTACTAAAAATACAAAAAATTAGCCGGGTGTGGTGGCGGGCACCTGTAGTCCCAGCTACTCAGGAGACTGAGGCAGGAGAATGGCGTGAATCTGGGAGGCGGAGCTTGCAGTGAGCCGAAATAGTGCCACTGCACTCCAGCCTGGGTGACAGAGTGACAGTCCATCTAAAAAAATAATAATAATAAAAAATCTGCTGCTAAACTTCTAAATCAACTTGATGGGTCAACTCTGATTTTATGCACAAATTTCATGTAGCATGACTGCGAGAATCATCTTTGATCTGACCAAGAATCTCTTTAAATAATTAAACCATGTTGAACTACATAAAATATGTGTTATACAAAATGTAATCATCCATTAGTCAAATCTGTCTAGTGAAAGAGGATTTCAAGTGTTTGCTGAGAGACAAAGAACAGACAAAGAAGTGAACCTACCTGGTTTATAGTCTTGATTCACAAAAACAGGCCCTATGAACTTGGAGAAAACTTATGGGTACAAGTTTTCTCATCGTTAAGCTTACTTTGTCATGGTTCATTAGGCAATGACTGAAGTAGGAGAAACTGTATATTTGATTTCCAACACCCTGAGGTGATAAAAAAGATAGTTTTTGTCATATAATTTCAGCATAGTTTTCTCTTCAAATGTAGAACTGCGTTGAAACTATCAAATATAAGTGACTTTTGAAAGTGCCAATAAGCTAGGACCTTACTTTGCATGGCTCCCATGGTTTTTGAAGTTCTTAAGTAAATTCAAAGTAAGCGACACCAGCATCACCATAAGTAATGATGAGTAAACAATCCCACTTGCCAGCTCCATGCCTAGGTTTTCCTCATTGTAGTGAATGTTGTGATGTGAGCATGAAAGTAGGAAAAAACTATCACTTTTCAACAACGGTATTAATTTTTTCAAATCTTTCATTTCTCATTTTAATACCATCCAATATTTCTTCATTTTCCCCCATTACTTGTGTGGTTTTTTCCCAAAACTTCTCAAATTATTTGCAAAGAGCCCCTTTCACAGAAGTAAAATCCAACTTAAATAGAGAATATTTAAAATGGGACATAAGGAGAAAATGTAATTTAAATTAGATGCATGGATATGCTTCAGACATCCATAAAAATGTAAGATATGGATAGAATTAGTTTTAGTTTTAGTTTTATAATACCATCAGACCTCAGGTATCTATTTTTATGACCTTGAACATCAGGAAGAAAATAGTAAAAAACATTTAGTTCAAGATCTGAGTGTTTGCAAACATCCAGATGTTTGTTTTTGTATAACTAATGCACACTTAAAACTTTTTTATGTCAGTTATATTTGTAAAACATTGGCACTTTTATTTTTATTTAGAACTAGAAGGAATAAGTGGAAATCAGGAGAAATATTAAAGACATTCCAGTGTCACTGAGCATGCCGAAACCTGAAAACATGGTAAGTTTATTGCTTTGCCAAATAACAAAGCCTTCTAAAAATGACTTAAAACTTTCCATGCAGGCAAGGGGCATTACATTAGGATGTCTTTGTATTGTGGACCAGCGCAGGGGTATCTATCAGAAACAGACCAGCAAATATTTACTCTCCTAAGGTAACAGCAGGTGAAAGGCAAAATAGACAAAGCAAAAACTGAAAAGATAGACAGGGAGCTAGAACAGTATGAGTGATGCTATGAAAGCCCCAAGCCATAGTGATACTTATAAGTCTGGCTAAGAATACAGTTTAGAGGGAATCTAGGTTGGGTGTGTTAATAAGCCTGGTATATAATTAACTCAGAAAAGTGATGGTGGGAGGCTTAGAGAAGGACTTTGGAGGGCTTTGAATATCAAGTCAGAGTGTGGAGTTTCTTCTGGAGACAGTGGGAAACCAAGATAGTTTGTGAGCAGGGGTTGATATAAGCAGAGTGATGCCATGAGAAGATTGATAACCTAGCAGCAATGTGAAAAAGAGAAGTGTATGGAGAAGGTTCCCTGGTTTTCATATAACAAGGTGCCATCAAGACACAAAGGGACTTTTTTTTAAAGCTTTATTGGCAGAAATCTTATATACCTAATTCTGTTTTCTTTTAGGCTTTAAAATCTGCATACATGGCAAAACATTATGTTCAATCTTAAATTAATATATATTTTTCACATTGAGTTCACAAAAAAAAATTGGGGGGGTCTCATTGCAAATCTTTCTCTTTTGACAAAAAAATCTTCCCTGTGGTTAGTAACATTCAGCAAAAGCACTAATGTAGAATAATGTGAACATCTAAAGAGAAGTAACTACTGCAGTCTAGAAAGCCTTACTCAGTCTCTACCCTTTCACGTAAAATTAAAAAAAAAGACCAACACAAATACTTAATCATGAAATCTCATAGTAGCTTTACTAGTAATTAGAAAGGGCCTATAACATTGTGATTATATAACTAGAGAAGCAGTATATTATCACAAGTCATTTTTCTTCTTTCTGAAGAAAACAAATATTGCCATTTCACTTGAAAACTTGATGATATTCATTCATTTCTTCCTGTGATGAACAACATTATTAACTATAAACAGGTAAGTGGAACACAAATGAACCACTGATGTGTTTTCCAGAACTGCCCTTGACAAAATTTTGACACTTTTAAACTTACAAATGTTGGCTCTGTTCAGTACATATACAATACAATTTTCATCCTTTCTAAATAGCATCAAGAGAGGCAGAAACATTCTGAATCTTTAAGCAGATAACTATAATTACTATAAAGTTTTAAATATCATCTCTTAAAACATATTTAAATTATAAATGCCATAGAGGGATTTCAAATATAAGAAATTTCAAATACAGTTAAGGCAAGTGTCATTTCCTTTTCTATTTGTAACTTGTCTACCTTTCACAAAACCCCACAAAGAAACATTTTGTCAAGTAACGATATAATAAATTTGACTTGTGATTTGAAGTGTTAAAACAAAGGATTTTTTTCAATACAGGTAATATAAGAGGGTTTTCTGCTGTACTGTTTCAGAACTCTTTCTCAGTAAAGAAACCTTATCTAATCCTGTTTCATCCTTTAAAACTGCCTACACACTAATCTCAAGGGACAAATTTAATACTTTGCAACAAAGAGAATATATCCCTTTTCAGTTTGAATAGAGGAATTGTTAGGACACCAGTGAGGTATGAATAACATTATAATGCTGCCATTTACTTGGCAAAAGAAAAAGAAAGTCTCTTGTTGCAACCAGAAAAGAAGGCTTCCTTCTTTGGGTTAAATTTTTTGACCCCTGGTATATCCCCAGACACCTATGTTACTGTGCTATTTGGGTCTTCTACCTCTTGCGAAGTAAACACTGAGCAAATCTAAGTAAACAGTTTGTTTTAGTTGAAGATAGAAAGACTCCATTTAATTGAGTTTTGATGATAGATGTGCTCCAAATGGTGCAAACAACTTTGACATGGTAAAATAATATTGTCTTACGGCATGTGTAACACTACATAAAGAATCTTAGCTTAGCACTTTCTGAGTTTACAACATTTAAGTGAGAAAATGACAAAAGAAAGCCAAACTGTCAGAAACAGAAAAACCTTTAACAATCCTAAAATACAGACTATAATTCTCTTCTTTATTCATTTGATTTTGGGAATAATCTTTGCAACAGAAGGAGGGAATGAGAAAGCAGCTGAACTTTGTACTTAAGAAACTTTACTTTTCTGTGGTCCACTGCATAGAGTTGAAAATGACACCACAACTAACACTTGAGCATTGATTCTATGATGTGGTTGTGGGCAAGTGGTTGAGGCAAATCAACATGTCAAGGAAGGTAAACTCTAACCGAAAAAAATCCTTCTCTACTGTTTTACCTACTACCACTTATTGATGATTTTACGTAAAAAGTATATTGTTATTAAAACCCCATCCATCCATAGAAATTAAAAATTCAAAGTCTTATTTGATAAGTCTCTACATAAAGAAGATGCCTCATTTTAAACATTCATTATAAACCAGCTAATTTTGAAATGGCAAAATGCGGGTGTTAGATTATTGTTAAACTCAACAATCAACATTTTTATTCTCTTATCTTCACAGTACAGCTAATTCTTTTGCCAGCTTTTGATAAATGTCTTCTTAAATATAGTCTTACTAAACATCAAGTATATATATATATTTTAAACTTTCTATATATATCTATCTTAAACTTTTTAAAAACAAACTTCTTTGAAGAGTTACTTTATTTGATTTTATTTACATAATATGGCTAATCTCATTTGTACTGTTTTCACATACGTATTACTCAGAATTCACGTCATCACAATGGCTCCTGCTAAATACAGAACAGTATCTTTTGGGATCAGATACAAGATCTCATGTAATTTCAAAATCAGAAGAGGTCAATCTGTAGCTGAACAAGTGATTTTGGTTAATTATAAGTTATCATCCAAGATTTTCTTGACATTCTCAAATCAATTCTACCCGTAGTAAAGTCAGAATGTTTCTAAGTCCCATTCAACAAGACTGGAAAAGTAAATATATCAGTGATCCAATATTTGTAAGAGAAGTTGTAAACTTTGAATACACTATCTGCTTCTCAACAGGAACTTGTTTTCTTAATTTTATTTTTCTTTTGTATTTTCAACTTCTCCCTCCCACCCGATTCTTGGCTTTGTGCATCAAAATATTTTCTCCTTGGCTATACATGGCAGTCCACGCCTGTAATTCCAGCTACTCAGGAGTAGGAGGTGGGAGGATCACTTGAGCCCAAAAGTTCGAGACCAGCCTCGGCAACAAAGCAAAACTCTGTCTCTGAAAATTAAATAAATATTATCACCTCTCTTTTAAAACTCAAAAACTCTTAATAAACACTTCACAATCAACTAACAAGTCTATGAAATAATGCGTAATTTTATTAGTCATCAGGAAATTGCAAACTGAAAACTCAAATTAAAACTCACTCTAGAATTACTAAAGTTAAAAAAGGTGGAAAATATCAACTGCTAGAAAGGATGTGGAGCCACTGGAACTCATGTGAACTGCTGGTGGAAAAGATAAATGATACAGTCACATTGAGAAACCGTGACATTTCCTTTCTTTTTTTTAAACTTTTAGGTTCATGGGTACATGTGAAGGTTTGTTATATAAGTAAATTCGTGAAGATTTGTTATATAAGTAAATTCATGTCACAGGAATTTGTTATATAGATTATTTCTCAAATATATACTTAGGCTATAATCCATTAGTCAGTCCTAGAAAAATAAAAAGATAGGGTCAAACAAAGACTTGTTTACAAATGATAGACCAATAGTCACCAGTGGATGACTAACAATATATGGCATATTCATACAGTGGAACCCTACTCAACAATACGAAGCAGCAGACTACCGCTACACACCACCAAGAATATTATATTAAATGAAAGAAGCCAGACAGAAAAGAAAATGTGCTGTATGCTTCCGTTCATATAAAATTCTAGAGTTAGCAAGCCGAAGTTATAATGATGGAAATTAGGGGATCAATTTCCTTTGGGGACTGACCTGAAAGAAGCATAAGGGAGCTTTTTAGGATCATGAAAATGTTTTATACCTTGGATGAGCTGGCGGTTACTTGATTGTCTTGTTTTAAAAACTATTTGAACTGTACACTTAAAACCTATGTATTTTCTTGTATGTAAATTGTAACACAATTTAAAAAGTGGGAATTACAATCCTGTTTTTATTTCATATAAAATCCATCTCTTTCAACAGCCAGACTTCTTGAATGGGTTGCTTTTATTTGCGTTCTCCATTTTCTTACCTTTGCGCAGCCTTAAACTCAGTCATTCACTACAGTAATCCCCCACCCATATGCTGTTCCTCTTTTCCAAAATTACCTTCCCCTGGATGATTTGGCTTGGCTAATCCTACTCATTCTTTTGATTTCGACCTAAACATCATCATCTCCTAGCCCTCTAGACCACACTGAGTGCTATGGATATGTATTTCCATAGAATCCTTTACTTTCATAATACAGCATTCAGCATCTCTTCTTATAATTACTTGCTTAAATTATCTCTCTTTACACTAAGCCATATGCTCTGGGCAGGGATGTTTATTTTGTTCACCCCTGAATTATCAGTACCAAGCAATTTGCTTGGTACATGATACTTGAAAAGCTATCTGTCGAATGAATAAATAAGTAAATGAATGAGCCATCTCTCATACTTTTCATATACTTTTTATCTCTCGTACTTTTCATATATCAGCTCTATCACTCTTCCTTTGATTTATTTCTATTTTCTCTTCCACAATTCTAGTGAGTCCTTAACATCTCTTCCCTAGGCTTTTGTAATACGTTTCTAACAGATCCCTAGGCCTCTGGTCTCTTGTGTTTCTAATCTAGTATTTGCATTGCCACAAGAAACATCTACCTAAAATGTCTGTTAACTTGTCATTTTTTTTCTCTTTTCAGTATCTTTGATTACTTACTACATAAATAAAAAACTTTCAACATTATTTTTCTGGATCAATCCTTTATTTGTCAGGTCATATCTCAGGATATGTTTCTTGTATCTATTTCTACTTTCTCTTTACCATTTGAACTGTTGCAAACCTCAACTTCTTTCTACCTCCAGTACCTTTCCATTCTAGTGCATTTTCCACAGAATTGACAGTGTTATCTCCCCATAATAAAATTTGATTAAATTGATTGTTAGTTTAAAACATTTTATTGGCCTGCTATTGTCTACAAAATAACATTTACAGTTCTTAATTCTGAAAAAAATGACCTCTATAATGTGATTCTTTAAAAAAATTGTTCCAAAGTAAGGAACTACAAATGTTATTTTCTAAACAATAGCAGGCCAATAAAAGCCTTTAAACTAACAAGGGATATAATCAAATTTTATTTTATGGGGAGATAACACTGGCAGTTCTGTGGGAAATGCACTAGAATGAAAAGGCACCAGAGGTATTCCAAATACTGTGATTTGATCAGCACACATTGTATTCTTGTATCAAATATCACATGGACCCCATAATGTGTATTTGTAATACCTATAAATAAAATATTACAAAAAATTTGCACATACTATTCGTTTGTTTTGTTTTGTTTTGTTTTGTTTTTTGAGACGGAGTCTCGCTCTGTCGCCCAGGCTGGAGTGCAGTGGCGCCATCTCAGCTCACTGCAAGCTCCGCCTCGCCGGTTCACGCCATTCTCCTGCCTCAGCCTCCCGAGTAGATGGGACTACAGGCACCCGCCACCACGCCCGGCTAATGTTTTGTATTTTTAGTAGAGACGGTGAAACACCGTGTTAGCCAGGATGATCTCAATTTCCTGACTTCGTGATCCACCCGCCTCGGCCTCCCAAAGTGCTGGGATTACAGGCGTGAGCCACAGCGCCCGTCCCTGTTCTTTATTTTTTAAGGTCTATTTCTCCTTTCCTCACTTTTAAATACTCAATGAAATGTCATATTTTTAGTGACCTCATACAAGTCCCCAAGCTTGGCTAATTTTCTTGCTTGTTCTTTGTGCTACCCCATTACTTAATTCATGTTTCCACAACACTCCCATGCTGTATCATAATTTTTTCTTTTCATATTTGTTTTCCCTTGTTAAGACTATGTTTTCTTGAGGGCAACAATAATGTATTATGATTTTATTTTTATTCTCTTTACTTAGTACAATGCTTGGGATAGAGCGATAATCAACGAATATCTGTCGACTGAATGCACTAATAAATGATGAATTCATTCCAGTTTTGAATGTATTTGACCTTTTCGCAAGCCTTGATTTTACTTCTGTGGTTTGCTCAGCTTGGATTGCCTTTCTAACTCTGTGATTAGTGAAAATCTATATCTTTTAAAGGTCTGGTTTGACTGATTCTTTTTATGTGGCACTCTCCCAACCCTCTTACGTGAGAATTAATTGTGCCTGCCTGTATGTTCCCTTGGTGGCTGTTATGTATGTATCCATTATTTAACTCAACAAACATAATATAGTGAACTGGCTATATGGCAGGCACTATGGATGCTATGAAGGTGACAGCAGAGAATGTGACCTGCTGGCTACCATTGAGAAGTTCATAGTGTAATGGAGAAATGCATTTGTAAAAATATAGATACAACTTAATCTGTTAAATGCTATAACCAAGGTGAGAACAAAATGCTATAAGATCAGAGAGCTTGGAAGAATTAATGTGACATGATTCATAGGCAATGATTCATAGACTGGTTGAGATCTGAGCTGGTGCTTGAAAAAGGCATAGGAGTGTGACAGGAAAATAGGTGGTTGTAAAGATATTCTAGGCAGAAGAAACAGCCTTTGTAAATGCACAGGTTCATGAGAAAGGATTCTGGCAACTGATTCACCCTTTTTATCCTCCACAATGATCTGAACTTCTTGTCCATGCATATAACACTTTTGAACTCTAGCGAACAACTTACTAACTCTCAGCACTATAGACTCCAGTCAGCCTCTTCAATACATTGGATTTGGTGTCACCTGGAATAGTAAAAGCCTTAAAATTCTTAATTCCAATATTTCCCTCTCATACTTCCAATTCATCCACTTCCTTAACCACATTTATTTTCTGTACTTGTCATGATCTTATGACCCTCCAATTCACATTACCTCTCTTTTATGTGTCCCCCTTTTTTGTTTTCCATAAGAATGTCTTGTTAAAAGAGTAACTTAATAATTTCAGAAAAATAATAACCAGAATTTCATGTAGAACAATTTCCTTTTTTTTTTTTCACAGTATCATTAGTTTATCACATAAATTGCCTAGTACTCTTTATCTGGAAATTTGCAGACATCATTCCTAAATTGGTCTCGATGTGGTGATTGGTGCATTACAAGTGAATAACAACAGTAAATAATTCATAATCAAATCTCCCTTGAAGACATAAGTAAACATATAAATAACTGTAATAAATTAGAAGGGAACATGATGACTTTGATTTGATTGACAAAACTACCTGATGCTTTGTCTCCAGGGAGACATCATCAGGCATGATGCAGATTCTCCACTGCAAATTAGAATTCTATGCACGACTTTGTTCTGAAGCTCAATTAACTTTGAAATTTAAAAATGCTTTACAGAACCAGGCTTGGGTTGATGAAAAGTAGAGTTATTAGTTTTAACCACAAAATAGGATATATTTCCAAACTATATTGAAAGACCAAGATAAACTAACATGAAACCAAGCTTTCAGGAAGTAACTAATGTATAAGAGAAAATAACAAAAGTCTCAAATGTTCTGTTAACAGTTTTATTTTGTTTTTGTTTTTAAGTTATTGTTGTTTTGCATCTGGCTTTCTGTTACATTTCTGTAACATTTCTGTAGCTATGTGGCTTTTAGTACTTTTGGTAACATAAAAATTTCAGTCCCGCATAGACATACTTTTGTAAACATAGGCGTATTTATTTCTGCCAAATAGAGATAAAGAGAAATAAGTTTTCATACCAAGCTATCTTTATATTTTGCAAAAGAAGCCACATTGAGCCATTTAAAACAGAGTACTTAATTTCCATCTCCCCACTCCACCATCCCCATCAAATGTTGTGTCTTACCCTAGTCTCCTTTTCCTTTCTTCTGCCCTAGGACATGAGCCTTTTTGAGACTGTGGATGAAATCACACAGAATCCAAGGTTTAACTTGGCACCAGAAGATGGTGCCAAAATTGCTACATTAATTTAAATAGCACACTCCTTTTAGAAATAATAACTTTATTTATTTTTTTCAGATAAATTATTAACCAAACAACACTGAAGTTCATTTAATTTTTGGCACGTGTTTTGCTTGTGGAGAGTGTGATGATAAAAGAAAACACCTCAAGAGGCGGGCTCATTTTTAGGACTTGTTTACAAGGTTATGACACACTCCCATTTATACGTCTAAGAATGCATTGCATTTTGTGAGTGCTTATCTCATTTATAAATAATGATGATGTGGAACTTCACCTAGCAGCAACATAAAATTCTATGGATTCAGAGGTAGTATACAGATATTGGATAAAATCTGTAGCCTCTGAATTGTGATCCCATCTCTGCCTTAGTTTAAATCTGACTTATGAGTCTCTTAGATTCTACAGGTTCTTCTTGTGAAAACAAACAAACAAACAGAGAGTAAACAGCACTCTGCTTTCTTCAATGTTATTATGAGAAACGAATGGGATAGGTAGTATACACGCAAATATATATTTTACTTTTCATTTTAGCATGTTACGATGAAAAATTCCAACATATCCACATGTTGAGAGAACAGTATAAAGAATCTCCATGCACTCATCCCCAACTTCCATGAATATAAATTCAGGGCCAATTTGTGGCATTTATGTTCCTATCTACTTCTCAGTTTTTTATGTTTATTTTTATTTTTTGAGACGGAGTCTAGCTTTGTCACCCAGGCACCCAGGCTGGAGTGCATTGATTTCAGCTCGCTGCAAACTCCACTTTCCAGGTTCAAGCGATTCTCCTGCCTCAGCCTCCTGAGTAGCTGGGATTACAGGCATGCACCACCACGCCCAGCTAATTATTGTATTTTTAGTAGAGACGGGGTTTCACTGTGTTAGTCAGGCTGGTCTCGAACTCCTGACCTGGTGATCAGCCTGCCACAGCTTCCCAAAGTGCTGGGATTACAAGCGTGAGCCACCACGCCCGGCCTCAAAATTGTTTTTAAGCAAATACTCAACATTTTATAATTTCATCCATAAATATATTGGCATTTATGTCCAAAAACTATGGTCTCATAAAAATCACAGAACCGGCTGGGCACGGTGGCTCACACCTGTAATCCCAACACTTGGAAGGCCAAGGCGAGCAGATCACTTGAGGTCATGAGTTTACGACCAGCCTGGCCAACACAGTGAAACCCTGTCTCTACTAAAAATACAAAAATTAGCCAAGCGTTGTGGTGTGTGCCCATAATCCCAGCTACTTGGGAGGTTAAGACAGGAGAATTGCTTGAACCCAGGAGGTGGTGGTTGCAGTGAGCCAGAGATCACGCCACTGCACTCCAGCCTGGGAAACAGAACGAGACTCCGTCTCAAAAAAGAAAAAAAATCACAGTACCATTATCACAGGTTAAATAATTAAATAGTAATGATATAATACATCAAAAGTAACAATCTAATATATCAAACAATACATCAAATAATCATTGATAAAATCCAGCATTCAAATTCCTCCTCTTTTCTGATAAGTTTTTGCAACACTTTGAATGAAGATCCAAATAAGGTCCATATATTAGCGTTTGTCCATAAATTGTGATTCAATGTTGTTTTAAACTATGAGTTACTCCGCTCCTTTTTTCACAATGCATTTTATTTGTTGGAGAGCCTCATTTATTTTCCTCATTGTGTCAACAAGTGCTGTCTTCTGTATTTCTTGTAAATTATGGCTATATCTAGAGCCTTAGTAAAATTTATATTTTACTTTTCTCTTATTCCAAAATTGTATTCCTAATATTATTTTTTTAAACATTATTTTCTCTACAAACAACTTTCCCCTACTATTTCTATTAAAATTTTTCAGTCAGGGCAAACCCATGTGATATACTAAACAAGAATAGACATCATAATGCTCTGAAACCTACCTTCCCATATGTTTAATTTACGACCAAGAAGGAATTACTGAGTTGTACTCATTGCCTCTCCTCCTTCCCAATGAAACAATAAGTGTTCAGAGTTATGATGAGTATTTATGTTATTATCCCTCCATCCTCGTTTCTTTCTTCTTCTTATTCTTATATATATATTACAATCTTAATTGTATTTCACCATTTGAACAATGTAATACTGAATTACATATATGAAGATTATAAAGCATGATGATAACATGAAGATGATAAAACAAAATAAAACAAGATGATCTTCTAGATGTTACATTGAGTGTTACACTAGAACATCAATGTAACATCTAGAACATCATGAATATGGCCTCACTCCCAGTCCATCCTATCTCACTGCCTACTTTCTCATACGCAAGCACTGTTCCTTTGCTTTATAAAAATCAGTTTTATTATATGTATAATATCCAAAAACGTTATTAGAGTTTACTTTTTAAAGCTTTATCAAAATGATACAATATATAATAGTTACCTGGAATTGAATGTGTTTATTCAAACTGTTTTAAAGTTTCATCCATGTGGTTGTTCAATTTATTTTCCCTGCCATAAACAATTTAATTTAGCCATTTATTTATTAACTCTCCTATCATTAAACATTTGGGTAGTTTCCAGTGTTTTACTGTTTCCCAAGTGAGACTGTAGATATTCTTATGGTTGTTTCTTGGTATACGTGTCCCAAAGTGTTTCTAGAGATTCTCTTCAGCAGTAGAATTGCTGTGCAATATCGTGTGCACATGTTCAATTTTACAAAATAATACAAAATTGTATCCAAAGTAGTTTGCCATCCTAACAGCATGTAAGCATCACCACTTATTAACAACATCTTCAATTTTTGGGACTACCAGAATTGCTGTTTTTTTTAAGAAAGTAGGTATGAAGAGTATCTCATTTTTGACTTAATTGACATGGCACTGATTAATAATGACATAGCATTTCGTTTTCCATGGGTTATTGCCATACATATTTCAAATCCTCTGAAATTCCTGTTCATATATCTTTCCTACTTTTGTTTTTGTTTTAGAGGAATCGAAAATCTGGTATGCATTTTAGATACTACTTTTTGTCAATTACATGTGTTGAAATTATAGTCTCTCATTTCGTGGCTAATCTTACAACTCCTTTAAGAATGGCTTTTGATGAACGTAAGTTTAAACTTTCTTTTTTTTTATTATACTTTAAGTTTTAGGGTACATGTGCACAACGTGCAGTCTTGTTACATATGTATACATGTGCCATGTTGGCATGCTGCACCCATTAACTCGTCATTTAGCATTAGGTATATCTCCTAATGTGATCACTCCCCCTCCCCCAACAACTGTCCCCGGTGTGTGATGTTCCCCTTCCTGTGTCCATGTGTTCTCCTTGTTCAATTCCCACCTATGAGTGAGAATATGTGATATTTGGTTTTTTGTCCTTGCGATAGTTTGCTGAGAATGATGGTTTCCAGCTTCATCCATGTCCCTACAAAGGACAGGAACTCATCATTTTTTACGGCTGCATAGTATTCCATGGTGTATATGTGCCACATTTTCTTAATCCAGTCTATCATTGTTGGACATTTGGGTTGGTTCCAAGTCTTTGCTATTGTGAATAGTGCTGCAATAAACATGTGTGTGCATGTGTCTTTATAGCAGCATGATTTATAATCCTTTGGGTATATACCCAGTAATGGGATGACTGGGCCAAATGGTATTTCTAGTTCTAGATCCCTGAGGAATCGCCACACTGACTTCCACAATGGTTGAACTAGTTTACAGTCCCACCAACAGTGTAAAAGTGTTCCTATTTCTCCACATCCTCTCCAGCACCTGTTGTTTCCTGACTTTTTAATGATCGCCATTCTAACTGGTGTGAGATGGTATCTCATTGTGGTTTTGATTTGCATTTCTCTGATGGCCAGTGATGATGAGCATTTTTTCATGTGCTTTTTGGCTGCATAAGTGTCTTCTTTTGAGAAGTGTCTGTTAATATCCTTTGCCCACTTTTTGATGGGGTTGTTTGTTTATTTCTTGTAAATTTGTTTGAGTTCATTGTAGATTCTGGATATTAGCCCTTTGTCAGATGAGTAGATCGCAAAAATTTTCTCCCATTCTGTAGGTTGCCTGTTCACTCTGATGGTAGTCTCTTTTGCTGTGCAGAAGCTCTTTAGTTTAATTAGACCCCATTTGTCAATTTTGGTTTTTGTTGCCATTGCTTTTGGTGTTTTGGACATGAAGTCCTTGCCCATGCCTATGTCCTGAATGGTATTGCCTAGGTTTTCTTCTAGGGTTTTTATGGTTTTAGGTCTAAGATTTAAGTCTTTAATCCATCTTGAATTAATTTTTGTATAAGGTGTAAGGAAGGGATCCAGTTTCAGCTTTCTGCATATGGCTAGCCAGTTTTCCCAGCAAAATTTATTACATAGGGAATCCTTTCCGCATTTCTTGTTTTTGTAAGGTTTGTCAAAGATCAGATAGTTGTAGATATGTGGCATTATTTCTGAGGCCTCTGTTCTGTTCCATTGGTCTATATCTCTGTTTTGGTACCAGTACCATGCTGTTTTCGTTACTGTAGCCTTGTAGTATAGTTTGAAGTCAGGTAGCATGATGCCTCCAGCTTTGTTCTTTTGACTTAGGATTGACTTGGCTATGCGGGCTCTTTTTTGGTTCCATATGAACTTTAAAGTAGTTTTTTCCAATTCTGTGACGAAAATCATTGGTAGCTTGATGGCGATGGCATTGAATCTGTAAATTACCTTGGGCAGTATGGCCATTTTCACGATATTGATTCTTCCTACCCATGAGCATGGAATGTTCTTCCATTTGTTTGTATCCTCTTTTACTTGAGCAGTGGTTTGTAATTCTCCTTGAACTCTCATTCACAATTGCTTCAAAGAGTACAAAATACCTAGGAATCCAACTTACGAGGGATGTGAAGTTGAAACTTTCAATGTAGTCATAAATATCAGTATTATTCTTCATGGTTAGGGATTTTCTAGTTTTCATTTTTATCCCTATTCTGAAGTTATAAAGCTGTTTCCCTATATTTTAAATCTAAAAATGTTAAAGTTACACTTTTCATATTGAAATTCTTGTTCCACTTGGAATTGTTTTTGTGTGTGTGTAGTGTGAGGTTGGATTCAATTTTTTTCTCCCACATAAATAACTAATTGAGCACCTTTTAGGGCATTATCCTGTATTCACAATGGTCTATAATAACACATTTATCATCTATTAAAGTTCCATGTGTAAGCATGTATCTATACATTGGCTATTTAGCCCCATTGATCTCTTTTTTTTATCATTATTTAAACATCAAACTATCCTAAATGCTTGAAATTTATGATAATTCTTGAAATCTTGGTGTGTTAATTTTCCACATTAATCCTGTTTAGGAATATTTTGGCTATACTTGATGCTTTGCTCTTCCAACAAATTTTAAATCATCTTGTGAAGCTTCTTTAAATAATATTGTTGGGATTTTTATATGAGTCACATTGAATATATATATATGGAAAATCTGTATCTTTATGATATTAAGTTTTTCTATCCATAAACATATCTCTCCATTTATTAGGTCTTCATTAAGATCTTTCAATAAATTTTATAATTTTCTCCACAAAGGATTTAAATATGTTTTGTCATTTTGTCCTCATTAATATATAATTTTTGTTATTGTAAATGATAGCTAATTATCATTATTTTGTTACTGATGCAAAACATTTGAATTGATTTTGGAATATTTACCTTGTGTCTTTTCACTTTGCTAAACTTATTTTTTAATAATCTGTTCATAGTTATTTTTTAGGGGGTTTCAATGTAGACAATCATACCATCTGCCAATAATGACAGTTTTGTTTCTACCTCCCCCATTCTCAGGTACTTAGCTTCATTTCTTAAATGATTACTTTACTATTAAGATCTATTAGTGTGCTTATAGCATGCACTTTTGACTTGTATCTAATTTTTAAAGGTATGTTTTCAAAGTTTCCATATTAAAAAATGACATTTTCTATAGGCTTTTTATAGGGAGCTGTTTTATTCTGTTCTCTCTTGCTTACAACAGAATACCAGAAACTGAGTAATTTATTTTATAAAGTAATGTATGTTTTACAGTTACAGGGACCAAGAAGTCCAACATCAAGGGTCCACCTCTGGTGAAGGGCTTCTTGCTGATGGGACTCTGTAAAGTCCTGAGGTAGTACAGGGCATCACATGGTGAAGGGGCTGTGTGTGCTAGCTCAGGTATCTGCTCTTCTTATAAAGTCACGAGTGGCACTCCCATGACAACCTATTAATTGATTAACCCATTAATAATCAATAAATGGATTAATCCATTCGTGAGGGCTTTGCCCTCATGATCTAATATGTACACTGGCTATGTACCCACAAAAATTAAGAATTAAAAAGAAGAGCCAGTCATCCGTTAAAGGCCCCACCTCTCAATACTGTCACATTGGGGATTAAATTTCAACATGAGTTTTGGAGGGGATAAATATTCAAACCATAGTAGTACCTTTTAAGGAAGTTATCTCTTATTTTTAGTTTGCTAAGTGTATTTTTAAAAATCGTAAATGCATGTTGAATTTTATTAAAACATTTTTGCATATGATAGTAGGGATATTTTCCTTATGGCCAAATAATTCTTATATTGGGATAAATTCTACTTGTTCATGATACATTTTCTTATACACCTCTATATTCAGTTTGTTAGTATTTTGCATTTATATTCACAAATAATACAATCCTTTTCTTTTTCTTATACTGATGATTTTGGTTTCAAAGTTATACCGATCCCAGGGAGTGACCTGGGAGGTTTCTCCTCCTTTTGAAACTTCTGAAAAAGTTAGCTGAAGACTGGAGTGACTAGTACTTTGAAGATTTGGCATAAATTGTCATTAACCCTGAATGATTAGTGTGAAAAAATTAGCATTTAATTTAACTTCCTATTAAAGCATTCTTTTTCTTTCTTAGTTTTCAGAAGCTGTATTTTACTGGGGTATTTTTCATTTCATTTAAATTTTCAAATTTATTGTCATGCAGTTCAGAGTATTGCTATCTTTTTAACTGCTATGAGATATATATAGTTGTATCTATCTTTTTTATTCCCAATATTATTTATTTGTGCCTTCACTTTGTGAAATTTATTTTTCCATTTTACTAGTTCGTAAAGTATTATTATTTACGGCAGCAGCATACAGTAAATGGGGTGGTGGGAGTGGTCTCGCCTGGATACAAGAGAAAGCATGGTGTGTAGAGGATAAAACACTACGATAAAACTGACTAAAAGTTGGTGTGCTTTTTATTATCATCATGGACTGGCAATCCTAAACAAAATCAGTGATAAAATACTCCTCTATTAAAAATTGCTTTGTTGTCCTACCATCTAAATGATTGCTGTGGTTACTGTTGAATTTCAAAAACACAGAAAATTTCAAATTACTATGTGCTTACTATTTGCATTATTCAACATTGTATTTGGCCTGGAAGGTAATGGAGTAACTCTGTACAGTCTACCTGTGACACATGTAGATTTAGTTAAATGACTCCATTTGGAGAGTAGATTCATAAGAGTTTAGAATTATTACATCTTATTTCAGACAGTTTGTGCTCCCAATTGCAATGGTTTACATATTCCTGTTATACAGCAGGTTCAAGATAAATAATGATAAGACATAGAGCTCAAGTTATTTCATTTCTGTCATTCTAGGTTACACTTGGAGTTCTTATTTTGTTTAAAGTTTTAAACAGTGAAGTAAAGTGTGAAGTGCTAGGTGTAAGATTACTTTTGTGAAGTGAAAAATTTTCATTTAAACCTGAAATGTTACATGGAATTTGATAATACCTCTAAAGTAAAAATTTATTCTCCTTTTTAAATGTCATCTTTTAAATTTTAATTGCTCCTTGTTATTAACTGTAATGTTTTTCATTACTGCAGCAAAATCCATAAGTACAAGTTTTTTTCTTTTTTCAATAAAATTTATCAATGTAATTCAAAAGCATTGCTTCACTACTTTTTTCCTTTTTTATGCCATAATATTTATTTTCACTATTTTTCTACTGGCCTGATTTTATATATATGTATAACATCATCGAAATAAAATATTTACTGCCTGTGTGTCTTTTCTGGCCATTATTATTAGTCCTTTCATTTTATTTTTATTACTGAAAAGTTTTGTCCCTGCAGTGTAGATCATCTCTAATGTATCTTTTTTTTTATTTTTTTTTAAATTTTTTGGAGGTTTTGGGTTTTAGATTTATTATCTCCTTCAACTCTCCATGCATTTAATTTTTCTTTTTCTTTTTCTTTTTTTTGTATATTATACTTTAAGTTCTGGGATACATGTGCAGAACGTGCAGGCTTGTTACATAGGTATGCATGCGCCATGGTGGTTTGTTGCACCCATCAATCTGTCATCTGTATTTCTCCTAATGCTACCCCTCCCCTAGCCCCCACCCCCTGACAGGCCTCGGTGTGTGATGTTTCCCTCCCTGTGTCCATGTGTTCTCATTGTTCAACTCCCACTTAGGAGTGAGAACGTGTGGTGTTTGGTTTTCTGTTCCTGTATCAGCTTGCTGAGAATGATGGTTTCCAGCTTCATCCATGTCCCCGCAAAGGATCTAAACTCATTCTTTTTTATGGATGCATAGTATTCCATGGTGTATATGTACCACATTTTCTTTATCCAGTCTATCATTGATGGGCATTTGGGTTGGTTCCAAATGCCCTTGCTATTGTGAACAGTGCTGCAATAAACCTACGTGTGCATGTGTACTTATAGTAGAATGATTTATAATCCTTTGGGTATATACCCAGTAATGGACTAAAACACAAAAGGCAATGGCAACAAAAGCCAAACTTGACAAATGGGATCTAATTAAACTAAAGGGCTTCTTCACAGCATAAGAAACTATCATCAGAGTGAACAGGCAACCTACAGAATGGGAGAAAATTTTGCAATATATCTATCTGACAAAGGGCTAATATCCAGAATCTACAAAGAACTTAAACAAATTTAAAGAAAAAAACAAACACCCTATCAAAAAGTAGGCGAAGGATATGAACAAACACTTCTCAAAAGAAGACATTCATGAAGCCAACAAACATATGAAAAAAAGCTCATCAGCACTGGTCATTAGAGAAATGCAAATCAAAACCACAATGAGATGCCACCTCATGCCAGTTAGAATGGCAATCATTAAAAAGGCAGGAAACAACAGATGCAGGAGAGGATGTGGAGAAATAGGAACACTTTTACACTATTGGTGGGAATGTAAATTAGTTCAACCATTGTGGAAGACAGTGTGGTGATTCCGCAAGGATTTAGAACCAGTAATTTTTGTTTTTCTAACTTTAGTGGCATGCTTAAGTCATTAATTCTCATCTTTTTTTTTTTTTTTTTTTTAGAGCTGTAGAGTTTTAACCAAAATTTCAAGGGTGCAATTTAACAAATATATCTTTCTTAGGTGAAAATAAAGAAGGATAATTCCTTCATCCCTTCCCTTATTTATTAGCTTTAAAAAAGGAATTGAGGCTGGGCACAGTGGCTCACGCCTATAATCCCAGCACTTTGGGAGGCTGAGTTGGGTTTATTACCTGAGGTCAGGAGTTTGAGACCAGCCTGGCCAACATCGTGAAACTCCATTTCTACCAAAAATACCAAAATTAGCTGGGTGTGGTGGCAGGCGCCTGTAATCTCAGCTACTCGGGAGGCTGAGGCAGAAGAATAGCTTGAACCTGGGAGGCCGAAGTTACAGTGAGCCGAGATCGCGCCACTGCACTCCAGCCTGGGTAACAGAGGGAGAAAGAAAGAAAGGGAGAAAGAAGAAAGAAAGAAAGAAAGAAAGAAAGAAAGAAAGAAAGAAAGAAAGAAAGAAAGAAAGAAAGAAAGAAAGAAAGAAAGAAGAAAGGAAGAAAGGAAGAAAGGAAGAAAGGAAGAAAGGAAGAAAGGAAGAAAGGAAGGAAGGAAGGAAGGAAGGAAGGAAGGAAGGAAGGAAGGAGAGGAAGAAATAAAGAAAGAAAGGAAGGAGAAGTGAATTAGTGAATTGGTTCATTAGTGTCTTCCAAAGTACAGTAAGAGTTTTTTCCCCCATTTCCCTCCCTTCCTTCCTTCCTTCCTTCCTTGTTTAAATCAACACAAAGTGGTGGATGTAAACATATTTCATGTGTTTCAATTAATGGCAGACATTATATTTATGAATATGAATATATTATGAATAATGATATCCATTGAATATCATTTGGCCAGTAATAGCCATTTAATATTTTTCCTGAGTCCATTGGAGATCATCTGAATAGGCTTTGATAGTAAATTGCTTTTTGGTATTTAGTCAGAAATTGTAGTTAAGGACAAGGGTCTAAGAGCATACATTGATACTATATTGTTCACTGTTTCAGAATCTGCCCTCTCTATCTACCCCTTCCTCTTCTAGAGAAATTTTATATATTTAGTTTGATGCTTATTTTTATAGTATATATATTTTATTATTATATAATGTAAATGTTATATTTCCATGATATTGTAATGTAAATATGATAGAATTTAAATATGTACATATTCATATATTCCCTTTCTTAGATAAACAGTGACACACCATACACCTTGTTTACCCCCTTGATATTTTTTCACCTGACATTTCTCCATAATAGTATATGGAGAATAGTCCTCATTAGTTTTCACTGTTTTTAATTCCTCCATTGTGTTGATATACATGGTTTATTCAAGCAGTTCCCCATGTGACGGACTTTTTTTTAAATTTTTTGCTATTGCAAAAAGTGTTTTAATAAATCACCATTTGCATATTTACCAGCATATTTTGGGATAGTTTCCTAGAAATGAAATTGCTAGGTCAAAAGGTAAATATATATGAAATTCAATTAAATATTACCGGTTTCTATCCATAGAAGTTATTATAGTTTGCATTCTTACCTGCAATATATTAGAGTATCTGTTTCCCAACAGGCTCACTTACAGGTAGTGTCATCAAACTTTTGTATTATGTCCATTCTGATAGGTGAGAAATGGTCTTACACTATATTCTCTTACTGTAAGAAAATTTGAACATTTTTCATAGCCACAGAACATTTAGGATTGATTGTTGGTGTGTTTCTTCTCTGTTATTATAAGTTCATTATATATTAAAATATTAGCCCTTTGCCTGTAATATAATTGCAAACAATTTCCCCAGTTGTTCTTTTTTGCTTATGATATTTTTTCCTTGTAAAACATTCTTAAAAATTTAATAAGATCTGTCATTTTTCCTCTGTATTTAAAATCACAGTTACGAAAGTTTTCCCCAGACACAAATTATAGGGCAATCAATCCATGTTTTCTTTTAGCACTTGTTTTATTTTATTTTATTTTTTAACACTCAACTCTCAGATCCTTTTGGAATGTATCCTGATATATGATGTAAAGAGTCAATTCACTTTTATTGTTTTCCAAGTGGCTACTCTTGTCTAGCCATCTTGTTAATTAAGCAGTCCACTTTCTCACTACTTATAGGAGATACTGATTTCTTAAATATGGCATTTTCATAAGCAATTAAGCCCATTTCCTCTTTTACCCTCTCCTCACTGTTTCTACTCTCTTCTTCTTAGTATTAAAATAAACCGGTCCTTCTCATTAACGATGAAGTGCACCTGCTGAAGAGTCTCAGAACTATCAGGAACACAAACAGGTGTGCACAAAATGTATGGCCTTTAAAAGATACATTTTATGTAAATGTGCATCTCTTGCTCCATGTGTCTTTAACACAGATAAAACCCACAGGTCCTATATTTAACTCAGCTACAGAGTTGTTGGGTGTTCTCACATATATCAGCTCCTCAAAGCTGAGGATTATTATGCAATCATTAAAAATATAGTATATAAAACGAGGTGGAATTGCTTCTTTTGGCAAGCAGAATCATTGGTATACATTTAATAATGCATCTATTTTAACAATCTGTTATTAAAACTTTGATACTAGTCCTTTAACTAATTTTGTCTTACATCAAATTTACCATACAAGATAAACTATACCTGTAATATGTTTTTCAAAATCACATTTAATTGTAAGATCCCAATCAACAAGTTGTTTATCATTACTATGGACATACGCACATTCAGGATTTTTCTGTGCTCTTGTTCTGCTTGTCTATGAATTACTGGAAAGTAACTATTTTTAAAAATGACAGAAGGAAGGAAAGAAAGAGAAAAGAAATCTCACAATTTTCCAAAAAATGAAGTTGAAAGAACTCTCTGGAGACTTCATTATAAATGGTTTTAGCACAATTATGCTAAATGGAATCGATATGTTTACATTGTTTTATTCAAGGTTTATCACGTTCTATTATGAAACAATGAAATGCAATTAATAAATCATCAGTTCATTTTTCTTGTTTTATTTGAAAATGCTTTGGCATATTTTAGCATATCATTTTTAGAGTAGCAAATAACTCTAATGTATAACATTAATAAACGGTGATAGACTTTACTATAAATATTGCATCTGTTGCCAAGAAAAGTTACATACAAAAACAGAGCATTGCAAACAGCAGTTCAGTAATTTTTCTTTTGGTAGTAGAGACATGGGCCTTCTGTATCATTTTAAGTATCTTTGCACTACTTGACCCTCTGCACTTGGAGAATATTGTTTTTTTTATGCATGAACAGTTTGCTGGGTTTAAGGGACTAACACCATATATGTGGTGTTGTGAGAGCCCAGATAACCAAATTGAGCAGTTTTTTCTCTCCTTGTGTTTTATTTGAGGGAGAAGAGTTGAGGATTGAGGAAAAGCTGTGACAAACTTTTCGTGTGTGCAGTCATAGCCAGATATTTTCACAAACAACAACTTCAAAAAATCAAGGCAATAGAATAAAATATTAAGATAGAACATGAAATATAAACCACCAGTCCAATGGTTTCCATGGACTAAGTTATTTTGGATTAAAAATGCTCATTGTTCTTTATTTGAAAATAAATATTTAAGTAATAAAATATGTAAGAACTCAAAATATATTGTTTTCTGGTATTGCTTGATATACCAAAGCAGATACTAATTATATTTAATTGGGATTTTTATGCAACTGTGTGACTGTACTCTGAATTTCACATAGTTTTAAATTCTGATTTGCATATTCTATATTAATTCAAAGGAAGCTTGAGACATCGTAAAGCACACAAAATGCTGTAAAATCAGAAAACAGATCAACTACCATTATTTTTAAACTTCTTCCTTCTTTTATATCAAGCTTCATGAGAAATGTAGCAAAAGATTGGAATTTCTTTTTCTACGTAAGGGGATAAAATATTTTATATGTAGTTTAACTTAAATACAAAAACAGGACTTTTATCTCTAAATGCTATTTCTATTGACTTGAGATATTTAGGTTGACTTCTAATACTACATATTCTTTCATTTGTGCCTACCCAATTCCTGATACAACCAGACAATAGGACACAGAAAATAGATGACATGGAATTGGTAACTGTAAAGGGGTGAAATAGATGAGGTCTCTGAACCTTGTAGAATAAGAAGTTGCCCATCTCATATGTTATGAAATTTTTGGAAGTCCTCCTGCACTCTCTACCTTCTAGTAAAACATGTTCCCTTCATACTGGCCTGCTTTCCCGAAGGCCTTAAATTCCCATTAGAGAATCATTTTTTTCAGAGCAGGACTTTTCTACCTCTCTTCAAAATACAAATACTATTTTTTAAAAGAACGTATTAGCTGAATAGTAATTAAAACTCAATTTATATCTTCAAATATGAACAAGTCAGTAAGCTTCAGCTCAGCCATAGATATGACTGGTAAGTCAACGGGAGGGGAATTCTGTGCAAGGGTTCCTGCCCAAAGAGGAGTAGCCTCAGTGGAGTGCTGGGGCAGAGACATCTTAATATGGAACATGGACAAAGTAAGAATAAGTTCCAAGAAATTTTCATTCACACTTACCAATTCCAACCACATCCAGTTTTTTATTCTCCTTTGGTTGTATGTTTTTTGCCCTCCAATCTACTTCAAAAAAAGTAGAAAATAAGATTTAAAGCAAATATTTTCCTTTGAAATATTTTTGATCAACCATCTTAAAATTGTTCCATCTTTTCACTGGCAAACTTTGATACTGAATGATCAGTGTTCATTATCTCCATTTTACTGATGTTCATTATCTTTTAACACTTTTGATCATTTTTCAGACTCCATCACATTCACTGAAACTTCTATGTTGAAGAGTTTTTGTCACAAAAAATGTTCTTTTTCTGACTTTACTTATTCATTTCTGTTTATAATTTAAAACTTTAAAATTTATTCTTGGGGTTCATTTTCAGTAGGTTGAGTAAGTAATACCCCTTAACTCGTGGCATATTGTCATCATTACCGATACATGCAATGCACTTCTATTATTTAATTACTTGTTCTGTTGTTCCTATACTCAATTTCCATTCTCTTCCTCAGCAGTCATTCTTATATATTTTATATGTATCTATTTTTGTGTTCTTCCAAAAATGTATATTGTTTGTGTACATGTACATTAATGTATCTAAATGGGATTGTGCTCATTTTCTATATTTTGTGACCAAGTACTCTGTTTTTATACTCTATGTCACTTCATGTACACCTCATTTGTTGCTTCCTACTGCTACATAATACTGCATAGGGTGTTAATCACACTTTACCTGTTTGTTTTCCCACTGCTGGAAATAACAAATAAACTGCAGAGAACCTTGCTGGCATTTTCTCTTTGATTTAGTCTGAAAATTCCTTGGAATATAAATTCAGGAGTGCACTTGCTAGTTCCCGGGTATACAGACACTCATCTCAGTAATGTCAGCTACTCTTCACAGGGACCGCAACAGGCTACATGCTCACCAGCGGAGCGTGGTGGTTACTCCGTTCTCACTTCACCAACATCCCTCATCAAATTCAGCATTTTCATTTTTACCAGTCCTAGGTATTAAGTGATACTTTATTGTGTCTTAGTGTTTATCATTTCTCTGTAATGCTTTGAATCATTCCTCAAATGCTTTTTATTTTTCTGCAAATGAATTTTTCATAACTTTTGTCCAATATTCCATGGGAGTTCTTTCTTTGTTGTTGTTGCTGTTGAGTTACAGGAGTTCCTTAATTGTTCTGATATCAATCATTTGCAAGATATTAATTCTTCTCCCATCTGGTTATCACTATAGTGATAGTAGTAGTAGTAGTAGTAGTAGTAGTAGTAGTAGTAGTAGTAGTAGAGGTGCCATGCAGAGACGTAACAGGTTTTCTGGGTTAAAGTCAGGGCCCTAATAGAAACTGAGTGAGACCATCTAACCCAAAATGGGAACATTGGGGAACATTTGGGTGGACAAGTCAGAGAATTATCAGCTCCCAGATGCTCCTGAACCATTGAGGATGGCAGAAGCAGCTTCTTCTCTATAGCCTCCCATCACTTGGAGGTCTGTTAGAGACCTTACCTGCGGGAAGTTTCTTGCAAAGTAATGCTTCTTCTTTTCAAGATTTCGTTTTGTTTCATCGCCTCCAGACCACTCACAAGGATCAAATTGTAGCATAGCCTGAGGGGAAAGTACAATACATTCTCCATGAGGAAATGACATACATTTGCAAATAATAGCTAGATCCAAGTAACATATGCTGTCAGCACCAGGACAAATGTAAGAGTGGAGAAAGTGGAAGATTATGTTACATAGAGGAATATCTGTTGACCCCAGGCAAAGAAAGCGGTCACGGTATTGTTGGAGTAATTTATGCTCAACACTATGAAGAACCAAAGAACACTTTGGTTGCAGACAGGGAGAAGTATGTGTGGAACCCAGAAGATTCACTTATACATATCTTGGTACTTCCACACTCAGTGAGAACTGTAAATGGTCAGTTGCAGCAGCCTTAGTCTCGACTTCATTTAGCATGGGTGGTGGGCAGGAAGATGACTGATAATTATGGTGTAATGACCAGAATCCATAGCAGGAATGGTAGCTTTCTTCTTTCTATGTTAAGTCTTTTGTAGAAAATTTGGCAGGGATCTGCTTGAAGGATTCTGTAATGCATTGGACTTAATGGAGCACCTGAGTTTATCTGAGTAGCACATGAAGTGCATGGGCCCTGCCTCACACCTGCTCAGCCTACCTTTTATACATGCCATGTTTGTATATGCAGCCTTCCTTTTATACCAGCCATGCAAGTTTATTCAATTCTGTCTCAAATAATCTTACCTCAACTTCACTCTATATTTTTCACTTTCTGCTTTGAGGATTTTTCAATTCCTTGTGTGGCGTGGTTGTGGGCATCCACTGGGCACATGCATGTGTGAACTTGAATGTGTGAGTGAGTTAACATTTCATGGACAAATCTTGACCAATGGGGAACCAGAGATGGAGGGTAAAGGCATCTTTTTCCTTTGCTGTACTAGTCTGTGTTCTCCAGAGAATTAGCTCTTGAAATTATGTAGGCTGGTAAGTCCCAAGATCCATGGGGTGAGTCATCAAGCTGGAGACCTAGGAGAGCTGATAGTGTAGCTCCAGTCCCAAGGCAGAAAAAAGCCAATGTTTCAGCTCAAAGGCTGTCATGTGGGAAGAATGCTCTCAACTCAGAGGTGAATCAGAGTTTTTGTTGTATTCAGGCCTTCAAATAATTGGATGAGGTATCCTCAAATTATGAAGGGCAATCTGCTTTACTCAGTTTGTCAATTTAAATTTTAATCTTATCCAAAAACACCTTCACAGAAACACCCAGAATAATGTTTGACCAAATATCTGAACACCCCACTGCTCTGTCAAATTGACACATAAAATTAACTCGCACAAGGCCACCCCTTGTCAGCTTGGCTGGCCATCTTCTTCCATGACCTATTCTCTATTCCCTTTACCTCAGAGAGCATTTCAGCCAAGTGTGGTCTTTTGCCTTGTAAAGTGGCCCAAACTTTTATTCCTAAAGAGTCTGGGCCATTAGGCCAGGCGCAGTGGCTCATGCCTGTAATCCCGGTACTTTGAGAGGCTGAGGCAGGTGGATCACAAGGTCAGGAGATCGAGACCATCCTGGCTAACACGGTGAAACCCCATTTCTACTAAAAATACAAAAAATTAGCTGGGCGTGGTGGTGGGTGCCTGTAGTCCCAGCTACTCAGGAGGCTGAGGCAGGAGAATGGGTGAACCCAGGAGGCGGAGTTTGCAGTGAGCCGAGATCATGCCACTGCACTCCAGCCTGAGCGACAGAGTGAGACTCCGTCTCAAAAAAAAAAAAAAGAGTGTAGAGTCTGGGCCATTAGTAGTCCTACCTGCATTGGGTTATTGCAGATTTCCATTGAGCTTAATCACAGGGCATGATAATTCAAAGAGATACCGTAAGAGATCTCCTGTATTCCTGACATACTCCTTCTTATCTCTATTGCAAAGCAGTAGTCCAATTTCCTCTTGGTAGTCAAGATCAATCTCTCCAGCCAGTACAGTAATTTTCTGCTTTGCCTCTTGTTTCAGAGGCCTGAGAAGCCCCAAGTGGCCAGTTGGCAATTTTAACTTCCAGTTTAATGGAAATATTGCTTTTTCTAGTAGAAGCATTCCTCCATTTGGAACTAAGGTCTCTAGGTCAGCACAATATACAGTTAAAGGGATAGAACAAAGGTTTGCTATTGCATCAATAAGGATAATACTGAGGTGTGCCACTCCCATTTCCACCCCTTGATTCCTGGACTCCAAGAATCCTGGCTATGGGATAAACAACACCATATATTGGATGCTGATTCTGAGCATATATAGTCTCCTGGAGAACCTTGTCCCAGGCCTGCAATATATTGCCACCTAACTGGGGCTGTTAATGAGTCATCGAAAGACCATTCCACTTTTCTATCAATTCAGCAGCTTTATGATGGTGGGAGACATGGTGAGACCAGTGAATTCCATGAGCATGAGCTCATTGCCAAACTGCTTTTGCTATGAAGTGAGTTTCTTGACCAGAAGCAATGCTACATGGAATACCATGATAGTAGATAAGAAAGCTTCATAGCTACATGATCACCCTGGGGAATGGTATTATACTGTGTACTCATTGTCTCAGCTGCTGGTAATTTAAGTACTTAGCAGTGACCATAAGCCAGGTAAGCCTTGGTAAGTGGAAGTCCATGTTGCTGGGCCCATATATGATCTTTCTCCCTGCCATCATGTGTACTTTGTTCATGAACCCATTGGGAAAGGATAGGGGTTGTTGGGGAAGAGGCTGACTGGTATCTAAAGAACAGGTTAACTTATACTGTTGATTATTAAAATCTCCTTCTAGTGAGTTCGTGTTTTGGTGAGCATTCACTTAAGACACAAATATCTTCACATTTCTTTTGCCCATTCAGAAAGGTCTATCCATATATCTTGCCCGAAATTTTCTTGGCACCAATTTTCCAATTATGTTTCTTCCAAGTTTCTATGTTCCAATCAGAACATTGGCCACAGCCCATAAGTCTATATATAATTGCCTGTCTGGCTATTTCTCCTTTCAAGCAAAGTGAACAACCAGGTGCAATGATCAGCATTCTGTTCACTGGGAAGATTTCCATTCACTACTCAGCTTTATGGATGTCCCAGATTTCCCTTCACCAGTAACCTTTAGGGATGCTGCAGCTGTCCACTTTTTGGTGGTGGTCATAATGGACAGCTCAGGTTATATGTTAATTCATGGCCCATAGTTAAGCATTTGGTCTGTACCAAGGCCCAGTAGCAGGCTAAGAGCTGTTTTTCAAAGACAGAGAAGTTATCCACAAAGGATGCCAGGACTCTGCTCCAAAAATTCCATGAGCCTGAGCTGTGATTTACCTGCAGGGACCCACCAAAGACTCCAAATAGCATTTCTATCTGCCACTAATAATTCAAATACCATTGTATCTTCTGGATATTATGGCTCAAGTGGCAAAGCAGTTTGCACAGCAGCCTGGACATATTAAAGAGCCTTCACTTTGTTTGGGCCTCAAACGCTAGCACTTTTGAGTCACTTGGCAAATAGGCAGGAGTAACACACCCATATTAATAATATATCTTCTCCAAAATCCAAAGAAGCCCATTATGTATTTTTATTATTTTGGTTGTAGGAAGGACCAGATGCAATAGTTTATCCCTCACCTTAAAAGGTATGTCTCAACACGCCTTGTATCACTGGACCTCTAGAAATTTCACTGAGGTAGAAGGCCTCTGAATTTTTGTTGGATTTATTTCCCACCTTCCGACACACACAAGTGTCTTGCCAATAAGTCCAGAGCATTTGCTGCTTCTTACTCACTAGGTCAAATCAGCATAATGTCGTGAATATAATGGACAAGTGTAATATCTTATAGAAGGAGAGATTATTAAGATCTCTGTAACCTAAATTTCGACATAAGGCTGGATAGTTGATATATCACTAAGTTTGGAGAGCGAACGTGTATTTCTGGCCTTGCCAGCTGAAAGCAAACTGCTTTTGGTGATCTTTCTTAACAGATATGAAGAAAAATGCACTTGCCTGATCAATAGCTGCCTACCAGGTAACGGGATGTGTTAATTTGTTCAAGCAGTGAAATCACATCTGGTACAGCAGCTACAATTAGAGTCGCCACCTGGTTAAGCTTATGAAAATCCACTGTCATTCTCCAAGATCAATCTGTCTTCTGCACAGACCAAATTGATGAGTTAAATGGGAATGTGGTGGGAATTATCAGCTCTGCACCTTTCAAGTGCTGGATGATGGCATTAATCTCTACAATTCCTCCAGGAATGCACTATTTTTTTTTTTATTCCTATTTGCCAAGGTAGACACAGTTCTAGCAGCCTCCATTTGATCTTTCCCACCAGAATGCCCTTACTCAACAGGTTAGGGAACCAATGTGGGAGTCCTGCCAACTGTTGTGTATATATATTCCAATTACGCAGTCCAGACTGAGTAAATGACCACAGGATGCGTTCGAGAAACCCACTGGGCCCACTGAGCTAAAACTCCATTGACTCTGACCTCTATAAGCTGCTACTCTGACTTATGGACCACAGTGATGTTTAGGTTTCCTGAAATAAGTGTCAATTCAGAATCAATGAAAAGTCTGATTATTTTCTTTTCCCTAGTGCACAGTGACCTTGATAAAAGGCCATAGATACCTTTGAGGATGGCCAAGGGAAAGATTAACAGTATAATTTTTTGGCGGTGTCCAGGGTCTTTCCTCAAAGGACCTGACCACCCCTTCATTCAAAGAGTTCTGGGTCTACAAACTGGCTCAAGTCTGGGAATTAATTGAGAGGCCATGACTGTTTTTATGATTCAGATTAGACTTTTGTTCACTTGACCTAGAACTTTTCCACTTTTACAGACCAAATGAAGCGTTTAGCAGGATTCTTATCTATTGCAGGTCGAGGAACACCATGAGCAACTAGCCAATGCCATAGGTCTGCATGAGTAAGTATTCTGATTGATACTTTGGCTCTACTGACCTCTAATATAGTAACCACACCCACCTTGTCTGTCTTGATCAGTTGGGGCTGCTATAACAAAATACTGTAGACTAGATGGCTTAAACATCAGACATTTATTTACCATAGTTGTGGAGGCTGGGAAGTCCAAGATCAGGTGCTGGCATATTTGGCTTTCAGTGATGGTCATTTTCCTTGCTTTTAGGTGGTCATTTTCTTATTGGATGCTCACATGGCCTTTCCTCTGTGCATGTACCTGAGAGAGAGCGCTGTTAAGTCTCTTTCTCTTCTTATGAGAACACTGATGTAATCATAGGGACTTTATCCTTCTGATGTCATCAAAACCTAATTATTTCCCAAAGAGTCCACCTCCAAATACCCTCAAATTGTGGGATAGGGGATCAACACATGAATGTCTGGGGGGGACAAAAACATTCAGTCCATAGCTTCACTTTTGCAAACTGAGTACTGCTACTTGACCTAAGGATCAAGTTACTCCCATTGACCCACCCCAGGATCTAATTATATCCATAGCATTTAGTTTCCCAATTCATTACAAACTACAGTTCCCATTGGAAGATCTGGCCTACAAAAAATAGTAATCACAAAGCCCTTCAAGGTTGCTGGGGCTCCCCTCACAAACTTATTTCTCACTGATGTGGCGAAAGATGTGGATTTGTCTGGCACTTCTGACTCTCTCACTGGTGGCCACCTTGTGCTTTCTGTATTAGCCAACCAACGAAATAAAATGTTAGAGCCCTTTCTAACTCCTTGAGCTGCAACATTAAATGCAAAATCTTTGCTTGGTCAGCAAATAAATTTGGCTTGATTCAACTTTACATTCCTTCCACCATTATTCCACACCCTCAGTATTCATTTCCACTAATATTCCCTAGATTCTTCTTTGTTTAAATTACAAAACTCTGTTCTTTTGGAGCATAGTGTCCTTCCTTATGAGTCATACTTTGCATCTCACCTTTAGGGGCCTGTGGGACTTGAGTCTAGTTAAATGTCTAAGTGTTAGATGTATAGCAGCTAGAAGAGTGATGGCGGTGGGTCCTGAGGAGATTCAGCATTGTCTTTCACGGCAACTGCATCAGGAGAAGTCACAGTTTTCCCAGGCAATGCAGGGTTAATCTCCTCAGATGGGGGTGAAAGGGCTGCTTCTACTGGAGGTAGAGAGGCTGCTTCCACTGGGGTGAAGAGGCCTCTTCCATGCAAGGTGGGAGACTGCTTCCATTGACAAAGAAGACTCCTCAATTTAGGGGCTCAACGCCTTCAGCTTCATCAGGGTCTTCCCACAGAACCTCATCCAACTTTCAGGATCCCATTCTTTGCCAATCACTGCCCTCAATTTAACAGCAGACACCTTGTGAGTCTGGGAGATTACTTGTGTTGTACGTCAGCCAGTTGCAGTCTGAGATTCTGAGTTTGGTTTTAACTAAACTCAGCTCTGTTGCTACAGGAGAAATTCAAATCTCTGAGCTCATCTTTTTATTTTACCACATTATCCAGTGACCTTAGTAGATAACAGCTGATCTCATTATACTAGTTAGTTTGAGAAAAATGTTTGAAAGTATCATATACACAGTGGCTCAGACACTTGCTTATACTAGTTGATTAGGAGTGTCTAATGGTAATGTTTTGTGTCTCTTTTGCCAAATCACATATCATGTGATGGAAATAATATGTAAATCTAATCAGATTAAAAAGCCAATTCCAGAAATTCCAAAACCAATTCAGTAGACTCATTCCTAAAATCCTGTTCCTATAGAATAATTCTTGGCATAAAAATCTGTACTAGCTGGTGTTCACCAGATAATCAGAACCAATAGGATACAGAATGTGTATAGGATGCATATATCTATAAATATATATCATTATATATTTTATTAAGTATATATATCATTATAAGGAATTGGCTCACACAATTATAGAGACTGACAAGTCCCATAATATTCAGGGTGATTTGGTAAGCTGGACACAAAGGAGAACCAATAGTATAGTTCCAATCCAAGTGCAAAGGCCTAGGAACCAGGACAGTCAATGGTGCAGTTCTAGTCCAAAGGTCAGCAGTCTAGAGACCCAGAAACTGCCAATGTTTTAGTTCAAGTTTGAAGAAAAAGCTAGCATCTCAGTTTGAAGGCTAACAGGTAGCAGGAATTCCCTCTAACTCCAGGGAAATCTCATCAGCCTTTTTGTTCTATAAAGGTCTTCAAGTGATTGGGTGGAGACCACACACATTATGGAGGGCAAACTGCTTTATTTAATCTGTAGATTTAAAGTTAATCTCATAAAAAAGAAACAACACTGGAAGAGAAACATCTAGAAAAATGTCTGTCAAAATATCTGGGCCCCTTGTAATCCTGTCAAATTGAGGCATGAAGTTAATCATCACATCTTTCTTGGGTAAATAATTTTAAATGCATTCTACACAGGTCCTCAAAAGGTCTCAACAGGATGAAGGCCATGACAGTGACCTGACTGATAATATGTGCCTGTATGAATGTTTCCTCCTTTCCTGTTTTTCTCTTCCCAGGAACTCATTCCTTTAAATCACTTCACAGAATAAACTACATGTACACAAATTCTGCTTTGTGGCAAGAACACACACAAAGACAACCTATTAATTTGTCTGTCATGTTTTTATTAAACAGAAATCCTTTATAATATGTATAATTCAGTTAATTGATTTTCCCTTATACATTGTACTCTTGACATTTTGTTTAAGAAGTCTTATGACACAAATAAATTTTCTTATTTTAAAATTATTTTCAAAGTTTAATTTGTCTTTATCTAGAGATAATTTTTGTCTGTTAATATATAGAATTCCAGTTACATATTTCTCCATATGTTAGAGAATATTATTTTCATAATATTATCTACTGCTCTGGTTTCAGTTTGTCCTCTCCAAAACTCATGTTGATATTTAATTGCCATTGTACTAGTTTTGAGAGGTGGAAGCTTTGAGAGATTAGGCCATGAGGTTTCTACCCTCATAGGTGGAATTGGTGGCCGTATAAAAGTCTAGGCCACCCTTTCTTTCTTTTCTTTTTCTTTCTTTCTTTCTTTCTTTCTTTCTTTCTTTCTTTCTTTCTTTTCTTTCCTTCTTTCTTTTTCTTTCTTTCCTTCTTTCTTTCTATCTTTCTTTCTTTCTTTTTCTTCCTTCCTTCCTCTTTTCTTTCCTTCTTTCTTTCTTTCTTTTTCTTTCTTTCTCTTTCTTTCTTTCTTTCCTTGTCTTTCTCTCTCTTTCTTTCCTTGTCTTTCTCTCTCTTTCTTTCCTTTTTGGATGGACTCTCACTCTGTTGCCCAGGCTGGAGTGCAATGGCATGATCTCAGCTTACTGCAACCTCTGCCTCCCCACATTCAAGAGATTCTCCTGCCTCAGCCTCCGGAGTAGCTGGGATGCCTGACATGCGTCACCACACCCAGCTAATTTTTGTATTTTTAGTAGAGACAGGGTTTCACCAGGTTGGCCAGGCTGGTCTTGAACTCTCAACCTCAGGTGATCTGCCCCCCTCAGCCTCCCAAAGTGCTGGGATTATAGGTGTGAGCCACCTATTCTTGTTCTTTCTTAACATTTTACCTTTACCATGGGATGACATATCACGAAGACCCTTGCCAGATGCCTGCACTTGATGTTGGACTTCACAACCTCCAGAAATGTGAGCCAATAAATTTCTGTTCATCGTAAATTATCTGGTCTCAGATATTCTGCAAAAATGGGCTAAGACATCTATTAAACAATCTGTTTATCTATTGATTCATGGTACAACTTTATCATGGACTATTTCCTTATGTGCACATGTCTGATTCTGAACTCTCTGTTTTATTCTATTAGTTTTCTTTTTTGTTTCTCGAAAACTGTTTTTTACTACTACATAAAAAATCTTTTTATCAGTGTCATAATTGTATATTTTTCTTCCCTTTTTTGGCCAAAAGCTGTGTCTTCTTCTGTATTTATGCTTTCTATTTATATAATATTTTATTACAATAAAAAAAGTTAAATTTATTACACACTGCATAAAGAATAACAATTATGCAAATAATTTTGGAAAATAATTTTATTACATGAAGAATTCATATTTTAAACAAAATATTTGTGTCTGAAAATATTTTTATTACATGAAGAATTCATATTTTAAACAAAATATTTGTGTCTGAAAAAGTAGAATTTGCCCTCAACTTCTTCTTAGATATAACCATTAATACTTTGATATGCATTATTACCAGTTTCTTTTTGTTCAAGTGTACAAACACATATACACATACATACACACACACGCACACCAAACAATTTTTATGTTAGTCATTGATACTAGTCCTTTCAGAGAAGAAACTATTTTCGTTTGGGAAATGACTTGGAAAGCTGCTTAGTAGAAAGCTTAAACCCCAAGGATCAATAGAAATTAAGTCAACAATAGAATTTGCTAAATTTCCAGACATTAGAAGGGGAAAGAAAATTGGCCACTGAGGAGAAATACAAAAAAAAAAAAAAATGACGATGGTGGGGGAAATGGGATGGAATTAGGAATCTAAAGAGAAATCAGAAAGTCAGGACACTATGTGTGGGTGACAGAGCCAGTAAAAAATTCTCAAAAATTGGGTAACTTTGAAAGAGTTTTGATATAAAGCTTAAGTCAATGGAGAAATTACTGTGGGGCCGTATTCAAATGCATGGTTCAAGGGCAGAAACAGATTTACAGCTGGTCCTCAGATGAACTAGAAGTGGGATACGAGGCTATGGAAAACTGAGGCAGGAGTTTTCTCATTTTCAGTGCTATTGGCATCTTTGTTTCTCTACTTGTGTCTGCTCCATCTCCTATGTCTTCCTTTTCTTGAGTTACAAAATATACAAGGCTTATTATGAGTGCCCCCTATGTTCTATCTGGTTTTTCCTCTGATGAAGGCTCTTTGGCTTTGACTCCTGCTGCTATCTGATTTGCTTTCCCAGTGAGTCCCTCCCCAACTCCTGAGATGGACATTTGTCCTAGTTTACCTTTTTGCAACAGGCTATAAATTATTGCCAGCTTTTTGTCATAATTCCTTCTGTCTCCAAATCCATTTGCCTTAAGGCTTGGGTTGTCAGTATCAGATGATTAAAGCATGTCTATCTTGATCTGTGCTTCACAGGAATTGAGAGTGGAAATTGGTCCATAGCATTGTGTTCAGACTTCTTTCACTGCATTTAGCCCTTTGTGTTGTAATTTTTCTTATGTTTGTCTTGTCCCACTAGACTGTGAGCTCTCTGATGGCACAGATGTGTTTGTACATATACAGATTCCTTATTTAGTGATGTGGTTAGTGCTCAATGATTTGCTGAATAAACAAACCAATTAGTAAATGAAAGACAAGACATGCTCTACTGGATTGGTTTTCTTTGAAAAGTTAAGGGCTAACAGATCTGGTCAAGTTGTTACCACTGCATCACAGTTGCAACTTAAAACAATTATATTTAACTTATCTGAAACATCTCCTGTTTCACTATATAAGCAAATGCTATCATCCTTCAATGTCCCATGTTATTCTCAACACTTTCAAAAGCTTTTACTGACTCCTCCAGCCTTCGATTGTCTCTGAAATTTTATAATATATGAAGTTCCTGCCACATAGTTTTCTACTTAGCTGTACATAACTATATTCCATTCTAAGTTGTTTATCATTGTTTCAGAACTTTGTAATCTGAGTATCCCAGGACTTCATCTGTGGACTTCAGTAGCTCATTAGCTCAACCTTGCATATATCATTACAGGACTTTGGTGCACATTCCTGCAACTTTGTTATTTTGGGGATGCCAAGAAGCATAGTGATGAACTTAGGATCAAGACTTTTCAGGTTCTTCTGCACTAGCCATTCGAGAGTGGTGACTCAATACAGACACTACTGCCATGAGAAGGCCTCTTAATGGGTGTTGTACTTTTTCCTGCAGTTCTTTCAAGCATGGAAGTTTCCTCTGATGGATTATTTGAGCTCTTAGTAAGTCAAAACTTCTGTGATTTCTAGAAAAGAATAGGAAGTTAAAAATGGTCTTATTTCTCCAAATCCATGTCAAATTATATTATTTGCATTGCCTTGCCTATGCCATTACTTTATGTTGTAAGTGTCACATAATCTAGCTTGGAAAAATTACCTCGGTTGTCTATTTTTAATATCACGTCCTTTAAAGGCTCAAAAATGGTTTCTTTTAGGAATCTATGCTGTATCTTCAATTTCTCTTCCTATTATATCTTCTCTATGAGCTTTATGCACAAAACAACTTTTCTGTCTTCTTTGCCCTTTCTTCTTAGACAAAACTACTGAAAGCCCTCATGTAAATTAACTAATATAAATAAAGATGAAACATGTGGAGGAAAGGAGGGAGTGGGAATCCATCCCATAAAATTGCCACTTGCGTTTGTCTTGGAAACCTCACTACATATTTCTATCCTGCCTTTCAGTTTGGATGACAAGTCCTCAGAGGAAAGGCTTCTGTTTTCCCTGTTCTTCAAAGTACCTAGCAGAATACTCTGCAGATTGGAGATGTAAAATAAGTACTGAATTAAATTTATTAGAAGTAAAATTATGAGTACATTTTCAAACATCAAGTGGAAAATTTTATAGAGTAAGTGAGAACCATTCAACCCAGAGATTTTACTAATCTACAGAATTTTCCTGTTGATAGTTTTCAAAAAAATCCTGTGGTCACTATTGTCAGAGATTGCATTATGAAAATCTAGCAAATGTAAGGCTTTGAGATTTTCTGAACCTAAATATTCTAACTTTGGTATAACCACCCCTGAAAGTCACTGGTACATATATACTATATCACTGTGGATATGACATATATTTTACTACATTTTGGAGGTAGAAGAGAATGAAGGATCATTGCACATTAATGCTAAATCTGTTTAAACTTATAAAAAACAAGGAATTATGTCATTAAAGATTACAAAGATGATGATGAATTGCAATGATATTTGGATGTTCCAGGGAGTGAGTGTGGTCTGAGTCAGAAGCTGAGCCACAGGAATAGAAGTCCAGGAACAGCAATGGCACTGAAGAATTAGACGCCTAAATTCTTGTAAATTCTTGTGATAAATTAAGATTTCTGAGTATGATGTCTTATGTCATATAAACAGATCCTATTGTGTGTGTGTGTGTGTGTGTGTGTATGTAACATGTATACACTTCCCTTGCTCATATTATACAAAGTAATTTCATGTTTTTTCTATACTCCTTTTGATCTGTAGATAGTATTGGGATTAGGGTTATGAGATATAAGTTATTAGGTATAATATTTTTTCTTAGTTTCTATCATTTTTTAAGAAAGAGGAATGAAAATATCACAGCCAGCTTTTCAAAATGATACCTTATCATGTAAATAAGGAAGTAGGTAAACTAATCTGAAATCTTTTGGAGAGAAGACAACTATTCAAACAAAGAAAATTTTAAGATGCCCACTTTAATCTTCTTCAATAAAGATCAATCACCAGGGTAATATTTGACCTATTACTCATTGTCATTCTAGGCCATAGAAAAAACAGATTTTGAGGATTCACTGCCCATCTGTTTTAGTTGCCATAATTAATAAATATCTGCCAGATGCTGTACTAAATCCATGTTTTTAGCTCTTTCTGACAGGTGAGTCTTTTTTTTTTTTGAAGCAAGAATACTGCACACTCTATTCAGCCATCACTGAATAGACTGTGCAGTATGAAAAGGGTCAGGAGGGAGAGGATGATTACAATAGTAATTTCAGCTGTTACAATGACTATATTTCTTAATTAGATTTGTTATACTTTTTCTAGTATATACATTTCTACTTGGGTCCCTGGGGGATTTTTTTTTAAATAACACTTCTGTTATTTTCTTATGTATTTTATGAAAGTCTAGAAATTTCAGTGTCTTAGTCATTTTGTGTTGCTATAGTAGAATACCTGAGACTGGGTGATTTAATAAAGATAAGAAATTTACTTGGCTTACAATTCTGGAGGCTGAGAAGCCCAAGATCAGGCAGCCCATCTGGTGAGAGTCTTGTGCTGCCTCAACTAAGGGCAGAAAGTAGAAGGGGAAGCAGATGTATGAAGAGAGGGACACCTGAAAGTCTGGGCTCACTTTATAACAGCTCGCTCTCATGGGAACTAATTCATTCCAGGAAGATTGAGAACTCACTCACTCCAGTAAGATGTCCCCATGATGCAAACACCTACTCAATACGGCCATATTGAGAATCAAATTTCAACATGAGTTTCAGAGGTGACACACTCCAAGAAGAAAACCTGGAAAGATGAGAACAAGAAACAGCTGTGAAGAGAGGAAAGTTGAAAGAGTGTGGATGAAATCTAGAGAGAATATTTCCTGAGAATAGACATTTGCTTGTTATCAGATGAAAGTACTTCCATATAGCTCATATTTGCATTCTCCAAAGTATTTGGCACAGCACTTTTTTTGCTGAAGGCATTGAATGTTTTAAATTAATGTTTATATCATTCCAAGTCACATTGTTTTCTAACAAAGCATAACTTTTCTTAAATTTCCAAATGGTCTAAATTTCAAACTTTTATTTGTTTTCATGGATAACAAAGTGATACTTAACTTAGAACTATGTTTGTTGTTGTTCTTGTTCTTGTTCTTGTTTGAGACAGAGTCTAGTTCTGTCACCCAGGTTGGAGTGCAGTGGTGTGATTTTGGCTCATTGTAACTTCCGCCTCCTGGATTCAAGCAATTCTCCTGCCTCAGCCTCCCAAGCAGTTGGGATTACAGGTGTCTGACACCCTGCCCAGGTAATTTTTGTATTTTTAGTAGAGAGGATGTTTCACCATGTTGGCCATGGCTGACCTCATGTGATCTGCCACCTTGGCCTTCCAAAGTGCTGAGATTACAGGTGAGAACTATGTTTTTGATGGAAAACCCTGGCCACTATATCTCTATTTTACAGAAACATTTTGAAATTGTTGAATAATAAAAATTTGGGGTACAAAAGAGCTGTGTATTCTGAAAGATCATATTCATCTGCTTTACTTGTAAAATTTTTTAGTGTCAGAAATGTAATTATTTGCATCTTATCATAAAGAAGGCCAATTTTCAGGAGGTCCATCTTGATATTTCTCCTCACATTATTAGGTCCCTTTAAGTGAACCATGATTTTATTCTTTCTACTTCTGTCTATGTTTTCTCTCTTCATGTTCTGGGGACAGAGGCAAACTAGCAGATGCTGGTAGATGCAGTAGCTTCATTTATTTGAGACCATGTTCCTGAAAGCTAGCAAGCCCATCATATACTCTTGCTGTGACTCTGAAAGAGTACCAATTGCTCTAGGTCTCTCTGTGTGCAAATAAAAATCCTCAGTTTCCTTATGTAATTTATTAATAATTATTAAATACAAGATTCTCTGTCCTGGTTCAATGTACAAGGTAATGGCAGAAATATACGGCAAGCTGGATATAAACTTACTATGCAACAACTTGTTCAACGTTGTCTAAGCAGCCCTATCCAATCAAAATATAATGCATGCTACCTATGTAATTTGGCTTGGCTCTGTGTCCTCATCCAAATCTCACTTTGAATTGCAATAATCCCCACATGTCAAGGGCAGGACTAGGTGGAGATAATTGAATTATGGGGGCAGTTTCCCCCATGCTGTTCTCCTGATAATGAGTGAGTTCCCACAAAATCTAATGGTTTTATAAGGGGCTTCTTTATTTGCTTGGCACTCATTCTCTCTCCTGCCGCCCTGTGAAGTGCTGCCTTCTGCCATGATTGTAAGTTTCCTGAGGTCTCCCCAGTTATGTGGAACTTTGAGTTGATTAAACCTCTTTTCTTTATAGATTACCCTGTGCCAGATATTTCTTCATAGCAATGTAAGAATGGACTAATACACTATGTAAATTTAAATATTCTAGTAGCTACATTTTAAAAAGTGAAAACAAACAAGTGAAATTATTTTTAGTAAAATATATTATTTAGTCATGTTTTTCCAAATATTAGCATTTCAATGTGTAATCAATATTAAAAAATTATTAATGAGATAGTTTACTTTTTTTATGTCAAGCTTTCAAAATCCAGTGTATATTTTCTACTTACAGTGGCTCTCAATTAGGATACTAAATTTTCATTGGGTATACTTGACCTGTATTTATATTTCATAAAGTATACACTTGAACAAAATGAACACATTTATATCTGAGTTATCCAAAATATACTTAAAAATGTTAGAATAGCTGAATAGAATACCAGATTTTTGTTTAAATTTAAATTAATGAAAATTAAATAAAATTAAAGATTCAAAGTCTAATTTAAATTAATGAAAATTAAATAAAATTAAAGATTCAAAGTCTAATTTGCACTGCTCCCATTTCACGTGTGGTATCTACATATGGCTGGTGGCTATTAGACATTTCACGTCTCAGAGATTGGTGATTACTATCTTCCAACCTTCCCACCTCTCCTCAGAAATCAGATCACTCATAGAGTCATTTGTTCTTGTTTCCAGTTGTCCCCTTGGAACCTGTAAACACTTTGGCATAAAGATCTGACAGATTCAGCTTCTCCATAAATGAATTTCTTTTCGGCTTATCTCTGGGTGAGTTGTGCTTCTTGGCTATGGTGGTTCAACTACTTTATCAGCTACTTTATCTGATGTCAGCTGTAGCCATCCAGGTAGATTTTTAAAAAATATTTTCTTTCATAGTTTACTCATCAAGACAATCACATACGAGTGTTAAACAACCTCCATTAAAATCTTGCAATCCACATTGCTACTTGCTGTGGTGCCAAAAGAATCCATTTCTTTCTGGGTCCTTCACAATTCTAAATATTAAACTATCCATGGAATGAACAAACCAACCTCTTTAAATTTACCACACCATAGCAATGTATAAAGACAGACATTCTCTAATTGAAAATGGACATTTATATATGTAGATTAAGGGTTAGGATTTTTGTTTCCAAGACATGTGTATGATTCTACAACATATTAGTATCACCAAACTTTGATTGGACAACCAGTTCTTAAAATTACCTAGAATCAAAAGTTTTCATTGGGTAATAGAAGTTATTTTTTTTAATTGTTGCACCATGATCATCTATCTAAAATATAATTTGAAATTTAACCAGCAATATTTTTTCAACATGTGGTCAAAAGTCACCTACTTCAAAACCATCTGGGGAGCTTTACAAAAAGGCAGATTTCTGGGCTACCCCAGAGATTCTGATTCCTTAGTCACAGAGTGAAGCCTACATATTCACCTTTTCAGTAAATATCCACATAATTCTGATATATACTGGTGTTTTAAACTACCGGCGTTAAGATGATTTTAATGCCCTTCTTTAATACTTGAAAATGACTCCCAAAGAGGCTATTTGAAACTCTAAAAGAGTTTTTAGAATTTTAGAATTTTAACACTGGTTCAAATTTCTGTTTTTTTTGGTTCAAAATGTTATGCTGATGTCCACTTCATGGTTATTCTCTTTATTTTATAGTCAGTATATTAGTTCATTTTCTTGCTGATAAAGACAAACCTGAGACTGGGTAATCTGTAAAGTGGAAGTGGTTTAATGGAATCACAGTTCCACGTGGCTGGGGATGCCTCATGATCATGGCAGAAGAGCAAAGGACCACTTACATGGCCACAGGCAAGAGAGAATGAAGAACCAAGCGAAAGGGGTTTCCCCTTATCAAACCATCAGATCTCATGAGACTTATTCACTACCATGAGAACAGTATGGGGGAAACTGCCCCCGTGATTCAATTATCTCCCACCAGGTCCCTCCCACGATACATGGGAATCATAGGAGTTATAATTCAAGATGAATTTTGGGTGGCGACATGGCCAAACCATATCAGTCAAGTGGCCTTTTCTCTTGAGTTCTCAGTCATACATGTGTGCAGAAATGAAAACAAAAGAAATATAAATACCTTGTTAATTGGCATTTTAATTAGTTACATGTTCTTTAGAAATAAACATTTTAAAAGGTAAATACTGGATGTATTACAGGTTATATAGAGATAAATTTCAACGAAAGCCTGGCACACTATTATATCTATATTTAGTCTGTAAAAAGACTTCTACATTTATTTTAAATTTCCTACCTGCCCATATGTTTTTTTTTTTCCCTGAAACCTGAGACACTTTAAACAGTAAAATTTTTCAAAAAGTTATTTTAGGAAAAGATTCATTTTAGTTCATTTCATTTGGTAAATAATGTTAAAATGAGTCATTCCATTTGCAACTTTATTTTAATAAGTTTAATGTATTTATATTTACATGGCTGCTTATAATGTATATATCCTTGTTTAAATCTCATTATGTTTTTAATTGTTTATCTTTGCCATTTCCACAGTTTTTTTTTTTGCATGTGTTAAATCTGGAGGTTTTGCCAAATGAAAAACCAAACAAAGAGAATGAAGTATATCAATTACAAAAAGAGTAATTAGTATGTATATTTGTGCTGTGTGCAATTACCTATATTCTTTGAACACTTCCTTGAAAATGCTGCTACATATTTTTTAATAGATCCTCTTTCCCACTTCTAGGAAAATTATTTTGTACCTTATTTTTTTTCTTTCTACCTTACTCATATACTTACACTTCTTCATCATCCACTCACATTATAATTCACAGAGGAAAACAGAAAATGGTAGACGGGAACTAATTCTCTCATGTTCTTATCAGCAAATAGACATATGGCTACTTCCATTGTTACCTATCTTATTTACTTTTTATATTAAAATGCAGGAAGTCTCTCCTATTAAAGGACCATCTCCCTCCTTGTAAGCCAGATACCGTGCTCTCTCATCTACTCTGGGGTGTGACTTTTATGGGTAGCCCCCTCTCTCGTATCTTGCCCCTGGCTCTTACTCATAAATTCCTCTGCTTAGAACATTGTTCCTCTGCTCTTTTTCCAATGGCTGTTTTACATTATTCCTTCAGCTTCACTTTAAATATTATCTCAAAGGGATATTCTCTACCACCTATTTTATTAAAGTTCCCCTCCTCCAACCTCCCATCTCAGTTATTTGTCTATCATATAACATCCTATTTTCCTCTTGATCTTTATGGGTCATCATTTACTTGGTTGTCAGTTTTCCAGACTACAAGCTCTGCAGGATCACAGGCCACATCAGTCTTCTTTGCTTCTGTGTCCCTAGCTCTTGGCACAATGCTGGCCCATGGTAATTTCTCAGTAAGTATTTATTGGGCACATAATTAACTTCTCCCAGGTAGATGTATTTTAATATACAATAGCATAGTAATTCACCTATCTATGAGTATTTCAGTTATTTCCAATTTTTCTATTGCAAGCAATACTTCATATTTTGTTTGTTTATTTTCATGTATTCATAATATAATTTATATAAAAAGAATTCGTTGAAGCGGGATTGCTGGATCATGTCATATGCCATTTAAGATTCTGATACCTAGGAATCAGAATCTACATACTCATTAGGTTGACTCTAAATATAAGAAAAATTTTCCATTTTGTTCCACCCAAATCCTTTTTTCAGGGCTGCTCCTTCCTACACATTCAATGAGGTGTTTATTTTTAACACCCGGGTGTGTATTTCACATTGTGGACAGTTATTTGTCTTTGTGGCTCCCACCATGGTCTTTTAGTACCAATAGTTAATTACCCAGTTGGCTTCTCCTGAAGACTTTGCCTCCTTTCCACATTCTTTGCAAATGCTGGCTTTACTTTTACCTCCAAGGATGGCAATGGGCTGCCTGCTGCTGTTATTGCTGTTGCTTCAGATGTCACTCTCTCTTCCATTGACTACTCCTTGTCTGCCTTTTTATTCTGGGATCAACATCCTTTCTGTCTGTTTTGACATTAACAGTATTTGTTTAAATCTCTTCTGGAGAAAAGAGTGAACTGCTCCTAGGAGCTTCGGACTTAACACGAAAATGCTAAGGTCCATGCCGGAACTAGGATTGTGATACTCTTCCATGTCTTCTTATTCAGTGTTATTCCCTGTTTCCCTGGAATCCTTTTACTCTCCACAGAAATGTGTAATCTTCCTTATAAGTATAAGCAGAAACTTTCTCATACCCTCCAGACTGAAGTAATCTTTCTTACAGACACTTGGTAACTGTAACAATCTTTCTTACTGACACTTTGTAATTGTTAGCATAAAAGAAAATGATGTTTTATTACGTTTTCTGTTCCCACATCTTTTTCTCTGGCCGGTCCTAAGCCCTTTGAGGACAGGGACTGTGTAGTTAAATACATCGAGCTGTGCAATCAGAAAAACCTGGGTTTGAATCCATTGTTATCACTTTCTAGCTGGGCAAGCCACTTAGCTTCAGTTGTCTCATCTATGAAAACAGAATAATTAAAGAACAAATCTCACCATGTTGTGAAGAATCAAGGTGGTAATTCCTAAAATATGCTTAGAGTGGTGACTGGCGTGTTTAAGATCTCAATAAGTGCTGATTTGTGGCAGCCATGAAAATGCACATCTTAGACTTCAGACTATGGAGTATCTGTGGCAGCCATGAAAATGAACGTCTTAGATCTCAGACTATGGAGTATCTTTGACCCATAGCTTCAGCTGCTGAGCTCTGAAATTCACTTCTGTTGCTGTATCTACCATAGGCTGCTCCCAGCCAGTGATGAGTGTGGCAGAGACACTAAGGCCCATTCTCAGGAGACATGAGAGCATTATGGCTTTGTCTCCAGGACTCCCATGATCTATTGCTGAACTTCCTTACAATTGCCCTGTGGTCTAAGGCTCTTCCACCCACAAGTCTTTCCTTCCCATTCTCTTTAAAAAGCCTCAGATCTGCATCACAGCTTGATAGCTTTCTCAGGCTCCTCCTCCTCTAGTTCCTTTCCCAATTTCCTTTAAGGTATTTCTTGAGTGTCTAATTTTGCCTTGTCATTGGCTTCTTGGAGTACTTGAACCAGCATATACAGTTCTGAGAGTAGTTTGAGAAAATTGGCTGTGGTGGGATGGAAATTTTAGAGACTGGCTCACCCATCACCTGCTGGGTTGAAGAGGATGCTATTCTGGTTAGTAGAGGGGCATGAATTGTCCCTGGCACAAGGTGGCAGTTCAACTGCTAAAGGTTTCACTAGTGGTACCCCAGGAAAATATTCCTGGAGGGGAATGCTTTAGCAAGTGCAATTATGTAGGTCATTTGGAAACAGTGCCTATAAAGACAGTTGGCTGGCTATTGCTAAGTTGTATAGATGCCCTGCAGATAATTACAGATTGGGGACAGTAAACAAACAGTTAATGGCTAAAGGTGGCAGCCAGAGGGCCTCTGAGGTACTCTTTAAACAGGCTTTTTTTTTTTTTTTTCCTGTGGTGGAAAAGCAGATATATCTGAGCAGCAACCTGAAGATGTCATTTGTTAGAGTTGCAGAGCATCAGAAAAATTTGAATACTCAGCCAAGGCATATCTGTTATGCAAAAGTCTAGGAGTATGGGCTGAAGACAAGCTCCGTTGTGGGGAAAATCTAGCACCTAAAAACATGGGATTGTATCTGATTGACTACCCTTGATGAGGTTAACTCTATAAGATCCACTTACCCTCTGGGCTTTCCCTACCCTAGTTACCCTTCGCTAGTAACAGCCAGCACTTCCCTATGCTGAATAATGCTGAAGAAGCTTTTCTTCCATAAATTAACAAGTATTGCCCTTGGGAGCTGCTTTCACCTTATATCTTGACTGAAAAGATGCTAACTAGGGTTAAATCCCTACATAGCACAATAGAAGATGTGCTGGGCCTAATAAGGAAGAGAAAAGACTATACACCAAGAGAATTTCAAGAATTTGTTAGCATGTGCCAACAGAAGCTGGTAGAGTACATCGGGAAATGGATTTTGAGGAGGCTTGATCAAAGAGGCAAGAATACAAGACTGGATGAAGAATAATTCATTGACTTGGGGACGCTTTCTTAGGATACTGGATTAAGACTAGTAGGAAGCCAATGGGAATAGGGAAACTCTCTCCTAGAGTGGCCATTAGAAGTCTGGAAAAGGCTATGTCCAACACTCAGCAAAGTGGAAATCCCATTTCCCTGGAAGATGGTGAAAGAAGCAATGAATGATCTGAGGGAATTGGGCTTGCTGAAATGGATATATTATCTAAGACAAAGGATCCATCAGAAGATTATGTTCCACAGAAAAGCTCAGAGGATACCTTATTTACCCAGGGCATATGGAATAAATTAGTAAACTGGGCACAAGATCACTAAGAAGTTCAGTGGTGGCTGGCCTACTTATCCCTGACTCATTATAGGAGAGATAGTCAAAGAGCTGGGCTCATCAACATCTATGGAATAATGGAATCCCAAATAAATAGAGGCCAGTTGGTGGAGCTTAAACACCCAAAGTGTCCTGGCACCTTGTTTAGAAAGCAGACCTTCATGGAATCCTGGATAAGGTCCAGGTCACAATGTGGCCACTCGGTCAAAGGACTTGCTCAGTGGTCATTTTCCTAATTGCTGAATGTACGTAATTGGAATTAATATACTTGTCAGTGGGAACAACCCACATTGGGTCCTTGGTCATTTGGATAAGAGCACTCATGGTAGGGGCTGGAGGGAGTTTAGTGCCATTATTAAAAACAAAAAAGATGTAGTTGCAGTAGTCATTATCATTTCTCTACTTGTTTTACTAGTTTGGTCTCTGCATAAACCCCATCCTGAATAATGACTGAAGACTACAGCAGATTTAGCCAAGTAGTAATCTAGGTCACAGGTGCACTGGCTTATGTGGTATCATTGCTAGAGCACATTATTAAGGTCATAGGTATATAGCATGTGGCCAATGATTTGGCAAATGCATTCTTCTCAATTTTACTTAGAAAAGTAGATCAGAACAATTTTCATTTATGTAAACAAATAACGGTATTTATTTACAGTTTTGTAGCTGTGATATATTACCTCTCCTGCTTCTGTCATAATATAGTCCAAAGAGAATTGAACTGCATGAACATTCCACAGAATACGACACAGATCTATTACAACAATGACATTATATTGATTGGAGAAGATGGGCAAGAGGTGAACTAGTATGCTTAAGGCTTTGGTAAGACACTTCTACTCTGAGGATGGGAGATTAAACCCTAAGAAGTGTTAGGGACCTGCTACTTCTGTGAAATTTAAGGATGGAGTGGTCAGAGGTGTTCTGAGGTATCTATTCCAAAGTAAAATGAATTGCTGAATCTTCCATCTCCTACAACAAAAATGGAAACACTGCACCTAGTAGGTATTTTCCGAGTTCTGGATGCAGCACATTCCACATCTAGAACTATTGCTTTGGTGTAATAGTAAGTGACAGGGAAGGCTGTCAATTTTAAGTCCAGCCTTGAGCAGAAAATGACTCTGCAGAAATTCCAGGCTTCAGTGCACCAGTCCTGCCACTTGGACTATATGACCTAGCAGACTCTATGGTGCTGGTTCTTATAAGGAAGGAAAAAGGCTATACACCAAGATGTATAATAGTTGGGGGGTGGGGGGAGGGATGCCAATAGTGAAAAAGGAAGCCATATGGAGATTATGTCAATCCCCATTAAGAGAACTCAGTGCAGGCCCCTGGAATTCTAGAACAGGGTCATGCCATTATACCTAGAGATTGCATACACTCTGAGGAAGAGATTACATATGTAGAGATTACATACACTTTGAGATTACATATACTTTGAGAAACAGCTCTTGACATTACTCGGCCCTGGCAGAGACAGAATGGTTGACCTTGGAGTAAACCCAAAGTGACCATGCATCTGAAAATGTCCATTATGAGCTGGATTCTGTCAGACTTGGCAAGTCAAAGTCAGATGTTCTCAGCAGAAGTACATTGTAAGATGGAAATGGTACCTTTGGATTGAGTCCAGGCAAGACTAGATGTCCAAGTAGCTGCATGAGCAAGTGACCACGCACCATGCCACCCACCATGATTGCACACAGTGCTCTTCTCCAGTTTGTGCCTATGTGGGGTCTTGTACAAACAGCTAAAGGACAAGGAAAAAGTCTAACATTGGCATATTATAGGGGCTTAGTAGATAGTAAGTGAATGAAAGGATTTGGTTAAGCTTCTGCCTTTGTTTATGCACATAATTATTTTCTGTGTTCAACAGATGTAGAAACTGAGGCCAAGTAAATTAAGCAAAATTCATTACCCACAGGTAATGAATAAAGGGGCTGGAAAACAGATGTTCTGCCTCATATGATAATGTATTTTCTATGGCATTATTCTGTTGTTGTTTTTTTTTTCCACATTTACCACAGGATATTTTCTTCATTTTAAAAGAAGAATCAAGTTCATTATTAAACATTAAATCATAACACAGTTAACGTTCCACATTTAAAACACTTAAAATGCCATGCCCCATTTGCTAACCTAAAAACTGGTATCCACATATGTTGAGTCACTTTTTTTCAATTACTTGCAAAAATGGATAGAGATTGGGAGGGGCTGTGAATTTATGCATACTAATGAAACCTTAAAATAAAATGTTTCCATGTGCAACTTCCAGTCTTGTTGGATAACTTTACTTGATTGAAAATTACTTGAGAAAGATGAAATCATAAATTACCTTAAATTTACTGAAAGCCTATGAGGCACCTATATTAAGTGTGAAGCTGATGAAGTTTCAGCTTGAATGAAAATAAGCTGAGAAAACCACATGGGTAAGGTTCCAGGTAGATATCCAGAAAGAAGGCCAACATTTAATATAAGCTCTGCTGGGTTCAATAGTGGGCAACATTGCAAGTAGATTCCTACTAGCATTATAATTGTTAAAACTCCATCTAACATTCACAGTTTCTACTCGTTCCACTCATATTTCCTAGTGTGTATAATCACTCCAAACACTTGCTGACTACTCCTGATCCATTCATTCATTTATTCCCTCATTCAACAAACGTTTAACTTGTTATATGCTAGCCACTGTGTACTTGAGGGAGATAACATATTATTAAATTGTGACAAGATAACATTTTACAGACGAAGAAAATGAGGCAAAGAGAGTTTTAGCATCTTCTTCAGTGTTACACACTTAGTGTGCAAAGAAGTTGGGACTAAGAACAGAATGTCTCTGGAGTCCATGCTTCTAACCACCATATTTTTTTCTCATGACATTCATAGTGTGTCACTCTGCACTTTTCTGTTAGAAGATATCACTAGCATATTTCTGAGGGAAACATATACAGAATTCCATTAGGAAGTCTACACATAATGGCAAAAAAGAGGAGTCTCTCTCTCTATAGATAGATAGATAGATAGATAGATAGATAGATAGATAGATAGATGATAGCTAGATATAGATATAGATATAGTAGGCCTGTGGCAACTTACGGTAGGTCTCAGAAAACTGCATATTAAAATAATTTTTATCATAAATCACTTGGAAATTATCTGATGGGTGTTGTGGCTAAGCTAGCTGATGTAGAATTTTATATTCTAGATATGACAGAAATTATTGAAAACACCTCTGTATGTGATTTAGTCATTGGAATACAAATTAAGTGAAAATATGAATGGACAATAAGTGATATGCAGCAAGGTTATTTTAAGAATATATGCAAACATAATAAAATTAGAGTCATATTGGTAAGACTTCCTTTTTATTGATTAAATTTGGGTAATGATAAACTTATTTAGAGTTCTACAGAAACATATTATACATGTTGATATGGTTTGGCTCTGTGTTCCCACCCAAATCTCACCTTGAATTGTAATAATCCCCATGTGTCATGGCAGGGACTGGGTGAGAGGTAATTGAATCATGGAGGCAGGTCTTTTCCTGTGCTATTCCTGTGATAATCAATGAGTCTCATGAGATCTGATGGTTGTATAAAGGGGAGTTCTCCTGCACTTACCCTCTTGCCTGCTGCCGCGTAAGACGTATCTTGCTTCCCCTTCATTTTCACCATGACTGTGAGGGCTCCCCAGCCATGTGGAACAGTGAGTCAATTAAACTTCTTTTCTTTATAAATTACCCAGTCTTGAGTGTGTTTTTAATAGAAGCATGAGTACAGACTAATACAGGAAGTTGGTACCAGTAGAGTGGGGCATTGATGAAAAGTTACCCAAAAATGTGGAAGTGACTTTGGAAATGGGTAACAGGTAGAGCCTGGAACAGTTTGAAGGGCTCAGAAGAAGACAGGAAAATGTGGGAAAGTTTGAAACTTCCTAGAGACTTGTTGAATGGCTTTGCCCGAAATGCTGATAGTGATATGGACAATGAAATTCAGGCTGAGGTGGTCTCAAATGGAGATGAGGAACTTGTTGGGAATTGGAGTAAAGGTTACTCTTGCTATGTTTTAGCAAAGAAACTGGTGTCATTTTGCCCCTGCCCTAGAGATTTGTGGAACTTTGAACTTGAGGGAGATGATATAGGGTATCTAGCAAAAGAAATTTCTAAGCAGCAAAGCATTCAAGAGGGAACTTGGGTGCCCTTAAAAGCATTCAGTTTTATAAGGGAAGCAGAGCATAAAAGTTTGGAAAATTTGCAGCCTGACAATGCAATAGAAAAGAAAATCCCATTTTATGGGGAGAAATTCAAGCTGGCTGCAGAAATTTGTGTAAGTAGCAAAGAGCCTAATTTTAATCCCCAAGACCAAGGGGAAAATGTCTCCAGGCAATATCATAGAACTACCCTGCAGCCCCTCCTATCACAGGCCCAGAGGCCCAGGAGAAAATAAATGGTTTCATAGGCTGGGCCCAGGGTCCCCATGCTATGTGCAGCCTAGGGACTTGGTGCCCTGTGTCCCAGCCACTTCAGCCCTGGCTGAAAGGGGCCAATGTACAGCTCAGGCTATTGCTTCAGAAGGTGGAAGCCCCCAACCTTGGCAGCTACCTTGTGATGTTGAGTATGTGGGTGCATGGAAGTCGAGAATTGAGGTTTGGGAACCTCCGCCTAGATTTCAGAAGATGTATGAAAATGCTTGGATGCTCAGGCAAAAGTTTGCTGCAGGGCGGGGCCCTCATGGAGAACCTCTGCTAGGGCAGTGCAGAAGGGAAATATGGGGCGTGAGTCCCCATGCAGAATCTCCACTGGGTCACTGCCTAGTGGAGCTGTGAGAAGAGGGCCACTATCTTCCAGACTCCAGAATGGTAGACCCACCTGCAGCTTGTACTGTGTGCCTGGAAAAGCTGCAAACATTCAATGCCAGCTTATGAAAGCAGCTGGTAGTAGGGAGCTGGAGAGGTGGCTATAGCCTGCAGAGCCACAGGGATGGAGCTTCCCAAGACTGTGGGATCCCATCTATTGCATAGGATGCCCTGAATGTGAGACATGGAGCCAAAGGAGATCATTTTGGAGCTTTAAGATTTAATTACTGCCCTGCTGGATTTCAAACTTGCATGGAGCAACCAGGAGGGGGCTGTACCCTTCAATACCACAGAGCTAGAGCTGTCCAAGACTATGGGAAAACACCTCTTGCATCAGCATGCCCCAAATGTGAGACATGGAGTCAAAGGAGATCATTTCGGACCTTTAAGATTTAACTGACCACTGAATTTCAGACTTGCATGGGACCTGTAGCTCCTTCATTTTGGCCAATTTATCCCATTTGGAATGGGTGTATTTACCCAATGCGTGTACCCCCATTGTATCTTGGAAGTAACTAATTTGCTTTTGATTTTACAGGATCATAGGTGGAAGGGATTTGCCTTGTCTCTGATGAGACTTTGGACTGTGGACTTTTGAGTTAATGCTGAAATGAGTTAACACTTTGAGGGACTGTTGGAAAGGCATGATTGGTTTTGAAATGTGAGCACATGAGATTTAGTATGGGCCAGTGGCAGAGTGGTAAGGTTTGGCTGTGTCACCCACCCAAATCTCATCTTGAGTTGTAATAATCCCCAAGTGTCATTAGAGGGGCCAAGTGGGGAGAATTTGAATCATTTGGCAAGATCTTTCCTCTGCTGTTCTCGTGATAGTGAATGAGTCCCACGAGATCTGCACACACCGTCTTGCCTGATGCTGTGTAAGACGTGTCTTGCTTCCCCTTCGCCTTCCACCATGATTGTGAGGCCTCCCCAGCCATGTGTAACTGTGGATCAATTAAATCTCTTTTTTAAAATAAATTACCCAGTCTTAGGTAGGTCTTTATTAGCAGCATGAGAACAGATTAATACAGATATAATACATCTAAGCTATATGCCCAGCAATAAAATAAATAAATCGCCTAATACTCAAAGAACTTCATGACTGAAGCTGAGTTGGAAGATTCTACTGGTAACACTCTAGTATGATATTTGAAAGGGCATGTGTATTAGTGTATTAGTCTGTTCTCACACTGCTATAAAAAACTGCCCAAGACTGGGTTATTTATAAAGAAAAGAGGTTTAATTGACTCACAGTTCCAAATAGCTGGGGAGGTTTCAGGAAACGTTCAATAGTGGCAGAAGGGGAACAGGTACCTTTTACATGGTGGCAGGTGAGAGAAAGTGAATGTCTGAAGGAGGAACTTTCAGACACTTATAAAACCATCAGATCTCATGAGAACTCACTATCATGAGAACAGCATGGGAGACACCACTCCAATGATCTAATCACCTCCCACCAGGTCTACCCTTTGACATGTGGGGATTGTGGGGATTACAATTCAAGAAGAGATTTGGGTGAGGACACAAAGCCTAACTATATCATTCCATTTCTGGCACCCCCCAAATCTTATGTCCTCACTTGTCAAAACCAATCATGCCTTCCCATCAGTCCCCCAAAGGGTTCACTCATTTCAACATTAGCTCAAAAGTCCAAGTCCAAAGTTTCATTTCAGGCAAGACAAGTCCCTTCTGCCTAGGAGCTTGTAAAATCAAAAGCAAGTTAGTTGCTTTCAAGATACAGTTGGGGTATAGGCAATGGATAAACGATCCCATTGCAAATGAGAGGAATTAGCCAAAACAAAGAGCCTACAGGTCCCATGAAAGTCTGAAATCCAACGGGGCAGTAACTAAATCTTAGAGCTCTGAAATGATTTCCTTTGACACCATGTCTCACATTTGGGGCATGCTGATGCAAGAGGTGGGCTCCCACAATCTTGGGAAGCTCCAATCCTGTGGCTTTGCAGGGTACAGCCTCCCCTCAATCCCCTGTTCCCTGGCTTCTTTCATTGGCTAGAGTTGAGTGTCTGTGGCTTTTCCAGGTGCATAGGGCAAGGTGTTGGTGGATCTACCATTCTGGAGTCTGGAGGGTGGTGGCCTCCTTCTTGCAGTTCCACTAGGCAGTACCCCAGTGGCGACTCAGGGTGGGGACTCCAACCCCACATTTTCCTTCTGCACTGCCCTAGCAGAGGTCCTCCATGAGGGCTCCACCACGGCAGCAAACTTCTGGCTGGACATCCAGGCAATTCCATACCTCCTCTGAAATCTAGGCGGAAGTTCTCAAACCTCAATTCTTGACTTATGTGCACCCAGAGTCCCAACACCATGTGGAAGTCACCAAAAGTTGGGGCTTGCACCCTCTGAAGCAATGACTTGAGCTGTACATTGGCCCCTTTTAGCCATGGCTGAGATGGAGGCTGCCAAGTCCCAAGGCTGCATAGAGCAGCAGTGAGGCCCTTGTCCTGTTCCACAAAATCATTTTTTCCTCCTAGGCCTCTTGGGCTGTGATGGGAAGGGACTACCAGGAAGGTCTCTGACATGCCCTGGAGATATTTTCCTCATCTTCTTGGCTATTAACATTGTGCTCCTCATTACTCATGCAAATTTCTGAAGCTGGCTTGAATTTCTCCCCAGAAAATGGGTTTTTCTTTTCTATTACATGGTCAGTGTGATGGTTAATACTACGTGTCAACTTGATTGGATTGAAGGATGCAAAGTATTATCGCTGGGTGTGTCTGTGAGAATTGCTAAAGGAGATTAACACTTGAGTCAGTGGACTAGGAGAGGCAGACCCACCCTCAATCTGGGTTGGCACATTTTATCAGCTGCCAGTGGGACGAGAATTAAAGTAGGCAGAAGAATTTGGAAGGAGTAGACAGACTGAGGCTTCTGACCTCCATCTTTCTCCTGTGCTGGATGCTTCCTGCCCTCAAACATCAGACTCCATGTTCCTCAGCTTTTTGACTCTTGGACATACAACAGTGGTTTGTCAGCAGCTCTTGGCCTGTTGACCACATACTGAAGGCTGCACTATCAGCTTCCCTAGTTTTGAGGTTTTGGGAATTGGAATGGCTTCCTGGCTCCTCAGCTTGCAGGTGGCCTATTGTTGGACTTCATCTTGTGATCATGTGAGACAGTTCTCCTAGTAAACTCCCCTTTGTATATTCATCTATCCAATTAGTTCTGTTCCTTTAGAGAACTCTGACTTATAAAGTCAGGCTGCAGATTTTCCAATCTTTTACACTCTGCTTCCCTTTTAAACATAATTTCCAATTTTAAGCCATCTCTGTGTAAATGTATAATACTGAATGGTTTCAAAATCAACCAGGTTACATCTTGAATACTTTGCTGCTTAGAAATTTCTTCTGCCAGACACTCTAAATCATCTCTGTTAAGTTCAAAGTTCCCCAGATCTCTAGGGCAGGGCAAAATACTGCCAGTCTCTTTGCTAAAGCATAGCAAGAGCAACCTTTCCTCCAGTTCTCAGTAAGTTCCTCATCTCTATCAGAGACCACCACAGCCTGGACTTCATTGTCCATATCATTACCAGCATTTTGGTCAAAATCATTCAACAAGTGTTTGGGAAGTTCCAAACATTCCCACATCTTCCTCCCTTCTTCTGAGCCTGCCTGTTACCCAGTTCATAAGTCACTTCCACATTTTCAAGCATCTTTAGAGCAGTACCACCCCACTACTTTGGTACCAATTAACTGTATTAGTCCATCCTCACACTGCTATAAAGGGTTGCCCAAGACTGAGTAATTTATAAAGAAAGAGGTTTAATTGACTCACAGTTCCTCATGTCTGAGGAGCCCTCAGGAAACTTACAATCATGGTGGAAGGGGAAGAAGTACATCTTATCAATATTGGTTTATTAATTGTGCCAAATGCCATATGAATATAAGATGCAAATAATAAACTGGGTGTGGGGTATATGGGCAATCTGTACTAGCTTTGAAACTTTTCTGTAAATCTAAATCAAATGTAAAATAAAAGTTTAAGAAGTGATCTTGAGGTGAATTGACTTCTAGATTGAGCTTGAAAGTGTTGTTATTGAGTACAAAACTAATGGAGGGGGTAATTTAATAGATCAGAGCTCAATGGAAAAGTTTACTATTTGAACATTGGCTAGAAATCCTTGTTTAGCTAGACAAGTTAGGACTCCAACAAGAGTGTGAACTGTCATAGTGCCGTGGAAGCTGATGGATATGAATGCACACAATTGAGAAATGAAGCCCCAGGAGCAATTGGGAAATAACCATAGGATTCCCAGTCCAAGATATCCAATTGCAAAAGATTTTTATTTTTTATTTTAGTAAACTCAGTTCATTAAATTAATCTCAAAGGATGTTATTGTTTACCAGCATACATACCCAATAGAGTGATTAGAGAACAGTAAAGCTTCTTATCAGGTTAGACTGTAGGATGACTTATGAATTAGAAAGAAAAGTTTCCAGTTGTTTTTAGTCTCATGCCCTCTAGGGTCTCTTTTAGCTCAATCATATGAAGATTTTGATTTCCAGTATATAAGACCTGGTATCCATTTAAACCAAGCACATACTTTAAAATACTGCTGTGTAAAAGACTACAGTGGCTATAAAGGGATAAAGCACGCTGATATTGTAAAGGCTTTGTGTCCTCACCCCAATCTCATCTTGACTTATAATCCTCATAATCCCCATGTGTCAATGGAGAGGTCTGGTGGGAGGTGATTGGATCATGGAGACAGTGTCCTCCATGCTCTTTTCATAACAGGAAGTGAGTTCTCACAAGATCTGATGGTTTTATAAGTGTCTGACAGTTTATCTTTCACAAACTTGCTCTCTCTTGCCTGCCACCATGTAAGATGTACCTCTTCCCCTTCCATCATGATTGTAAGTTTCCTGAGGGCTCCTCAGACATGAGGAACTGTGAGTCAATTAAACCTCTTTCTTTATAAATTACTCAGTCTTGGGCAACTCTTTATAGCAGTGTGAGGATGGACTAATACAGTTAATTTGTACCAAAGTAGTGGGGTGGTACTGCTCTAAAGATGCTTGAAAATGTGGAAGTGACTTATGAACTGGGTAACAGGCAGGCTCAGAAGAAGGGAGGAAGATGTGGGAATGTTTGGAACCTCCCAAACACTTGTTGAATGATTTTGACCAAATTTTTTTTGACCAAATTTGATTGACTTGTAAGAATCTTGGAAAATCTTGGAAAAGAAAAAAAATGTTAGGTAAAATGTAAATCCTTTCCAAGATTTAGTTGTCATGTTTCCTTACGCTCATCTTGACTATGACTGTTTCTCAGACTTTTTTCTTTTTAAGAGCTTGATAATTTGAGGAGTGCTCATCAGGTATTTTGCAGAATATCCCTCAGACAGAATTTGTCTGATTATTTCATCACGATTAAACTGGGATTATGAGATTTTAGGAGGGAAACCATACGAAGGTAAACAACACTTTCATCATATTACAGCAAGCGTACATATTATCAACATGATTTATCACTGTTGATGATATTGGCCTTGATCAACTGGATGAGGTAGTGTTGGTGAGATTTCTCCACTCCATCTCAGTCTTTTTTTTTTAATCCCCCCTGTTTGTTCTATATTCTTTGTAAGAGAGTCACTATGAGCAGCCCACACTTAAGAAGTGGAAAATTATCTACCACCTACTTGAGAATGAAATATCTACATAAATTATTTAAAACTCTTGTGCATGGGAGATTTGTCTATTATCTCTCATTTATTTACTCAATAATTTATCTATATCAGTATGGACTTATGGATATTTATTTTATAATTTGTGCTATAACCCAATACTATTTTATTTACTTTATTTTTTTGTTCAAGTTGTACAAGTTTTGGCCATTGGGAAATCTTTCAAGTGCCCCCTATATCCCTTTGACATACTCCCATCATTAAGGTTTGTTTGTTTGCTTGTTTTACATGTCTTTACTTGCTGGCAGTGCAATATATTCTAGCCTTATGTATATTTCCTGCCTAGTCCAAGGATCTGTCATTTTTCCAAGGAACCCTGGTTCTTGTTTTTGGAGAATGGTGGGAGAAATCAAGATCTTGCTACTAGTTAAACTCATTGTTTTTAGGCCCTTTCAGCTGATAAAGTAAAAATGAAAAAAACTGTGTACATATACATATATCTTTGCATAGTTCTCTCTCTCTCTCTCTCTTTCTCTCCCATCTGAATTTATATTAAGTTCGAACTGATGTCTTCAACTCTAAGCCATGACTGCATGAATTATTCATGTCTCCTCTTGCTTGTCTATAACCTCCCACTCCAACAGTGAGAAATCTGGCTCCCACCTTCCACCACCCATTTATTTAATTGTTCAATTCCAGTATACATCTATTGTGGTTTCAGAATTGTTAACCGTTATCCCCATGGGAAAAATGTTATACTCTAGGGTATAATATTTATGCACAATTCCTTTTGCCTTTAGCCTTCAGACTCCATCATTTTTAGTTACGTAGGTCAGCATCTTTCCCTCACCTCCTTCAAGTGAGGTTGTTTTACATTTGTAATGTGGTTAGATAATTTATGATCACATTCTGCATTCCATCCTGTAATCTTGACTTCTTAAATTTAAAAGATGACTTCTTAAAATAAAAAAAAATTGCATATATTAATGTTCACTCTTCATATCATAAAGTTCTATGGATTTTGACACATGCACAATCTCATATATTCCCCATGAAGGCATCATACAGAATATTTTCTTACCCTAAAATTTCCCTATATTTCATCTATTCAAACTTCCCACACCCTATAAGACTAATTTTCAAACTACGTTTTTCTTCTATCTAACCATCATTTTTCTCGAAATATTTTACATATAAAGGTGACCTACAGCTCAATTTCTGGTAGAGAAATAGTGTTAAAGTGAAAAATCTTTCTAACTGAATGATCTTGTATTTGCCTTTATATGAGTAAGACTGAAGAAAATATTCATGCTCTGTTATGATCAATACAAAAATACTTTGTTTGCTTTTTTGCATGTCTTTACTATAAATAATTCTAAAATACTTAATGAATATTTTGAAATAGATATGTCGGTCTATGAGCATTAGGTTAGGAAATAATGATAAAAAGTTAAACTATGCAAACTGCAGAATGTTAGTATTAGGGACTAAAATACAGCAGCCACCATACTTATTATTAACAACTCAGAGACCCATAATAAATTATCAAATTTGAAAGTAAAGCAGCAGATCAGAATCAGAAAGAATTCTGAAAACTAAACAAATGGTGATTCAAACATCTAGTTGCATAGGCACTAGGAAATCCATGAAGAACAGAAAAAAAGGCAGCAGATCCTGTCATATCTACCTAACCAGTTTTTTCCCTCGGTCTAGAAGTCGTAATGGGCTTTGGGTTAGATTAAAAATCAAGTATCAAGGATAGAATCTGAAATTTGAAGTTGACTGTAGTAACTAGTGTTGGAAAATGAGTAGTTGGGAAAGAAGATAGCTCCTGACTGGATATTAAATTCCATTATTTCATATTCATTTAGGAGAAAAGACTTACAAAATATTTTTTTAGCTAAGCTACAGGTTGAAAACCTGGTCATCTTCCTTTTTAGTTTAATTAAATTCAATAAATATTTCTGGAATTGGTACTATATTTAAGAGACTGCCCTGAGCACTGGGTATATAAGGATGTCAGTTGATGTTTTTTAAGGAGCTCATGGCTTTATGAGGAGAGGCAGATCAGAAAACATTGCTCTGGGTTTCAGGAATACTTTTCCTCATAATAATTCCCTTCAGCTGAGTTTGGAGCTGTTACTCACAGTCCACCAGAAAGTTAGGACTGGGAGGAAGCAAGGGTATTCCAGTCAAAGGGAGAGTGTTGGCCAAGTACAGCAGGCCAGGATGAAGGCACATACCTATGAAAGGAGTGGTACACAGCCAACTGTAGTTACGATTTAGAATATTGTCACAGTGTGGGGAAATTAGGAGAGAGGCTGAAAAAGTAGGATATTACTATGTTATGAAAGAATGATAGGCTATACTGAAGGGCTTGGCCTTCATCCTGAAGGCCAGTGATCCACGCTCCCTGGCTCCACCCCTAGAGATCTTGATTCACATAAAGTGGGGTGGAGTCTCAAATTTAAAAGTATAGTAAGGATGAAGAAATTTTGCAGCAATGACACTTAGTAAAGCCTTATAAGTAATACTGTTTTAGAAGTTTTTTACACTGAGGCCATATTTTTTACCTTATATATTATAATTGAGAAATACATTTAGTTTTGTAGGAAATATGTTATATTTTATAATTGGTAGTATAAAAGGATATGTGTATATGTGTGTGTATAAATGTATGCATATCACTATTCAGTTCCTTGTTTGATTATATGTGTATATATATACACATATATATATATATTTAAAATTTTAAAATCTGCTAACTTTTTGGCCTAAGGTGGAACTAATGAGAAGCTAAATAAATGCATACTTTGTAATATATAACTAAACTAACCTCTTATTTGACATTCATTTTTATTTTAAGGTCATATAGTATATTGTAATTAGGCACATTGCATCATTCAATGAATCTTTATTCAAGCCTCACAAATTGAGAGAAATCAATGACTCCATATGACCAAATGGCTAATGCTAGATGTTTGGTATATGGCTATCAGTTCAAAATCTATAATAGGTGAGAGACCAAAGCTTGTTGGTTTATATAGACATCTAGACCAAATTTTCTTTGTATTTTATTTTGGGTTTACAAATATAAGCTTTGACATTTGAATCTTCAATTTTTTTTGCGCTTTTTTTTTTTTTTTTTTTACTGACACAAGGAAAATATGTCTGTTTACTGTAGAATAAATACAGTTTCCTTAAAACATTTTTAAAGCATGCAAAAGTTCATGTTTTATAATGTTAGGAGGGTTTCTTTAGGTAGGAGTTCTGCATTTCAGAGGAGCCATATATGACACAAACAGTGCACAATTGGGAACACTAGCTGATAATGATATGATCATTTTTGGCAGGCTCTTCATGTAGTTCTGGCAGAAACGTAGTGATACATTAGTCATTTTCACAGAGAAGATACGGGTCCATGCCAGTCTCCTATTTGGGGTGCCATCTGTACCATTTTTGTCAGTAAATTCAAAAAGAAAATATATCCATTGATGGGTACTATTTCTATTTTTTAATCATTGTTTGAGGCAAACTATACCATTCTTAGAATAAAACAATGAGTACACATAACTAAAATTGCTTCTGGGCATTCTTCACTAATGGAATACCCATATCAAAATTACTCCAACAAATTTTAACACTTTCTTTTAATTTAAATTGTCCACAATTTACTGTCTCTGGAGCTCTTGGTATATAAAAGGAAACAGTGAATTCTACTTTTTGTTTTATTAATAATGGAGCAACTCACTTGACTCTCATTGTTTTGCCTCCTTCATCTGTAAATATAGTAATAAGGACAAGCAGTATTTGAATTAAAAAGGGCTATATTTCTGTTAAGGTTAGCAACAAGTAAATTTATTCTAAACCTAAATGTTGGTTGTAATGTATGGAGGCAGGCAGTTCAAAGTTTGCTGACTTACTTTGACTAAATGTCTATGTTAATATTATAAATTTAATACAGATCATAAATTTGTTGAAGAGAAGAGTTGTATGTTATTCATGCTTTGAACATATTAAGCACTCAGTAGATATTTATTGTGCTGAACTGAAGCACAGATGGACTTGCTATAATGACTTAAGGGGATCTTCTGTTAAGCAGAGGAATTAGCAGACGTACATTGGTATAAAATAGGATTGGGAAGAATGGTTTCTTACTATTGATATTTTTGGTATGTATGAAAAGGAAACTATTACTTACCTCCAGATTGAATTCAGAAGTGTTGTGGTTTTCTGAACTGGTTTTGGGTCATTACAGAAGGTGTTCTTCAGAATAATGAGTATCGCATAAATGACTATTCCATAAATATAGTTGAATTTTCTTCATTCAACTACTAGTAGCTAAAGAGAAATAACACGTATTAATAATTAAAATCTATTGAAATCTTGCTTTGCACAAGGCATATTAAACATTTTACCTCTATTACCTAATTTGATCCCTTAATTACCCTTTTAGATAAATACAATTTTTATTTTCATTTTACCAATGGGTAAAATGAATCCTGACACATTTTAGTACTATCATCCTCCTTGCAGTGAATAGCTTTAAGATATACATCTTATTTATATTACAGGTCCCTGAGTATAACTGTAGCTGGCTAATGTGTATAAAAGGCCGCATTTTGTTGCCCAAATGTACTAGTGAGAGACCGGATGTTTTGCCAGTTATTAAGAATAGACAAAATACTGAGAAATGGTAATACCCTATTAATTAAGTCTAATAGAGAAAACACTTTCTTTGATATTTTAGGCTGTAATACCATGGCATTTCTAATCTTGTAGCTAAGACCTGCTACCTCATCTAAAGGGAAGCCCAGTTTCTATTTGTGATTTCTTTTTTTTTCTTTTGAAAGAGCGTTTTTTATTATTATTATACTTAAAGTTCTAGGGTACATGTGCACAACGTGCAGGTTAGTTACATATGTATACATGTGCCATGTTGGTGTGCTGCACCCAGTAACTCGTCATTTACATTAGGTATATCTGCTAATGCTATCCCTCCCCCTCCCCCAACCCCACAACAGGCCCTGGTGTGTGATGTCCCTCTTCCCGTGTCCAAGTGTTCTCATTGTTCAATTCCCAGCTATGAGTGAGAACATGCGGTGTTTGGTTTTTTGTTCTTGCGATAGTTTGCTGAGAATGATGGTTTCCAGCTTCATCCATGTCCCTACAAAGGACATGAACTCATCATTTTTTATGGCTGCATAGTATTCCATGGGGTATAGGTGCCACATTTTCTTAATCCAGTCTATCATTATTGGACATCTGGGTTGGTTCCAGGTCTTTGCTATTGTGAATAGTGCCACAATAAACATACATGTGCATGTGTCTTTATAGTAGCATAATTTATAATCCTCTGGGTATATACCCAGTAATGGGATGGCTGGGTCAAATGGTATTTCTAGTTCTAGATCCCTGAGGAATCACCACACTGTCTTCCACAGTGGTTGAACCAGTTTTTGTCCCACCAACAGTGTAAAAGTGTTCCTATTTCTCCACATCCTCTCCAGCACCTGTTGTTTCCTGACTTTTTAATGATCACCATTCTAACTGGTGTGAGATGGTATCTCATTGTGGTTTTGATTTGCATTTCTCTGATGGCCAGTGATGATGAGCATTTTTACATGTGTCTGTTGGCTCCCTTCTTTTGAGAAGTGTCTGTTCATATCCTTCTCCCATTTGTTGATGGAGTTGTTTGTTTTTTTCTTGTAAATTTGTTTGAGTTCTTTGTATATTCTGGATATTAGCCATTTGTCAGATAAATAGATTGCAAAAATTTTCTCCCATTCTGTAGGTTGCCTGTTCACTCTGATGGTAGTTTCTTTTTTATTATTATTATACTTTAAGTTTTAGGGTACATGTGCACAACGTGCAGGTTAGTTACATATGTATACATGTGCCATGTTGGTGTGCTGCACCAAGCAGACCTAATAGACATGTACAGAACTCTCCACCCCAAGTCAACAGAATATACTTTCTTCTCAGCACCACACTGCACTTATTCCAAAATTGACCACATAGTTGGAAGTAAAGCACTCCTCAGCAAATGTAGAAGAACAGAAATTATAGCAAACTGTCTCTCAGACCACAGTGCAATCAAACTAGAACTCAGGATTAAGAAACTCACTCAAAACCGTTCAACTACATGGAAACTGAACAACCTGCTCCTGAATGACTACTGGGTACATAACAAAAAGAAGGCAGAAATAAAGATGTTCTTTGAAACCAACAAGAACAAAGACACAACATACCAGAATCTCTGGGACACATTCAAAGCAGTGCGTAGAGGAAAATTTATAGCTCTGATGGTAGTTTCTTTTGCTGTGCAGAAACTCTTTAGTTTAATTAGATCCCATTTGTCAATTTTGGCTTTTGTTGCCATTGTTTTTGTTGTTTTAGACATGAAGTCCTTGCCCATGCCCACGTCCTGAATGGTATTGCCTAGGTTTTCTTCTAGGGTTTTTATGGTTTTAGGTCTAACATTTAAGTCTTTAATCCATCTTGAATTAATTTTGTATAAGGTGTAAGGAAGGGATCCAGTTTCAGCTTTCTACATATGGCTAGCCAGTTTGCCCAGCACCATTTGTTAAATAGGGAATCCTTTCCCCATTTCTTGTTTTTGTCAGGTTTGTCAAAGATCAGGTATTTGTAGATGTGTGGTTTTATTTCTGAGGGCTCTGTTCTGTTTCATTGGTCTATATCTCTGTTTTGGTACCAGTACCATGCTGTTTTGGTTACTGTAGCCTTGTAGTATAGTTTGAAGTCAGGAAGCGTGATGCCCCCAGCTTTGTTCTTTTGGCTTAGGATTGACTTGGCAATGCGGGCTCTTTTTTGGTTCCATATGAACTTTAAAGTAGTCTTTTTCCAGTTCTGTGAAGAAAGTCATTGGTAGCTTGATGGAGACGGCATTGAATCTATAAATTACCTTGGACAGTATGGCCATTTTCACATTGATTCTTCCTATCCATGAGCATGGAATGTTCTTCCTTTTTGTTTGTATCCTCTTTTATTTTGTTGAGCAGTGGTTTGTAGTTCTCCTTGAAGAGGTCCTTCACATCCTTTGTAAGTTGGATTCCTAGGTATTTTATTCTCTTTGAAGCAATTGCGAATGGGAGTTCACTCATGATTTGGCTCTCTTTTTGTCTGTTTTTGGCATATAAGAATGCCTGTGATTTTTGCACATTGATTCTGTATCTTGAGACTTTGCTGAAGTTGCTTATCAGCTTAAGGAGATTTTGGGCTGAGACGATGGGGTTTTCTAGATATGCAATCATGTCATCTGCAAACAGGGACAATAGATAACCCTGATGGCCAACTTCTTCCTCCAGCCTTAAGAATAAACATATGAAAAATAAATGTATTAGATATGGTTTACCAAATGCCTGGAGAGTGGTGTTTCTGTAGCCACCTATATAAATAGATGCTCATTCGGTATGTGCAAATAATGGCCTCAGAGCACCTTGGGACTGGTATGAAATCCCACAAGAGACGCATTGTAGTAGACCCTGTATGTTCATTTTAGTACATTGTCTAGGAAGATGGCAAACAGAGGCATCAAAGTAGTGTTTTGTTTGGTAGGTTTTTGCCTAATATGGCTTTTATTCTGTTCAGTCAATACAAAATTATTGATTATCCATTAGAGACAGATGAATTTTCAAAATAAAAATTTGAATAAAACAGAAACACCTGAATGGAAGGAAAATAACATATTTTTAACTCACCACTTTCCAAAATGTTGTATTTTGCAATGGATATTCTCTAAATTGGATATGTAAAATAATACTATAAAATACTAGAAAAATTCTTCCGAAAGTTTGGAAGAATGAAATCACTTTAGATTGAAAGAGAGTCTAGGACTTTGAAAGGAATTTGGAGAAGTTTGGGATCAAAGGGCAAATGGCAGCACCAATTGTTCCCAGTTTTGAAAACGAAGTTTATAAAAGTAAAAAAGATTTGATATTTAAACAGTATCCTGGGTAAATAGTAGCCTGGGCATTAAGAAAGATCTCTTGTGTAGTCATATTTCTAACCTAGATAAAGATGTGAATATAGATATATTCCTAATTATAGGCACACCACCAAAGGCCCTGCCTGATCCTAGAGACATGCACCATTTAGGGCTTACCCCTTCTTAAGTCAGTGGCAGAGATTAAGAATATTTCCCTCGCCAAAAATATCCTGGGACCCTTCTTACCAAGACCAGTGATATAAGTAAATAGTTACTATGATGCTAAATGTCATTCCTTCATTCTGCCATGGCCACTCCCCCCAGTATATTTCCTATTGTTTAGAATTATGTGCAGTTGTATACCTAAGGATACTTTCAATACACTTTCTCTTTGTTTCTCCAAAATGAGAGTGAAACTTGAAAGTGGTTACTCTTGCTTCTGAAATCTAAAGCCATATTACATATCCCATAATAGGGCAGTAAAATTATCCATACTCAACATAAGCCACACCTTAGGTCTGAAAAATAATGAAAACTTCTAAATCTTCACTGGGTATATTATCATTTTACACATTGTGCAAACTACTTTTGTAAAGTCATTTTTTAATATTATAGAAGTGTCCACTGATAATTTATCAAAATTACCCTAGAGTAAACTCAAGATGCAATAGCAAAATTTCCTTTGTAACACAGTAAATGAGTAAACGTACATTTAAAAATTCACTGCCTTGCAAGCATGGGTCATTTTAAATTCCCATTTTAGTAGGTAAGTTCATCTCTTCTCCATTGTTCAAAATTCCATTAACTCTGTGCATCTTCCTTCATTCAGTAGCTCCTGAAAATTTTCCCTGTAGGCCACACTTGAAAGAAAAAGGCCTTGCTTTTATTTCTGATTGTGATTCTTAAGTCTGGAATGCATTTTGAAGTGAATAAGGAATATTTTTGTTGTTTAATCATGAAGTTGAAGAAATTAGGTTTTCCTGTCATGAAAAGCCTGTGTAATTTCAAGTGCTTATGTGTCTTCTCAAATATTTATGCCACCCAACTTATGTATCCATTAGTTTGGCTCTTGATCTGGATTTCCACAGTCACATATCTCTTCATTCCTGATGTATATCTGGCTTACACAAAAAACACGAGAGCCCAAGATTTAAGAGAGAAGATGGAGTTTCAGAAGTGTAAGCATTCCTGGGAGACCTTACTTTGATGTTTCAACAATCTGTCTTCCCGAGAGAGAAGACAGGTTGAAGAGGGATATGAAGAATTTTTTTTTCACTGCTTAAATAAACTTCATTGAAGTATAGTTTGCATGTAATAAAATTTTAAGTATACAATTTGAGGAGTTTTGATAAAGGTGTATATCTGTGTTACCATTATAATAAAGATATAGGAAATTTCAGTCATCCTAGAGAATTCCCCTCTGATCCACTGTGGTCAATTCCTCTCCATACACTCATATCCAATCCCAGACAACCAGTGATCTGATTTCTGTTATTATAGTTTTATCTGCTATAAAATTTTATATACATGGAATCAAATAGTAGGTACTCTGGATTATTTTGGTCAGCATAAACTTTTTATAATGTTAAATTTTTTTAAATGGTAGAAATTTAATGGGCCTCATACTAATACTCTGTAAGTAATACCTCATGTAATAATTATTTTTCCAAATATATTTCATTATTACTTAAATCAATCATAAAAATGTCTTAAGATTCTATGTTCAATTCCAACTTAAAAATAAATCACTATATACATAAGCAGAATATATATAGAAAATAAAAAAGAAATTACTATAGTTTCTAATTATCTTAAAGAATGTACTGATTTGCTGTTGCAGGAGGATAATGTTAGAGGAAAATGATGCTTGGAAAAATTGAAAGGATAATCTAAATCTTACTCTATTCTTTTGAAGATCCCAATCTGAAGACGATCAATCAAGATAGTTTAATTACAGAATAATAGAATAGCAAACTTTTCATTAATAAATAAACTTTCTAAATTACAAATTTTGCCATTACTGACTAAATAATAATTAAATTTGTCATTATTTGAAATTGTCTTCATTGCCTACACATTTCATAAATCCTTTATGTGATTTCTCAAGACTAAAGTTAGTTTTAACTTACATGGCATATGTTTCTTTAGTGATTATTATTATTATTATTATTATTATTGCTTTTTTTTTTTGAGATGGAGTCTTGCTCTGTCGTTCAGGCTGGAGTGCAGTGGTGCAATCTTGATTCACTATAAGCTCCACCTCCCGGGTTCATGCCATTCTCCTGCCTCAGCCTCCCGAGTAGCTGGGACTACAGGAGCCCGCCACCACGCCCGGCTAATTTTTTGTATTTTTAGTAGAGATGGGGTTTCACCTTGTTAGCCAGGATGGTCTCGATCTCCTGACCTCGTGATCCACCCACCTCGGCCTCCCAAAGTGCTGGGATTACAGGCTTGAGCCACTGCGCCTGGCTAGTGATTATTTTAACTCATATTGAAACACAGAGGAATTTTTCAATGCATAGAAATATGAGTCAAAAGAAAACGATATTGGAGAGTATAATATTTGGTACATTGAGTAATGATGATGAAAACTAGCTTATAAAAATTCAAACTACATTTTGTGTAACTATTCTATAGCTAGAATCTTGAGAATCACAGTACCTACACAGTGGGAGAGTACAAATGAAGACCTATGCAGACGTCTGCTATAAGAACAGAACAGCCAACACACTATATGATGGAAAGGAGCAAAATGAAGAACAGATGATAAGTGGTGCTTAACTTTATTAAGCCAAGTGAACACTATTAATGAAAGTCTGTATCTAACAAAGGCAAATTACTTTGCTGTAATCATGTTCATGAGCTGTCTTGTGGCTGCCAGTCAGGGCCTGCCACTCATCTAAAGGAAATGAAAGCCTTGAAAATGTTAATTAGATGTTACAGCCTGATCAATATTGAAGAACCTTTAATTTATAAGTTTCCACCATTTTCTTTGCAATGTCCTCATGTGTTTATAAGAACAAAAGCCATGGAATTGTGGCAACATGAAAAGGTCAGCCTGCTACCTAAATTCTTTTGAAATCTTGACCTGTGTAGTCACATATGTCTAAATGAAAATCTATCAATTATCTCACTGAGAAATATTTCTAAAATATCAGTGAAGAATTAACTTGGCCTTACATCAGAAAATCTATTTCCTGAGCATAGATGTTCCTTTAATTGAAGATAACATGTAATTTTGGCTTTATTTAGGTAGAAAAATTCCTATTTGCGGTATTCTGGTAGAACCCTGCCTGGCGGTAAAATCAATAAAGCTTCATCCTCTACACTACTAAAATTCTTCAATTTGAAATTCTTTCCTAGCTTTAGGTCACAGATATACAGCCATCTAGGAAGAGGTAACAGATGAGGCTGCATTCTTCAACATTTTTAAGTACAAATGTATTTATCAAATTCTTCTTCACAAGCACTTTGGATGAGACCTCAGAGGAGGTGGGCTTATAGAAAATATGACTACTTCAGAGAAGGACAAAACAGCCTAAGAGGAGAATGCTAAATGTTCTGAAACAACAACAGAATAACATAAGCTTCTGCCTATAACTTCCTTTCATTTTGGTAATATACGTCAACATTCCTATTAAGAAAGCAGTGACAGAACCTGTTAATAACAGATTATTTTATTATAATTCATATGAATTAAACACAAACTACCGATAACTTATCTTCTACTTAGGGAACATGGGGAAAAATTTTAAATCTCAGTTAATGGCTGGTGGAAAGTGGAGGGAAAGTTCAGATACACAATTTCCTTTTTCTTCCCTTTGTTTGGGTTGACTTTCAGGTAGGTGCTTTAGAAATGACTAAGAAAAGGTAGTGTTCTTACAAAAAAAAAATGAAGAATAACAGTTGAGTTTTTGAGTCCCTGGAAATAGTTGTATGAAATCTTAATCCGGTCATTGGTGACTTTTACTATCAAATTTTTCTTCAGCTTATAGAATTTCTGATCCATAACAAAAGTATCCAAAATTACTGCTTATACTTGTTTTTCCCACATTTGAGCTTTTAAAAAGGGTAGTTTATGCTCATTTTCTAAACTTTTCTACCTTCTATTTATCTTAAACTTGCTGTGTTCTGGCTTTTTTCCCCACCACTCCACTGAAACTGCTCTCAGTAATGTCACTGTTGATTTCTAACTTGACAACTTCAATAGATGCTTTCAGTAGCCTCCCTGTGCCATTTGAAGCGGCTATTCCCTCCCTTCTTGATATTACCTCTTCAGTTCTATGACTCACTGTTGGTCTCATTTTCTCTTAGTTTTTTCTACCTAAAGGATTAAATCTTAGGCTACTGCAGGGGCCCTTCTTCTTCCACACATTACATTTGGGTATACTTCAGAATTCCATTTTTGTTCTTCATATTCTATATATATTCCTAGATGATCACCCACTCTTAAGATTTGCCCACTATTTATATTAATTGCTTTTAATAATCCAGCAAACAGAGTCTGGAGGGTCAGCCTATCTGAGTCCAGAGGTGAAAACTGCCTGGGGAATTGTACCAGGGACAATGAAGAATAACAGCACACTGTCTCTATAGCCTGTAGCAGGGATTTGCTCAACCCATCATCTCCTCTCACTGACTATGTGCCAGGCATTGTAAGAAAAATTGTATATGGAAGGGTATATAAAATAAATCAAAATGTCATGATATTCTACTTGTCTCACATAAATCTACCCATAGGAGTGATTGAATAACCATTTGCTAATTGTTTGGGTCTACTAAATAGGTCATAGGAAGTTCATCTGGTCTAGAAACTTCCTAGTATTACTCAAGAATAATAAAAATAGAAAAAGAGAGACAAGAACAGATGCTGTTGTAGAGATCATGCCAAGAAAATGTAAAGCTTTGAAGCTTTTCATTTCCTGGTAACTACCACCATTACCTCTTCAAATTTCAAATTGAATGTTTGTCACTATTAAGTCAAAGAGACAAACTGTTCATGCTACAAGTTCATTATATTCTATAGGTGTACATGACAAATGCATCTGAGAATGGTACCTTCAGGATAAACCTTTAGGCAGTTAGCTTTAAATAAATTATTTTGTTGGTGTGTTATGGAACCCTCGCTTAATGAGATTTATAGGATGTGACCACTCAGATTATATTCTTCAGTGATCTATGGATCAGTGTAGTACTGTGGATCAATATGACTAAGTTACATGTTTCCCCTAAGACTTGTTATCTCTAGGGTACAGTTAATTTAGGAAAGAAAATACTAGGGGATTAAAATATCAACTTTCCCCTGGGGCCTGAAATAAATAAAACGGGTAGTAATACTACTTCTCTTTTAAAGTATTGGAATATAAAAATACCTTTTCCCAGAAAATTGTACCCTACTACCTAAACTTTCCCTAAAGTGTCTCCTATTCTTAGTCATGCTGTCTATGAGCTGTGCCTCATAGCAACAATGCATTGTCCTACTGTGTACCTGTGACTACCTTGACCAGACAAGCTCAGAAGTCTGCAGAAGTGGAAAAGAATTAAAATAGAAAGAAAAAAATAAACAAGAATTAGAGAGCGTGTGTCCTACTGGCCTTTGTATTGATTATTCAAGTCTTGTATGACACCTGGATCCTCTACCTTGAGTAGTGTTTAAGATAGCATTGTATTTTTTTCAATAAAAGCCCTGATATTTTGAATGAATTTGTTTTGAAATGTGTTGCCTAGTATTTAAGTGCCAAAATACCCATTTCATCGGGGAACAATTTGTTCCTTCTTTCAGAAAATATTCCTCTTCTCTGCTTCTCAATTTTACTCTAGGTGTACAACTTCTGTGGAAAGTGCTATATTTTTACATAAACCCTATGGTCTGGCTATAGTTGATTATTGCTAGGTATGGACCAATTACAGCTCTTACCTACTATTTTTGAGTCATGAAGCAGGGAGAGCATTAGACCATTGTCTCTCCAGAGGCACATTTTTTAAATATAAAACTTGCAAAAATGCAAGCATGTTTCCTGCTAATGTAGGTCTGTAGTAAAACACTGTAAAGTCAAAACCTTGATGCACAATCTGGAGAGAATATCGAAGGTGTTCATGTCATGGCTTCTAAATGATCCCTAAACAGGCTTCTTTTGCCTTTTTGCATTTTACTTGTTTAAACCTTTCTTAGATTTTCTGAGTCAATAATTCCCACATATGTCTAAGCTTGTTTAAATTGGGTTTCAATTAGGGTTGCCAGATTTAGCAAATAAAAATGCAAGATACCTTTACCTTTGAATATCACATAAACAATGATATTGCAATATTGGGACATACTAAAAAAGATCCATTTTTTATCTGATATTCAAATGTAACTGGACATTCCATATTTCATCTGGAACCCTAGTTTTGATCACTTGCAGCAAAACTGAATCAGTTGCTCTCTGTGACTCGTAACCAGACAGAACTATTTCTTATAGTACTTTGGATACACATTTGTATTTAATCAAAAAAGAACACAGGAAGCAATTTTGTGCTTTCCAGGAAATTTTGTGTAGCCTAAATATCACTGTACAACTCTGATTCTTCCTATACAACTTTGGTAAGTATCTCTCTACAGAGTGCAAATGTAACTTTGAAGCAGAGCATTTAAGTGATCCAGGAGCCTTAATGTGTATTTCAAGTCAAGGCTCTGAGAAATGGATTTAATGTTCTCTTAAGGCTGAAATCCAGGAACCCTTGAGTGTCAAAGCCCAATGAGGGCTCCTGGACAAATCACTTAATCTCGCTTCTTCAGTCTCCTTATCTTTAAGCTGTAGGTAATATTTCTTTCCAGTCTTCCAGAAGTGTCACGGTGATTAACATTTATGGACTGCTTTGAAGATGAAAATTCTATATCTTGTTAAGCATTAGCAAGATGGCAAATAATATATAATTATGCTGTGTACCTGCAATAATCTAAGAGCATGCATGTTTTCACAGTTTTAATAATAATTTCAGTAAAATAAAAACATGAGGTTTAGTTCTCACTTTAATTTGATAAAATGCTTTACTTTGGTTTCACAGCTATGGGAAAGGTTATTTGAAAAAAGAAGTGAAAAAATAAACGCAAATATTTTATAATATTTGGGCTACAAGCAATTTTTCTTCATAAAAACCTAATTGTTCTCAAATACAAATGGCCAACTGTTTGCTTTTCAAATGAGGTTTACCATTAGGACTGCTTTTGAAAGCATGCATTAAGATGGAGGGATGGGAAGTTACTATAATTTTCAGTTCATGTTACTTCTTGAGTACTGTCACTTTTCTATATAAAGCTATAGAAAGTGAACATTAGCCCTTTAAAAGAGTCATATTTCAAGGATCAGGTGGGAAAGACAGAAGTGTTGGATGCACCTCACTGCACTGCTGTTCATCCCCAACACTTTGCACAATGTGAGAATGTTTAATAATTCCAACCCAACCTACAGATAAGAATCTCTGGTGTCACATCACAACTGACAGTGCTGGTGTGAGATTTGCAGTAAAACAATATTCCAGCTGTAGCTTTCATTTACAGAAATAAAACAGCAGAAGTGGAGGGAAAAAGGCCAGGAGAAGATAAACACTTTCATCTTGAAACAGCACTGACATTAAATTATAATAGCTATACTCAAACAAGGAGAGAAAATCCAACCTCAGGACCTAAACCTAACATGTATTATATCAGCTAAAATCCATCGCTCTGTCTATATTTTATGTGAGCCAGTTAATGTTTAGTTATCCAGAGAGATCACCAAATATAAATAAGCTCTTTCCCAAATAAAGGCTATGGCAACTGTGGGACAGGCGGCCTTATTTTTCTCCCATTAATCACTAGAAACTTCACACGGCGTCAAAGTCTCCAGGGATATTTCTGGCTGGGAAAAAGATCCTCCCTCCTCAGTTCTAATCAGTCCATCCCATCTGTAATGGCTTTAGAAAATTGTTAATGACATAAAGTGACAGTCGAAGGGCTTTTTGGTCTGTCAGTGTAGGGTTACTATGAGCTCTCTAACAAACTACTACATCCAGGCCTCAAAGCTGCTGGAAAATGATCTGGATTACGAAGGAATAAATTTGATATGTTAGCAATCACAAGCGGGAACTGAAAAGAAAGGCTTCCTTAATACGGTTCTTTTAGGCTATAATGGGAAATATGAAGATAAATCTGGCTCAGAGACAAACCCACATAAGACTGCCACGAGCACACAGAATATAGATCTCGGTTATGAGATGTGTAAAACACACAATGGCCTGAATCAGGAGCTAAGTATATAAGTGCAAACAAACCCGTTTTTATAGTTAGCATGGCATTTTGAATGGAGTTTTAAGCCTAAAGGACAGTATCCTACTTGCAGAAGAAGATGGGAAATGTAACAGTAAGTACTGGGCTTTTATATATAGAAGTCTAATAAGAAAATGTTCTAGAAAATTATGAACATAAAGCAAATTAAACTGAAATTGGCTTTCCCCATAAAAATTGAAATACCTTGCTTTCCCTAATCTAAAATATTGTTTTTCTTTTAGTTCCATTATCTTGCTTTGGATTTATGGAAATTCTGAACAGTGATGTGAGAGTGACTACAGTTTGAAGTATCTGTTAAATACAGCAACATGACATCACAAGGTATAATCTCATTCCTTGCCTTATATAAAAATTCTGCACAGAATTGATAAATAAATGCATATCTGGGAATTTGAATCTGTTAAAAATAGGCAGATAATAGAAATGGAAATATGGAGATTTTTTTAAAAAAAAAAAGACTAATTTTATCCTAATGCGGTAAAACGTTTTCTTTCTTGTATTTTTTTTTTAGTTTCTAGAATATTCACCTCATTAGGACATCACAGAAATTGACAATATAAACAGTCAGTTTCCCACACATCTCCTGTAGGTAGTGCAAAGTACCTTAAAAATATTACATCCTGACAAATCTACAGATTTTGCATGATTAAGTGAAATGATTTTTACCTAGTTGTGCAGAAAGATTTTTACTTAGTAGTAGAGAACAGCAAGGTGATATATTATCCCCAAATCCTACCATGTTCCATAAGCTACATAAAAGCAAATGTTATCTCAATATAAATATTTTTCCTATTAGTGAAAAAAAATTCAGACCTTTAAAGCAGGATAATTTCTTATTAGTCTGAGACAGTTTCACAAGGGCTGTATCTGACAAACTCCACTTTTACCAGATGGTTTCTAGAGAAACCCTCCAACTCCATCATTCTACAATTAACCATAATTTTTCTTAGGTGAGTATCATTTAGTAGGAATAGACAACCAGCGAATAGGCCCTGAATTCTGCTACAGTTGTGCATTGGTAACAGGAATGGAATGAAGAGAGAACAAGAATAATTTCTCAGCAAATAATCCTCATTGAATTATGTAGGGGAATTTCAACTGATTCCTTTTCCATCGTCAAATGTTGCACATTCTCTTAGAGAAGAAATCACTGGCATACTGAAGGAAGTTCATCCTATTTGACTTTGGAGCAGGTCATAGGCTTTGGAGACCTATGCTAATTCTTTCAGACTGCTAGGGAGCTAACTCATAAATATCTATTTCAGTGTTCTAAAATGATTAAATGACATCATAATGACCTGGTTTAAAGAAAATGTTACAAGAGATCCCCTAAATGATACCCTGGTGGCCTGAAAGAGTTAATGCAGTTTCCTTAAGTGCCCAATTCAATCTTAGTTTGCAATATACAGAGCAGGGAATGTGTCCCAGTAACTCACTAATAGCCATATCTAATAAAAGTATATTAAGGAGAGATAAGTTCTTTGAAGGAGTCTATCAAAGAGCAGGTGGCAATTCTGATTAATACAGCTCTGCTAAGAAAGGAGAAATGGAGCCTTTGGAAATTCAGTAATCCTGTAGAGAAACATTGAGATGATGCCCTTCTTAAAGAATATCTCAAGGGATCATGATCCATGACAACAGATACTATGTTCTTCCAAAATATAGTTAAGGTTTATGTGTAACACACTCTGGCAGCAAACAATATTTTTTATAGCGAGACTGGGAGAGTACGAGAATGTTTTTCTAAGTTTTCAATGTATTCAATATCGTATATCTACGTAATATATCAGAAAAGCAGATAGAAATTGGAAACAGGTCTCTTATTATAGTATACGGAATATTTTTACTATACAAGTTTATATTTTATATAAAATGTGATCATTTTATATAAAGTTTAATATTATTAGATCGAATTCTACAATCAAGTTGGGCATCAGATGACAGAACATGAGAATGAAATAGAAGAGAAAGAGAAGAGAGACAATTTTAATAGTAGAAGTAGAAAACACATTTTGGTATTCAAAGATAATTTAGTCAAATGAATGAATCAATTAATAGAAGCCTAGAAACATGGAGCAAAAAGAACTAACCATGAGTTCTGTAATCACCTTAAAATTATTGCACATATAAGTACATATATAGAATGTTTAAGTCCAGAAACAACACAAGTAGGTATATATATAGTTATATATTTGTACAATATAAATTTATTCTATGATAAAAGAAATCTTTCAAATCTATGAGCAAGGGAAAAGATTTGGAAGTCAGTACAATGTGATTGTGAAGAGAATGAAATCTTGGCTTGATATCTCTTGGTTCTAATCTCAGCTCTTATTCTTAATAGCTGTATTACCTTGAACAAATCACTAAACTGTCCTTCGATTCCCTTATCTGAAAATTGGGGAGTATAATCACACTTACATTGAAAAGTAACAGAAATAATAAATGTAAAGCATTTGGCAGAGTATTTGGCTCATAGTAAACCATAATAAATGCTAATTATTATTATTCAATAAATGGGGATTTAAACAAATGGCTAACCACATAGTAAACAAGTTAGGTCTCCCTTATGCCTTATGTAAAACATAGAATCAGATGGATGAAAGAGTAAATATAAAAAAGAGAATTCTAACAGTAGGAAAGGAAATATATATGAATATTTATAATAATATTGTGGTTGGGGAAAGCAGGAAACACAAAGCCATAGACCTATGAAAGACTGTTGAAAAATTTAAACTTCTGATAGAAAAATAAGGATAACAATAAAAGACACACAGCAGACTAGAAAAATATTTGTAGTGTATAATACAAAGGGTCATGATAATTTACATAAAGAGTTCCTATCATCAGTTTTTCTAAAACATAATGTTTGATCAGGCAGCTAATAAACACAGATGGTATATATTGCGAATTCATTGCTCTGTGTAGTTTCAGAGCCTTCTCAAAATTTATCTCAGGTAACTTTTTCTGTATATAAAGGAATCAACTTAAATGTTACTTCAGTAGAAAGGCCTCTTCTGATCTTCAATCTAAATATGTTTTTTTAAATTTCCTTCTCATGGCATGTATTTTTTGTGTGTATGTGTCATAGCTCTTGTTCTTTATCACATGTTTATATCTGTTGGTTTATAACCATTTCCCCCTCATTAGACAATAGCTCATAGGACTGGGTGTATAGTGTTTACACTCTGTAGTAAGTCCCAAACATATAATAGATATTGAAGTAATAAGATCATTTAAAGGATCCAGAACACTATGTTAAAGCATTTAGCCTTTACATCTAAAACAGTCAAAGAAGAATTTTAAGCAGGGTTAAGCCTTATTGGGCTTCAGTGAAGGGTGAAGCATGAAATGGAAAGTATACACTTAGAGGCCAGGTGCTCCTTTAGAAAAGGGATTGAAACAATCTAAGAAACTGGGAAGATCTAAACTAAGGAAGTTTAATGCCAATATAGGAATAATTCCAAAGATACTTAAAATTAGGTGATTTTAACTGAAGTAGTGTATGCATAAAGGGAAACAATGAGAATAAAATTTGATTTTGGATTTTAGAGCAGACTGTAAAATTTTGATGCTATACCAAGACATTTGTAATTTTTCCTCTGAGAAGTAGAAAGCCGATGAAGAATTTTGAAAATTAAATTTTGTCTTTCATTTGCTTACTTGTATGTTTTAAATCATCTTGATTATGAAGACTAAGTTATTGAAACACATGAATTAGACTTCTGAGGACCATAGGAAAGTTGAAGTTTTAGTTCTGTGAGTTACTACTCTCAAATTTAGCCATAAGTATCTAGAGGCAAGGTCATCTTAATGAAAAATTTTGGGATCCTGACAACTATTGTCAAATGAACTTCCTTTATCATCATTATCATTACCACCACAATCATCATCAACATCACCACCCCCAACGACAATAATGGCAGCAATGACAACCACAACAACAACACACATTTGTTGGAAAATTATGTAAGATACTGCAGTAGGTTCTTGAGTACATAGAAATCTGGCATAGTCCCCGACATCGAAAAAGTAAAATATGTGCATTAAAATAACACTAGTCATGTAGAGGAGCATGTGATAAAATGAGTAGTAAGGAAATAATTTATTCTGGAGTTTAAAGAGAGAATTGTTTGTGGACCGAAGTGTCTTTAGAAAAAGGTTGATGGAGCAGGTGACACTTGAATTGGTCTTTGAGGAAGAAACACATTCAGATAAATATAAATATACCTACTGAGACAGACGTACTACAAGACAGAAGAGGAAGTTCCTACGGCCTCTTCTAAGGACAAGTAGACCAGTATACAAATAAGAGTGCTTTGACCATACCTTAGAGTTCATAAGGAAAACTAAAAGAAATATTCAGAGAGCTGGATAGAAACAGATTTTAAAGTATTTCGAAAATAAGATACTTTACTACAAATAAAGAGTAAACTAAGGTTTATTTTGAGGAAAGTGGAGAACCACTTACATGTTCAGAGCAAAGTAGCTACTTGTAGAAAGTTGTGTTTTAAGATTTAGAGAATGAACATAATGAGCATGTTCAACATGAAGCTTAGGGGTTAAAATTCTGGTTAAAGAAACCACTGTGATGGTAAGTTTTTTTTTAGTACAGGAAAAGGAGAACCTGATGTAAGAAATCAGAAGAATGGAATAATATGAATTTCTTTCTCTTATCTTTTATTAGGAAAAATTTCAAACAATATTAAAGAGAATATAATGAACCCCCAAATATTCACCACTCAGCTTCAAAAATTATCAATTCATGACTAATCTTATTTTATCTATATTCTTGCCTACCTACTTTACCTCCAGATTTTTTGAAGCCCATCATCATTTCACTTCACCTATTGATTTAATATAAATTTCTAAAAGATAAGGAATAATGAAAAACAAACAACCATAATACCATTTTCATACCTAAAAAATCAATAATTTTTAACAATCCCAAACATGCAATCAGTGTTTAGATTTCTTCAATTTTTATATAAAATTTCTTTATAATTAATTTCTTTGAATTATTGTCCAAATAAGGCCCATTCACTTGAGTTGGTTTATGTTTCTGAAATCTCTTTAAATCTTTAGTTTCATCTTTCACCTCTTTTTTCTTGAAACACAGTCTCTATTTTGCTGACCACATACTCAGGGTAGGATTTGCTATGCACTTCTGTTCCCTATGTATTCCTGAAAATGGTGGTTGAATTTAAAATCTTGAACAGATTTAGGTTCAATTTTTTTTTTTGGCCAGAATTGGGCCAGGCACCATGGCTCATGCCTATAATCCCAGCACTTTGGGAGGCCGAGGACAGTAGATTGTTTGAGCCCAGGAATTCGAGACTAGCTTGGGCAACATGGTAAACCCTGTATTTAAAAAAAAAAAAAAAAAAAAAATTTAGACGAGCATGGCGTGCCCCCTTAGTCCCAGCTACTTCTTTGGAGAGTGAAATGGGAGAATCATTTGAGCCCAGAAGGTCGAGGCTGTGATCTCGCCACTGCACTCTGCACTCCAGTCCAGGTGAACAGAACAAAACCCTTTCTCAAAAAAACAAAAAACAAAAACAAAAAAAACAGAAACAGAAAACCAAAATAATTGTTTATAGGTTGTGTTGTGTACTATTTCATTGTCTTTTGTTTCCCTGTTGGTATTATAGCAGTTATTACAAAATGGCGATATTCTACTTCAATCTTTTATTAACTGAAATACTACTATAACATGAAACTTCTCATAAATAATTTGATTACACTGATTTATAGCTCATTTAGAAAATTCAGATGTCTATTGCTCTTTATAAAACAGTTTGCAAACTGATAAGTTGATTCCCTAGCATCTTCCTAAGTTGATTTCCTAGCATCTTCCAAAGTTGACCAGTGAGTTTTATTTCTTCATTTTTAAAGAACTATTATGAGCTCATGGATTAGAACGTGTTTGATGTATTTCAATCTATCGCAATTATTGATTGCAATAATTATTAAACTCCTTATTTAAGTTGACTTCTGAGGCTTTTTGATATAGCCGTGGAGGCTTTGAGAGTTTTCTCACATTCTTGTATGATAAGATGCCCCAAGATTATCTTAAATTTCCTACCCAGAACTCAGAATCCTCTATTTCTCCAAGGAGTCTTTATTGCTTGTACTATGAAATGATATTTAGAAATTACAATTTGAGTGCTAGAGGTGCTAATTACTATAGCATTGGAAATTGTTTATATATATATAAACTATATATATATATATATATCCAGAGGACGAACCTAAGAAATCTGGATTTGGAAATACAAAATTTGTTATGGTTTTATAAAGATGTTTCCAATTCAAATTCAGGAGTATATGATTTTTACCTTTATTTCACTTTTATTTCCTGTTTCTCTCATGTCAGCAATCCTGGCCTTTAACCATACTCATAAATCCTTATTTGTTCTTCCCTTAATACACATACAAGTCTCATAATAATAACGTATCAATGACATCTACAAATATAATCCACAAACTGTATAATTATTTTCAAGTTTTTGTCTTAGAATATATCCAACCAAGGATACACCGTCAAGTTATTGTGTTTTAAAGTCACTGTAAATAGTCGTTCTCTCTGTATTATACCACTTGTCTGTCTCTTCATACACAGATTCAATATTGTCTTAATTATAGAAAGGTTTGGCTGGGTGCGGTGGCTTACGCTTGTAATCCCAGCATTTTGGGAGGCTGAGGCCAGCGGATCACCTGAGGTCAGGAGTTCGAGACCAGCATGTCCAACATGTAGAAACCCCATCTCTACTAAAAATACAAAATTAGCCTTGGGTGGTGGTGCATGCCTATAATCCCAGCTACTCGGGAGGCTGAGGCAGGAGAATCGCTTGAATCTGGGAGGCAGAGGTTGCAGTGAGCCAAGATTGTGCCATTGCACTCCAGCCTGGGCAACAAAAGTGAAACTCCGTATAAATAAATAAATAAATAAATAAATAAATAAATAAATAAATAAATAAATTATAGGAGGTTCATAATATGTGTTGACAACTTTTAGGGCTAGATTACTCATACTCTTTTCTTTTTTAGGATTATCCTTTATTTCAGAGTTTTCCTACTTTTTTTCAAACCGAACTCTGTTTAGCTTCAAAGAAAATGAAAACTAATGGCATTTTTATGGAGACTGCATATTTAATACATTAACTCTTCCCACCCAAGATAATGGTATGTCTTTCCACTTGTTTATTTCTACATTTATGTCTTTCAGGATTGTTTTGGAGTCTTCTGGATATGAGAACATTATAAAAGGTGAAAAAGTAGAACTGAAATATGAAGGGAGAAAAAGAGACAAACATGGTTTCAAGTCTCACTTAGAGAAGAAGGATTGTTTATTTATTTGATGGAAATTGGGTCAATTGAAGACTCTGACACAGAGAATAACGGTACCAGACCTGAGTCCAGTCTTAGCTTTAGTAGGAACAAAATGTATCAATCAAATTTATATAGGACCAAATACCAGTGAAAGAAATTAGACATAATTACTGAAAGAATAAATTACATGAGATATTCACTGTACTTAGCCACATGACATGAAAACCTATGCCCTTTAGAGCAAGCACAGTTCCATGCAAAACTGTAGAGAAGTTTTCTCACCCCTTTTTCACATGCTTCTCACATTGTAGCACCCCTCCTTGAAACCATCCTACTTCTACTATCCTCCAGTTTCCTCTGGATTTGAATGTCCATATCATGCTATGGTCCTTCAGTCAGCTCCTGTGTCAGAAATCAGGGCCCTGCTCTGGGCTCTTCCTTCATCCTGTAACTATAGTCAAATAAGTCCTGTTAAGTCTACTTCCTTAAAAACTCTTAATAATCTCTTCCCCTTCTTCATTGCCATTGCCTATTGCACCATCTTATTCAGAACACCATTTTTCTTACCTATAATGTTGAAAGTAACTCTTCAACAGTCCTGTTGCGTGCTTTATCCCATTGCTTCTTATATAACAGATGTGGTGATATTTAGCCTATTTGTAGTTCCTTGAAACCATCCTTTGTACTGCCATCTAAGTAATCTTTAAAATAACAAGATAAATATTTCTATGACCTCCATTGTCTAAAGCAAATTTCCAATGTATATTGTGAAAAAAATGCCAAAGAGTTTCATGACAAATGCTATATACTATAGTCTTGGGAGAGCCACAGGGTAAATTAGTTCTAAAGAGCTCTCTTTGGTAGAGGAAACTGTTAAAATGTGATCAGCCTAATAAGATCATAATCATATGACTATGAACTATTTTAAATGTACCTATCAATTTTTTCAACCTACTGTTTTGAAGTATATTCAATCTATTGTCTCAAGTATATTTTTCAATGTACTTGAGAGTATATTGACCTGAAGAGAAAAGTCCAAACTCCTATGACCTTACTATTGTTCTGACCTCATCTCTCACAGCTCCCTCTTATTCCTGGTGTTCTATCACATGATAATGAAATTTGACAGAACAGTATTTATGTTACTGGGGGTGTGGGGCATTGAGGAAGCATGGCAAATGAGAGGGAAGTGGTAGAAAAATGACTTTTATCATGTGCCTCTAAGAAGAGACATATATGGATTGAGATCCACTTAAAAGGGAAAAGTTAAAAAAAATCAAAACCCAAAAATCACCACCATTCTGTGGATGTGGTATATTTAATTGTCTAATAATAATAAATTTCCCACAATGTCAGATGTTAAGAGTACAAGAAAGAGTTACAAAAGGAAGAGGTTAGGGCAATAAATTGAAAAGTGAGTAGAGTTGAGGAAAATGCTTTGCTAGATTGCTAGATTGAAGTTTTCTTCAATCTAGCAAAAAAGGAGACAGGAGAAAAGGAGCAAATTGCAAAGGCAATGGAGGGGAGATAACATAGCTGATTACTAAAGAGGATATTTGTGTACTTATTTGTATGGTGTGTGTGTGTACGTGTGTGTGTGTGTGTCTGTGTATGTGTGGTGGTACTTGAAAGACAAATTGGATTAGGGTAGTATTTTGATTCTGTGTTCAATTCTCTGAACAATGACTCAGCTTGATAGGCTATTAATGTTTAATAGTCCCATATATTTCTCCTATGCTGTCTACAAGAATATCATTCTCATTATAAAATTTTGTGTATCTCATTTGTCTTACATTTTCACAAATATAAAAAAATACTTCTTTACTCACTCTACAGCTCTGTGAACGTTCAGAGTAAACCTTCTTAGGATTACTTATGGAAAAGAAAAGAATATTCACTCTATCTTGTATATACAAACCATGTTAACATTATTTCTAGATATAGAACTGGCTGCATACGATTTCAACTGTTATTCTGAACAAATTTAAGTAATTCTTTATTCTCAGCATATTGGCAACATAGAAATGCATTTTAGAGGTGCAGAGGCACAGAGGGAAATTTGAGCCAAATGAATCTGCTAGATATTTCTGCACAGTTTTCATAATTCATTGTTAGGTCTGGCTTCAAGGAGGGCAAAGTTCACATATTTCTTTTTTATATTGAAATAATCACAATATTATTTTTTAGTAAAAATGTTTGATTTTATTCCAAAAAATCTTTAAGTAAGGAGTAAGATTTCTGCATGATCTGCGAAATGAAGGTGGAACAGAATAGAAGCCCTCTTCTGTACAATGTCACCAAAACATCCCGAAGTTTTATCCTGCCTGGAAAATTTCTTACACATGATTCTTACTGCTTAGCTTGAAATTGCACCTAGGAAGAAGCTTTTGTTCTCAGTGCTGCCAAAACTTCCATTTTTCAGCAGTGACCTCAGTTTAGCACCTGCTTATAAGATGTGTTTGCACATCGTTGGTACGTTATAGTGACATACATGTTCTCATCTAGGAGATTGTCATAGAATTCAAGAGATGTTAACATTTTTCCATCTGTGTGTGTGAAAGTGACGTTTCCTGTTAATTTTGTTCTCTTGCTGAATTCTCTAAGCAAAAGCCTTCTGTGGGAGGGAGAATGATGTCATTATAGTCATAGCATAAAAATTTTCAACCTTTAGAATGAGACATATTGTGGCATATATATTACTACTTTTAAAAGCAGTGACACAAAAACTTGGAGGACGATGATATCAATTTTATATTTTCAGGTGTGGGGGTTTCCAGGAGACTTGAGAATGACTCCAGGACTCATAGTTCTCCTGGAACATGGTTTTCCACTGTAGCCTTAGAAGAGGAAAGCCCATCTATGGATACTTATGTTTATGAGAATAGAGACTTGACTGTTTAATGTCAGAGGAATAGAGAGTTTGGCAAGCAGAACAATCTATCAGTGACGGCCTTTGGAAAAAATGGGCTATTTTTAGTAAAAGTTTTCATAATGACATGATTTAAAGTAAAATAAATTAGACTTTTGATTTCAACTCTGTGTTAGAGTTCTCCAGATAAATGGAACCAATAAAAAATATTTACAGGAAATGGCTCACATATTATGGTGGCTAAGAAGTCCTACGATCTGCTGTCTTCAAACTGGAGAACCATAAATGTCAATGGTGTAATTCAGTCTGAATCTGAAGGCCTAAGAACCAAGAGAAATGATGGTATAATTCCTGGTCTGAATCCAAAAGCAGGAGAAGATGTCCCAGTTCAAGCAGAAGGAATAAATTCATTCTTTATCTTCCTTCTTGTTCTATTTGTGTCTTCCATGGACTGGATGTTGACTGTCCACATTGGTGAGGGCACATCTTTTTTGTTCAGTGTACTTATAGAAATGCTAATCTCTTCCAGAAACACCCTCACAGACATATCCAGAAGTAATATTTTAATAGCTATCTGGATATCCCTTAACCCAATCAAGTTGACACATAAAATTAACCATCAAAAGCTCTGACATGTAAAAAGCTTTTTTTTTTTTTTAATACTTTTACTGGACCCATTAGAGAACTGAGGTTCCAGAGTATATTGCTACCTTGAAATATAGAGAAACAGGCAAATATGGAGATGCTTTCAATTTCCTTTTCTGGAAAAGAAGCCACTGGAGTCATAAGCTGATAAGAACACTCAAATGATAGTTTTAATTTATTGTTGGAGGCTCAGTGTGGACTACCATGAGAATGAGAAATTCCTGTGAGCAGCAATCTTGGTGCTCAGCACTCCAAACCCCTAAATAATTTCTTGGGTTTTTCCTGCAGGAACCACACTAAATTCACATGTTGAAAAGTCAAAAAATATCTTCTCCTGGTTCTGGGAGGAGAAGGGGAAAATTAGCCAGTGTTAAATACTCATAGAGTATTCTCCACACACACACACACATACACAAAGAAAAGTTTACTCTGTAAGGGTAAGACTTTACTGGAGCCTTATCCACCTGATGATAAGGATGGCATAAGGAAGTCATTTCTTCGACTCTAGCATCGTCTGGTCTTTCTGTGACATTTAAGGGGGGAAAAAAATCTAAGAACTGTAACTTGTGAAAGTTACAGTCTATGTCTAAAGACCCACTAAAAGACAGATTTAATCATAATGCTGTAGAATGCTCTTCCTCCCTGACTCCTTACCATCACATCAATAAGGATCCAGTATAATAGTGTTATTTCCCAAAGAGCTGTAAGGTAGACTTTATCTAAAGAGTTCTGAGGGACACTAAACACAACAGGGGAGACAAAAACAAGGGCACTCTAGGCATTTGAATTCTCTGGCACCTACAACTACAACAAACAGTAAACATGGCCCTACTCCTAGCCACATTATCATAAAACCCCACACTAAAGGTCTACTTACCTAATTTCCTAACACCTACCTCATGCATCATATTTGACTTTCAACCAAAAAAAAAAAAATTTACGAAACATAACAAAAGGCAAGAGAAAATGTTCTGAAGACAAAGCAAACATCAGATAAGACTCAGCTGTGACACAGAGTTGGAATCATCAAGGAATTTAAAATAACTGTTACTAATATGTTTGGTATGCTGTAAAAAAAGAGGTAGAGAGAATAATAGAACAGACAGGTAAATTAAACAGAATGATAAAACCTTCATGAAAGGAAAATGCTAGAAATCAAAGCCATGGTAACAGAAATGAAAAATTCTTTACAAGGGCTCATCAGCTGATAAAAATTAAGTTAACATGAAGATAAATCATTATACATTTTCCAAACAGAAATGCAAAGAGAAAAGAGAAAAATAATTTTTAGAAAAAAATAGAAGAATCAATAAATGTAACTTACATATAATGAAAACAGCAGAAGGAAAAGAAAGAGAGAAAAGGACAGAGGAAATATTGGAAGGAATAATGGCTGAGGATTTTCCAAAATTAATGGCCAAAGCAAACCATCGATCTAGAAAGTTCAGAGAACACTGAGAAAGATAAATACCAAAACATCTAAGCATATTAAAATCAAACTTCAGTAAACAAAGGCAAAGAGAAAATTTTGAAAGAAGTCAGCAGAAGAAAACAAAATAAAACTTACTTTTCAGGAAAAAGGAAAATAATTATGAAAGACTTTCCTTCTAAAACTATGTTATCAAAAAGACAGTGAAGTGAAATATTTAGTATTAAAAGAAAAGCAAAATGAAATCTAAAATTTTATATCCAGTGAAATTTTTCTTCAAACTTGTAGGCAAAGTAACAACTTTCTCAGATAAAAATCTGAGGAAATTTATCATCAATAGATCTTCCCTACAAGTAATATTTTTAAAATTCTTTAGAGGGAAAGAAAATGGTATCATTCAGAAACTCACATCTAAATAAAGAAAGGAAGAACATCGGCGGAGGGAAAATTAAAGGCATTAAATAAAATTAAAATATTTTTTCTTCTTAATTATGAAAGATATCTTTTTATTTACAGTAATTCTAACGGTGTGTTGTATGATTATAGTCCTTGGATAAGTTAAATGACAGTAACATCATAGTGGATAAAAGCAGATAATCAATGAAATTGAAAACAGAAAACAATAGAGAAAAATCAATGAAATCCTAAGCTTGTTCGGAATGATAAATAAAATTGATAAACCTATAAGAAGGTTAACTAAGAAGAAATAGAGAATACAGAAATTCACAGCATCAGAAAGGAAAGATGTATTATCTGTACTGGTCCCACAAACATCAAAAGAATAGTAAAGAAATATTAACAACCATAGATCTAGAAAGCTCAGAGAACTCTGAGAAAGATAAATACCAAAACATCTAAGCATATTAAAATCAAACTTCAGTAAACAAAGGCAAAGAGAAAATTTTGAAAGATGTCAGTAGAAGAAAACAAAATAAAACTTACTTTTCAGGAAAAAGGAAAAGAATTATGAAAGACTTTCCTTATGTTTCTTAATTGATACTTTATAAGAAACGAACCAATGTTTTGAAAAATACAAACTGCTGAACTCATACAAGGAGACCACCTTATTTGGATATACCTATGTATATTCAAAAAATTGAATCAATAATTAATAACCTTCCAAAATAGAAAGCACCAGTTAGGTTCACTTTTAGCAAACATTTAATGAAAAAAATACAATAGAAATTGTAGAGAAATAATATTTTTTCATTAAATGTTTGCTAAATGTATCATTTCTCCTCCAAAAGGCAGAAACAGTAGGAATACTTTCTAACTCATTCTATGAGGCTGGTGCTACCCTACTACCAAAACCAGAAAAAGACCCAGTACAAATAAAGAAGACTAGAGCAATATCTCTTATGAACATAGATGCAGAAATTCTTAGCCTAATATCAGCAAATTAAATTCAACACCATTAAGAGAATGAAAACAGCAGTCCAGACCAATACAAAAACATCTGCAAAATACATACCTGAAAAAGACTTGTATCTGAAGTATAGAAATAACTCTTAAAATGTAATTCTTAAAAAATACTAATTTAAAAATAAAAACAGAAATTTCATCAAAGAAAATACACAGATGACAAATAGGTATATAAAAATAATCAACATCATTTATTATTAGAGAATTTCAAATTAGAGCAATGATGAGATATTGCTGCACACCTAGTAGAATGAGTAAAACTAAAACAATACAAAAAGCTCTAACAATAACAAATGGTGGTGAGGATGTGGAGCAGCAGGAACTTTCATTTATTATGTGTGGGAAGGCAAAATGGTACAGCCAATTTTGAAACAGATAGTTTCTTATAATGCTAAACACAGTCTTACCACGTGGTCCAGCAATTGTGCTCCAAGATATTTGCCCAACTCTTTTACAAACTTATGTTCACCCAAAAGCCTACACATGAATGCTTATAAAATCTGTTTTCATTATTACCAGAACCTGGAAACTACCAAGATGTCCTTCAAAAGGTGAATGAATAAACAAACTGTGGTATATTCATACATACAATGGAATATTACTCAGTGATACAAAGAAAAACACTATTAACTCATATGAAGATGAAAATGAATCTTAAATCCCTATTTTAGTGAAAGAAGCCAGTCTGGAAAGCCTACATTCTATAATTCCAATTACATGACATTCTGGAAAAGGCAAATAAATCTACAGACAGTAAAAGGATCAGTGATTGCAAGGAGGAATGGGGAAAAATAGTACAGGTAAAGTACTGGGGATTTACAGTGTAGTGAAACTATTTAGTATAATATTGCAATGTTAGATACATATTATACTTTTGTCAAAATCCATATGAAAGTGCAGTATAAAAGTTAAATAATATATTTTTAAAATAAATTTTAAAAATCATTTAGACATTTCAGAGATCTCAGGACAAAATGCAATATATGACAAAAATTTAAGCTTATTGCAAATATGTGAAACAACCACACTGAAGGTGTTAGGAGAAAAGGTTTTTACTTAAGAAATTTTGGAAATGAATGGAGTCTGAGAGTAGGCAAAAGAACAATGCATAAGCACTATACACTAGTTAACAAATGTTTTTCCCCATTAGTTAAGAATTCTGATACTGGTATACATTTATGCTGGAGTTAAATAATTACATAAGTGGATAGTGGACTGTGGGATCCACCTTTCATACTGTTGCAATGGGAATTTACAAATAAATGAAGGGAGAAGGCTAGGATCATCAATGTGGTAATGGATTTACATTGGAGACATCAGTATAAGTTTAGCTTAATATAGGTACAGGTGATAATGTTTATAGATATCTGTATATACATGGATTAGAATTCACAGATATATTTCTTTGTTCTGTCAGCTGAGAGTGCCTAAAAATGACATTTCATTGGACAAGTGTACACTGAGTACCCAGATCTTAATTACTAATACAATTTTCCACTAGAAGGAATCAGAGTTCCATAGATAAATGACTAATTGTAGGTTTGGGGCTGGAAATATGTACGATGCACCTGGATAATCTCATAGCACCAAAAGCATGAAAGGGTTAAACATATACACACATACACACAAACAAACACATACATACATACATAAATACACACTGGTGGGGGTCTGTCAAAGAGACACAGGATCCAATGGAAAGAATTCTCGCGATAGTTTACTGAGAATGATGGTTTCCAATTTCATCCATGTCCCTACAAAGGACATGAACTCATCATTTTTTATGGCTGCATAGTATTCCATGGTGTATATGTGCCACATTTTCTTAATCCAGTCTATCATTGTTGGACATTTGGGTTGGTTCCAAGTCTTTGCTATTGTGAATAGTGCCGCAATAAACATACGTGTGCATGTGTCTTTATAGCAGCATGATTTATAGTCCTTTGGGTATATACCCAGTAATGGGATGGCTGGGTCAAATGGTATTTCTAGTTCTAGATCCCTGAGGAATCGCCACACTGACTTCCACAATGGTTGAACTAGTTTACAGTCCCACCAACAGTGTAAAAGTGTTCCTATTTCTCCACATCCTCTCCAGCACCTGTTGTTTCCTGACTTTTTAATGATTGCCATTCTAACTGGTGTGAGATGATGTCTCATAGGTGGGAATTGAACAATGAGATCACATGGACACAGGAAGGGGAATATCACACTCTGGGGACTGTGGTGGGGTCGGGGGAGGGGGGAGGGATAGCATTGGGAGATATACCTAATGCTAGATGACACGTTAGTGGGTGCAGCGCACCAGCATGGCACATGTATACATATGTAACTAACCTGCACAATGTGCACATGTACCCTAAAACTTAGAGTATAATAAAAAAAAAAAATTAAAAAAAAAATAAAAATAAAAATAAAAATAAAAAAGAAATCAATATTAGTTGCAAAACAAAAAAAAAAAAAAAGAATTCTCAAAAGGCATGGATAGAACAATGAGCAAAGAAATAAAGTAGCATTGAATTTTAACCAAAATATAAAATAAATATGCATAAATCTTCACTTATTGAATAAGTAAAGAAATGGTGGAACAAAAACAAATCTTCCTTGCAGAAGAATACCAAATAATTTGTGTAGCTGCTTTACTCTCAAGACGATAGGAGCACAATTCTCTAGTTTTAAAGTGAGGGCTATGCGTAGGGACTCTCAAAAAAATATATAGTATAGAAAGGAATAAAAGTAGCTGCCTTACAGTGGAGAAATTTGACAACTACTGCCTCAGTTGATGATCAAGGTAAACATCAACAGTGATAAATCGTGTTGACAGTATGTGCCATGACATGATGCAATGAAAATGGTATATCTATGGTCTTCCTCCCAAAAAGACATAACCTCAGTGTTTTGAAATGTGAGAAAGACATGAGATTTGGGAGGGGCAAGGAGTAGAATGATATGGTTTGGCTTTGTGTCCTGACCCAGATCTCACAAACTGTGTCTCAACTTGTAATCCCAACATGTCAAGGGAAGGAACTGGTGGGAGGTAATTGAATCATTGGGGTGGTTTCCCCCCATGCTGTTCTTGTGATAGTGAGTGAATTCACATGAGATCTGATGGTTTAAAAGTGTGTGGCTGTTACCCTCTCGCTGTCTCTCTATCCTGCCACCATGTAAGATGTACCTTGTTTTCCTCTTCTGCCATGATTGTGAGTTTCCTGTGACCTCCCAGTAATGCTTTCTGTTAAGCCTGTGGTAATGTGAGTCATTAAATCTCTTTTCTTCATAAATTACCCAGTCTCAGGTAATTCTTTATAGCAATGTGAAAATGGACTAATACAGAACATTGGTACTGAGAGAAGTTGGGTATTGCTATAAGGATAATTTAAAATGTGGACGTGATTTTGGAAATGGGTAATGGGCAGAGGCTAGAATAGTTGGGAGAGCTCAGAAGAAGACAAGAACACATGGGAAAGTTTTGAACATCCTAGAGACTCGTTGAATGGTTTTGACCAAAATGCTGATAGTGATATAGACAATGAAGTCCAGGGGCTGAGGTGGTCTCAGATGGAGATGAGGAACTAATTGGGAACTGGAGCAAAGGTCAGTCTTGCTATGTTCTAGCAAAGAGACTGGTAGCATTTTGTCCCTGCCCTAGAGATTTGCAGAAATTTGAACTTGAGAGAGATGATTTAGGGTGTCTGGTTAAAGAAATGTCTAAGCAGCAAAAAGTTCAAGATGTGACATGGCTTTTTCTAAAAATGTACATTCATATGCATTAAGAAAGAGATGAACTGAAATTAGAACTTATGTTTAAGAGTGGAGCAGGGCATAAAAGTTTGGAGAATTTGCAGCCTGACTATGTGGGAGAAAAGACAAACCATTTTTTGGGGAGAAATTCAAGCTGGTTGCAGAAATTTTCATAAGTAGTGAGGGCCAGATGTTAATAGCCAAGACAATGGGGAAAACGTCTCCAGGGCATTTCAGAAATCTTCATGGCAACCTGTCCCGTCACAAGCCTAGAGGATAGGAGGGAAAAATGCTTTCATGGGCCCCACTACTCTGTGCAGTCTCAGGACATGGTGCCTTGCTTCCCATCCACTGCAGCTCCAGCCATGGCTAAAAGGGGCCAACATACAGCTCAGGCCATTGATTCAGAGGGTGCAAGCCCCAAGCCTTGGCAGCTTCCATGTGGTGTTGGGCCTGCAGGTGTGAAGAAGATAAGAGCTGAGCTTTGGGAGCCTCTGCCAATTTCAGACGATGTATGGAAATGCCTGGATGTCCAGGCAGAAGCCTGCTGCAGGAGTGGAGTCCTCATGGAGAGCCTCTATTAGTGCAATGCAGAGGGAAAATGTGAGGCTGGTGCCCCCACAGACAGTCCCCACTGGGGCACTGCCTAGTGGAGCCATGAGAAGCTGGCCACTGTCCTCAAGGGCCCAGAATGGCAGATCTACTGACAGCTTGCACCACACCCCTGGAGAAGACACAGGCACTCAATGCCAGTCAGTCAAAGAAGCCAAGGGGTCTGTGCCCTGCAGGGCCACAGGAGCAGAGCTGCCCAAGGCCTTGGAAGCCCACTCCTTGCATTAGTGTGTCCTGGACGTGAGACATGGAGTCAAAGGATATTTTGGATATTTAAGATTTAATGGCTGCCCTATTGGGTTTTGGACTTGCATTAGACCTGTAACCCTTTTGTTTTGGCCAATTTCTCCCATTTGGAATGGGAACACTTACCCAATGCCTGTACCCCCATTGCATCTCAGAAGTAACTAACTTGCTTTTGATTTTACAGGCTTATAGGCAGAGGGACTTCCCTTGTCTCAGATGAGACTTTGGACTTGGACTTTCGGGTTAATGTTAGAATGAGTTAAGACTTTTGGGGACTGTTGGAAAGGCATGATTGTGTTTTGAAATGTGAGAAAGACATGAGATTTTGGATGGGCCCCAGACAGAATGATATCGTTTGGCTTTGTCTCCCCACCCAAATCTCCTCTTGAATTGTAGTGTCCACCTCTCAAGGGAGAGACCTGGTGGGGAGTGATTGGATCATGGGGGCGGTTTCCTCCCATGCTGTTCTCATGACAGTGAGTGAGGTCTCATGAGATCTGATGGTTTAAAAGTGTGTGGCAGTTCTTCTCATTGTTCTGTCTATATCCTGCCATCATGTAAGATGTGCCTTGTTTCCCCTTTTCCTTCTGCCATTATTGTAATTTTCCTGAGGCCTCCCAGTCATGCTTCCTGTTAAGGATGCAGAATTTTAGTCAATTAAATCTCTTTTCTTCGTAAATTACCCAGTCTAAGGTAGTTCTTTATAGCAGTGTGAAAATGGACTAATACATTCTGTTTGATAACAGGAGGTATATTAGACAAATCCCATAGGCATTTTACAAAATACCCAATCCATAGTCCCCAAAACTGTCAATGTCATCAAAACAAGAGAACTCTGATTGCTGTCAAAGTGTAGAGTAGCCTAAGGAGGAATGATAGCTAATATAGTGTGATATCTTAGATGGGGTTCTGGAACAGCAATAATGAAAAGATATTTGGTAAAAACTAAGGAAATCTAAATAAAATGTGGACTTTAGTTAAAAATAGTGTGTAAATATTAGCTCATCAATTGTAACAATTGTGCTATGCAAATGTAAGATGTTAATAATAGGGGCAACTAGATTAACAGTTTATGGAAAATCTCTGTACTATCCTCATAATTTTCTGCAATTCTGAAAGTGTTCTAACAATAAAATTTCATTAATAAAATATTACTTAATTCATATAGAATAGAAAAAACCTAAGAATTATTACATAAATTAAAAGTATTACATCAAAAACCAAAAAATATATAATAATAATTAAAATTACCCTGAGAAATAAACAGTTTTAGAAATAGTAATCTGTAGAGAGGTGATAAAAATCTTCCCCATTTGTGTTCCATGTATCAAGGTAAATGAAATAATACATTATTCTACATAATATTTCTATCTTTAATTTTACTGTGTGATTTATATTTTTGCCATTAGAAGTCTAAAATATTTTCTGTTGCAAATAACATTTCCTCTTATTATAAAATTAATATATATTCATTGTAGAACATTTAGAAAGTACAAAAAAATTATAAAGAAGAAAATAATAATTCACATTTGTAGCCATCAGAGATAACAAGTTTTTAAGGTTTTAGTACTTTATTTTCTAGCCATAACATTTTATTTTACTAAAATATTTAAAATGTTATATAGAATAAGCATTTCTATATTAATATGATAGTATTTAAAAGATTACTAAACCTCCTTTAGTGAGTTCTGTTCATTTTTGTGTGTGTGCCCTAGAGACTGAGTACCATTGGGCTTGTATTTTTGAGAAATGCAAATAACTTTACATTTAATTATGTTAGTGAGAAGCTATCATATAAATTATACCTACATAATGACATTTTGACTGCACGCATTTGCTAGTCAAATAGAATAAGTCAGCTGAGTCTTAAAACTATCCAAACTGACTGACATCCTAGACATAGAGTCACTTTGTTTGAAAATCTTTTTCACTTGTGAGGGAATCAACCATTCGAGAAATATTTGCAAACCTATTTTATACAGGCACTATTCTAGGCCCTGTATACAACAGCTAACCAAAGAGACACAGTTCCTGACTTCACAGAACCTTCTAGTGAAGTTGAGGGGAGGTAAACTACATTTGTTTGTGAGTAATATCATATAGTAATAATTGCTACTGAGAAAAATAAAGAGAGAAGTAGCATAGGGAATGAGCATGCATGGTCAAGGCAGGAGGATTGCTCTCTAATCATAGGATTTTGGGGGTTATATTTTCAGAATGCAGGGCAGTCCAGGGCATCTTATAATTACAGAGGAAACAGCAAAATGATCAGCACCAAGTCAGGTTGTAATTTTTGCAGGGTGGTATTATGGAGAACTTTCCATGAATACCATAAATTCAGGAGCTTCTTTTAACTTCTGGCATGGTGACCTGAAGGAGGGGAAAAGAATCCATTTTGAAATATGCCAGAGCATTCTGTTTTTCTTAACAAGGAATGCCCTCAGGAGGATTTTTTTTTTTTTAACAGAGCCTTACCTGTTGGGGTTATGTCAGGACCTAATTGATCTTGGGGAAGGGAGATATCCAGTGTCATCACCCTCTAGCCATTCTCTTCCACCTAAGTAAGGGGAGGGTAAATTAAGAAGCATTTGGGAAGTTTATAGCCCAGAGGTACAGGCTTATTAAGAAATTAAAACCTAATTATAAAACTATAGGGTCTTATGATTTTCACTACATTACGAAATGCATATTTACCATGATTTCTTTTCTTTTCTTTCTTTCTTTCTTTTTTTCTTTCTTTCTTTTCTTTTTTTTTTTTTTTTTTTTTTTTTTGTGAGACAGAGCCTTGCTCTGTCGCCAGGTTGGAGTGCAATGTCATGATCTTGGCTCACTGCAGTCTTCGCCTCCCAGGTTCAAGCAATTCCCTGCCTCAGCCTCTCAAGTAGGTGGGACTAGAGGTGCACACTGCCACACCCAGCTAATTTTTTTGTATTTTTAGTAGTGATGGGGTTTCACCATGTTGGCCAGGATGGTCTTGATCCCCTGGCCTCATAATCTGTCCTCCTCAGCCTCCCAAAGTGCTGGGATTACAGGTGTGAGCCACCGCACCCAGCCATCAATGATTTCTTTTACTCAGTACATCATGCCAAGCTTTCGAAAAAATTACAAGGCATACTAACAGGCAACACAACACATTTTATCACAACTGAATAGAGTATCAGAACCAGAATCAGATGTGATGGGAATGTGTTAGAATTATCAGACCAAAAATTTTAAAAGAAAAAAAACTATGATAAATATGCTAGAGGGTTAAATGGAAAAGTAGACAATGTGAAAGAAGATATGAATGATATAAGCATAGAGATAGAAATTCTAAGAAAAAATAAAAATGCTAGAGATAAGAAATGTTACAACAGAAATGAAAAATGCCTTTGAATGGAAACATGTCTTTGATGGGCAAAAAATCTCTGAGTTTTAGGCAATGACAATAAAAACCCTCAATTCTAAAAAACAAAGAAAAACAGACTGGAAAAAATAATACCCGAGAACAGAATGTCCAAGAGCTGTGGGACAACTACTACAGATGTAACATATGTTTAATGCTAATACCATAAGGAAAAGAAAGAAAAAAAGGAGCAGAAGCAATCTTTGAAGCAATAATGATTGAGAATCTTTCCAAATTAATGTCAAACACCAAACCACAGATCCAGAAAGCGAAGAGAACAGTAAGCTGAACAAATGACAAAAAAAACTACACCTAGATAAATCATATTTAAACTTCAGGACATAAAAGATAAAGAAAAAAACTCAGAAAAGAAAAAAAAAATCTTACCTATGGAGGAGTGAAGATAAGAATTGCATCCAAACTCTCCTCAGAACCACTGCAAGCAATATGAGAGTAGAGTGACATGTTAAAAAAATATATAAACCAACCTAGAATTCTGACCTTGTGAAATTATTCTTTGAAAATGAAGGAGAAATAAAGACTTAACTCAAACAAAAATACATTGAGGGATTTTTTTTTTTTTTGCTAATAGATTTTCCATACAAGAAAAATTAAAAGAAGTTCTTCAGAGAGAGGGAGTATGATATACGTCAGAAACTTCGGACTACATAAAGAAAGAGCATTAGAAAAAAAATAAGTAAAGGTAAAATTTTTCTTAATTTGTTTTTAAAGTTCTTAATTTAACAAATAGCAGTTTGCTCAAAATAATAATAGCAGTAATGTATTTTATTGTATATGCTTATGTATATATATATGCTTATGCATAAGGGAAATAAATGATAACAATAGAAAGAACTGGAGAAAGGAATTAGAATTGTTATCATATGCTACTTGTCTTACAAGTATTTTATAGTGCTATTTGAAAGTAGACTTAGATTAGTTATACATATCTATGGTAAACTTGAGGACAAACACAAAACAAGTAAAAAAAGAATTATATGTTAAGGATGGAGATAAAATAAAATCAAATAAAATGCTCAATTAACCCTACAAAGGACAGAAAAAGTGTAAAGACAAAAATAGGAACAAAGGCAATAAACACAGAAAACAGTAACAAATACAGTAAGTATTAATCAAACTATACGAATAGTTACTTTATTTTTTTTTATTTTATTATTATTATACTCTAAGTTTTAGAGTACATGTGCACAATGTGCAGGTTAGTGACATATGTATACATGTGCCCTGCTAGTGTGCTGCACCCATTAACTCATCATTTAGCATTAGATATATCTCCTAAAGCTATCCCTCCCCCCTCCCCCCACCCCACAACAGTCCCCAGAGTATGATGTTCCCCTTCCTGTGTCCATGTGTTCTGATTGTTCAATTCCTACCTATGAGTGAGAACATGCGGTGTTTGGTTTTTTGTTCTTGTGATAGTTTACTGAGAATGATGATTTCCAATTTCATCCATGTCCCTACAAAGGACATGAACTCATCATTTTTTATGGCTGCATAGTATTCCACAGTGTATATGTGCCACATTTTCTTAATCCAGTCTGTCACTGTTGGACATTTGGGTTGGTTCCAAGTCTTTGCTATTGTGAATAATGCTGCAATAAACATACGTGTGCATGTGTCTTTATAGCAGCATGATTTATAGTCCTTTGGGTATATACCCAGTAACGGGATGGCTGCGTCAAATGGTATTTCTAGTTCTAGATCCCTGAGGAATCGCCACACTGACTTCCACAAGGGTTGAACTAGTTTACAGTCCCACCAACAGTGTAAAAGTGTTCCTATTTCTCCACATCCTCTCCAGCACCTGTTGTTTCCTGACTTTTTAATGATTGCCATTCTAACTGGTGTGAGATGGTATCTCATTGTGGTTTTGATTTGCATTTCTCTGATGGCCAGTGATGGTGAGCATTTTTTCATGTGTTTTTTGGCTGCATAAATGTCTTCTTTTGAGAAGTGTCTGTTCATGTCCTTCACCCACTTTTTGATGGGGTTGTTTGTTTTTTACTTGTAAATTTGTTTGAGTTCATTGTAGATTCTGGATATTAGCCCTTTGTCAGATGAGTAGATTGCAAAAATTTTCTCCCATTTTATAGGTTGCCTGTTCACTCTGATGGTAGTTTCTTCTGCTGTGCAGAAGCTCTTTAGTTTAATTAGATCCCATTTGTCAATTTTGGCTTTTGTTGCCATTGCTCTTGGTGTTTTAGACATGAAGTCCTTGCCCGTGCCTATGTCCTGAATGGTAATGCCTAGGTTTTCTTCTAGGGTTTTTATGGTTTTAGGTCTAACATGTAAGTCTTTAATCCATCTTGAATTAATTTTTGTATAAGGTGTAAGGAAGGGGTCCAGTTTCTGCTTTCTACATATGGCTAGCCAGTTTTCCCAGCACCATTTATTAATAGGGAATCCTTTCCCCATTGCTTGTTTTTCTCAGGTTTGTCAAAGATCAGATAGTTGTAGATATGTGGTTTTATTTCTGAGGCCTCTGTTCTGTTCCATTGATCTATATCTCTGTTTTGGTACCAGTACCATGCTGTTTTGGTTACTGTAGCCTTGTAGTATAGTTTGAAGTCAGGTAGTGTGATGCCTCCAGCTTTGTTCTTTTGGCTTAGGATTGACTTGGTGATGCGGGCTCTTTTTTGGTTCCATATGAACTTTAAAGTAGTTTTTTCCAATTCTGTGAAGAAAGTCACTGGTAGCTTGATGGGGATGGCATTGAATCTATAAATTCCCTTGGGCAGTATGGCCATTTTCAGGAATTGATTCTTCCTATCCATGAGCATGGAATGTTCTTCCGTTTGTTTGTATCCTCTTTTATTTCGTTGAGCAGTGGTTTGTAGTTCTCCTTGAAGAGGTCCTTCACGTCCCTTGTAAGTTGGATTCCTAGGTATTTTATTCACTTTGAAGCAATTGTGAATGGGAGTTCACTCAAGATTTGGCTCTCTGTTTGTCTGTTATTGGTGTATAAGAATGCTTGTGATTTTTGAACACTGATTTTGTATCCTGAGACTTTGCTGAAGTTGCTTATCAGCTTAAGGAGATTTTGGGCTGAGACAATGGGGTTTTCTAGATATACAATCATGTCATCTGCAATAGTTACTTTAAAAATCAGGAGTCTAAATACATCAATTAAAAGACTAAGATAGTAAAAGTGGATCAAAAATCAAGACCTAATATATGACGCCTAAAAAAAATTCATTGTAAATATAAAGATGCATATCTATTAAAAGTAAATGGAAGGAGAAAGATATACCATGCTAACACTACTCAAAAGAAAGTGAGAATACTATATTAATTTTAGACAAACCAGACGTTAGAGCAAGGAAAGGTATCAGGCATATAGAGGGGCATTAAATAATGATAAAGGGGAAAATACCACAAGAAAACCTAACAGTCCTTGGTGTGTATGTGCCTAGCAACAACGTGTCAAAACACATGAAGAAAGAATAGATAAAACAGCAAGGAGAAATAGTTGAATACACTATTACAGTTGGAGATTTTAACACATATCTATTATAAATCTATCAATCGACCAATCAGTTGAGCAGAAAATCAGTAAAGATATAGTTGAATTTAACAGCATCATTAATCAACTGGACATAAATAACATCTATAGACTTTTTCATTGAACAACAACAGAGTACACATTCTTCTCAAGAATACATTAAACATTCAAGATAGACCACATTCTGAGCCATAACACATATATTAACAAATTTTGAAGAACAGGAATTATGCAATATCTGCTCTAATACCACAGTGGAACTAAACTAAAAATAAACTACAGAAATAAAGCTGGAAAATCCCAAAATATTTGAATATTAAATAAGGCATTTCTAAATAACAATTGCTTCCAAGAAAAAAATCTCAAAATAAAAAACATATAAAGCAAATTAAAATGAAAATACAACTCATCAAAATGTGTAGGATGTAGCAAAAGCAGCATAGAGGAAAGTTTATAGCATAGAATGTATATAACAGAAAAGAAGAAAGATTTAATATTAATTATCTAAGCTTCCACCTTAAAATATTAGGGAAAAAAAGAGCAAATTAAGTCCAAATAAGCGGGAGAAAGGAAATAAAAACCAGAGCAGTAATCAACAAAATTGCAAACAGGAAATAGAAGAAAATCAGTGACACCAAAAGCTGATTCTTTGACAAGATCAATAATATTGATAAGCCTCTAGCCAGGATACCTAAGAAAAAAAGAGAAAAGACACAAAACGCTACTATCAGAAATAAAAGAGGAGACATCACCTTAGATATGATTGATACTAAAATGATAATCAAGTCATATTATGGAAAATTCTATGCCCACAGATTTGGTAACTTATATAAAATGAACAAATTTCTTAAAAGATATACCTGCCAAAGTCCACACAGTGGAAATTAGACAACATAAATTGTCTTATATCTATTAAAGAAATGGAATCCATAATCAGTATTCCTATAAAACAGAAAACACCAATCACAGTTGGTTTACTGTTGAATTCTACCAAACATTTGGAAAAAAATTAAACAAATTATCTACAATTTCTTCCAGAAGGTGTAAGCAAAGGGAATACTTACAAACTAATTCTATAAGGCCAGCATTGCCTGAATACCAAAAGCAGACAAATACATTACAAGTAAAGAAAACTTTAGATAAATATCTCTCATGAACATAGATGTAAAAATGCTCAAAATATATAAGCAAATCCAATGCAATATATTTAAGAAGAATTGCACACCATGACCACTTGGGCCTATCCAAGCATGCAAAGCTCATTCAACATTTGAAAGTCAGTTAATGCAATCAATTACACCAACAAGTTAAAGAATAAAAATCACATGATCATATTAATAAATTCAAAAATATCATCTGACAAAATCCAACTTCCATTCATGATGAGAACTCTTGGGAAGCTAGGAATACAGGGAACTTCCTCACTTGATTAAAAAAAAATAGAAAAATCTATAGCTAATGTAATACTTAGGCTTTCCCACTTAGATAAGGAACAAAATAAGACATTCCTTATCACCACTGCTTTTCAACATTATATTGGAAGTCCTAATTAATGCAATAAGACAAAAAGAAAAGAAAGGAAAAGAAAAAGTATACAGATATAGAAAGAAAAAATAAAACTCTCTTTGTTTGCAAATGACATGATTATCTATGTAGAAAATTTTTAAAAATTGACAAAAAATCTCTTGGAACTAACAAACAATTTTAGCAAGGGTGCACAATATAAGTTTAGTACATAAAAGTCAATCAGTTTCATATACCAGCAATAAAAAGTGAAATTTGTAATTAAAAACACATTACCATTTAGTTACCACTAAAAAATGAAATAAGTATAAACCTAACAAAACACGTACGAGATCTCTATGGAAAAAACTACAAAACTCTGATGAACAATACAACAAAAATCTAAATAAAATTTGGCGAGAGAGTCCATGTCCATGGACAGGAATACTCCATATAGTCATGATGTCACTTCATCCAAACTTGAACTATAGATGCAATACAGTCCGAATAAAATCTCAGCAAGTTTTATTTTTATTTTTATTTTTTGATATTGACAAACTGTTCTTAAAGTTTATATAGAATGGCAAAAGACCCAGAATAACCAACTCAATATTGACGGGGAAGAACAAAGTCAGAGAACTAACACACTCCGATGACATAATACTTGCTATTAAGCTACATTAATCAAGACAGTGTGGCATTGGTGAAAGAATATACAAATAGATCAATGTAACAGAATAGAGCTCAGAAATAGACCCGTATTAATATAGTCAACTAATATTTAACAGAGGATCAAAGGAAATGCAAGTAGGCAAAGATGGTCATTTCAACAAATAAGGGTGGAACAACTAAACATGCACATGCAAAAAAAAAAAAAAAAAAAAAAAAAAAAAAAAAAAAAAAAAAACCTATGTCTAAACCTTAAATCCTTTGCAAAAATTAACTTAGAATGAATCATAGACCCAAATGTAAAATGCGAAACTACCAAACTAAAATTCAAAACTTCTGCTCTGTGAACTCCAATGTGAAGAGAATAAGTCAAACTAAAGACTTGGAGAAAAATTTTTGCAAAAGACGCATCTGATAAACATCTGTTATCCAAAATATACTAAGAACACTTAAAACTCAACAATAAGAAAATAAACAACCTGAATAAAAATGGACAAAGACTTGAACAGACTCTCACCAAAGAAGATATGCAGATGGCAAGTAACCACATGAAAAGATGTTAGACATCATATTTCATTGGGAACTGCAAATTTAAACAATAATGAGATACCGCTACACACTTATTAGAATGACCAAAATCTAAAGCACTGACAATACCAAAGGTTAGTGAGGATATGGAGCAACAAAATTCTCATTTATTGCTGATGAGAATTCAAGGTAACTTTCAAAAACAGTTTGGCAGTTTTCTACAAAACAAATCACACTCTTACTGTACAATCCAGCAACGGTGCTCCTTGATATTTACGTAATGAATATAACTTTATTTTCACACAAAAACCTGCAAATGCATGTTTTTTGCAGCTTTACTCATAATTGTCAAAACTTGGAAGCAACCAAGATGTCCTTTACTAGGTGAATGGATAAATAAACTGTGGTAGATTCAGACAATGGAATATTAGTCAGTGCTTAAAAAACTAAACTATCGTGGCATGAAAAGACATGGAGGAAATTTAACTACATATTACTAAGTGAAAGAAGCCAGTCTTAAAAGACTAACACACTATGTAATTCAAATTATATGCCATTCTAGAAAAGGAAAAACTATGGAAACAGTAAACATATAAGCGATTGCCAGGGTTTAGGGGAGAGGTAGGGATAAATAGGCGAAGCATGGAAGATTTTTAGAGCAGTGAAACTACTCTGTATAGTACTACAATGGTAGACACATGTCATTATAAATTGTCAAAACTGTAGAATGTACAGCACCAAGAGTAAACCCTTATATAGACTATGAATTTTGAATGATAATAATGTGTCTGTGTAGGTTAGGTTCATTGATTATAACAAATGTACTACTGTGGTGTGGGATGTTGATAGTGCGTGAAAACTCTTTGTACTTTGTTCTCAATTTTTCTCTAACCTAAAACTTCTCTAAAACATAGTTTATTCGTTGAAAAATTACATGCCATGGCTGAGTTTTCTTAATAATATGCTGGTGAGAGAAAAAAGGGTCAATGAAATAATTTAATTTTTCAGACTTTTAAAACATACATTGCCATAAAACATAAAACTTTGTAGGTACTGAAACATAATTTATTTATATATGGATTTACAATTGAATTTCCAATTTATATAATAAAAAACAATGGGCAATTGTCAGTTATTTAAAAAATGAATTTTCTACACCATTAACCAAGTATTTCAGACCATATTAGCAATTGAGATAAAATTGAAACACATGATGAGGTTTGTAAATGTTGGTAAAAATTGAGCAGAGTTTAAAAGAGATTTAAGTTGCCATTTGAGATAAGGTTTGTGACTTACAGTTTAGGTTGGAAATGGTTGGTTATTTTTATTCTGTAGTTTGAACTCAGTGAAATGAAGCAGTATATGATGAATTGCTTTTAATGTAGTTTTCAAGTTTCTAGCCTTTCTAACCTGAGTAGCTGTATATGAAACCAGAAGCCATCCTGAAAGCCATGAAGAAGTTTCTTCCATTCAAAGTAAAATGTTGTTCCCAGTAAACAATTATCGACAATTGGGACTACTGGGAGCTTTAAGCAATTTATTTTTCTTTACCTGTTTTCTCGTTTTTTTTTCTTCCTATACCGTCATTCACATGATTGCAGCTCTGTTATTTTCTTCTAGGATCGTGCTGGTTGACCAATGACATTCAAGTGCAAAGTGCTGAGGTGATGGAATCAGAGCAGATGCCATCCTTAGCTATATGTACTCTTATTGATAGGGCAATACACAAACCATTTGCTCTTCTTTCTTTACATATCACAGTCTGGAAGAACACAGAAAATGCTTTAAGTTTGTTCATTTATTCATTCATTCAACGATTATTTATTGAGCACCTATTATGTGCCTGATCCTCTTCTGGAATAGAATATTAAGCAAAAGTGGAATCACTTTGCCCTTATGGAGGTTGTTATTGGTTGGAAGAGATGGACATTAATCAAATAATCACATACTACGATAAGGGCTAGGAAGAGACAGTGTGTAAGTGTGCATAATAAGAATTTGGCTCAGGGGAGTCAAAGAAATATTCTCCCTAAGGAACTGAAAGTTAAGCTGGAGTCAAAGATTAAGTAGAAGTTAACTGTTGGAAGAAAGAAGAAAAGAGGATTCCAGGCAGAAAATATTTAATTAAATATGTTGTCATATGTAGGGCTTAATATGATGAGTTTACTGCTGTCATATAACAGTACATAATAGAATAATTACTCATACAAATGCTACAGCAGTGCATTAAAATGTATTTAAAACTCCAGATTTAAATTGACTCCTTTTTTTTTTTTTTTTTTTTTTTTTTTTTTTTTTTTTTTGAGACGGAATCTCGCTCTGTCGCCCAGGCTAGAGTGCAGTGGCAGCGCTATCTTGGCTCACTGCAAGCTCCGCCTCTCAGGTTCACACCATTCTCCTGCCTCAGCCTCCCGAGTAGCTGGGACTACAGGCACCCACCACCACGCCCGGCTGATTTTTTGTATTTTTAGTAGAGACGGGGTTTCACCGTGTTATCCAGGATGGTCTCGGTCTCCTGACCTCGTGATCCGCCCACCTCGGCCTCCCAAAGTGCTGGGATTACAGGCATGAGCCACCGCACCCGGCCTCTATTTTTTTTTTAGATGGAGTTTCGTTCTGTTGCCCAGGCTGGAGTGCAGAAGTGTGGTCTCGGCTCACTGCAACCTCTGCCTCTGGGTTCAAGCCAATTATCCTGCCTCAGCCTCCTGAGTAGCTAGGATTACAGGGGTGTGCCACCATTCCTGGATGATTTTTGTAGTTTTAGTAGATACGGGTTTTCAACATGTTGGCTAGCTGGTCTTCAACTCCTGACCTCAGGTGATCCACCCACCTCAGAGATGGGATCATAAGTGTGTCTTTATTCTTTTCCAGTTTTCTAGATATAGTTGAGATACTTTCATAGAATAGAAATATTTTACAAAAAAACAAAGTAGCTGAATTACCTCCATTTTGTTTCACTACATAGCTGTATGGAACAAGGATTTCATTATTAAAAATAAGTTTAGAATTCAACACCTTATTTTTAATCAGTGTAAACTTGTTTTTCTCAAAAATATGATATTCTTTTAAAAGTCCCATTTATAACATACCATTCTTGGCACAGAGGACAGCCTTATAAGGGCAGGGGGTGCTCTACCCTCGGAGGAACCTCTCAACCAGTCAGAATGCTCATTATCAGTCTAATTATCCCCTGATAATTGGCCTGCCTGTAAGAATAATAGTCTGGGATGACTTAACTCAGTGCTGACATATTCACAGCATCCTACACGCTGCATTCTAAACTTCTTAACTTTTCCTTAAATATGGGCAGAATCTGATTTTAGCTGTCAGCATACTTTATTTGCTCAACATTTAACTTCCTATGAACACTGAGGAACCACTCTGCTGAGACCAGAGAGTACTCCTTGTTTGTACTAAACTTTGTAGTGTCGGCGATAAATCTTACATAACGTCCAGCTTTCTTATTTTGTCTGTGTACAACATTGTCCAAAAAGACAAGCCTCCCTTCTTGGACTCTGTGAAATTTACTCATAGGATAATGCCGTTAGAATGGAGTCACTTGGCTTGTTAATGCTTACCAGCATTTCAACACTTCTAGATGGCTGGCTGATGTCCAAATGAGACTAGGGAATGGCCAAGGAAAGAAATAGTGATGGAATGTTTCAGTGGATAGCGTATTTGCTTTTGTGTGTTTCTTGAAATAATTAGGTTGAATTAGATTAATGCTCATGGTATAGTGCTTTAAAGTTTCCAATTTGAGATTAAAATGTCCTCATTTTTATGTCTAGTGTTCTTGAAAACTTGTTAGCAGGATGAGGATGTTTGTATTCTTTAGGTCTCTCTTTTTTTTAGTTGCATAAATTCATCTGTTTAATAAATAGTTCACACACTGGCCAGAAACCAAGTGGACAAACTGTATTCACTAACCCTTTAATACTTGGCTCCTTTGTATAATGACCCAGCCCATTATTAGATAATGAAAGAGTGTATGAGAAAGTGGAAGATTATTTATGATGGAAACAAAATGAAACTAATGGGACAAGATTTGAAAGCTGTGATGCATGAAAGGTGCTATGCAGGCAGCTCTGGCACCATGACAAACAGAGATAAAGGCTCAGTGGGAAGCAACAGTGTGAACATGACTATGAAGAAGAAAGAATGGATTTCCTGAATGAATCCTTGCCATCTGGTGTTTGTTTAATACACAATGAAGGTCAAATGGCTACTGATCCTTTTTTCTATAGTCCAGTGACTACAAGAATGAGAGGAATCAATGAGTTTATCGATATGTCTGGAAATGACTCACCATATGATCTGATTGAGTCAATAAAACTCAAGTAACTTGTCATTACTCTTTCAAATGTGGTTTGGATATGGGACTAAAATTCTGTATTTCTTTTTAAAAGCCAGTTTGCTGAATCAAATGTGGCAGGTACTTTTTTTCTAGATTAATGTCATGAAGCATTTGATTTTATATGTATGCATGTATCATAGGAAACATCAGGAGGAAAATTTCTCATAAAGCTAAATGTTTCTCCAATCTTCAAATAGATCTATTCATCACTTGTTTCTGTTGAATGGTGGTGGATCAAATAAATCTTTTTTCTTCCACTGTGCCTTTTCTCTGTATGAGATTGATTACAAACCTATTTTATATAATCATTCCTAGGGGACCTATTAACTTTTGGCAAAATATGTTAATTTAATCATTATATGTAAACAGCATAAGTTTTGGGTATGTCATATGTAAGTGGAACATATTATTTTATATTATGTTCCCTTTCCTACAGGTTGTTTCAATAATGTACTTCCACAGTGTGATCTTGGAACTCTTATCATCTACTGCTGAAGTTGCAGGGTTTTCTGTTGAGTTCTTTTCTAAAGACTAAAATAAAAGATACTTTTCTCACATTAATATTTCTCAGCTGCCATGAAAACAGGGATAGGAGAAGCCAAAAATAGAGGAGCCAGCTGTGGGAGGCTGCTTTTTTTTTTCAGGACAACTCAGAAAAGTCTTTCAAATTCATTTCATAAAGAGTGTGTTAATGCAAATACTGTTTTACGTGCCTGCATGCTATAGTTTAGAAGCCGACATATACTCAGCTGTCTCACGGTGAATGTTATCTAACTGTTGTAGAGGTAGTAGAATTATTAAGTTTGTCTCTGTGGTAGATCCATTTAGGATTCTTTACCCTTTCTCTTGAAAGTACTCTCTTCTCTGATGCTAGCTAATTAAAGTAGGAAAGGGGTGATTATGAAAAAAATCATCTTCTTCCTCAAGTAGACCCAATGTGTTTTATTCTAGTTCCCACAAATTTTGTTGTTGTTTTGACTTTTTTCACCTGAATATCAAATATTACATGATCCCCTAACTATGCAAAACAAAACAAAACAAAAACCATCATTCAAGCCTGCAAAGGCACCATGTTTAATACATTGGCCTCCTTCATTTTGTTATTCATTTTTTTCTTTATGTAACTTAGGTAATAATGCAAATAAAATTTTATTCCATACTATTTTTTGCATAACATTTTTTCCATAAAACATTATGTCCATGAAGCCTTATCTGATCTACTCTTTTACCCAGGTAGAATGGCTATTCCTTCCTTTGTGCAACCACTGTGCTGTGAAGCTATATTCCAACCTTTACAATAGTGTTTCTAACTCAATTAAAAACTCTAGAGGTTTTTAACCTCTAGTACCTTTAGCATAGTGTTTTAAATTTTTATTCATCAGATTTTTAAATACTTAGAAAGTCTTATATGTGTTTAGCAACATAAAAAATAGGCATCTAAGATTAAACCTATAGACAACATAGATATTCTCCTGACACTTAGAATTGCCCATCTACTGAAGATGTTAAGACAGTCAGTTGATAAGACAGAAATGTTGTAAAACTGTTTCCTGTTTCCTGGCTGGAATTTAAATTATACAATGTACAAGTGCCCTTAAAACTTCAAGATACTAATATTCTGTTGGGTTGACAGATTAACTGCTTAGTGGCTGGGCATACCTAGCCTTGACATATAATGTCAGTGAAGTTGTATGATTCATTACTGGATATGAAATGACATTAGCTTTTTTGACCTACTGGCCATTATTTAAAGGTCCATATACATTCACCTGGCCTCAGAAGTCTGTTAGCAGCAAGTGCTATTCATGTAGGTTGACAGGCCAACAGGGCAGTGGATGCTCTGCTTACACTTCGAGGTAACTTAGAAGATAACTGGATTTAGTTGGGGCTTGAAAATTCTGAGTAGAGAAATGACTTTCAGATTAATTGCCTTAGATTTTATCAAGGTGAAAGGTGCAATAGAAATGTCAAAATGTGATTACTGTTATTATATTTTCTGTTATCAACAAATAGCTTTACTTCTTATGACTCATTTATTCAAAAGTTGGCATAAAACTAAGAAGCAGTTCTATATTCAAACTTCGAATAAAGAAAAAGTAAATTGGGGATTTATTCAGCATAAATCGACTTTATCATATATAATTTTTGTCAGATCCATGAATTTTCACTCTATGGCTATTTTGCCTGCTGTTCTTTTTTGAAACAAAAAAATATGTGGGTACATTTAGTTTTAACAGACAAATGTTGGGATTATGCAAATAACTAGTAATTTTAACTTTAGGAAATCTATTATGTCTCTACTATACTTGCTGGTCATTTTTTAGGATATGATTCATTAGATTAAAATGTGTTTCTTCATCCATTTTTCATGACTCTTTTCCTTTGGTTAGTAAAGGCTGACATTAAAAAATATTACGCCTGAAAGAAATAACCTTATATCAAACCATCTTAGCAAAAACAATTGCCTGAATCACTGGATTCTGGCAATTCACTGTGACCAACAAAAGTCATAATCCCTTAGTCATATTTACTAAAGATATCCGCTTCTCAGAGTTAGCTTCCTATGTTCTTCCACCGCTTTTGATAACTAGTATAAACTAAGAAGAACATTTCCTGGTTTTAAGTACACTTAAGAGTTCATAGTTTTCCATAACAACAAATTATAAGAGAAAGATAGTTGATTTGTAGTCATGAGATTAAATTGTATTAAATCTGAGAGCTTATTTCCTTAAGCACACTCTGAAGGCGTTTATGTCTGGAGCTTACAGGTTTTTAGTATTTAACATTGACAAGTCACAGAAGTTATAAATTCCATTTTAGAATACCATTGATTTGTGTTATCTGAACCCTATGCCTCCCTCCCTGTGGACATATTTTATTTAAGGTTACATTTTCTCAAAAGGGTCCTATGCAAGATACATCAGAAATAGAGTCTTTAGATTGTTATATTATTATTATTATTATTATTTATGATTTTCCTCTGGGCTGGCCTTGAAAGCTTGAAATTCCATAGTTTTGCTTCCTTGAAAAAATTATCTGTGCAATATCACTTTTTTTTAGATGGAGTTTCACTCTTGTTGCCCAGGCTGCAATGCAACGGTGCAATCTCGGCTCACTGCAACCTCAGCCTCCAGGGCTCTAGTGATTCTCCTGCCTCAGCCTCCCGAGTAGCTGAGATTACAGGCATGTGCCACCATGCCTGGCCAATTTTGTTGTATTTTTAGTAGAAATGGGGTTTCACCATGTTGGGCAGGCTGGTCTCGAACTCCTGACCTCGGGTGATCTGCCCATCTCGGCCTCCCAAAGTTCTGGGATTACAGGTGTGAGCCACTGTGCCCAGCCGCAATATGACTTTTAAAGTGATTAATGACTAGAACAAGTGTGGTGAACACTAGACCTGTATGTATGGATAAAGCTAAATATCAACTCAGGATTTTGCATTGAGTAAATATATATTTTCTGCTTCACTTGGAAATTGTAAGGCTAACTTACTCTAGCAGCCATAAAGTCTTAATCCATTTCTTTTACATATCTTAGGTATCAAAAATGGGTAAGAAATGCAGTGGTGATAAGGAGTATTTGAACATCTTGGGCCTTTAAGAAAATCCAAATGAAATTGACACAAATAAGGCAAAATCAAATTTTTCTTATAAATATATGCCTTTTAAAAAATATATAATATTTCATACATTTAAAATAATAATGAACTTTTAAATTTGCATAAAAACACCGTTTCAAAATAAACTACACATAGCTTAAATGTTGTGTCTGCGTGTGCATGTATTATTGCATTTTATAATATTCTCCTAGGTGGTAAATTGAGAACTTAGTGTGTAATATATCTCTCCTGAAAATTATTTGGTTCAGCTTTTGGACAAACTCTCCTGAGGGCTTTGTTAAAAGAGATGGTAAATCTTGTTTTAGATTGAGATTGAAACAAAGATTGTATTTCTTTTAAAATAGACAAACATACATAATATTTCCTATTTTATACATATTTCATATCAGTATCTAAAAGATTGTGTCCTTTGTTAGCCTGACTTTGCCCTGCTAGGGTCCAACAAATGGGCAAGCAACGCAACAATTGGATGGAAATTCTAACAGCACAAAGGATTTGAGTAGGAAGATGACCAGAGAAGATCAGATAATTAACCCCAAGAAGTTGGGTTCAGTGCCTTTATTGGGGGATTACAGAGGTAAAATAAGGTCATTTCTCTTGTATAGAGGAAGACAGAGGGGTCAAGAACTGAGAAACACGGACAGGGAAAAGAGGAAGAAAGGGCATGGTGCTACTCTTCATTTCCTGCTATGTGACAAAGGTCAGAATGATGGCACTTTCTGAACTTTGAAGAGGTGATCTTCCTTTATTGAGATTAAGTTGCCAAAGTCGCATTCACTGAACTTCCTAAAAGTAGCAATGAACATTTCAGAATGAACTTCTAAAGCACAAGGATTCTCGACTCCATGCAGAAAATTTCCCAGCTAAACAAAGCACTGGAGGGGTACTCTGATAATACATTAGTTCAAAGCCATATTAAGCAATCTGGCCTATTTACAGACAAGTTGTGAGCCTTTACCTCTCAAAATGGATGTCAAAAGACAGCCATTACACACAAAAATAACATTTGTATATTCTCAGACAAATATAAGAATATCTACTCAAAAATATCTATAGACAGTAAGATATGATTTTTTTTATTTGCTGTAACTGTTTTATGTACAGTGCCATAGGTGTTATTATTATTTTTTTTTTTTGGTCACAGTTTTAGAGTCCAAGCACTTTCTTATAATAAATAACTTAGTTTCTCCAGAGTCCCAAATAGGCATTGAATCCAAATCAGAATGGTGTATTAAGAAGATTAGTTTACCTGAATTAAAGACCAACTCTCATTTTATCCTGACCATCTTTTCACTTTGTCTTTAAAGCCTTATTTGAGTCTTAATAAAATCTAGCCATGGAGAAACTTGCAAATTTTTTGAGTTCTCATCAGGTATTTTGTGGTTTTATTGTTTAATTTTGCCTTACAGTTTTGCCTTTTAATTTTGCCTTACAGTTAAGGAAATAGCTATCTATTCCCTCTGTCTCTCTCTTTGTCTCTCTCTGTCTCCCTCTCTTTATATCATTTATCTACCTACCTACCTACCTATCTACCTACCTATGTATCTAACTATATCTATCTATAACATTTTCTACTTCATGATACTGACTGAGGTTTGTAGTTTCTAATTTGAATTAAAATAAATCTATGAGGTCTATATGACACTCAGTGTTTATATTGCTTATTTGGACAGGTATAGCTTTTTATAAATACTAACACATTGTGATTTCTATATTTTTTTGGTTTTTGTTATATCATAGCATTATTTACTCAGATCCCAAGAATTAGCTAACTGTGCTTGTAAGAAAATTTTCAAAAATTTTGGAAATCCACATAATTGAAGAAAATACTTTCTCTCACCAAATTGGAATGGAAAACAAGCTTAGAAATTGTACACATCTTTGAATTCCAGTGACATCAACAGTTACAAATCAGGTTTCTTCCCTGCCTTGTTTGGGATGTATGCAAACTGAGTTAATATAGTTCATCATTTTTCACTCAGAGAAATTTTATGACTTCATTTTTAGAAATGAACTCAAATGCAATTCTCCCTTGATTGAGTGACTAAGGCAGTGACTTTACCATGGTATATTGTGGAGGAGAAAAAATATCGATGAGTCACAGAAGGTTTTGATGAAAGCACAGATTTTATTCCACTTAGTGACTCATTTGTGACTTTTCTTTCTCTTTGCTTACTTTAAGTGTTTCAATCCCCCTCACTCAAAGCAAGGAGAGCAGGGGCTGAAAGACTATAAATTTCTTCTTTCTCTATTGTAAAAACGGCAAGGGGTTAAGGACCCCATGAGGGAAGTTGTTCTTAAGTGAAGGTTAGAGGTTGTTCTAGTTCTCCCTTCCTTAACTAATGAAGCTAAGGTAATTATTAAGTTTCAACTCTGACTTGTTTCCTAAGATGTATGATTGTGGTAAAATCAGAGCACTAATTTTCTGCTTCTACTAATATTCTTGAGGTAGTGACTGAGCTTGTTTCTGTGTACAGACCAACCTTCCTTTTCTTCTTCAAGGAATTCTGATAGTCTCTCTATCTCATTGGCAACTCAGGCTGACTGGCTGGTGTTTAGCTTAAGCACTAGTCTGGGTAACAGCATGGTAATGGTGGAGAACAATTTATAATAATCTTATTCAGATCAATTTATAATAATCTTATTCAGATCAATGAACAGTGTTCTGCTATTTGACACTCTTGCCATATTTTGAAAAATGTATTGTCTCTCCCAAAGTAAATGGTCTACTTTTTTTTTCCAGTAAAATCTCACCTATTAACAAATGATACATAAAATGCAGTTTTTCTATTCTGAGAAATAAGAGCTTAAACAACTAGGGTAGGCTTTTTTTTTTTTGGTTTTATGTCACATGGCATAATATAAAATGAAAATACTGCATTTAAGAATGTCAGGGGGGAAATGTACTTGGCAAACACTAAGATTCTTCTGAGGATTGTGAAGCTGTCTTTTGCATTACAGATAATATAAACAGGAAGAAGATAAAATTGCTCCTGCTTAGTTGTCAGATCATGCTAACAATTACAAAACATTCTAACCTGGCAAAGTCAAATATGTGCATTTAATACTAATAATTTCTTCATACAATCGTGTAACAAATATACTGAATACCTTCTCTGTTTTATATGAATCAAATATTATTTGGGAATATATATATTTAAAAGCAGATAGGCAAAGTTAATGATATTCTTTGAGGTCAGATATGCTTTTAAGAAACAAATAAGCAAAAATGTAATTTTAAAAAGTTTTATTTATATTTGCTACATAATGGCATTTCTTAGTTATAATCACTGCTTATAGCTTATAAAATCTCACCAAATTACAAAGTTTTGAGTGGCATAGAAAGTAGCTTCTAGTAATAGACACAGAAATATGCAAATTGACTAAGCCCAACTGTATGCTAATTGGCCAACACACCTCTCATTTAACCAACAGTGAGCTATTCCACAAGTATCTAGAAATCAAATGGGTGACTGTGTAGGTGTAAATGCGTCTCTAAATTAATTTTCCAATAATAGACAATCTCTAACAAACAGAAACTTGGAAAAATAAACAAGCATAAGGGCAGAAGGATATTTTGTGTGTGATTTTAATAAGTACGATGTTTTTTGTGTTTAGATGCTGTGGAATTTCATCAACCACACAAAACATAATAAAAGTAAACTTTGACTAAGGTTTTCTATACACAACGAGCATTTGGTGTCACTACAAATAATTCATTCTCTTCTTAACAATTCACCACACTGTTAAATAAGGCCAAAACATCTACTGTATGTTCTATTAAAAAGCAATTCTATTTTTTCCCAGAATCACTTTCAATTACAAGAGTATATCATATATTTATTCACATATGTTTACTAGATTTGTGCCTACACACACAAATAAATTTTTCTAAATTTTTATTAGAATAACACACAATCTCCATCAATAGAGTATAAAGGAATTATTGGAACACATTAAAATAAACAACAAGCAGTGATTCTTGTTTATTTGCCCATACTAATATCTGTATCATATTCATAGAATCAGAGAGCTTGAAAGGGTTCTTAAAGGTGTTTTAATAAAATCTTTCCATATTATAGACAAGAAAATTGCACTTAAGCAACTTATCTACTGTTACATAATTAGATATATGCAGATTTTTTAAAAATTTGGTGGTTTTTGAAATCTTTCTGTGGCATACAAAACATTCAAATGTCATTAGAATCAAATTTCTGATGCTAAAATCTGATGATGTTTCCAATATTAGATATTACTAAAACACTAGATACCATTGACAAAGCCATAGACTTATCTCAGTTTTCTTCCAAATTTGTCCATCTTTAAGTTTCATCCTCAGAGTAGCATAGATTTATAAGAATTCATAACTACATAAATCATATGTTCTCATGGTTTATTTGTTTTATGAAATAATAAAATTTTACTTCAAAATACATACTGTTTTAATATATAAAGAAAACAGCAATCACAAATTATAGATATGAAAACGTAAATTTTCTCTTTGTATTGAACTCCATGTAAAGCTCTTACACTTTCATGTTTTAATCCACAGAGCAGAATCCAAAGAGAGTATCAAAATAGCACTGTAAATGTAAATTGTTGAAACTGAGTTAGTAGCAAAAAAAAAATCCATTTTACTGGAGTTAACATTGTTTAAGAATTTCATCTCTCTTTATTTATAATTTTGACCACATCTTCTATAAGTTTTTGTGCTGATTAATTTAGCAAATCAAACTTCTTACACAGACTGCTTTAGAAATTACAACTACGCTGTTGCCGACTTAAAGTTACTGATACTCATTTCATTAATATATATTCAGTCACATATAAGCTCATGGAGATACCAATATTAAGAATAAGCACGGTAAGAAATGTGGGCCTTTGTTAAATATCATGGTAAAATTCTCTTCCTTTAGGTCCATTACAGACATATACCTGGTACATCAAAAATGCTTGTAACAATAATTAACACCTATTGGTGCCTATATCATAGAACAACTTGAAAGCATCAAGTGATTTTTAAATGACACTTGCATTGTGACAAGTGGACTGAAGAACGTATTTACTGAAATTGCTTAAATATCAAGGGCAAACTGGTTGGCAGATGACACAACAGATGTTAATTCCAGTCCTCTCTTCTCCTTTCCAACCCAGAATTTTCACAGCAATTGGAGGTCTGAGGGTGCTGTAGTTCAATCAGTAGTTATACCCTGTCTCTAGCAGTTAAGCATGAATTATTTCTTATAATAGAAGTAGCTCTTTTAGTCAGAATTTTAAGAGAATGAACATTTATTCAAATATATATTGGAAATAATTTTTCTTTGGGGGGTTTGTGAGGATCCCATGAATTTTGGTACTGCTCAATATATTGGCTTAAGTATAAAATATTGGCACTTTAAATGGCATTCTCAGGTTAAGTCTAAAAACACAGTCTCTTTGCTTATACAAACATCTTTAAAAGAGGGTAATTAGTGACCAGTGGCTAAGAAGACCTCTGTCTTGAGAGGTTATGCTTAAGCCTCTTGAAGATTCTCCATGTAAACAAGTCGGATGGCATCACTCATTATCCCTTCTTTGTTTACTTGGAAAAAGGTTCAAACTATTTAATGAGAAGATTACACCTACTTCGACTCTATTGAAAAAGATTAATTGATATTTTCCTGTTGGAGGTTTCACCACTTGCATTTGGCTTCCACTCGCCTATTGTTATTGACGCTGTGATCAACAGAGCAAAGTTCTTAAAGGTTATCCAAATTTCACAGCTCAGCATTATTCAAACTAATTATGGTTCTTCCTTGACTCATAGATGTTGACTTCCAAGGACTGTTAACTTGTTGTTCAAAGAGACTATGTTTTAAACTTTACTTGTCTGAATAGAAAATTTTGTGACTAGAATCTGGATATTTTGGAAAATTTTGCTAGCTATATTATAGATAAAGTAGAGCACCTACTCAAAATGGAATGTTAAAACATAGAGCCAAATTCCCGTGAAAACCTAAAAATAATGTCTTTTTCCATCCTAATATATTTAAAAGATTTTGAAACATAATTTCATATCTTACCATCTTCATGGGAACACAATATAAAAAACAAGACCCCCACCATTTTGAGATACAATTCTGTGATAGAAATCTTTACAAATTTTTCCCCAAAAAATGTGTGTATTATGGACATATGGCTGCATATTTGGATAACACCATTTGCATTTTTCAAACTTGCATTTTTTTAAGCACTAGCTTGGCTTTTGCTGTCAGAATGGCAAACTGCTAGTGTATTCATCTAAAATTCCTAGTTTAACTCTTTGTCACTTTAACATTTTATGTAATGCTAATATGTTCACCTTTTCTTAAAAAAGTAACCTAATATGTTGGAGGCAGTAAAATAAGAAAGACTTTTCAAACCATAAAGTTTAATAATAGGAGGAGTCACATCATAGTGTGAAAAAAAAAGGATAGTGTCAAAATCTGATCTTAGAAAAAAATGCTTTTGAAAATTACTGGGAGAAAAAATAGTGTGTTAAAATGATTTTACTTCAGATTAATTCCCTGGAAGGATTTGTGATTTTTATAGTTTTCTAGGGTTATTTTGTAAAAGCAGTTTTAGTTCCTGAACATTTAAACATAACAAACTGGAATATAGAACACTGAAAAAAATGATGATGTGAAAATAAAGATAACAACAACCCTGACATTAGTAACTTATGGAGATTCTACTTTCAAGGGAAACGAAACTTCATTTGCTGCATGCTTTCTAACACACATCCTTACATTGCTTTATGATACATTTTCTCTGTTCAAAATGAGGCATATGAACACATGGCCTTGCCACAGCATTTTAAGACACGCTTATTCCAATACCCTTCACTCCCCAAACAAGCAATCTTATTTAAGGGAATCAAGTACCCGCTTATGGTTGAATAATTTTCCCGTCTTACATAATTTATATATATCAAAATATATGTTATGTAAATAACGTATTTTGACTTATAAATTAAATTTCATGTAAATTATACCTTTGAATTGACATTAGGAATAATTTTTTTTTATTTTTCAGATAACCACCCTGAAGGTCCATGCTCCTTTTTCTATATATGTTAAAATATGCACTATTTTAAATTTTGCAATATTGTGCATATATTTGGACATATTGCAGACATATTTGGACATACTGTGGACATATTTGGAATATTTCAGCTTTTCTCTTAATTGACATACTATATGGCTACTTATATTTCCAAGCCACTTCAATCTGCTCCTTTCAAATTATGTTTTTGCAATGTGTTTATCTAATTATTACTTATTTATTAGTTTCTGCAGAAGTATTGAATTAATTAGCATCTCATGCAAAGTCAAAAGTAAATATGAACACATAAATTATGCTATTGAATAGATACAAATTTTATTGGTCCTAATGCTGGCAAATGCAGTTAACCTTATTGATTTAGTTGAGTACCTTAAAATAACATAATAAAAAATATTTTACCACAAGGCTATATAATATGATCACTGTGTCAGCTATTTTAGCCTTCAAAATTTAAATGCATAGTTTAACTTCGAATATATTGATCCTTAAATAGTCACCCTATAATAAATATGACATTATCACTTCAAGTCTGGGCAGTTGTGTTAGGTGATTAGAGAGTAGGGATGTAATCAGAGGAAGTACTTTGAAAGATAATCTTTCTTTATTCCTTTCCTTTGAAACACACAGAGGGAGGAACTATGGAATAGCAATAATTGCTGAACTGGCTGTTACATAATCTGTGCTAAATGAAGTAATGATACTTAACAAGTGATCATCTATCCCTTTAAATATTGAGGATGTCGTATACATTCTATTGCCATGGCTGAGATAGTTCTTAGAGTTAATTTAAGATTTTTTTAAAGTATCTAAGAAAATATTTTTAAGAATTCTTTAGGAAATCATTTGACATACATTTTTATTATTCAATATATGGCACACAAAATACTAGGCACAAGTTAAAGAAAGCTGAGTTAGAGAAGATTCTAGCTCGCAGTCTAAAACTAAAGTACTTATTTTAAGATCATTAACACAAATTGTTATCTATTCATATTTAATTTGAAAAAATATATTAAGGTCAAAACATGATTGTATAATTTATATAAGTTTCTAGTAATTTAACCACTCATGAGGTTTTCACCCCAGTTTTAACACTGTTGTACAGGAATATAAAACCATAAGCCACTATTGGAAGATGATAAAATATGATCATATTTTAATAATTGATTTTAAAACCAAACATACTTAATTCAGTTATTAAAAGGCATAACTTAAACACAAGGAACACAAGACTTAAACAAAGCAGAAGACAGCTGTCCAGAAATTATCAATTACTAAAGCACACAGATTGTGATTAAATTTTAATGCGGCTTTTAAGCAATGATTTTGCTTATCAGAGAGAAAGAATCACAGAGAAAATATTGTTATTGATTTCATCATTTTAGATGTAACTGATCCTTTAAGTAATTTTTCTTGCTTTCAGTACTACTTTTTAAAGTGACCACTTATATTGGGCAAATCATTAGAGTGTATATTCATTTAAAATTCTAAGCCAAATGCATAAATTGCTCTCCAGTGCACTGAAAGTCACATCTGTTGAAAATAAAACACAACATTCAATCCATTGAGTAAAAACAAAACACAACTGTAGAATAGCTGGACAGTCAAATCTCATAAATTAAATGGCATTGAAAATGATATTTTTAATTAATTTTTTTCCAGGGAGCCCAGTCTTTGAAATTAAAGTACGTTGATTACCTTTTATGTAACCAAAGTAACAGTAAGACAAATTGATCCACTGGAGCATTATGCTAGTTTTAGGTTAAGGACTAGGAGTAGGAATAGGTTACAACTTTTTTCTTTCTTTCTTTCTTTCTTTCTTTTTTTTTTTTTCAAATAGAATGCTACCTATGTTGGCTCTCTGGATAAAGTATCATTTTGTCAATCAAATTAATTATTTAAAACGAGAAATAATTATGCTTATTCTTTATTTTCCAGCAGACCATAATTATTTAACAATGTATGAGATTGTTAATGTCAAAAACTTTAGTTTGGCTCCCTGGATATGTGCCCATGATGAGTATCTAAACATTAATTATAAATTTAAGAAATGTGTGTACATGCAGTTACATAATTACATGTATTTATTTATTTATTAATTCAGCATGAGTCTCAGCTAAATGACAGACTTTAAGCCAGGTACCAGTGTACGCATACATATTGGTAAGTTCTCATAATATGGACTTGTGTGGAAGATATAATATTGACTTAACTTTTTCTTTAAAGTATATTGACAATATGTTTATTAATTTGTCAGTGTGAAGTTAACTAAAAGCCTTATATAATGCGGTATCTCCTTTAAAGATTGTAAGTTTTCCTATTTTTAGAAATATAGGACATACCTATGAAACCAAATGAGTTTTAGTATGGCAAAAATATGTGGTCTAAATTTCCATGACTACCCAGCTCCTGTATTTTAAAAAAATATTCACAATTTATTACTCTATTTACACCTGTAGCTTTGCAAAATATTCTGAATTGATTAAATTAGTGTTGCTCTAATAGGTAACTGGCTACACAGAAGAACAAAGTAGCTAAAATTGTTTATTTGTGTCCCAAATATCTGGTTTAGAGAGATGTAGATACAGAGATAGAGATGAGATAATTGTTTGAATTTTTCACTTTTCAACCAACTTTTCAACAGCTAGGCCAACTATTAGTAAATGCAAGAGCACCTTTTGCATATTCTTATTTGTGTACTCAATTAATAGAGGTTTAAGAAATCATACAATCCTGATGGGCACACACAGAGTTAAAAGAATTAATCTCCTAAGAAGCAGTATATGTATCAATTTATTACTGTATTTAGCATTTTCTTAATATTTTGCAATCATTAAGTTTAAAAAGTTACTGACAATTAAGTGAATTCTTAATTCCAAACAAATCATTTTAGTTACTGATAACTTATACAGATCAAGTCACAGAAAACATTGGGCTAGTCCAACACAGATCATGATCCAAGTGTGATTTCTTGGTTATATTGTTTGTTATTTTTTTGGTTAAGAAGGGGAGGGAAATTGAAGTGAAAAATCATTTTAATAATATCTTCAATTTTGTAAAAAAGGCAATCTGGTATAAATTTTATCAAAACAAAATTCTTGGTTAATAGTCTGTCACTGACAGAAATAATTGCTCTCAGGAATATTAGGTAATTTGAATTTTTGGTACATGTAGTGACGTAGCATGTGCCTTCATTTGGTCTTGTACAGAAAAAAATGGTTCTTGTTTGAACTTTGTAAATTCTAATCTTAAATTTTTTATGCCACAAATGTTTAATTTGTTCAGTTAGGGATAACATTTATCCCTTAGACTAAGATTCTTCTAAACATTTGAAACTTCAAAAATATCATTACACACATTTTGAAAATCTAAATTCAATTTGCTAAAATCCTGGTATTAGTTAAATCAATCTTTAAAAATACCTGTGTATTGAAATTATAGAAAACTCTTAATCACATACAGGACCAATTATGTTTTTGTTACTGAGAAAAGTCTGCAATGACCTCAGGTATGACAGTGTCTTCCTTCAGTGAATCACTATACTCTGTGATCACTGAATACACAACCTGTAATTCCTAGGGGGTGGCACTCATGAACCAATTCATTCTTTACAGCCTGGAAATACTCTACTACTACAATTAATTTTTCATAACTGCTTATCTAATCAACTTTTGAAATAACAACAAATTTTCCATTTCTACAACTTTTCTATCATTCATCTCATCTCCTTACCTTACCAAATCACTATAGTACATGATTTATAATAAAAGTTTATGTTTCTGTATCACCTGTTAAACTCAGGACCCAAATTTCCCTTTTACCAAAATGTAGAAATATCTCATTCTCTTCTGCTTTACCCATGTTAGGCAGTCACTTCTACCATTATTTTAATAAAATGTTAGTCATTTTACCATAGATGTAATTTTTTTAAAAAAATCACATACACACATTCTTTGTAGTAGTGATGAGACACACACACAGGGAAATAGAATTAGATAATTTTTGATGGTTAATTTACATAAGCACAAACACTGAGACCAACTATTTTCTGTTAAAGAAAATCTTAGTGGATTATAAGTCCTTGTCCTTGAATTTAATGTTTCATTTAAAAGATGACGCTTCAAATTCCATCTCTTTGAGTGTGCTATTGGTAGAAGCAAAAAGGGAGTGTTGCTTTCTGTTTTCCTAACTACACAATCAGTTCAACCAGGATGAATCACATCACATGGTCCTCTTGAGCTCAAAGATGAAACTGTGGAAGTCAAAATGAAAGGAACTGTTTGGGGTAACATCATTGAACTTTTTTTTCCCTCTCCTGGACACTGTATGTTTCCCTTGAGCTGATTTCAATATATGTACTATAAAATTGAAACCCATGTCATTTTGTGAGGCTTTGTTACTAATAATAATAATTATAATCATATGCAACACATTTGAACCTCTTCTATATGTTACATATGTTACATATGAACACTAGTTCATTTTATCTTCAAAACTTAAAAGTTGTCCTATTGTGACTTCATTCCCATTGCTGGGAAGTAAATCATGTGCCTGCATCATCATGTGGCATTTCCAATGTCAACACTAAATGGTTAATTTCTAAGGGCTGAAATTTAGAGAAGGAACAGAGTAGAGTTCTGAGTATGAACCTGGGATTTAGGCATATTTATGCAGGAATCTCTAAGCCACTACTTGACCTATAGCAACTCCCTTAGCCTTCCTATGCCTCAACTACCTCATTTGAGAAACAGACAGAAAAATATCTTGCAGGGGCTGGGCGCGGTGGCACAGGCCTGTAATCCCAGCACTTTGGGAGGCGGGTGGATCACGAGGTCAAGAGATCGAGACAATCCTGGCCAACGTGGTGAAACCCTGTGTCTACTAAAAATATAAAAATTAGCTGGGTATGGTGGCGCAAGCCTGTAGTCTCAGCTACTCAGGAGGCTGAGGCAGGAGAATCACTTGAACCTGGGAGGAGGAGGTTGCAGTGAGCCAAGATCGTGCCACTACACTCCAGCTTGGTGACAAAGTGAGACTCCATCTAAAAAGCAAACAAACAAACTATATATGTACTTGCAGGGTTTCTGAGAGAATATAATGAGATAATGTCCTAAAAGCACTTAGCATTGTGTCTGTCATGGGTTAAGTATTGAATATACAAAATCTATTGTTAACATTAACAAAATATAATGGCACAAAATGGCAGAATTCCATGAAATTCTATTATGTTTTATCCTAATCCTTTTTATACTTATTAATCTTTTTGTTCATGGGGATTACCTGCCAGGAGGAATGAAACTGATAGCTTGAAAGGAAGTCAGACCCTTCAGGGTGGCCAAGATCAAAACTGGAATACAATCAGATGTTAGGAAATTAGCATATAGATATGTCGGAGTTTCCAAGCTGCCACTTCAGAGTGTAACACTTCCCCAATGAGAGTAGTGTAATTGATCAGACAAGAGTTTTATTATATTTTCTTTTGTTTTCTTCTGTTATTTTCTGTTTTTTTCTTATTTGTACGTGGCAATATCCTCACTCTCAATGTGAAGACCTCCATTTGGAAAGTGGCTGGAGTTCCTTTCTACAGATCCTATCATGCATTTTAGATTTACAGAAGTTTTCTTCTTTCTCTCTCCCAAGATCTATATTTGCAGATTATCTACAAACTATTTTAAGAGTTATTAATATCATTTTGCATGTCTTTCAGGAAGGATTTGAGTAGGCATAAGGGTATTTTTTTGTTACTAGGACTTTAATCTTTTTCTCTTTTCCTTATTATAAAGATTATTGAAAAACAGCAGAGCTAAGCTTTAAATAGGATTTGAATACATCTTTGAAAGCTAATACTTTATATTGTGCTAAATGATAGTGCTCTTTAAAATTGACTGTGTTGTGTTGTAAATAAGGTTAAAATGACAAAGAATCAAGTGTCTTAGGAATTGCAGAGTCTTGTTACATTAATCTCAGGTCAGATACGATTTTATGAGAGAGCATAATAGTTTAATGGGCATTTGTCAATTTAAATTAAATTATAACTTTCGAGACAGTAACTTGCAAACTTAAAACAGTCATATGATATTATGAATTACATCTTATGCACATTAAGAGATCTTAAAGCAAGGAAACCAAAGATAGAAAATATTGGTTCACATTTCAAACCACAATAAGTGTGAATATAGCCTCAATTTAATAAAAATGTATAATGCAACTTTCCTTGGGTTAAATGTCTTACAATTGCTCTTGGAATGGGCACTTGTTTTCCCATTATTGGCCATTTTAATTGACTTACACACTAGTTTTCTCATTTAAGATCACTTTATAGTATTGGTTACTCTTCATCTGAGGGATATGTTCTACTCCTGCCTGGTCCAACAACACAACAATTTACATATTTCTGAACTTGATCTGAAAACTGATTTAAAAATCTATATGGAAAATCCAATTTTCCTGAAAATATATACACACAAGTATGCTCAGAGGTGGCTAAAATAAAATAAATTTCATTTTAGGAGCCAGGAAGGAAGCCGAGACAAGAAAGTGAGGATTCTGAAATAAATGGGTACTTGCCCTGACCAGGATTGAAACCCACCTCTCCCAAGAGAATATTAGAAGAGGGCATGGAAGACAAGCATTGGAAAAGTAGAATGTTTGTGCTTTTCTTTCTAGTGGACTGCATTAAATATTCAGCAATAGAGGGGATCAGTTTACATTACTCTTCTTGTTTCTCATGTATCAACTGACAGGTGCTGTAAACATACATAGACAAACATGGTCCTGTGCTTGCAATGCTCCCCTGACCAAGGGAAGACAGGCTTTAATCTCCTAAACTGATCATACTGAGGCCTCAGCAGACACACTATGCTCAGATTGGAGAGAAAGCTTGCCTTTCAAATTTGATTCTCAAGAAAATCCATTCAAAGACATGGTTTCATTCCAGCAACATGTTACTAAGGTAGAACAATCTTGTTTTGATTCTGGAGACTCGACTGAATGCCTCACTCGTGCTTTTGAAATAATAGTAGCAGAACAAACCTCGTTTTCTGAGCACCTCACTTTACTCGTGGCAAACCACCAATCCGCATCTCTTATTTCGCTGAGGGTAGATTCACAGCAATCAGGGAGAAAGAACTGGCCTTGGCATTGAGATCAGAACCAGTATTTAAAACATTTATTCATTCGTGTTTTAGAGATGTCATGGTAAATAAATTATGACTGTTTACACTGAAGACTAAGAGTCTCCTTTTTCTACACTATAGGCAGCGATTTGGCTGAGATTGTATCATTCTGTGATACTATCACACACTACCTTTTTTCTCACTTGAATTGTACTTTTGGCTGTCATTTGCGCTTTTGAATAAAGGTTTACATTAGTGGAAGATATCATAATAGCATATCTCCTTTTCCTGAGTTGATATACAAATCAAAAAGAAAGGATAAGGCCAAGACTCCCTTTGTCCTTGGAAAAGTATGCCATCTGCATTGAGCTTATCATATTCAGCTGAGAACAAAATTCTAGCATAAGGATGTCGTTAATACAACCCTGAAGTTAAACTGTAAATTCAAAGTACTTTAAATGCCTTATAATAGTCAAAGCCAGTAAAATCGACCCTGTATATTTTTATTTCATCTCTGTTGGATCATATGATATTTAATAATTGGTTCTGGCACCTCGTTGCAAATTATTATAACTTTGAGATTCAACAGTCCTATTGAACATATGGGCAGCACAGGCTTAGAACATATATATGATACAGCCTCTCGAGAGGACCTTCTGTCTTGTTTTCCTTAGCTTGGAAGGGTCAGGTAAATTTTGTTGTGTCGTCATGTGCTAAGATTCCTCAATATCTGTTTTGCGGGGTAAATGCTTAATGGAACTGATTTATCCCCCCTAACTGTGAACAGTTCCTCTGCAAAGCCAAAAGAGAAATTCATGCATCTGGGATGCAGTTTTACTGGGCTCTTACTAAAGCAGTTATAAAGCTATTCCAGCATCAGTGCACAAGCATTCATCAACCCAGAATAGGTTCTATTACTTAGTGCCATATTGTATCCTGGTTTAGCTGCAAACTACAAGAGTTTCTGGAGTCAGGAGACCTTCCCATGCTATTGAAAGTGTATGATTATTCTTCACTAATCCTGGAGAAGATGGAAAGTTGGAGATAAAATACAGTTGACCCCAAGAAACCTTTTATATAGTTAGACAGTTTCCCATCAACATTTTTTTCAGTTCTATTCACAATAACACCCCGAGACAATATTAGGAAAAGCATTTCCACACCACAGCCCATTAAGCTTTTATTTTCAATGTCCCTGCTGCTTTTCCTCAATATCTAGACTGTGTGCCTTGATTTGCTCTTGTATTATTTCACATTAATTGCTATATTGTTTATTGCCACATTCAAACATACCATAATATAGTCACAGTGGCCATAATTACATAGTAAGCTGTCCTTAAAAAGAGATGTCAAGATGGATAGTGGTGGGTGGGGTAGGCAGAAGGTTATGATTTATACATTATGTTGACATTGTGGAATAGAGCTGGTTCAATTTCTTTTGATTTCACTATAATGCCTAATACTAATCTCTCTTTGTCTGTCATATAATTAGTCATTACTAAGACTACTACGCTAAAAAGTTCACAGGGTAGGAAGCAATGGTCAAAGACATTTTTCAAGCACATATTTTTCTGTTGCTCCTGCAATATTACAGTTTTTAAAATGGCATATTGGTGGATGAGAAATAACCATATGCAACGTCTATAATTCTAACTCATTATAAAAATAAATATCCTATTTTATTTAAGAACTCTTTTGGACAAAAGTACTTTTTATACTTATGCTTGTACTGATATTTATTTGTTCTAAATATGCATGAAAGGTATTTTGATGCTCTGGAATGTGATTTTCCCCCTTCTTTGTTGTGGTTGCAAAAATCCACCTCTCAGTGAACCATCCTACCCTCTTAGGACAAACTGATGTTGGAAATCTTCTTCACGATTAGGTTGTCACTTAGCCAAGACAAATACCAGGAATCATCCTAATCTTGGTGAACAGCAATTCAGTCACACTTGACCCTGGCTGATGATCATAAAGCTGAGGTCCCGTTCATATCGCAGACTTGGAAATATCTTTTACTACTGCCGATTTGCTTCGTATCACGGACTGCTTGCTTGGCATCACGTAAGCCAGTAGGTGGAGTGCTTGTTAACAGTAATTGAATATACAGAACTTGAACTTAAAATAAGTGAAAGCCACTTTTCTTGTTATAAACTGCTAAAACCATATTTACACAAAACTCTTTCTATGGATGTAATTAGTTGAAAAAAAATGTTACAAGGGCAGGGTTGAGATGAATGCAGGCCTATAGTTACATGGGAGAACACAGAGGCAAATTGTGCTCCAGAAGATCAACACATCATATGGAATAAACCTTATGTAAAAGGACACTTTCTCAAACATTCAACTGAATTTGATTTGGTAAATAGACCTTAGTCCCTCTTTTTTAAAATTTAGGATTTAAGCTGTTCAAAGGATAAACTAGCTTTGATGAGCTGCACATGAAAAAGTTTGTGAGATGGAAGATTAATTACATACATGTTGATAGCAATAGTAAATTCAGCACCTTTGGAATGAAAAGTTGCAAGAGGTACCTCCAAAATAAAGTGTAACTTTCCCATAAGAGTGCCTTGTTTTCCTCCAAAAGAAGATTTTCAAATGTATTTAAAAGCTGCAGCTTGAGGCTTGCTAACTACATCACTCTAAATCTATCTATATCACACCTAAAGATGTTAAAGCAACATTTAGAACTCCAAGGAGAAAACAAGCAACAGAATTTAGAAAGCAGGAACCACATGGAAATAAGAAAATCTTCAGTCGTTTTTTAAGAATGTGAGTTATATGATGTGAAGTAGATGAAAATGCAAGAGTTTAAAAAAGAATCTCTTGTTCCATATCAGGATACTTACAGATCTGAATCCATGGCATGCAAGTACTGAAGATATGTGTGGTTTAGAAATACCACTGCATCTATAAGGGCTTCAGAGCAAATAATTGCACAGTATACAATGACAAACACTACTAAAATAGTGACAATTTCCCCTTTAACTTTTTAATTACAAAAAATGGTGAACTCTTTTAAAAATATTTTTTGCCAAGACAGTGTTGATATTTTTTTCTAATTGTGCCATCATGTTCTCAGCTCTTTCTAAATTTTGGGTAGATTTGTGTTTCAAATATGCGACTTTTTTCACTTTGGGTTAGAAGTATAGGAACAGAGAAGAAGAGTGGGCACTGTTAAACTGAATTAATCAGCCACATCTTTATATGATAAATAACTCCTTGAAGCACTCGATAGCTTTACTCAAACCATCTCTGCCTTTTCAAGCAACATCAATAACAAATCTGATCCTCCCTCAGGCCACAAAAAGGATGAAAGAATAGTTATTGCTAATTTAAAATAATAAAATGTTATATTTTCTATTTCTTACCTGAAGAAAAAAGTATGTTCATTTCCATGAAGGACCTTAAAACAAATCAAGGAATTTGACCAGTAGATAAAAGTGGTAAACTATGCCCAGAACAGAATTTAGCTTCTTTAGCCAAGAAAGAGCACTTTGGGAAATGTATTTATTGTTAACATTTTGAATTGGAGAAATAGTATAAATATTGGCATATTCTCATTCACAGGGCTAGCCTATGAAAGAATTGCAAATGAGTTCTATTAAGGAATGTTTGCCTTCATTCATATATTTCTATGTGCTCATGTATTTCTTTAGGTTCTGCAGGTATCGTTATTTATGTGCACACTTAGTATAATTCTGTTCGTCTCATTTGAAAAAAAAGTTCACTTTTTTTGCTAGTAGTCGTTCATTTTACTTTGTCGTGCTTGCTACAGTATGTTACTTTCCCATAGATATTGAACCATGTCATTCTCAGCCAATGTTCACCCCTTGATAGTGCGTAGGCAATAGACTTTACTGAGAAATAGAAAAGTGTTAGCCACCGATCCCACCAAGGTTATATTCTGTCTTAATAGAAGCTGTTGATAGATCCTGAGCAGCTCTACACTTACCGTGTTGACTTATAGAATGAAATTCTCTGCACACAAGCACAGCAAAATATTTTGGTGAAAAGTAATTATCAGAAACAGTGACACCAGTAAATTAGTTAAGTACATTTCAGCGTGAAGCTTGAGTTACCCCTGCCCATTCTTGTTCCAGACTCATCTGAAATCAGCAGTTCAGCTTAATGATGTCACAACATTTGCCAGGCTATGGGCACTGAAGGGAAGACACGGGACTGCTCCCATTGCATGAGATTCCCCTCCTCTCTATGCACAGACAGCCCATCTGTCTCACTCATACACGGAAACTGTTATCTTTGCAACATCATTCTATTATTATCATGGCTATTCTTTTAAATTGGTCCTTAACTTGAGATGGTGTTTTGGAAATCAGGTTTTCAAATTCCCCCAGATCTTGTTGGCCAATTTAAAATGTTGATAGTAAGATGCCCTGGAAGCAGCTTATCTCACTAAAGAGCTCAAATGCTATACATTTCCATTCACTCACTGGAGGGTAACCTTTTGTGAAATACAGATAGCCTACTTTTCTAAAAAATCCCCACAAAGAATTCAACCCCTCCCAACCTCTAATATTTTTCAAAGTGTGAATTGAAGAGGACTTAGAGACAGATGGGTCTGGATGATCAGGTTACCTGTTATAGCAGCACATCTGCCGGGGCAGTCAATCACTGTGATGGCTCTGACAGGTCGATGGAGCCTGAGCAAGAACAGCTAATGCAAACAGAAGAACGGCTGGGGAAGGGCAGACCTCCTGCCTGTCTCCTGGGTTTGACTGGTCTGAAAGCTGTACTTGAATTTGCTCTGGTTAAAAATCTGTCTGTCTATTGAGCAATGATCTTCGATGAAAGATTTGGGCTCCCAATTTTTTTAAAGCCAACATATTGAATACATACAATTGGGAATGATTCGATTAGCACTTTCAAGCTGTCAGTCAATATTTGGTCGTATTTGGGGGACGTGGTATAGAGTGTGGGGTGAATAAGATTAGAAAAAGAAGAGGTGAGAAATAGGTTCAAAACCACATTTTTCCCAAAAGTGTCAAAATGGAGAAATGCATAAAGCACTGGTTCTGAGATACTTAATATCTGGGAGCTCAGTACAATAAAAATTAGCATTTACTAGGACAAAGGCAATATAAGAATGTCAGGAAGCAAAACTAATTAAGTTTATGGACACATGATACTTTGTTTTCTCTATAGGTTTAATTCTTTTATTCTACCTTCAATCACAAAGTTAATCATATTTAGCAATACTAATAGATTCAAATATTTGTCAATAGTATGCACTAGAAAAAATGGAATATGTGATTTCAAGATTTCACAAACAAAAAGATGTTTCAATTAAGTGCAGCATTAATTGTGCCACTTATATATCACATTTGTAAAAATGCAGATGTTAGAGGAAAATAAAACCAAAAAATGTCTGGCTGTAAAGCAGTATTTAAAAAAATCTAAATCTCAAAGAAATATCTAAATGGTAGGTAATGGCAAGAACTGTTAGCAAGTTAAATTTATGGTTAGTTAAATTTATGTATTTATGTATGTAAGTATCTATATTTATTTTTGTATATATGGTATATATTTTGTATTTATTATTAGAATATGTGTTTATGTATTTATCTTTAGAATACATATATTTTTTTGAAAAGTAAAAGAAAAATATTCCATAAGATAAGCATTATTATTACCCTACTGTAAAACAACAGTGAGCAAACATTGCTGAAAAGAGGGCAAAATGTTAATACATGCAGAACTGCTGTTAGTAGCGATTTTCTCCACAATGCCAAACTGATGGGGATTCGTGAAAGAGCCATTAAACAGATGCGTTGCTTTTCAATACATTCTTCAAGTATTTTTGCTCCCTCATCCACATTTTTAGTAAATGATGCTAAATGTTTTCAAAATATTACTATATTGGCTTTTTTTTACTTGAATTTTTTAAGTGGACTCATATTTAGCAGCAGATGGTTTGAGATACCAGAACTGCAATGGAGTCAGTTATTTAGGTTTAGACTACAAACTCTTATACCTCAGTTTATGGGATGGTAGAGATAAGAGCGGAAATCATCATTTTCTTAAAAAAAAATCAGAACAAACTCAGAAACAGGACTTTTCCTAAATAAGAATTCTATCTCATTACAGAAATAAGTTCATATCAATTCTTGCTAATGAAATGTTGAGTCTAAATCTTTTAAAGCTTTTAAAATGGATGGTATTTTCAGTTATAGTTTTAAAGAAAAAAAAATCACTGGAAAACTGTTCTCTGATAATAGTTTTGATACTAATTTAGCTTAAATATATTCTTAAGATAAGTGCATCCTATTAAAGAACCTCTGGATAACATGCAAACTTCTTGCAGTAGCTAACGTGGACATCATCTCACATAGATTGACTGACAATGTCAGTACATTTTTTTCTAGGAAGTGGGAAAAATAAAAGGTTTTTGATAATTTGCTGGTGGTAATCAGGAAATTGTGAATTAATTAGGGGACTTTGCCAAGCTAACCCCATTTAAATATGATTTAATAAAATTTTCTTGAGATTTTGCCAAAAATTTATGCATTATAATCTATCTATTCATCAACTCTACTAATACAGCACGAAGAAAACAAAATGAGTTTGGGAATGACTTCAGATTTTAGTGTAGGTCAGAACATTCTGGCAACTGGGACTCATGTTGCTCAGAATCACCCTGCTCTTCGGGGAAATAAACATAAGTGTCTTACAGGAATAGAATTCTCTGACTAAAGCTGATGGGGTTGGGGAGGGAGGAGGAACAAGCTACAAGAATAAAAACAAATTTCTTTAAAGCCTTAAATTAAAACTTCAACTATTAAAATAATCTGTAAAATGACAGCAATGATGTTGGAGATGTGCCCATACGAAAACAAACAAACAGAATTAGGGGTTTCCAGGGTGAAGTCTAATCCTTTCAGGGTCACAGTCCTGTGTACAAGGCAAAGACGTTCTTTTTAAAATGAGCTAATGCTCAATAAGGTCAAGGTTAGAGTAGAAAATGTGGAAATCTGCAGCTCTCCAGTCTCTAACAGGCATGAGCCTATTACTGTTCTACTTTCTTTGACCCATAGAATGACACCAGTTAATTCCATACTGACATAGTGATACAAAAAAGGTCACTGAAAATACGACTTCTGATTTTTATGCTAAGAGCAAGCTTGTTTTCAAGAGTCAAAACTCCATGAAACCTCAGATCTTAAATATATAAAAGGGAGAAGTCAAACAAGACAGAACTCTATTAGAATTCTATTAGAAATGGAGTATATCTTGTCTAATTTGTATGGCATATTTATGAATTTTGATCAGAGTCAACAGGAAATAACTCATCTTAAGAATGGCAAAGAAAATACTTTGAAGAAAGCAGGAACGCTGTATAACTATTTATGACTACCTTTACTAAGTTTTGCTACCATGTTTTTGCCATGTTTTCCCGGCTATATGTTGATCATTTCCATATTAAAAATTAATATACAACATGCCTAAGTAGATATGGGCTTGATCCTTTCCTAGGTTCATAATAATTCAATAACAGGAAGGCAAAGATAAATTAACCTCCACAAACTGTATTTATTTATTTTCTTGGAAGATGCTTAAATATTACCATTTGCTTGATTAACTGTCTACCTTAAATTTAGAGATTTGTGTTATTAAAAACAGTGTATTGTTTCAAAGCCAATACAAATCACATTGCTTTCTATCTAATCACTGCCTTTACTGCCATTAGCACAATGGCTAAATGGGAAGAGCTGCTCAAGTTCTCCGTGATGCTCAATGTAGACAGAAAAAAGCCCCAACTTGATACTGTGCTGGTATGCTGTAACCGAGCTATTTTTAATATTTCCTTGTAACTGATTTGTAAGTGGATTGTGCTTAGGCAGTGTCAGAACTTTCCTGTCAGCTACTTTAACAGCAAAGAGATAGCTTGATGAATAATTCATTGAAGGCAATTTTCTCCTAGTCACTGAGTCATCAATCATAGTTGCCTAAAGAGCCTTGAATTGGCCAGCGGAGCTCTATTCACAGGTAGTGTGATTTAGGGAATAGGAGCCACATTCATACTGACAAGTCAGGTAGCAGTAAGTAACGGAAGATGCCTCCTTTACAGACTGCTAATGAGTCACCAAAACCGCATACTATTTCCAATTCCCTTTTTTGTTTTTTTCCCCCTTTTTCAAAATATCACTCAGAATTGTAGCCATAGGGTGGTTTTGCCAAACAAAGGTGCAGTTGGATGAAAAACCAGTGTAAATATTTGCACATTTTTTCTGGCAGAAATCCTACTCTGAAAAGAACCTCTTCAAAAGGGAAAAGTGATTTGATACATGATTGCATGCATTTACCCATGTAATTGAAATAATGAGAGATGATTGCTTTGAGCTAATAGTCATAAGTTACTGGTCTTTTTGTTTAATCCAACCATCAGCTGTCAAGAGCCTCGCAGGAGCATGGGGAAGATGCACCAAGGATATCATTTGCATCACCTCAGACTGTAATTTTGTTGTTTTTTTCAGAGCTGATACAAGCGTCAGATTCTATACAAATCTCCCTGGAGCATAAGCGCTCTAGTGTTGTTTTGATAGGAGCAGAGAGAACAGGAGCACGTATATCCCTGCTCCTAGTAGCTTAAATGCTCTCAGGATCACAAATAAAATAAAAGCAGATTTTTTTTGGCAGACTTCTTACAATTGTTAAAAACTAATTTTGCAGCACAGTCAAGGTATGTCTTTATGCTGGAAAACTCACATTTGAGCAAATTTTCAAATACATACATCTTATATCATTGCGCCTATTGTTCCGCATGACAGATACCTTTGTGGTGTATTACACATCACCCATTAATTCCCTAAGCACTACCTATTGTATTAATACCAGCTGCCTATGACTGTTCAACCAGCACGAGAAAACAGGCAAAAACAATGGTGCAGTGATGAGTCATAATTTTCATAGTCTTGCTTAATAAGGAGGTGTGAAAAATGTTTTCTAAATATTGTAGCTCTGCTGTTGTCTATATGTGATTATAATGTTTATGCAAGCAACACAAAACAATGTGTACACAATCAACATCTGGCTACAGAGATTTCACTATAGAAAGACTTGGAGAAGATTTATTGAACACTGCTCACAAACTAATTAAGTTTAAATTAAGTTTTAATACATTGGATGTGGATTCCTATTGGATAAATGCTTGAAGCAGACAAGTTAATTTCTGACATATGGGAATAAGACTTTAACTTAGCAGATTGTTCACAGTGGATTGTGTACTGTTGTTTCTCTTTTCCTCTGAATTACCTACTGTCTGTGTGTGCAGATGAAATGTTACGTTACCCCACAGGATTGCACTGATCATCAGTAAGAGAGAAGACACTCTCCTCTGTAGATTATCTCTTGGCTTGGTGCGTGTCTCTTCAACTGTACCAGGCAAAGCCTTCGGTTAGTACACTAAACCCAGGGAAGCTCTCAGCTATTTTGAAGTATTTGAGTTGGGAGCTGCAGGATTTATCTCTGATCTTACCAACTTTTCACGCAAGAAGAAGCTGTTTTTTTGATTTGCCCAAAGACTTGAAGAAATGATTGAGAAAGGAAGGATCCAGCTAGTAGGAGCAGCAAAGTCTCTAAGCTTTTTAAAGAGAGACTGAGCTAAGAGACCTGTGGGATCTGTTTCAATTACAAGATATGGTACTAGGATAACATAGGTTGTGGTGGATACAGCTGCTTCAGATATGCAGCAGGTGACAATTCAAGCTGTACACATCAGTCCAGGCCTGTGAGGCTCTTTCAAGAATGGGACCTGGGAATTGCCTCAAGAACAAAACTAAAAACAAGGGCCCTAGACAGCACTCTCAACAATGGTCATTATCTTGAATTAAGACATATTTGGAATATTAAGGTTTCATTTTTGGTGGGATAGACAGGAGGATATCAATTAAGGATAACAACTCTTCACTGATAAAGATACATTAGTGATGGAAACACTATCTCTAAAATAAAAATGTTTCATGGTTCTCTAGTCCAGAGGTTCTTGGACTTTATTCCAAAAACTTATGAATAAAGAGTTTTCAATAAAAAACATACTCCTGTGGATGAACCTGGGTTTGGATAACTTCTAGCTTTTTGGTGTAAATTCACTTCTTAACCCTCTGTTTCAGGTAAGCATGGTTATATGCAAGTGAAAATGTTCTTTTTATAGAACTGACTTGAAATCATGTCTATATTTAAGTTAAATGACTCACAACTTAGTAAAGTTTGAGCCCTGAACTCCTGGCTCCTCCACTTACTAGCTGTGATGACTTTGAGCAAGGAATTTAACTCACCTGTGCCTCGATTTCTCCATCTTTGAAAATGGGATAAGGAGAGTTACTACCACTTAATGCTGTTTTGAGGATAAATGAATTAGCTCATGTAAAGTGCCTGGCATACAACAGCTCAAAAATATTTGCTATTGGCTTTACTAGTAAGAACCATATTAGTAATCTCCTCACATTTGTTTGAGATTTCAATATGTTGAGAAAGACACTGAGTTTGAGAAGCACTGATCTAGAGCCCTGAATTTTCACAATGTTTGACATAGTGCCTAATTCACAAAATTATGGGAATTATGTAAGACAAATGGAAAAGTCATCTAACAATATACTTGGCTCTGCTGGAGTAAAGATCTTTTGTTAAATACAATTTCAAGAACCTCTTCCAGACTTTCTTTCATCATTCCAACTGTCAAGGCTTTACTTACATCCCATGAGCCAGTCTAGATAAGAGGACCATTTGCATCAGTGTAAGGCTGTGTCTCTGAATGCATTAGACTAGCATGACAATCCACACTGGCATTTGACATAATCATTATTGATACTGCAGCTGAGTTGATCGGTCAGTAATCCACGATCTTTAAAATGAAGCAAAGCAAATCAGCATTAATTTAATAAGTATTTATTTGTTATAACCCAAATGAGCCAGCCTCCTTCCTTCCTTCCTTCCTTCCTTCCTTTCTCTCTCTCTCTCTTTCTCTCTTGCTCGTGTTCTCGCTCTGTCTCTCTCTCCTTTCTTCTTTCTTTTTCCTCCTTCCTTTCTTTGTATTTCTGGGCATTCCTTTAACTCTCAAACTAACTTCCTTTCACTCTTGGATTTACACAATCAAGTGTTTGAAGTTTGTTGGTTTATTTAGTCTGTGTTTTCACTTAACCAGATCAGCATCTTTACTTCCTTGTCTTGATCCAACCACTCTTGTCCCTTAATACTTGGTGCAATGATGGTAATTCTCTCTACATATTTGTCTTCTAATTAATTTCTTGTTTTGAGAACTTAACCGTCCACAAATAAGAAAAATATTTTTATTAAAATATTCCCAATTCCCAGCCCCCTTGTTGGAAAGACAACAACTTCTTCTCAGTTCTACATCAGCGTGCCTCTCTGTATGCAGTTCAAAATAGCTTTGACCTTTACGGCTGTGCTATCACACTGTAAACTCATGTAATAATATTGAACTTGTATGTAGTCCTCCATGTTTTCAAAGCATTTTACGATTATTGATTAGTTATTTCACACAATCTCCAAGCAAAGCAGTCTGGATAGGTCTGGAAAATACTAATTTTATCGATGAGGAAACTGACAGAGGCACTACCACTTAGTCCAGCCATCAGCAACTTAGTGGCAGACAGTACGGTAAGAGGCAAGTGGTGCTGCATTTCACTGACTGAGTTGTTTACAAGGAAACTGTCAATGACCATGCAGACCTTTTGCATTTGAGAAAGGCAGACCAGATAAAGAGTGTATCATGGAGCCAGATAACCTAAATTCAAACCCTGGCTTCACTGCTTCCTAACTGAGTCATCTTGGACAGTGTCCTAAGTGTGTGTCACTTTGCCAATCAGTAAGTAATACGAAGGTAGCCTCCTCATACGTGGTTGTGAGAACTGGTGATGTCCTCAAGTTAACACCTGGCAAAGAAGAACATGAAAAGTGTTGGTTGTTTTTCTATGTTGTCTTTATGTAAGTTACTTTTTTCCTTATAGTTTCCTCTATGGGCTGATAATAATGTTTGATGTCTTTTTGGAGCTATGTTCATGTGCATTTTCTAAAACTAAAACTCAATACTATGTTTTTTCCTAACTGCTCCCCACCCTTTTAAAAGAATTTAGCCAATACATCTCTGGTTTTGCCGGCACTTACAGCCAGCTTCTGCAGTCTTGTGATTGTGTGTGTATGGCTGGGGGTTCTGCCCTCATACTGCCCACTTCTCAACAGCTGCTCCCTCTTCACAGGCTGCAGTGAGCGTACAGACTCGTTCATCCATTAAAAACTTATGTAATGAGATCCTCATATGTGCTAGGAATTGTTCGAAGTACAAGGGATAGTGTATTGTACAGGTCAGACAAAAATGCCTATTTCCTGGAGGTCATTATCCACCAGGATTATGTCGTTTGTTTATAATGCCAAAGAGCACATGATGGAACTGTAGCTACCTCCAAAATTTCTTCTTTTGGGTACTTTAAACACCTGGATGAAAATAAATGCTTTGTGTTCAAGTTCTGCCTGGAAATGCTAGGGAGTGTTTTAGCCCTAGGACATGATAGATCTAGGTAGTAGAAAAAAAATACATTTTTTTCACAGTCATATTTTACAGATTGGTTAAGACTAATCAATAAGAGTTTTTATTGTATCATAAAAGTGATATGGGTGTCACAAAAAGAATTAGATAACAGATACAGATCTGATTATAGATAATTCCTAAGATTTTTAAAGACTATTATCAATACTGATCTCTCATAAACACAATTGTACATTTTTCCTCAACATATATCTCTTGAAATATTTTGGCATAAATTCTACCTTGACATAAGTTCTCTCTCTGTCTCACATATATACCACTTTTTCAGCAGTTTCTACAAAATATGCTAATTTTTCTACTACTCCTCAATCCTTACCATTAAAAAAATATGCATTTCGGCCGGGCGCGGTGGCTCACGCCTATAATCCCAGCACTTTGGGAGGCCGAGGGGGGCGGATCACGAGGTCAGGAGATCCAGACCATCCTGGCTAACATGCTGAAACCCCGTCTCTACTAAAAATACAAAAAATTAGCCAGGCATGGTGGCGGGCACCTGTAGTCCCAGCTACTCAGGAGGCTGAGGCAGGAGAATGGTGTGAACCCAGGAGGCGAAGCTTGCAGTGAGCCAAGATCACACCACTGCACTCCAGCCTGGGCGACAGAGCGAGACTCCGTCTCAAAAAAAAAAAAAAAAAAAAAAAAAGCATTTCTTTAGTTCAAGATCAAAAGATTTTTTATAAAGTTCATCTTAAATTCTTAGAAAATTGTATCTTCTTTCTCTTTTTGGTTTGAAAATGAGTGACTAAAAGTATGAATAATAAGCCATATATTTTCATTGAGACAGTGAGTATTTTAGATGATTCATTCTATGCTAGAATGTCTATAGTACTTTATTATTGTAGTTAGTAAATTATACTATTATTTATTTGAGTTCCTCTTATGTGTCAGCTATTATCAACATTTTAAATGAATGATCTCCTTTTCTTTTCACAGTAACACTGAGGTAAGCACTCTTTTCAACCCTGTTTTAGGAAGGAGGAAGCTGAAGCCATGCACTTGGAAGTGGTGGGATGATTACTTGAGTCTGGAGCTGTTTGACATTACAGTCTCTACTTTTAACTACAATACCAGATGGCCTCTCAATTGATACCCATTTTTTAAAAATCTGAGTTATTGCCTGTAGCAATACATAACAACAATAGCTGCAAGATTTCTGAGTTATTCAGAAAGATTTTTCATTCTGTTTATATCAGAGATGAGACTAGAGTTTATCATTTTTGGTCTTCTAATTTGTGAACAGCTCTACAGGTATTAGGTGGACAACACCTAAATAAATTGAATTGCAACTCATAACTGACATACTCTGATTGAAATATATGTTCAGTAAAAACGAACATGATTAAAACTTACATGAAAATATTACTTTTGTGGCTACTTCCTTTAGTTATTTGATTTGAATAATGGTTAAAATAAAAATAAACTTATTTATTGAATTGTATGGCTTTTGGCTAATCTTTAGTTAAATGGAGATACAATAAAAGATATCACTTCTACCAGTTGGTTACTAATTTAAAGATCTTGCAATAAGTTATCTTCACCATCACCAGGTTAGAACTTAACTGTGGATATAATTAATACTGGTAATGCTCTGCAGAAGTGGCAGAAAAGACCTGATACATGATATTCTATACTTGCTCTAGTCTAACATATTAAATAAAGGCAAAAGCTGAATATTTTAGCTTTCATAAACTTAAAAACAATTATGTGTATTTATAATCTAAGAGTTACTATTCATAGGTACCTTAGGGAACAGTGGCGTAACCAAAGCTGTTGCTTAGTTTTGACCTCCTATCCTACCTCTTCTGTGACAAGGTCTATGCCCTCAGGGGTAAAATCTCTCATTTCTCACCCTAAAACTATGTTGTACTCATCCTAACTTACTTCCCTCCAGTCTCCGTGGATAAAATATCCTTTGCTCTGCACAAAGGATTTTTCTGTCTCCATATTTGATCCTGTCCCTCCTATCCCCTCTGAAACTCCCCTCAATGACACTTCTGTATCATAAATTTCTCCTCACCACTGCCTTCTATCTTGTAACACACAAACAAGGGTAAACATCTTGTTCTCTCCTTTCCTTTACTATCTAGGTGTTCAAACCATTTACTCTTTCTTTCTTTAACGTCTAAATTAGATTTGCTCCACAACTCTTTCAATTGATTTTCTTTCTTCACTACCCAAGAGTTTGTAATCTTTGTAAATAGATTCATCAGATTGAGATTGCTAAATTCAATGGATAATTTTTAGTCCTCATCTGTCTTACTCCTCTAAGGCTTTCAGCACTGGCGATCACTGTCTTCTTCTCTCTCCCTTCAGCATGTAATGATCTAGGTTTTCCCGGTTCTTATTATCTGTCACTTAAGAAATATATATATATTTTTTTCTGCAGCTACCTCCCACAGGCCAGCTGTCTTTAGTGTTTCATCTTTTCCTTTCTTATTTGAAATGCTTTTTCTGGGTAATCTCATTGTATGACATGGCTTTATTGACCACTTAAATCTTAAAGTCTCCCAGATTTCTTTTTTTGGCCTGCACAACTTCAATATTTCAAACCCACTTCTAACTAAACCAGTACCAGATAACACCCATTATCTCTCCATCTCTACCCTCTTATCTCTTCCACATGAGTCAGTAATTAAGGAGTCATTTTAATATTCCCCTTTCTTCATTCCACATCCAAGTGAATGGCCACATCCTACATTACTTTATCTTATAAATATCTTCAAACGATGCCATTTTATAGCTATTCTGATCACTAGTGAGTAGTGGTATTTTTTTGGATACGGAGTCTCGCTCTGTCACCCAGGCTGGAGTGCAGTGGCACAATCTCGGCTCACTGCAACCTCGGTCTCCTGGGTTCAAGCAATTCTACTGCCTCAGTGTCCCAAATAGCTGGGAGTACATGTGAGCGCCACCATGCCTGGCTAATTTTTGTATTTTTAGTAGAGATGGAGTTTCGCCATGTTGGCCAGGCTAGTCTCAAACTCCTGACCTCAGGTGATCTGCCTGCCTTGGCTTCCCAAAGTGCTGCGATTACAGGTGTGAGCAACCGCAGTCGGCCACTATTGAGAAGTTTTTGACTCTCACTAGAAACTTTGCTTTGTAATTGTTCTACTCCCCACCATCATCATCGTCATCCCTTCAAAGCCATTATTTATGTTGCTGCCATCATAATCTGTTGTAAACTATGTCACTTTTCTGCTAAAATTCTTTCAATAATCCCCTACTATCAAGAAAATAAAAATAAAATTCTTCTGTGATTGCTTGAGGAAACAGCTGGAAAATGCAGAACTTTGGAGTCTATTTTGTAAGAAAAAAATATGGGTAGTCTTTAAACATAGTGGTGATCTAGACTGCTTGAGAGATGAGAGGAATGCAATAGTGGGACCACAGAATGCCTCTGCCAAGGGAAAAAGCGCAGAAATCTGAAGATTAGCCCCAACAATGACCAAGAAGAGGGGTAGTGACTAGCGTCCCCACCAACACCCAAACTGAATGGGGAGAGAAAGCCTTGCTCCCTGGAATGTCATAGTCACATACAAAGTAAGTGATTTTTTAAAATTTCAGCTGCCTTTGTTAAAGTGCATCTTAGGATTATTTTCTTATAAGTTCCATAAAAAGAATAACCAAAACTTCACTGTGACCTTTTAGAACCGCTATCCCAGAAATTGAGGGTGAAACCGACACTTAACAATGTGGACTAGTGCAGCATGTGGTCCAGGAAAAAGATGCATGACTGTTAAAAATTGCACATGGATGAAGCTGAAAAACCATCATTCTCAGCAAACTGTCACAAGAACAGAAAACCAAACACCGCATGTTCTCACTCATAAGTAGGAGTTGAACAATGAGAACACATGGACATAGGGAGGGGAACATCACACACTGGGGCCTGTTGGGGGGTAGGGGGGGCTAGGGGAGAGATAACATTAGGAGAAATACCCAATGTAGATGATGACGGGTTGATGAGTGCAGCAAACCATCATGGCACATGTATACCTATATAACAAAACTGCACGTTCTGCAAGGTACCCCAGAACTTAAAGTATAATAATAAAACAAATAAAACAACAACAACAACAACAACAACAAAATTGCACTAGCCATCAGAAATCATTTATTTGACAACCTATTCAGTTCATAAGAGAAATACAAAGAAACAATGAGATAATAAGTGAAAGGCCATGAATAGTTGTGATATATGTTTCAAGACAATGCAGTAAGGTCATGGCATACAACTAATCAGAGCCTCTCAAAGACTATTTTAACTTATTGTATTCATAATAATTCTACATCTATTTTCACAGCTCATAGAATAATAACAGTAGATCACTAGAGGGAAAAACTCTGAGGCAGGTTGCAGCAAGAAGTGACATTAGAGAACAAAGGCTAGGATAGAAAACTAATTAGACATAGGAACTCAAGCATTAAAAACTGAGGATGTTAGTGTAGAGGCAAATAGCATCAGTAATAGCCCTGAGGGTCTTGTATTTGCAAGTAGAGTTTCCAAAATGTGTAACAGAAAAAGCAATGGATTAGAGTTAGAAAGGTCTCTGTTCTAGGCCTGACTCCATCACTTACTGGTGGTGAGGTCTGGACACAATCTCTCAGTCCTCAATTTTTCCATCTACGCAGTGGTAAAAATGACTTGTCTGAATGCTTAATACATTTAATTTTGGGTATTATGGATGTGACATAATACCAAAAACCTTTGTAAATAAGTGTAAAAATGTGGCATTTTATTTCCTTACCAAAATTACTCTTAATCATCTAGTGCATTTTAAATTAACTACATTGTTTATTAAAGTCTGTAGTCCTTTTCTTTTTCCTATCAATATTTTCTCCATCAGTCATCTCAATCAGTCCCATGGATTTAAATATTAACTATTTGTAATTGACTCAAAAATTGGTCTTTATTATCCTGTCTTTCTAAACATCATGGCCAGCTACCTACTTAACATCTTCACTTGGAGATACTCTAAAATTTAATTAGCCTAAAACAAAACTCTTAATTGCACCTTTAACCCAGTTCTTCCTCTTGGCTTTCCAATTGACATAATAGCAATGCCACACTTTGTTGTTCAAACTAATAATCCAGGAGTCATCCTTGAGTTCTCTCTTAGGCACATACCCTGTATACAATCTGCCAGCAACACTTGTTAGCTCCATGTGCAAAAGTTATTTTGAGTCCATCAGCTTCTGTCCATTTCCATTGTTACTACCCTAGCCCAAGTCAGCATCATTTTTCACAAACACTATTGTCATAGCCTCCAAAATGCTTGCTCAGTCCCTCAATCCTTTCTGATTTAGCAGCTTGAGTGATCTTTTATAAACATAAATTAGATCATGTCACACTTCTGCCTAACCCCAAGTTTTCTAACACACTTCTTAGATAAATTCCATTTTTTTGACTCTGGCTCAGAAGGCCTTATGCACCCTGGCTTTTACCTACTTCCCCAGCTTCATTTCCTATCACCTCACACCAATTAGGTGCCATTCACACTAGCTTTCCTTCTCTTTTTCAAACACAATGTGACCTGGGATTATTCTGATTGGCCAGCCTGAGTGACATATCCACCTGTGTGGAGGGAAGATGAAGCCAAACCATTAACAGAGCCACTCAAATCAAATGGAATGAGAGAAACAAGAAACAATTATTAAAGAAGGGATATAAGCCCCATACTTAAAAAACCAGATGTCTATTGCAGTGCTAATCTGCTGGATTTTTCGTCATTAATATAACTTGTACCAACAAATACTGCTTAAATATTCCAGTAAAATTGATCCAATAAAAACCTACCTGGTTAAAATTACGTTTTGATTCAAAATCAATAAACACAGACACAGACAACATAAGCTTCTAATTAGGTATGTAAGTAGGCTAATACAGTCCTGTGGAGTTAGAGTACTTAATTATGTCAAAGGACCATCTAATTATTGTTGACCAGTAAAACATGTCTGTTTCCTTTCGGATTAATCTTTGTGAAAAGTTTCCAGGATCACAGTCCTGTAGTTCTGAAACACGAAAAGAAGTGTCAGAGTTGTTTATAGCACTTGAGCTTTCAAATCCTTTTAATGGCTATTTCAAGGGATTTAGCTACTTGTTCCTTGACTTTTACTATTTGATTATTAATCTTTTTATGATTCATATGGGCTGCCCTAAGGATTAGATATCCCTGAATTTCACCAAGATTATTTTCTTTAAATGAAAATTGCCACGAATCTTTCTTTTCATAGAAAGCTACATTGATGTCTTGAATTTCAAACATTTGAAATCCAAGTAATAAATAGGAAAAGCTACTAATGAAAAGTGTTATTTTTTAAATGATAAATTCAAAGATCAAAATAAAATGATTATTCATTGTACTTTACAAATAGCCCATCTTTGTACCAAAAAAAAAAAAATTCCTTTCATCTTCACAACTAAATTGACTAAAAGGCATGGTTTCCTAGCAACATTCATTGTGTTTATGACCTTTCCTCCAATCTGAGCACACAGATGTGATTCTGAAGCTAATAAATATACATCATCCAACCTAGACTATTCCACTTTCCCTAGAGCAGGTTGAGAGAAATAGCCAACTACAGATGAGAGCTAAGAAAATAAATATATATTCAAAACAGTTCTGAACATTTTCATATGAATGAGTTTATTTAACGGAGGTTAATATATCAAAGTATAATCACGTACTATTTTATTGCAGCACTCGGACATAGAGTTAGAAGGCAACATTTTTAGAACAATTTATGATACAATGGAGAGGTTTTCCTGATATTAGAAACAATTATATCTATACTCCATTCACAAATATATGCAACTATAATTTAGAATTATAAGTGATTTGTAGTCTTTTGAGAATTTATATGTTTGTGCATCATTAGATTTTGGAAAATTTTTGATAAAACAATACATTAAATATGTTTTAAGCATTCTTCCAAGAAAATTGTACCAAAATAAGACCCATAGCTTCAAAGAAGCAAAAATTCTAGGTAATGCCTCTTATTCATTTTATATTTGATATCTGTATTATCTTATTGCCCATATCTTCTATAGAAAACCAGGGATAGCAAAAACATATAGAAAAAGTACTGACATCTTTGTAACTTTGGTATATGTCAATTTCTATGAAATAAACACTCTCCAGCAGAAACAAGTCAAGAAGCACTGTGTAGTCTTTTGAAGAGAAAACGGCCTTCACTGCTGGCTAATTCACCATGAGAGCAGGAGTTAAATGACATTGAGCCATTGGTGCGTTTTCTTTGGCATTATCTAATGAATCCCTCCAAATTTATATGTTTTGTATATCACCACCACAGATGCAGGGTTTAGTGAGTTTTGCTTATGCAAAATGAAAATAATTACAGGGAAGCTTTTAAGCCAGATGTTGAAAATTGCTAGAGACGTGTTTGGGTCAGCATGTTTGACAGAGTTTACACAAGTGGCTACTCTAACTGGCAATTGACTGCCTAGTGGACAATTAGTAATATATCTTCCTTGTTTTCTAAGTATATATTTATTTCATTTTAAATAATTGTGTCTGAGGTTAAGATGGCAGTAAGAGTGATAAATACTGTACCTTAAATCTCTTAATAGGTATGATAAGTACAGTTTTGCCAAAACAGTAACTGCTTAAAAAAGAAACACTTTATTTATTCTGACATCCATATAAGATTTGTTTTGTTTACAAGTCAAAAGGATGATTTTTCTAACTGCCAAATCTTTGATCTCAATGTAAGAGTTAAGATTCCAGCTGTGTTCTTTGCGATTCTCATTTTCATTGTCAACAGTAATGAAAAGTCTATGCGTAGGACACAGCTGAGGGTTGTTTTCTTTCTTTCTGCTTTTAAAAAAATTTGTTATGATCAACTTAGAGTCAGCTCAATTTTTCTTTGATGATAAAGTCCTTAGTTAATAGGTGAATAAATTATTCTTAGGCTTATTAGTAGTTACGGTTAGCAAAGTCATCCTAGAATTAAAGGTTATAATTTTAGAAACATAATTAGGTAATGAACTTTTCTGGGTTATTTTACTGGTCACTTACAAATTAATTTCATAATGAAGTTTGTCGTTATTAATGATCTGAATAATCTCTTTCATTCTTTTCAGGCCCCAAACATCCTGTGGGATTTCAACCATCAAAATTGGAAAGGTTAGTTAATTGACTTTTATTCAGAAAACCAAAGAGGAAAGAGTACTTGGCTGCCTGATTTGTCAGTGCTGTTTTCGTATTCAGATGCCTTACACAGTGTTTTTCCTTTCCCTCATCTTACTGAGCTCACTTCTCCACTCCAACCACGACCATCTATCACTTATTCTAAAAGGAGAAAGTTGAAGCTCAGTAGGGCTGGAAGTTCAAGCTCAGTTAGGGCTCCCATGTGGAACTAAAGAAGCCTTAATTTTGGGCTAATTTATGCTCTTGATCTGGATCTCAGTCTTTTTACTTGTAAATCTGAAGAGTTGAACAACATAGTTTCCCAAATTCCATCTAGTTCAAAACTATTACAACCCTTAGAGTAAAATAAAATTTCATTATCTTAATGATGAACAGTTTACCATCTCAATAAACTTTAAGAGATTTCTTTTTAAGCTTAATTCCTTTTCTCCTCTTTCCTACTCATGCAAAGGCCTTCACACTCTAGCTCTGGCCTCTCCAGTTTAACCAATTCTCATGAAAATATCATCCATGAAGTCTATGCTTCTGACCTACATCACTTCTCACTCCTCCTAGAACATGTCAGAGAAGCTATTATATATGGAAACAGCAGGTGTCTTTGAAGAAAAATAAAACAAAAATAAACAATAAAAAATTTAGCTCTTGGCCAGGCACGGCGGCTCACAACTGTAATCCCAGCACTTTGGGAGGCCGAGGTAGGTGGATCACCTGAGGTCAGGAGTTCGAGACCAGCCTGGCCAATGTGGTGAAACCCCGTCTCTACTAAAAATGCAAAAATTAACCAGGCCTAGTGGCATGCGCCGGTAACCCCAGCTACTCGGGAGGCTGAGGCAGGAGAATTGCTTGAACCTGGGAGGCGGAGGTTGCAGTGAGCTGAGATTGTGCCATTGCACTCCAGCCTGGGTGACAAGAGCAAAATTCCATTAAAAAAAAAAATCTAGCTCTTTTACTTACAACTTCGGGAATTTGAATAAACGTCTTAACCTCTCTGAGCCTCCAATTCTGCATCTTTTACTTATAACTTTGGGAACTTGAGTGAATGACTTAATCTCTCTAAGCCTCCAATTCTGCACCTATAAAATAGAAATATTGGCAGTTGTGCAGATTTAATAAATCAGAGGACAATTATACCTATGACATATATAACACTAAATAATAGCTAATATTGTTATTTGATATGTAGTAGATATTAATATTATTAACTATTCTATACTTTTTTACTTCTCCTTTTCTCCCAAAATCTTCAGCTAGAAAAAAAATAAATTTATTCTTTAAGATTTATTTCAAATGTCATCTGTTCAAGGACATTTCTTGACTTCTCCCAGCTTAGTTTGTGGAATCTCTACATTTCCATATTTTAAAAAATTACCTGGTGTAGTATTTTTTAGAGTTTCAATTTTATCTGTTTATCTTTCACACAACTAGACCTTAGAGTTTCTGATGTTTTATTGGTATCTTAACACTTTTGTGCCCTGCTTAGTTCAGTGCCTTGCATATAGGAGGGCCTCACTAAGTGTAAATGTTTGATTGAAAAAATTCTTAATGAATAAAGTAAGAAATGTGTTCTTTATACTGTACTCCTAACATTCCTCCATCTGGAGCAAATTACCCTCTATAGGGAGCCCCAAATCTACCCTAAAATATGGAATTCTTCTTTTCCTATGTCGGTGGAAAGTAAAGGAATTCTAGTTCAGCAAATTTGTCTCAAGTAGTCCAGCTTCCTGTTGATTCCCTCTAATAATGTTAGTCAATTCCAGTTTCCCTTATTCCTGTGACCTAGTCCTCATCTTAAACTTCAAGTCCAATGGTAAAGTGCCTGCACTATTTTAGCTAAGATGTAGCCTAAGATCTCGTATTGATAACCTGCATTATACTGCATTGCTTCTATTTCTAGAGCTCTGTTTAATTGTCTTTATTCTAACTTGGAATGGAATCCCAGCAACTCTAGAATTTCAGCCCAGTGTCTAGGTCCTATCTGCCTATAGATATTTTTGTACATTACTTATGCCTGAATTTCTGCCCTGTACTCTTTTTGTCTGGCAGAACCTTACTGTAAATGTGGCTGTTCAACTGTACTGCCACATATATCTCCAGACGTCTGACCAGCTCCTAGAATTCAGTTTGTTTCCAATCACCTGTTTTATCTCAATAAATATGTTTGGTTTCCAGTCAAGAGTTCCTGGACTGATTGTTTCCCTGGTTCTTCTATTACCTCTCCTAGTTCAGTCAATTCTGCTTTTTGAAATGTCTTTCTTGGGCATGTTCACACATCCTATCTTTCTTCATTCCCTTTTTTCTTCCAATCTAAGGCCACTTAGGTCAGGAAAACTTCTTTTTCTTTTTTCTCCCCTTTCATACCAGAGTCAAAAGAGATGGTAAAAATGCCTGCTGAATACCTATTGAAACATCGAAAGTGAAATTAAACATACAGATTAATCCTTTCACTTGCTATCTATTTAAATGCTTGCGGATGTGCCAAGAAGTCCCTTCTCGAATCTCCAGAGGTAGTTTATCTTTATAGTTAAAGTTTTCAATTAAACCCACTTTTTATTAAATATTAGAAGAAGACTTTTTACTAAAGATTAGAAGACTTTATCTAAATTCCAAGTACATTCTTGTTTATCTCAAACTCCTCAAGACGAATCTAAAAATGAATAGCTGTATCATTTTATCAGAGATATGTCTGTCTTCTAATCTCTAGATGCCAGACTGAGATCTCCTCATTAGTAACTCTTGGAAAGATTGTGCAAAGAGCTTTTGACTTCTTCTACTAGGAGAGGAGAAACCATGGACAATTATTTTTTCCTTGGTAATCTTTCATTCACTCCTGGATGAAGATCAGCTGCAACAGGTATGGCCAGAAAGTTATTAAGTAAATGAAGATACACATGGTTAAAAAGAAGATGCAGAAATGAAGAGTACAGTATAAGTGATGAGGTCAAATTGCTGGAGTAGGGAGAATAAAGACACTCTGTGTAGGAAAACCTAGCAAAATAAATGAGAGATGAGATCCTGCTTTGGACTGTGAAGACAATAGTTACCATTCACATCACCTATTTGAAGGGGGCAAAAGCAGCAACAATGAACTGTCTTGGTTTGGAGTATTTAGCCATCTTATCAGGAACTCCTGCTAAATAAACATTCCAACACTTGGGAAGTTGATTTAAATTCATCATGTACTTGGACCATAGGTATTTTACTTATTATTGCATATTTAGCTCAGCACCATATAGAGACAGTTTTTGAGGCTCTTCAAATGATAATGTGAATTATTTAAAGTTGCTAGGGAATATTATTTGGTTTCTGCAAAATCAGACCATAAATTACTTTTGCAAAAATATTTAGTGAAAAAGATTTCACCTAATCTTGAAGAATTAAAGAGTTTGATTAGGTGTAAAACAAACTCAAAATAGATATATTGATCCTAGCCTCCAAAAACCAGTTTTGTGTTTGTTATTTAATTAAGTCATATTATGGGCCCATAGAGAGTAGGAGTGAGGTATTCCACCATTTTACTTGTACACACATGGGCATGTGTCTTTATGGCAGAATGATTTATATTCCTTTGGGTATATTCTTAATAATGTGATTGCTATGTTGAATGGTAATTCTGTTTTAATTTTTTTGAGAAATTTTGATTCTCAAAAATTTAAACAGCCTTCCACAATGGCTGAACTAATTTACATTCCCACCAGCAGTGCATAAGTGTTCCCTTTACTCTGCAACTTCCCCAGCATTTACTATTTTTTTACTTTTTAATAATCGCCATTCTGACTGCTGTGAGAGGCATTTCATTGTGGTTTTGATTTGCATTTCTCTAATGGTTAGTGATAATTGAGCATTTTTCCATATGCTTATTGGCTGTGCATATGTCTTCTTTTGAAATGTGTCTGTTCATGCCTTTTGTCCCATGTTTTAATGGGGTTGTTTGACTTTTGCTTGTAAATTTAAGTTCCTTATAGATTCTGGATATCAGACCTTTGTCAATTCATAGTTTGCAAAGGTTTTCTCCTATTTTGTAGGTGGTCTGTTTACTATGTTGATAGTTTTTTTCTTTTTTTACTGTGCAGAACTTTAGTTGAATTAGGTCCGACTTGTACATTTTTGTTTATGTGATCATTTTTATGGGGCCAAACTGTAGATATACTTGTTCTGGTAAGTTCCAAATGTTCATTTCCAAGTGTCTGTGGAACATCTCCATTTGGATATCCCCAACACCTCTAATTATATATGGCCAGGATTCAATTTATTATTTTCCATCCCACACATTTTCCCTACTCTTTTGTTCTCCATTTACCTTAATGGAATCACCTTACTCAATATATTAAAGCTCAGAATATAGTATGATCCATCAGTGATGAAATATCTTCCATGGCTATTTTTACCTGTTCTTAGACAATGACAACATTGTCTATTATATTAAGCTCTTACTTCGTCATATTAACACAATTGCGTTTTCCTATCAGCATGTCCCTGGTTCAACTCATCTTCCACCTTGCTGTGATATTACGCTCCCTGAAGTACAGCTCTGATCAATTCACTGTACTGTTCAAAGACCTTCAACGTCTCTCCAGAGTAGGTAACTTTTGAGATTGTGCTTGGAAGATGATGTTCTCTTAGAGAAGGTGAGGGCATACTAGTATGAACATGAGTAGAACTTTAAAAGAACTAGTATATAGTCTGATGTCCCTAGAGAGTAGACGAGAGAGAGAGAGAGAGAGAGATTGAGAGAGAAATGTTTTATACTTCATATCCGTGTGTCCAATCTAGCTCAAATACCACCATCTCCAAAACATTTTCTCTGGTGCTACAAGTGGAAATTGTTCCTTCCTCCAAGTACAACCTGGATCCCTGCACATCCTGCATTGTATTAAAGGTATTTGTGTACATGTTTTATGTTCATTAAGGTGCAATAATATATCTGTATGGAGAGTGTGTGTCAGGTTCATGTTATTCATCCCCCAAAGCACCTTTTTAAATGAAAAACTAAAAGATGCAGTTATTATGAATAATGGAGTGAATGACAGCTATTCTTGCAGGAAAGAAAATAATAAATATTAGTCTGTCCTAAGATAGAACTGATACTTTCAAAAATTCCAAAATATTTTAAGAAAAATTACCAAAAATTATGTAAACATTACACAGAAGAAAACTTTACAGAAATCATAAATTTCAGTAATAAAACCATTAGAAGCTTTTTAGGTTTCCACTGGTCATCAACTATTATATGATTGTTGAATGAACCTTAAAGGAATTAAATTCAAATTAGAAAAATGAAACAGTTCTGAATACTGAATTCAATCTAATGTAATAATGATTATCATTATGTACAAATTATGAAATTTTATCCTTTTGCATTCTTGCCATTCCATTTTTGCATTTGGGTTTGCCCAATGTAATAAGTTGGTTTCAATTTTTGAATTGCTTTATAATAGAATGTTCTTGCTGTGTTAAAATAGTCCTCTCATTATGCTATGGAGGAATTCAGTGTCAGGGATCTTGATTGGGAGTATGAAGGTATAACTTATCTTGCATATAGGAGTAACCTTTGGTTAGCTCAGACTGGACTATCCATACTGTAGGAAATTGTGCTTTAACACTTATCAACAAAACTGCAGTATATATTCTGCTGAAAGCACATGTTCTTCTTTATTGTTTTTTTGGTTGATTCAATCTCTCAGTCTAATTTTACTTTACATTCAGGCTGCACCACATTAGGAATATAATATAATGACTTAACCACATGTTCTTTCTTGAGAGAAAGTAGCTCTGATTTTGAGTGCTACTCGGCTTTATATAGTCAGTTTAACAAAGTGAAGGCTGCCAAGAACAGCTAAAGAAATCGAGATGGGAAACCTAGATAGCATACATATCCTGCTGCCTTCTCAAGTGACCCAACATGTATGAAAATGCTGTACAAATCTTAAATAACCATCCCAATATATTCCACAAAATAACCATAAACTTTCTCCTCAATCAAGTGAAACAATGGTGTAGTGGAACAAGCACTTGACTAACAATTGTCAGATCTAGGTCTGTAGGCATCTCCTGTAACAACTTATGTACCCTGGGAAATGTACTCACCATCTCAAAGCATTATTATACTCAACATCTCTTTTTAACTTTTGGTTAGCTTCCTTTTCTCCTTCTTTTGGTACAACATTCTGACCTTCGTTGAGGAATTCCTCCTCCCTTGAGTCCATGGGTTTATAAGGTGGAGTTGACTACACTTCCTTTGCACAGTTGATGGGCTTGGGACCCAGGCTGGTCATCTAATCTCAAGGACTTTTTAGCCCAGTATTACAGCTGACATTATTGGAAAAATGATATTATATGTTTGGAGTTGATAGAAGTTATGATGTTTGCTCATTGTGGGTATACCTACATTAGAACAAAGCAAACAGAACAGATAAGGCATGATCAGTCAGCTGAGTCAGTGCCCTGAGGTTGCCATTTGATGCACAGTTGTAACTGGGAAACATGCTTTGCACTTTCCAGTAGGTAAATCAATAAAATACATTTTATGTTTAACATATTTCAAATGTCTGAAGTTAGACTTTTGCTTTCCTCAAATGTTAAATAAGAATAATGCTGCGTTCTAGTGTATAATAGTGCAGCATTTTTGAAGTAGTTTTAAAAATTAATTAAATTAATAAAGAGAAAATAAAAGTAAGCAAAATAGTGTTATCATAGCATTTAGTATAAGGGACATAAATGAATATATCTTTAATGTTTAGTAAAGTTTAAGGCATCAGTTAAATAAAAACTAATATCAAAAATAATTTGATCTTCCAGGCTGATTTTATTATTATCCATGCACTGGGATATAATTGCTTTCAAATTTAAGTTAAAAATAGCGGTTTTCTTTCATTGTAATAATGGTAAATTAGGTGTTGCCTCTTGAATTAGATGATCTCTTTAAGAGGGTGGACAACTATCTTCAGGGTAGATTATTATGAAGTTAGGCATTTCTACAAGTTACAATTTTTTATTAAAGCATTGAGAAAATGTGAATTTTGTTCAGCATTTTCCATATCTAAAAACCCAACAAGGCAGCAGTAAGCCCTCCCTTCTTCTACATATTTTTTTAAAATGTCTTTTAATCTCTCCTTATTGTACAGTCTAGATTCTGGAAGTACTAGAGTGCACAATAGGTTTTTGTTTGATTAATTTCAAATTACTTTATAATCCAGTAAAATTTGGCTCCTGTTTTCACCACTACAGTGAATTTGTTGCCAAGTTGCCCAGGGACCTTCTATTTACAAAATTAAATGAACAGTTTTAATCTTCATTGGAACAGAACTCTTTGCTTCACCTGACATGCTTCTTAAATTTCTTGGTGTCTCTTGCTCCCTTGCTGCTTTTGAAGAGTCAGGCAGCCATATTGGGGAATCCAGTGGAGCTAAGAATTATGAATGGCCTCCTGAAACTAAGGCCAGAAAGAAAGCTTATAAGCAAATGTGTCTATGTATAAAAATTAAGTATTCAGTACAGGTGAAGCCACAAATCAACAGAGGTCATAGATTATTGAGTATATAATATTTAATGCATGAAAAAAGCATAACCAGATCCCTTATCAACATCCTATACAAAGATCAACTTGGATACATTAAAAACCTATATGTGTTACAAAACATTGAAGAGAGAAATAAAAAGCATCTAAATAAATGCATAGATGTTCCATGTTTAGAGATGGATGATTCAATATTGTTAAGACGCCAGTTTTTCCAAACTCAATCTGCAAAATCAATACAATTTAATCAAAATCTCAGCAAGCTAGTTTGTAGATTTCAACAAGCTGATTCTAAAATTTATATGGGAAAGCAAAAGGCCTAGAATAGCCAACACAATAATGAAGAAAAACAGAGTTGGAGGATTCACATCACCCAATTTCAAGATTTACTATAAAGCTACAGAAATCTAGAAATCTACCATCTGGTGGACGAATAGGCACAAAGATCAATGAAACAGAATAGGGAACCGATAAATAGACCCACACAAATATAGTCAACTGATATTTAGCAAAGATTCAAAGGCATTCAATGGCTAAAGGATAATCTTTTCAACAAATTGGATAATTTGTTGAACAAAATGACACTAGAAAGGGACTTACACATTTTTTACAAAATTTAAATTATAATAAACATAGACTTATATGTAAAACACAATATAAAACTTCCAGAAGAAAATTTTTAAAACGAAATATATACGTATATTATATATAACCTTTCGGTTGGTGATGAGCTTTTAGATGAAACACCAAAAACATCATCCATGAAAGAAAAAATATATGTTGAACTTTAATAAATTAAAAACTCCTGCTTTCTGAAGAATACTGTCAAGAAAATGAAAAGATAAGCCATGAACTGGGAAAAAATATTTGCCAAACACATATCTGATAGAGGATTTGTATCCATAATATACAAAGATTTCTTGAAACTCAAGAATAAGAAAAATAGCCCAATTTAAAAGGGGTAAAATATTTGAACAAACACTTCACTAAGAAGATATACAAATAGAAAATAAGGATGTAAAAATATTTTCAACATAATTGTCTTTAGGGAAATGCATATTAAAACAAGACACAACTACACAGGCATTAGAATGGCTAAAATCCAAATAAGACTGACAATAGCAATTGCTAGCAAAGATGCTAGGTAATGGAAATTCATTCATTGCTGGTGGGAGTACAGACTGGTAGCCTAGAAGACAATCTGGTGGTTTGTTACAAAGCAAAACACTGTCTTACCATATCATTGAGCAATTGCTGAATTTGCTTGGAAAAAGCTGTCCACACAAAAAAAACAATTCAGTTCATAAACAATCACCGAAAACTGGAACCAAACTTCCTTCAGCAGATAAATGGTTAAAATAACTGACACATTCACACAATGGAAAACTACTCAGCAATAAAAGGAATGAGCTATCAAACCATACAAACATACATATACATCTTAGGTGCTTACTGAAAAGTAAAAGAAACCGGTCTGAAAAGGCTCTTTCCTGCATGATTCTATGTAGTTGGCCTTCTGAAAAAGCAAAATACAGAGATGACAAACTGGTCTGTTGTTGTCAAAAGTTTGGGAATGGGTGATAGGGTGGGCGGTGGTGGTGGATGGTTTGGGGATGAAACTATTCCATCTCAGATCATCAGGCATTAGTTAGATTCTCATAAGGAGCACGCATCCTAGATCCCCCGCATGCACAGTTCACAATAGGCTTCCTGTTTCTATGAGAATCTAATGCTACTGTTGATCTGACGGGAGGTGGAGATCAGGTGGTAGTGCCACTCCAGGGGTGTCTAACAGACCACGGACAGGTACAGGTTCTCCGCCAGGGGTTTGGGGACCCCTGATATGGGAATTCTTTGTATTATTTTCATATTTTTTTCTGTAAATTTAAAACAATTCTAAAAATTTTAGAAGTTTATTAAAGATATATATTTGAAAGGAAAAATTATGTGTGCGTTGTGTGTATATTTATATTTTAGACCCAAGATTAGAAAATAACTTTAAAAAAAACTTCCAAAGCACAACCATAGGGGGAAAAAAGAGATTAATTTTATTAAACCAATATTTACGCTTTCTGTCAATGAAGGCAATTTTGGTCAAAGTTAAATAGAGAAGACAAAATAAGAGAAGGTATTTTGTAAGGCATAACATTTACAAAGGGATGATATATAATGATAAGGATTTCTTACAAACCAACCAGAAAGAGATAGCAGCTATAATGGAAGAGCTGGTAAAGACCATGACCAGGCAATTTGCAAAAAAGAAAACCCCCAAATCCAACACCCACATAAAAAATGTTCAAAACCATGAATAATCCAATAAACACAAATTTAAATTACAACATGTTATTTCCTAAAGAAAACACTAACAAACTAGAAAGCTGGATGATACAAACATTGGTGCTCATGAAACTAGGGTACATTCAGTGGAGATTGCTGATATATTTTAGTCAAATATAGGAGATGAATACCCTATAAGTCTGACTTCTTGCTCCATAGTGCATATCCCAAAGAAATCACTCACATGCCCATACATCCTTAGACAAATAGTTATATGTTTTTCTTTTTGAAGATGTTCCTGTAGCACCATTTGCATGGCGGAAAGTTGGAGGTAACTCGGGTCTGCATCGTAGGAGACTGACATCATTGGGAGAATTAAAATGTGTTGGAAGAGTGCAAGTAGAACAATGTGGACAGAGCTTAAAAACAGAGTGCTTGATGAAAAACAAGCAAAGAAACAACAACAACAAAAAAAAAAAAAAAACAAAAACAGAATGAGGTACACAACTCTGTGTTCTTTACTTGATTTAAAAATACCTAGCAAGCAATACTCATTTAGCATGAACACATACAAACAAAACACACCAATAAAAGCAAGAGATGTGTCCTGTATGCATCAGTAATGACAAGGAACCATTAATTAAGAAAGGTAATAGCTCGAAATAGTGAAACCTAATGAGCAACAGGGACATGTGAGTAGAAGTCATTATTTTAGACGGAAAAACTAGTCTATACTCAGTTAAGCAAAGCATAAACTGAGTATATGGTTAATATAGTTTTATTTTAAAATTTCAGTAGAAATTTTAAGAATGTCATTGAAACTTAATACTATCTGGACTTTTGAAATATTCTTATCGATCATCCTTATCAATATGAAATATGCTAATTAGCTTACAAGAGTTTGATTAGGGAGATAAAGAGAGCTTATATTTCATCCCTGTCTTTGTAAGTTATATATAGAAACAAAAAAAGTCTTGGGCTTATGAAGGGAATGCAAGTTGCAGATAAATGAAAAAATAAAAGATTAAAACAAAGGGATTTTAAGGATGTAGATGTCCAATAGCCTAATTATACAGTGACCTAACCAAGCAGAGGATTTGATGTGAATATAAAAGACACTAATATGACGAGCCATCCTCACAAAGACAAAGACACAGCAAATTAATTAGGTGAATACTTTCTTCTGGTGTTTTCTTAACAATATTTTTCAAAAATATCATTAAGCTTCCAGTTTTAAGAATGATTTCTCATTGTAAGTCATCTTTTTGGTAATTATTGTTATTTTGTAAATGACCACTTGCATAGACAAATTGTTATTTATGTTAGACCAGCAACCAAGAAGTTTGATGTAATTTAATTTATTAGCTACTTTTTCGGTAGATGTTTGCTAAGTAACAAAACTACTTCTAATAATTACCTCAGTCCTGGTAGCTACCCTTTTCCCAACAAAATAAATATAACTTATTCTCTATCCAGCTAGGGGGATCAAGATATACAAGACCTTTGATCATCTATCCAGTCTTTGCCTACTTCTAGTCTAGGGTTTCTCAACCTTGACACAATGGATATTTTGGGCTACATAATACTTTGTTGTAGGGGACTGTTCTACACATTATAGGATTTTAGTAGCATCCCTGGACTTTACCCACTAGAAGCCAGTGGCAAACCCTCCACCTCTGGTTGTGACCAAAAAAGTCTCTAGGCCTTGCCAAATGTCTCCTGGGATGCCATATCACACCTAATTGAGAATCACTGCTTTTAGACTCGTATTTCACAATTACTCTTGTTTTACTGCTGCCTTAAAAATGATCACAATTTAGTACCTTAAAACAACACTAAATTGTAATCTCAGAATCTATAGGTCAGGAGTTCAAAATGGCGAGGCTAGTTTTTCTGTTCCTGGTTTCACAAGGATGAAAACAAGGTCTCGGCTAGTTGGCTCTTATCAGAAGGGTCTGAAAGGAATCAGCTTCCAAGCTCATTGAAATTGTTGGCTGACTCCAGTTCCTTACATCTGCAGAAATGAGGTCCTCATTTTCTTGCTGGCCTTCAGCTGGGGGTCAGTTGTAGCTTCTAGAAGGCATCTACATGGCTTATTCCTGCCCCCCTTTCATTTTCAAAGCTATTTAGAGTGGGTCAATTCCTTCTCATGCTTCAAATCATTCTAACTTCTGCTTCATTCTCCTCTCTTGGCTGCAGCTTTCTTACTCCAGCTGGAGAAATTTCCCTGCTTTTAATGGTTCAGACAATTAGATCTGGCCCTCCCAGATAACCCAGGACACTTTCTTTATTTTCAGAAATGTAATTACCCCTGCAAAGTCTCTTTGAGTAGCACCTAAACGCGTGCCTGATTGAATAATCAAGGTATACAATTTTGGGAGGACATCTTAAGAATACAGCCCATCCCAACTCCCCACCTTAAATACTAAAAGTCAACTGAATGATCTACAGTGATACGAACATGTTTTCTCAAAGCTTCTGAGTTGTCATACCTTCTGGTCCAAGGCCCTATCTTTGCTTGACTCATCTTTAAATGTTCTGCTAAGATAAAGGCTTCAGGGAGCCTCTTCTGACCGTAACATTAGGTGATGATCCTATGCACATCCGGAGAATTCTGTTCTTATCTGAATTATAGCACTTGACTCATTACATTGAACTTATCTACTTAATTAGAACATAGTGGAAATTCAATAAATGGTTGTTGAGTTAATAAAAAGAGCCTATCTACTTGAATTTTTGCCAGAAATGCAGAGCATTTAAAGGATAAATGGAATATTTAAAAATTTCTATGCATTTTAAAGAGCATTTCAGTACTTTTACCTATTAACAAGTATCATAAGTTTTATTTACTTTAATCTAAAACTATTGTTAATATGCATTTTATCCCCATATATGAAATCTGAAGAATCTAAAGCTATTTTGAACCTATATAGGCCTCAAGATTTAGGCCACTAGAATTGGACAATCTAGCCTTTCACACCTTCTGTTGACAACTATAGATCTTGTCTTTATTTTTCTGGGTGCCCTTTAACCATAAAGGTTATTTAATTGAAACAAGACTCTTCTCTATCTGCTTTACTTTGGTGCAACCTGAAACTGCAACTGAAAGGCAATATTGTTTTAGTACTGTATTCCAACTCTGCTGATTGTTTTGTTTGTATTTTAAAACTGTAATAGTGGAACAGGTTGAAGCATGCATTTCTGCAGAAGACTTGTCCTCAAAGGACCAATTTTAAAAATTATTCTGAATACCTATTATAAATAATTTTAATATGTAGAACAATTAATAATTAATAACTTGTTTCCCTTTCTTTGTTTTCCTTTCTTCCCTCTTGTTATTCCTTTTCTTTCCCTTCCTAAAAAGCGAAGTCCAAAAGCCATTAGGTAGGGCTGAAGGGTGAAGAGTTGGGGGCTGATCAGTATAGGGCATCTAGATGAAGTAGGGTAAGGTGGCGACCCTACAGGGTGCAAACCACAGTGACATGTCAGAGCCCAATCAGGGTAGGGAGGATATCCATACAACCCACTAGCCTAGCACAAAGTGTTGGTGCCATTTTTGCTACTATAAATACACAAATCAGGTTTAAAATAATTGCAGTGAAATAAATAAGTCATACAAAAGCAACTCACAAGTTTAGTATCAGTGAGTAAAACAGTTTCATTTGCCTGATAATTGAGAAAGATTTGTAGATGTATCCAAGCCTTGAGTCCTCCCAGAACAAAGTCCCTAAATTGTTTCCTAACTCTACATGGTGACTACTTGCCCGAGAAAACACTTAGCCCAAGGCAGGTATGAAAGAACTGCCTACATTGGCATTACTCTGGAGAGGACTCTAAGTATCTTTCAACTTATCTCCCATGAAAAAAATTATGCCAACTCTTCCACCAAGACATTCAAAATTTCCTCTCCTTCAAGGTTTAATATGTCATCTGATTATTCCAAAAGTATATTATGCCATAAAACAGAAATAAGGGAGCCAGTGTGCCTATTCTAGATAATTCAACAATACATAATTCATATGTCTTCAGATCTACCTAATCTCCTACAATTTTCTGACCTTTTCTCAGAATTTAAATCATTTAAAGAAAGCGTTCATGACAATATCTCAGAATCACTCAGAAGACCTGTAATGTTCTTTTCTGAGTTTCACCTAGAAAACAAGAATATCTCTTGAAGAATTAAAAACGTGTTCCTCAGAATAGCTAAGCAGCGTTAATGACATAGAAGACTCTCAACAAGTGGCTGTTACATTAATTGAAGTAAACTGAACTGAAGCTTTTAAAAACATTTTATTATGAAAGTACAGCTATTTAGCTTATAAGAGGAAAGAATCATCTTGTGTATCTTATAAAATGGACACTATTGTTATTTGTACCTCAAACTTAATCTTGGGAAAGCATAACCAGTTGTAGAACCTTATTCCTCTTCTGCTATATTGTATCATATAATACAAGTTTCCAAAGGTGAAAAGTGGCTTCTTCTCTTATTTATTTATTAATATTATTAGATTGACACTGACATGAATGATACCCTCAAAAATCATACTGTATAAACCAGAGTTTTGCCTCATTTGGAAGCCAGATTGTCTTGGTAAAATAACAACATGCACATAATAGATGGTTTATGCATCTGAAGAAAATAAAAACTTAGATATTTTAATATCTTAGTTGAATTTATAAATGTGGCAGTTTTTACTGCACATTATCAGTCAATAGGAACAACAGCAGATTCTGGAAGTGAATTCTACAGAGTGGTATGACAATTACTGTTATATATCTCAGCAATCTTCTAATAAATAATATGAGTCTTGTTTGCATTTATCAGAGTGATCCTTAAGCAAATACCCATGTGAGAAAGCAAGCTTGCATATTTATAAGACTTAATTTACATATAACTACACATAAAATATTCTATTCCTTTGTAAAATACTTCTTTATAATTTCCATTAAAATCATCATGTAATTATACCAGAGATACAAACCTAACAAAAATTATGCCAAGCATTATTAGAGGGAGTGCTTTTCAATTGCAAGGGCATCTGTTCTGTGAGAATTTTCTGGTTTCAATTTCTGTTACATCCAAAAAAATGAGATAAATAAGGACTTTGTCCCTTACAAAGGATTATGTCCAAAAGGTCATCCACAAAATTATTTTTTAAACTGGAATAAAAATGATTGTAATAAATTATTAACATGGATATTATAAACAATAAACAGGGCTATAAAGAAAGATGGAGTTTCTATTTCAGCCTTGGAGTATAAAAAACTGTTATTAGAAATACATAGCATCACTGGTGCTTCGACAACTACTCAGTCGTTCATTTAGCAAGGCTTCTTACTGTGTTTCAAAACCTGTGCTAGGCACGGGGGAGATGGAGATGAATGCCCGAATTCTGTAGAGCCTATCCCAAGTAAATTGCATGGACAAAACCAAAAAATAAATAAATATTTGTTTCACAATATAGGGTACTGAGCCCAGTGACTTTGTCAAAGAAAGACTGAGTCTTGAAGGATTAATGAGAAGCGTCTAAAAAATAATAGAGGAGTATATTTTAAGCAGAGGGAAAAATGTGTTAGAAAGTTGCCACAGAGAATAGAATATTATCAGAGAAATATATCAGTTGAAGATGTTGGGAAAATAGAGCCCACAAAAAATATATATATATGAGAGAAGCAGATATAGACGCTATTCTAAGGAGACTGGTGTTTGTTTTGAAGGGTCTGGGACAGTACTAATGTATTTTAATTGGATGAGTGTTATATTAATATTTATGTTTCGGAGAATTATTCTGCAGAGCTGTGGTTCTCAAAGTGTGGTCCCTGCATCATCAGCATCAGCATCAATTGGAAACTTGTCAGAAGAGAGAATTCTCAGGTGCCACAGACCTCCTGTATTAGTCATGGCTGTTCAGAGGCACAGAACCAATAGGATATATGTACGTATGAGAGGGAGTTTATTAGGGGGAACTGGCTCACACAATTACAAGGTGAAGTCCCATGATAGGCTGTCTGCAAGCTGGGGAAGAGAGAAGCTGGTAGTGGCCCAGTCCAACTCCGAAGGCCTCAAAACCATGGAAGCAGACAGTGCAGCCTTCTGTCTGTGGCGGAGGGTCCCTAGAGCTACCAGTAGGCTGCTGGTGCAAGTCCCAGAGTCCAAAGACCAAAGAACCTGGAGTGTGATTGATATTCAAGGGCAGAAGAAGTGGAAGGAAGCATCCAGCATGGGGAAAAAAGAGACTCAGCAAGCAAAGTTATGCCACCTTCTTCTGCCTGCTTTGTTCTAGCCACAGTAGCAGTTGATTGGGTGGTACCCACCCACATTGAGGGTGGGTCTCCCTCTCTCAGTCCACCGACTCCAATGTCAATCTCCTCTGGCAACACCCTCATAGAAGCACCTAGAAACAATACTTTACCAGGCATTTAGGCATCCTTCAATCAAGTTGACACCTAATATTAACCATCCCACTCACCTTTGACACAGCAATCCATGTTTTAGCAAGTCCTTCATGCGATCTCATTCACTCTCTAATCTGAGAACCGCTAGTGTAGAGAATGGAATGGTGCAGGCTGTTTCAGCAGGAATATTTTCAGCTACCGGAAATTAAAAACATGATCAATAATAGCTTAAACAAGAAAGGGGTTTGTTTGCATTTAACAAGCAGCATTCCCAAGAACGGCAGTCCAGGGACGGCATGGTGGCCAGACAATGCCACTAAGAACATAGACTCCTTCTACTAAAACCTTCCTACTTCATTGTTATCAGAAGGGGTTGTTCTCAGAGTTATGCAATGGGTTCCAATTCTGGGATCTATGACTGCTATGTTCACAGAAAAAGAAGCTGGGAAAGGGTTTTGTCTCCCGTGGCTTTGCTTTTGTGACAATGAAACAAAAGTAGAAGCCTCTTAATGCACTTCTGCCCATATCTGATTGGTAAAAACCATACCTAGTGCCTCTCTAGCTACAAAGTTGCAACTTTGGTAAAAGGAAAATGGCTATTCAGTTAGTAAGCTCTCAATTTTCTCAATTACTGGGTACACACTTTTTCCTAAGCTAAATACCTCTGTGAAGTATATGTATTTTAAGTTGTCTTTTTTAATAGTGCATCCGGAATTGGTTTCTTTCGATGGGTTCTTGGTCTTGCTGACTTCAAGAATGAAGCCGCGGACCTTCACGGTAAATGTTACTGCTCTTAAAGATGGCGTGTCCGGAGTTTGTTCCTTCAGATGTTTCCAGAGTTTCTTCCTTTTGGTGGGTTCATGGTGTCGCTGACTTCAGGAGTGAAGCCACAGACCTTCGCAGTGAGTGTTACAGCTCTTAAAGGTGGCACGTCCAGAGTTCTTTGTTCCTCCTGGTGGGTTTGTGGTCTTGCTGACTTCAGCAATGAAGCTACAGACCCTTGTGGTGAGTGTTACAGCTCATAAAGGTAGTGTGGACCCAAAGAGTGAGCAGCAGCAAGATTTATTGTGAAGAGCGAAAGAACAAAGCTTCCACAGCAGATTGCGGCTGCTAGCTCATTTGGCCCCGTCCACATCCTGCTGATTGGTCCATTTTACAGAGTGCTGATTGGTGCGTTTAAAATCCTTTATCCAGACACAGAGTGCTGATTGGTGCGTTTTTACAGAGTGCTGATTGGTGTGTTTACAATCCTTTAGCTAGACACAGAGTGCTGATCGCTGCATTTTTACAGAGTGCTGATTGGTGCATTTGCAATCCTTTAGCTAGACACAGAGTGCTGATTGGTGCGTTTTTACAGAGTGCTGATTGGTGTGTTTACAATCCTTTAGCTAGACAGAAAAGTTCTCCAAGTCCCCACTCAACCCAGGAAGTCCAGCTCCCTTCACGTCTCAAGAGGACAGAAGCAAAACTTGAATAGTGAAGCCCTATTCTCCTTGCCAGATCCTTAGTAATTCTTAACTATTAGCCACCTAATAATGCCAGGATTCTCCTAACAGATTCCTATGAGGGGATATTAGAGAACTCCTGAATATGTCTATGATGATTCATAAAAACACTGTAGACTGTGTGGATTAATTCTCAAAAACCTGAGATGACAACCTAGAATTACTATCAGCGTCCCAGCAACTATCTCTGGGGTGATTCATGGAGAACCACCTAATGTAAAAATTCTCCCTTTGAATCACTTTGTTTCTCACTGAAATCTGGCAATTTCTGCTAATCAAAATGAGCTGTCCTGCTTTTGTCCTGAGAGTTGACAAATGCATGCAACAATGAACACACATTTGATTTAATAATCTTTCTTCATATGCTTCTCTATAGCCTTTTCCATGATCGGAGGTATTGGTTTCAAGTATGAAACAAGTACAATTATCTTCATGTATTAGCTAGCAAAGCTCTTGTGATGAAAATGAAAATCATTCACTCCTAGAATCTGACATTTGCAAACTGCTAAACAATTTGCATATTGGTAGAAAGTAAGAATCCCAGCTCTTTTTTCCCGCAAATTCCCTATAACGCTTAACATGAGCATTAAGAATTTAAGTTACTTAACAATCTTTGAGAGATCCTAGAAATAAAACCCCCAAGTCCTATGGGTTCATGCTGAACTCTATCACTGGCTATGATGACGAGTGGGCCTGAGTTAGTAATTAAGAACAGAGAAATAGGAGACTGTGAGCAAACACTATTTAATCAAGAAAACAAGCAGCATCATTCAGTCTCCACTGAACAAATGCAAATACCTTAAGAAATATGTTGTCCTGGATAAAATTCAAAAACATTTGGGAGACTAAAACCTTACATGTTATAATTACACACATACACTGACAGGAGGGATGAACATAAACAACAGCACTAACCATTGCTCTTTAATTGAAATTAAAGACAATTTTAAAACTTCATATCACTGAGCAAAAGGCAAGAGTATCAACTTTAATTTCAAAATCATTATCAATAGTGTATAACACATTGTCAAACAAACGCAATTCTCTTGCTGTGCAGTCTGCTCCTATTGGCATTTGGCAGTCTGAACACACAGTCATGCTATCTAACACTCATATTTCCAAACATAACAAAAGGAGAAAAAACTCTGCAGATTATTAGAAAATATTAGCCAGCATGATTATCTGTGGATACATTTAAGTGAATTTGGACAAGGGACAAACTCTAAGCCTACTTTCTTCTTTAATCATATTTTTATGATTATATGTATATCCAATGAGATGTACTTTGATCAGATAATTATAATTTATGGAAAGATGAAGAGTTTTTGAAAGAATATATTTACAGACATACCTCATTTTATTGTGCTTTGCTTTATTGTGCTTTGCAGATATTGTGATTTTTACAAATTGAAGGCTTGTGGCATCCCTGTGTCGAGCAAGTCCATCAGTACTGTGATTCCAACAGCATGTGCTGTCTTCATGTCTCTGTGTCACATTTTAATAATTCTTGCAATATTTTAAACTTTATTATTATTAATATATCTTTTATGTGATCTGTGATCAGTGATCTTTAATGTTACTATTGTAATTGTTTGGGGGCGCTACATACTACATCCACATAAGACAGTCAATGTACTCTATAAATGTTGCTCATGTTCTGAATGATCCATGGACCCACAATTCCCTGTTTCTCTTTCTCTCTCTCTCTCTCTCTCGTTCTCTCTCTCTATGGTCCTTCCTATTTCCTGAGAAACAATAATATTGAAATTAGGTCAATTAATAACCTTATAGTTATTAAGTAAGGTTATTAATAACTAAGGTTATTATTAAGTGTGGAAGTGTGGCATCTAAGTTTCTAAGTGTGGAAGTGAAAAAGAGTAATGTGACTCTCTAAATCAAAACCTAGAGATGATTAAGCTTAGTGAGGAAGACATGTCAAAAGCTGAGAAAGGCCAAAAGCTAGGCCTCTTGGATAAAACAGCCAAGATGTGAATGCAAAGGAAACACTCTTGAAGGAAATGAAAAGTGCTACTCCAGTGAACAAATCAATGATAAGAAAAGGAAATACCTTATTGCTGACATAGAGAACGTTTTAGTGATCAAGGTTGACGATCAAACTGGCTACAACATTCCCTTAAGCCAAAGCCTATTCCAGAAAAAGACTCTAACTTACTTCAATTCTGTGAAGGCGAGAGAGGTGAGGAAGTTGCAGAAGAAAAGTTGGAAGCTAGCCAAGGTTGGTTTATGATGTATAGGGAAAGAAGCCATCTCCATAACATAAAAGTATAGTGTAAAGCAACGAATGCTGATGTAGAAGCTGCAGCAAGTTATCCAGAAGATCTAGGTAAGATCACTAATGAAATTGGCTCTACTAAACAACAGATTTTCAATGAAGACACAACAGTCTCCTATTGGAAGAAGATGCCATCTAGGACATTCATAACTAGAGAGGAAAAGTTGCCTGGTTTCAAAGCTTCAAAGGACAGGCTGACTCTCTTCTTAGTGGCTAATGCAGCTGGTCACTTTAAGTTGAAGCCAAAGCTCATTTCCCATTCTAAATATCCTAGGGCCCTTAAGAATTATGCTAAATATACTCTGCCTGTGCTATATAAATGGAAAAATGAGTCTGGATGACAGCATATGTGTTTGAGGCATGGCTTACTTAATAGTTTAAGTTCTACTCCTCAGAAAAAAAAGATTCTTTCCAAAATATAATTGATTATTAACAATGGACTGGGTTTTCCAAAAGCTCTGATAAAGATATACAAGGATATTAATGTTATTTTTATGCCTGCTAACATAACAGCAATTTTTGACATGTCTTCCTCACTAAGTGTAATCATCTCTAGCTTTTGATTTAGAGAGTCACATTACTCACATACTCTCTATGGCAGTTGTAGTCTTATAATATGCATGTCTTAAATAATAAGATTTGAAAGTTGAAACAACTCCTTGGTTCATGGGCTGCCATAGAGAGTAATTCCTCTGATGAAGTTTGGCAAAGTAAATCGGAAATCTTCTAGAAAAGAATTCACCCTTCCAGATGCCATTGGGAAGAGGTCAAAATATCAACAGGAACAGGAGTTTGGAAGAAGTTGATTTCAACCCTCATGGATGACTTTGAGGGGCTCAAGGCTTAAGTGGAGGAAGTAATTGCAGATGTTATAGAAATGGCAAGAGGACTAGAATTAGAACTGGAGCCTAAAGATATGACTGAATTGCTGCAATCTCATGATAAACTTCAAAGGATGAAGAGTTGCTTCTTATGGATTAGCAGAGAAAGTGGTTTCTTCAGATAGAATCTACTACTGGTGAATATGCTGCAAACATTGTTGAAATGACAACAAAGGATTTAGAATATTACATAAACTGAGTTGATAAAATAGCAGCAGGGATTGAAAGGATTGACTCTAGTTTACAAAAAAGTTCTACTGTGAGTGAAATGTTATCTAACAGCATCACATACTGCAGAGAAATCTTTAGTGAAGGGTCAATCAATGCAGCAAACTTCATTGTTGTCTTATTTTAACAAATTGCCGCGGACATTTCAACCTTCAGCAACCACCACCCTGATCAGTCAGCAGCTGAATCCACATTGAGGCAAGACCCTTCACCAGCAAAGCCATTACAACTTGCTGAAGGCTCACATGATTGTTAGAGTTTTTTTAGCAATAAGATGTTTTTAATTAAGGCGCATATTTTTTAGGTATAATGGCATTGCATGCCCAAAGAGCTATAGTATAGTATAAATATAACTTTTGAATGCACTGGGAAACCAAAATATTCATGACACGTTATTGTGATATTTACTTTATAGCTGTAGTCTAGAACTGGACTCGCAATATATCTGAAGTATGCTTGTATGTGCAAATAAATTTAAGAAGAAAACAAAAGACAAAGAAAGAAGAAAGCATTTTGGATTTTACCTAATACAATTTGAGCCTTTCTTATATATTAGAAATCATTTAAATTTGCTGATATTTAACCATTTTTGGCCTTCCCTGCTATTTTGTTGCTCCATCTGCTATTAGGTGCATTCACACTAGTTTACTAACCGAAATATATATTATTATCACTAGCTTTGTGGATGAGGAAACTGAACTTGGTTAAAATCACAGAATTTTTACACAGAGATGTCAGGTTTAAATTACAGACTATTTCATCTAAAGCGCACCCTCTCTTATTTTTATTCTGGCAGACTTCTCCCAAAGAATCTAAACCTTTCCTAAACAATTCTCAGAAACAAAATGATGAGCTATTTACCTTATCTATTAGCACACTCCTGGTTTTTATTCTTAAGAAGATAAAAATGAGCCTCTCATACATGGTCAGACACTAGTTATTATGTTACATTTTCTCTACCAAGTTAGAAACAATAATAGATTTTCTCTCAGCATTCACGTGAGACTAAAAAGAAAAAAAAAGGTGTTTAAACATGAGGCAGGAAGCATCACTTAGATAAATTCAAAAGTAAAAGGACTCATGTGTCCAAATTCTTAAGAAGAGAAAAAAAAAAAACTAAATATTCTGAAATGTTCCTCTGTGCATACTACTTTCCATGAATTTCAGTTGAGAGTTACTATATGCTATTAAACACCATTTTAAGCAGCAGGTTATACTCCTTGGTATGACAGGGAGCACAGAAATAAAAAGTGAGGAAGAAAAAAACCGTGAAAACATAAAACTCTGAGAGCATTATTTGTCTAGTGTTGTTCATCTACTTACGGACATTAGTAAAAAGCAATTTCAAAAATCTGTGCACTGCCGATCTGGGAACTGAAAAGACATATGGATTTCCCTGGCCTGGGCCGTGCTTCATAGTGATTAGTAAAGTCCTGTTATGTGAACGTTTGAAATGATTCAATCTTGACATTAAACTAATTGACAAAAAAGAAGTTTCATTTGGCAGTATTACCACCCTTGTTGCTATTATTTAGCATTTGTGTGGCATGTTGTTCTTGCATATTTCTCCACAAAATCCTTATATAGTGAGAGCAGTTCTTTTTTTTCTTCATTTACAGATTAAGATTTAAATGATTTCCTTAAGTTAAAAAACTCAAGTATTTTATCAAATCAGGATTCGAATTTAGCATTTTCAGAAATCCAGCCATTTGTTCAGTTTCTTATTTTAATAACAAGCTAAAATGACTAGTTCATTCAACTTTACTCTTTTTAAATCTATACCTCTTGAAGTCTACGTATCTGCTTTGCTAAATATGCCATGCTTTTTATCATTCCAAGTCTTTCTTTTCGTGCTTTGTGACTTATGTATAAGGGAAAGACTAAATGAGTAGTATTTCCCAGATATTAACCAAACTACTCCTTATGGTTGAAGACTACCTGTTTCAGAATGGCATTTACAATACTTGCTTCCATATGCCCCCAGATTCAGATGATCTCTAACAAGCCAGTATTATATTTCATCTCTGTTAAAAAAAATACAAAAAAAGTGCAAACCTTCTCCCACTTCAACATTTTCTCAACATTTTTTCTTGTGAAAATTCTGAGAGCCTTCTTGTCTCATAATTGCCTTCATTTTTCTGATACATAAACTGCACCTCAATATTTCCATTCTGTTAAGGGGAAATCTTTGTGTTATTTTTTGACTGAAATTTCAAAAGCTGATTAGATTATAATTAGCTTGCTATATGCTCCATTTCTTGGTTTCTATTTTGGTTTGGAAAATAAGATTAACAATCTAGATTGGACAGTCAGGTTCCTGTTCTGAAGCTGCTGTATAAGACTTGCCCCATAGGGTAGAGGCAGAAATGTGAAGAGACTTGCCAAAGAGCAAGTCATTTCCACTGTCTCAAAGCTTTATTCTGAGTATCTACAGCCAGACAAAGAGCTTCAGTGACACTGAAGGATTTTGTCAGCTCTGGAGAAGCAATTTTGTTTGTTTGTTTGTTTTTTGAGACGCAGTCTCACTCTGTTGCCTAGGCTGGAGTGCTGTGGCGTGATCTCGGCTCACTGCAAGCTCTGCCTCCCGGGTTCACGCCATTCCCCTGCCTCAGCCTCCCGAGCAGCTGGGACTACAGTCGCCCATCACCACGCCCGGCTAATTTTCTTGTATTTTTTTTAGTAGAGACGGGGTTTCACCTTGTTGGCCAGGATGGTCTCCATCTCCTGATCTCGTGATCCACCCGCATCGGCCTCCCAGCGTGCTGGGATTACAGGCGTGAGCCACCGCGCCTGGCCGGCAATCTTTATTCTAACGAAAAGACTGAACTCTTGTCACAGCCTCAACCATAAATTCATCATCTCATTAAAAGAAACATTACAAACACCAGAATTCCAATAAAACAAACAGATTCCTTAGGAAACCTCTTTTTAACAGAGCAATGTGCCCTACAACACAGTATGAATATCAGAACAATTTGTACTTGGCAATCACATAAATAGTTTAGGGCATATAGCCCTAAAAGTAAATTGTGGATAGCTATTTGGGGGAACAGCACTAAAAGAGTGAACTCTGTCGATGAGATAATCTAGCAATCTTTCCGTTTCAGTGGTAGCTTATTATATGCCTCAATAGAGATTCCACAATTTCTAAATGATTACCAGTAGATGTTATTAAGAAAAAGTGTCTTCAATATGCCATCTCATGTATACCAGAAGGATAAGCTTATTTGTTAGCATCAAAAAGCCTCTTAAAAAAAAAAAGAAAACAACTGTATTTTCCTTTCCAAAATAATGTGAGGAATGTATTCAAAATATGTAAGAAGCTATGAAGAAATTAGTAAGTAAAATGACAATTCAACAACATATTTTATTATGGATTTCAGTTTCTTGTTAACCTAAACTGAATTGAATGGTTTATAGAATCTCCCTAAAGTGGACATATTTGTTTAATTTTGCTTTAAAAATAAAAATGTAGCCCAACTAATGTGTGGAAAAAATGTTAAAAATTTAAATATGCTTCTTGGCCTCTTCCTCTAGAAGATAAGAAAACTATTTGAAACTCAGTAGTTTTAATGATTTCTGGTTAATAATCTTTGACCTTAAGATATGACATTATTTCTACTACTGAAGAGAAAATCACAGATGTAGAATTTATCAATTTACTGCATCTATCCGATTCACATTCTGATTTTGAAAATGAAACAGTATATTATAGTGTCAAAATGAAAGAAAATAAAAAGGCAGCTTTAAGAGCATTTGGATAACTTAACTATAAGTCGCTACAGGCAAAGCTGCTAAGATTTTGTAATTTTTTTTAGTTGGTAGATTTTTTTTTTGCACTTTACTATCTTTCCTAGTTTCACATAAGTACATAAGTGAGAAAAAAGAACTATCCATTACAGAGCCTCTCAAAAAATCATGTTTTGTTCATCTGCCAGACTTTTTCAGCAAATGTGTCTATGATGAATTTTACTCTTCCCCATCCCTCTCTTTTATTCCATCACCATTTGAGAAAATACAGTTGCAGGATTGGACTTAAATAATTTTTTTTGTGGGGGGTGTTCACTGAGAAACCTGGAAGGCCAGATGAAACATACTTATTGCTATTGAAACTATGTAGGAAGAGAAAAATTCAGGAGAAGATGGCATTTATTAAGACCAAATAGTAAATTACTTTCCATTATTTTTTCTCCTCATTCTTTGTAATGAATGATCTGTTTTCCAAATTTCTTTTATAAGATTTGTGTGTGTGAGTGTGTGTGCCTGTGTGTGTTGACATTTTTGATAGTCTTCTATGTAGATTTATGAAAATAATAATGTTTAAAACTAGATTTGTAAACCCAGGAATTATGCTCTTGGACCATGATCTATGATTATGCATTACTCCAACTGGACTGTTCTTCACCAAGAACTTGCCTGCAAATCTCCTCTATTCTCTTAATGTAATAAAAGCCTCTGTTTTCTTCCCCTGTTGCTTCTATAGCCTGAAATCATGCCTACTAATCTTTCTGAGCTTATTTTAACTTTTAAGTCTTGTATTATTTTCCCTATATTTCAATCCCCGGCTCTGCAACAGTCTAAACGCTTTCTTCTCTCCCCACCCTTGGTTACTTTGTGGTGATCAAAGAAAACTGTGTAAGATAATTCACAATATTTCAATAAATACCAACATTATATGTCTTTTTAGTCACTTACTAAAACCTTTCCTTCCAGTTTCAAATGAGCAGATAAAGTAGTCTCCAAATCTCTACTTGACATACTTACCACATTTTGACTACAAATCAAAATGACCAAGACAAACATATATACCCTGTCAAATAAAAGATACTACTAAATTTCTTCTCACATTTCATCTCTGATTGTACCTTCACCATCCGCAAGTTCTCATCGGAGTCCTTTTAAATTTTGACCTCATCCACCACCTTCCAAGATAACTAAAACTCTAGCTCTCCCTTTACAGAGATCAGGGAAACTTGCAAACAATCATCTAAAATACAAAGCAGAAAGAACAATGAGATGTCTCACCTGGAAACTTTGGAATTACTTCCCAACATCTCGTTCTTATTCAGTTTTCAAACCAAATCTGTAACCCAAAAATTATTGTTGAATTATTGTTGAATTTATTTCAACAATTAAATTGATCTCCCAAAGCATGTTCTTTTGATTTCTTGCCTGAAATATTGCAGCAAGTGCATGCTTCCAGCATCTCCTTTGTTTTCATCGGACACCCACATTACCACCACTTGTTTTTTTATAACCTATTCAGTTAATTTTTTTACAAATTTTAATTTTCTAAAACGAGGGTCTACAATTTTGACTGTGTATCTCATTATTTTTAAAAAGTAGAATAGGCAATGTAAACACATATGGAGATATTTATAAGTTGCATATGTTGATGAAAATAGTCAATCTCTGTATTTATTTATTTATTGAAGAGATTTATTCTGAGCCAAATACGAGTGACCAATGGCCCATTATACAACCCCAGGAGATCCTGAGAACATGTGCCACGGTGGTCAGGCTACAGCTTGGTTTTATGTATATATATACATACATACATATATATAACATATAATATATATTTTTATATATTATGTATATTTTATATATTATATATATATTAGTGAGACATAAGACATCAATCCATACACATAAAATGTACATTGGTTATGTCTGGAAAGGCGAGACAAGTCGAAGGTGGGGAGGGGAGTGGAAGAGGGGCCTTCCAGGTCGTAAGTCATAGGTTTTCTGATTCGCAATTGGTTAAAAGGGTTATTATCTAAGACCTGTAATCATTAGAATAGAATATCTGTGTTAAAGGTTTTATCACGCACTTGAAGCCTCCAGGTAGCAGGCTTCAGAGCTCTTTCAGGCCTAACATGATGCCAGACTTTGGTTAATTCTCTCCTGGATCAGAGAAAAGACCTGGAAAGGAATGGGTATTCTCTGTATAATCCAGGTTTTTCTCACAAGAGAAAGCTTTGCAGGGTCATTTCAAAATATGCCAAGTAAGTATATTTTTAGGTAAAATAATTCAAATTTGTTAAGGGTTCACTGTCTGTCATGTGATGCTACACTGGAGTCAAGCTGGAATTTGGTGTTTTATTGCTACAAAAACAAATCTGTTTCAACAGTTTCAACAGTCTTAAGAGTTCTGTTTTAATGTGAATGCTGGTCAGCTGTGCCTGAATTCCAAAGGGAGGCGTATATAATGGGGCATGTCCAATACTGACTCCCCATCACGGCGTGGACTATATTTTTAGGTTTATTTTGAAGTGCCCTTGGCCAAGAGGAAGCATCCATGCCGTTGGTTGGGGGTCTTAGAATTTTATTTTTTGTTTACACATACATGCTGTATTAGTCAGGATTCTCTAGAGGGAAAGAACTAATCATATATATATATATATATATATATTGTGTATATGTGTATATATAGACATACATACACACACACACACAGGGGAGTTTATTAAGTATTATCTCACACAACCACAAGGTCCCACAATAGGCCGTCTGCAGGCTGAGGAGCAAGGAGAGCCAGTCTGAGCTCCAAAACTGAAGAACCTGGAGTCTGATGTTCGAGGGCAGGAAGCACCCAGCATAGGAGAAAGATGTAGGATGGGAGGCTAGGCCAGTCTCTTTTTTCACATTTTTCTGCCTATTTATATTCTAGCTGTGGTGGCAGCTGATTAGATGGTGCCCACCCAAATTAAGGGTGGGTCTGCCTTTCCCAGACTACTGACTCGAATGTTAATCTCCTTTGGCAACAACCTCACAGACACCCAGGATCAATACTTTGTATCCTTCAATCCAATCAAATTGACACTCAGTATTAACCATCACAAGTCGACCCCTTGTCAACTTGAACCCATATACATCTCCTGAGATCATACATAGTCTTCAAATAAAGACAATAAGGTCATAATTACACCTAACGTAATATAACTCTGCTTCATACAATCGGAATCACACCAATCCCCAACCCAAATACTATTACATAAAGTGAACAATACTTAAATGCTGATGTGAGGTCAATAAATCTCATGTCACATGATAAAAGAGAAAGGAAATAAAATGAAGATATTTTCTTGGTACAAGTGTATACATGCACAAACATGTTTTCAACAAAAGGAGGAAATACTCATGGTAGTTACATTCCTCGTTTCTGCAGCTGGTCACCTGGTCATAGCTGTTATCGATGACTACCTTCTTCTACTACCCAGTCTGTATTTCCTTTGTCTTCAGCAAGCACCTCAGCAGGTTGTGGTTTCTTTCCTGGTGGAGTGACCCAAACCTTCATTCCTGAAGGGGCTGGGTCTTTTATACTCCTGCCTGGATTGGACTGTTGTAGTTTCCCATTGACCTTAATCACAGGGCATGGTAATACTAAGAGACACTCTAATAGATCTCTTGTATTCCATGCATACTCTTCCTTACCTCTGTTGTGGAATAGTAGATTGATTTCATCTTCATAGTCTAGGTCAGTTACCCCAGTCAACACTGTATCTCCCTTCTTAGCCTGTTGACTTAAAGGTAGGAGGAGCCCAAGTGTCCAGGTGGCAATCTTAACTTTCACTTTAATGGAATTGTTTCTATCTCTCCTGGTGGCAGCATTCCTCCTTCTGGAACTAAGACCTCTAGGCCAGCAGAACAGAATGTTGCAGGAACAGGAGGCAAAAATTTTGCTAGTGGATCACTAGGGGTGATGGTGAGTGGTGCCACTTCCACTTCTACCCCTTGATTCCTGGACCCATGAATCCTGGCTATGGGAGAAACAGTACCATATATTGGACTGTGATTCAGAGTATACACAGCTCTCTGGAGAACTTTGCTCCAGCCCTGCAAAATATTGTCACCTAGTTGGTGTTGTAATCGTGACTTCAAAAGGCCATTCCACCGTTCTATCTATCCAGCTGCTTCAGGATGATGGAGAACATGGTAAGACCAGTGAATTCCATCAGCATGAGCCCACTGCCACACTTCTTTAGCCATAAAGTGAGTACCTTGGTCAGGAGAAATGCTGGATGGAGTACATGATGGTGGAGAAGGCATTCTGTGAGTCCACGGATGGTAGTCTTGGCAGAAGCATTGTGTGCAGGATAGGCAACCCCATATCTGGAGTAAATGTCTATTTTATGAGGACAAACCTCTGCCCTTTCCATGATGGATGAGGTCAAATAGAATCAACCTGCTACCAGGTAGCTGGCTGATCACCCTGAAGAATGGTGCTATAATGAGGGCTCAGTGTTGGTCTCTGCTGCTGACAAATCGGGCACTCAGTAGTGGCGGTAGCCAAGTCAGCCCTGGTGAGTCACAGTTCATGTTGCTGAGCCCATGCATAACCTCCATCCCTGCCACCATCGTCACTTTGTTCATGGGCCTATTGTGCGATGACAGGGATGGCTGGGGAAAGAGGCTGAATGGTGTCCACAGGACGGCTCATCTGATTATTAAAATCCTCCTCTGCTGAGGTCACCCACTGATGAGCACTCACATGGGATACAAATATTTTCACAGTTTTTGACCACTCAGAGAGGTCCATCCACATATGTCTTCCCAAATTTCTTTGTCACCAGTTTTCCAGTCATGCTTCTTCCAAGTCCCTGACCATCCAGCCAAACCATTGGCTAGCACATGAATCAGTACATAATCTCACATCTGGCCATTTCTCCTTCCATGCAAAGTGCACAACCAGGTGCACTGCTCAAAGTTCTGCCCACTGGGAAGATTTCCCTTCACTGCTGTCCTTCAGGGATGTCGTAGAAAGGGGCTGTAGTGCTGCAGCTGTCCACTTTTGGGTGGTGCCTGCACATCGTGCAGAACCACCTGTAAACTAGGCCCTAGTGTTCCCTTCCTCTGTCAACTGCTCATAGGGAACTCCCTATGAAGCCATCGGTGCAGGCTAGAAGAGAGAAGTCAGGGTGGTAGGAGTGGAGACACTGGGCGTTTGAGCCACTTCCTCATGTAATTTACTTGTGTCTTTAGGACCTGCTCGAGCCCGATCACATACATACCACTTCTATTTGATGATGGAATGCTGCTGTGCACAACCCACTTTATGGCTAGATGGGACAGAAAGCACCCAGTTCATGATAGGCAGACATGGTGACTTGATGCTTGATGACCCATAGTCAAACGTTCAGTTTCCACCAAAGCCCAGTTACAAGCCAAGAGCTGTCTCTCAAAAGGAGAGTAGTTATCTGCAGAAGATGACAGGGCCTTGCTCCAAAACCCTAGAAGCCTCCGCTGTGATTCACCTATGGGAGCCTGCCAAAGGTTCCAAATAGCATCCCTATCTGCCACCGACACCTCAAGCACCGTTGGATCTGCTGGGTTATGTTGTCCAAGTGGCAGAGCAGCTTGCACAGCAGCCTGGACCTGTTGCACAGCCTTCTCCTGTTCTGGACCCCACTCATAATTGGCAGCCTTTAGGGTCACTTGATAAATGGGCTGGAGTAACACACCCCAATGAAGAATGTGTTGCCTCCAAAATCCAAGTAAGCCCCCTAGGTGTTGTGCCTCTTTCTTGGTTGTAGGAGGGGCCAAATGCAGCAATTTATCTTTCACCTTAGAAGGAATACCTCGACAGGCCCCACACCACTGCACCCCTAGAAATTTTACTGAGGTAGAAGGTCTCTAAATTTTAATCGGATTTATTCCCATCCTCTGGCCTGCAAATGTCTTACCAATAAGTCCAATGTGTTTGCTACTTCTTTCTCACTGGATCCAATTAGCATAATGTCATCAATGTAATGGACCAATGTGATATCTTGTGGATATGAAAAGTGACCAGGGTCTCTCCGAATAAGATTATGACAAAGAGTTGGAGAGTTGATATACCCCTGAGGTAGGACAGTAAAGGTATATTGCTGGCCTTGCCAGCTGAAGGCAAATCCCTTCTGGTGGGCGTTATGGACAGGCACGGAGAAAAAGGCATTTTCCAAGTCAATGACTGCATACCAGGTACCAGGATAGGTATTAATTTGCTCAAGTAATGAAACCACATCTGGTACAGCAGCTGCAGTTGGAGTCACCACTTGGTTAAGCTTATGATAATCCACTGTCTTCAAGATACATCTGTCTTTTGCACAGGTCAAATGGGAGAGTTGAACAGGGATGTGATGGGAATCACCATCCCTGCATCTTTTAAGTCCTTGATGGTGGCAGTAATCTCTGCAATCCCTCCAGGGATGTGATATTGTCTTTGATTTACTATTTTTCTAGATAGAGGTAGCTCTAATGGCTTCCATTTGGCCTTTTCCACAATAACAGCCCTCACCCTACGAGTCAGGGATCCAATGTGGGGGTTCTGCCAACTGGTAAGTATTTCTGTGCCAATTATGCATCTGGCACTGGGGAAATGACCACAGGATGAGTCTGGGGACCCACTGTAAGTCAGACATGAGCTAAAAATCCATTAATTACCTGACCTCCATAAGCCCCTACTTTAACTGGAGGACCTCAATGACATTTTGGGTCACCCGGAATCAATGTCAGCTCAGAGCCAGTATCTAGTAGTCCCCAAAATGTCTGATCATTTTCCTTTCCCCAATGCACACTTACTCTGGTAGAAGACTGGAGGTCTTCTTGGGGAAGGATGGGAGAAAGATTCACTGCATAAATTGTTGGTAATGTAGCGGGGTCCTTCCTCAAGGGGACCCGGCCTTCCCTTCATTCAAGAGGTTCTGTTTCTGTAAACTGGCTCAAGTCTGGAAATTGAGGGGCAGTGATTCTCTGTTTTCATAATTCAAATTAATCTTTTGTCCATTTGACCTAGTAGTTTTCTGCTTGTATAAATTAAGTAGGAATGCAGTAGGCTTCCTATCAATTTCACTTCTAGGAACACTATGATTAATTAGCCAATGCCAGAGCTCTACATGTGTCAGACTATTCTGATTGCTGCTTTGCCTCTGCTGTCCATTAAGGTAGCTACACCCACCTTGCCTTTGATGGTTGAGTGCCACCACTTGGCCCCTGACACCTCGGGATCCAATTACTCCCATTGTATTTAAATTTTGTAATTGAGTGACTATTGTTCCCACTGTTAGATCTGACATACAAGAAGAGCAATTACAGGGCTTTTCAAAGATGCAGGAGCTGCCCTCAGAAATCTATTTCACAAGGCATTGGTCAAGGATATATCTTCTGGACCCTCCCAGCTAGGATTAGTAGGTCAAAGTAACTAATCCACTCCACCATCCCAATCTCCCTAAGCCTTTGGATCCCTTCCTCTATATTAAACTAAGGAAGATCAGACATTTCCAGCTCACTCACAGTTGGCCATCTTTTAATCCATATTTCAGATAACCAAGCAAATAAACTATTAGAACCTTTTTGAACTCCCCGATCTGCAACATTAAATGCACAGTTTCTACTTAGCTGGCCCAAATCAATAAATAAACCCTGATGCAGCTCTATGTTGAGGCTCAGTATCTGCTTCTGAAGCAAGTGGGTAGAACCCCTGAGTTCATCATTTTCTTTCATCACTTTGTCCACTGAACTTAGGAGCAACCAACCAGCTTCCTCATGTTCCTTCTTTTTCCACATATGGTCAAAGGTATTATGCATAGACTCACCAAACTCCTTGCCGCTAACAAGCAATGAATCAAGAGTGTCAAATACATTTATTTTGCGTAACTCTCTAAACAGTTTATGCCAAGACTATCAGTGTTCTCCATACTATTAGAAGTAGATTCCTTAGCATCTTTGGGTCTAATCATATTAAGTAGCCAACTCTAGAAATCCCAAAACCAAAGAATGAAGTCCATCCTTATTATTTTGTTTCTCCAGAACCACTCCTGGCAATAAAATGTGTATTGGGGTTTTCTAGAGGGACAGAACTAATGGAAAAAAAAATATATATATATATATGGAATATATATATATATGGAGTTTATGTTAAGTATTAACTCACATGATCACAAGGTCCCACAATAGGCCATCTGCAGGCCGAGGAGCAAGGAGAACCAGTCTGAGTCCCAAAACCGAAAAATCTGGAGTCCGATGTTCAAGGGCAGGAAGCATCCAGCATGGGAGAAAGATGTAGGCTGGGAGGCTAGGCCAGTCTCTCTTTTCACATTTTTGTGCCTGCTTATATTCTAGTTGTGCTGGCAGCTGATTAGATGGTGCTCACCCAAATTAAGGGTGGGTCTGCCTTTCCCAGACCACTGACTCAAATGTTAATCTCCTTTCGACCATCCAGGATCAATATTTCGTATCTTTCAATCCAATCAAGTTGACACTCGTATTAACCATCACACATGCATTACAAATGTATATTTTGTATGCTACAAAATCTACCTTCAGAAAGAGTTTTTAAAAGGAGATGAACTATAAAATTGTACTGCTTTATTTCTGAACCTTCAGGTATTCTTTCATCACCTGTCAGGTTCAAATACCTCATTTTGGAGACGATTGGTCTACTCCAAGGGTTCTTATTCTTGGACTGTTGAAATTTTGGGTTGGAAAATTATTTTGGGAGTGGGGAGGGTGCTGTCCTGTTTATCACAGGATGTTTAGCAGAATCCCTGGATACTCACTTCTATGCCAGGGCACCCCATTCCTGACATACTTGCTTTCATACATTGCAGTGTCCCACAGGGACAAAATTGCCTCTAGTTGAGAACCACTAGTCTACAAAGAGGATAAAATAGAGAAAGATAAGTCCTATTTTTCACCCATGTAGTGTCTCAACATACCTATCCTGCTTTGTTTCACATTATACACTACAGATATGCACCCTCCAGTGTACCTGTTTACACTTCTCAGTTTTCATTCCTGTTATTACCTCTATGAAGAATCCATTTCCATCCTTCTTTCCATGAACAAAAGACAACTCAAATAACACAATTCTTCTGCACAAAATGTTACTTCCATTCCACTTGGGGTAAAAAATTGTGTTTATTATGTATATATTATATATATATAATAATAATAATATACAATCTTTATTTCCAACTAGGCTGAGAACACTTTGAAGTTAACAGAACATGCCTGGCTGTGTGCATTAGATAGTACCTGCTTTTCAGCTGATCAATGACGTTGTGCATTGTTAATCCTTTCAAGTTACATCGTCTCTCTCAATTGCATAGAGTTACATTTTTTTCTTTCTGAGCTATTCTCTCTATATACATACTTGGTTTTTTTTCCTGTGCCAATATTCAACTTTGGAAATTAGCCTCTTAATTTTACCTATGGAACCATTTTCTCTAGACAAACATGACAAGATGTTCTGTATCTGAATTATTTAGTTTAAATGAGTAAATAATTGTCAGCACTTCCCTTTATTTGGTGTGATACTGTCGCAGGATCCTTTGGGTGTCACTGGTTTCCAGCCAGAAACCTCTATGGCCGGTGGCGTCTTTGCCCAAGTTTTGCTCAGGCCTACTGGGCTTGTTCTGTCCAATCAGCCTAGCATGATGCACTCAGCTCCTGCTACCAGCCTGGATCCCACACCTGCCAAGTGTGAGCTAGGCATGAAGCAGTGAGGGGTGTGTGAGCAGGTAAGCGTGGGGCCTGGCCACTGTGCACAGCCAGGCATGCCAGCTGTGATGGACAGGCAGCTCCAGGTGCTGGCACAGGTGCCAACTCCATGCAAGGCTGCAGCTGTACCAGATGTACTGCAGGTGACTTCTGCTGTGGGCACCAACATCTGGACAAGGGGAATGCAGTGGCGCCCGAAATCTTGGAGATCCCAGAAACTGCAGAGCCTCAAAGAGGTTGTTACAGCATGTCACAGTCCTGGCTTAAAGAGCCCTGAGGTCTGGGTTCCCAGACATAGGCTGCAGGACTTCTCTCCTTTTCGTCACCCACAAAATGGCAAACGGGTGGGTGTGTTTCAGTACTGTTTGTGTTACAGCTGTTTTAGTCTTGCCATTTAGTGGGTACTGAGTTCTTGTCCCGTATCCAGGAAGAATGAGGTATGCAGACAACCTGGAGGGTAAGCAAAGTGGAGACTAGCTTCATTGAGCGACAGAACAGCTTCTAGGAGACCAGAAGTGGTTAGATCCTTTCTGCGGGCAGGTTGTCCCAGCTAGTGTCCAGCTCTCAGTAGAGAGGAGACCTGCAGTGGGCAGCTCCTTCCTGCAGCTGATAATCCCTACCTCTGTGTCAGTCTGGCTGAGTCCCGGGATTTTTACGGGCTCAGGAGGGAGGAACTGTCTGCTGATTGGTCTATGGGCAGCCATGGGCAGGCCTGGAAAATGCACCATAAGTTCTCACTCCACGCTATGGACTGCACCCAGAACCGGCAGCCCAGCCCCCAGGCTTCAGGCTGTTCCTGGCTTGAAGGTGGAGTTTCACTGCAGACCCAACCCTTTCTGCCCAGGAACCTGTCTGCCTCCTGCCACAAACATGCTGTTCACAGTACTCAGTCTGTTTGTGCCCAAGGGGCATCTGCAGGCCTGTGCTGAGCCACCTCCAACCCCCTTCACCCTCTCTCCCTGAGCTCCTCAGTGCCCAAAGTTTCAGAGTGGGCAGAGGTTGCAGGAGGAGGTGACCTGTCAGTGCCATAATCTACACATACCCAATGGGTCATGAGAGCACCCAGGCTCAGCTTCAACTTTGCTCCGAAATTGGAGCCAGTGCTGGAAGTGGAGAGAAGCCAGGGAGACGGAGCAGGCACTTCCAAGCCTGTGCGAGCAGTGGGACTTCCTGGGCCCCTGAGAGCACAGGTATTCCCTGGTCCAGAGCTGCAGCTGGGAGGCTGCCGCTGCATCCGGGAGCATGGGGCTGTTGCCCCTTTAACCCGGTAGGGGGCAGGGCTCCTGCCTGTTCCCGGCCCCTACCTGCTCCACTGAGTGGACAACCCTGTCTACACCTCCTGTGCTGCAGCCAGCATCTTCACAGTGGACACTCCAGAAGGCTGCCTCTGCCATAATAACAAACATGTTTTACTGCAGGTAGCATCACAGCTTCATTGAACATGATCTCAAATTCCACTGTACCCATCAGATCGAGGGAAATGAATTGGACTGGACCCTTTTCTTTTTAAAAATTTTAAACATTTTTATTTTTTTTTTCTGAGACAGTGTCTCACTCTGTCACCCAGGCTGGTGTGCAGTGGCACGATCTTGTCTACTTGCAACCTCTGCCTCCCAGGTTCAAGCAATTCTAGTGCCTCAGCCTCTGGAGTAGCTGGGACTACCAGGCATCTGCCACCGCGCCTGGCTAATTTTTTGTTTTAGGAGAGATGGGGTTTCACCACGTTGCCCAGGGTGGTCTCAAACTCCTGAGCTCAGGCAATGCGCTCGCCTCAGCCTCCCAAAGTGCTAGGATTACAGGCATGAGCCACCATGCCTGTCCAAGGCTGGACCAATTTCTTTCATAGGTAGAGTTGACAACTGGCTACATTGTATTTTGGAGGTATGGTACAGTTGATCTATTGCTGCGTATTGATGTTTTATATTCCTTTAACAAATACCATAACTATGAAATAGTATTAAATTAGAGGATATACAGAAAAAAATTATGCGAATTGAAAAATTAAGCAGGATGTGTAACGATGTTCATAAAGTTATTTTTATTTCTTCAGCAAATATTCATGAATCACCTAGTTGTCAGGAACTATGCTAGGAAGCATTTATATAGCAGCCACAACTCTTGCCCTCATAATAGAATGTAGAAGTGCGGTTATAAACCTGAAATAAGTATACACATAATTATTTAATTATATTGTGATCTGAATTCTGAGAAAGAGGTATGGATTCTGATTTATTTAGAAAGATTTCTCTTTGTACAAATAAAAAAAGATATTATGTAACTATGTCTATTTGGATATAAATAAATATACATATGAATATACAGATATGGCTATATCTCCATATATGTGGGTATATATATGTGAATGTGAATAAAATAGATACAGATAAAATGTAGATAAAACCTATTAGAAAGTAACTAAACTTAAATATTAGCTATTTATGAGTTTGTTGAGGAATTTTTTCCTAAATTTTTTGTATATTCAGTAAGTTCAACATCACCATATATTATTTCTGAAAATAACTGAAAACTACATATTTAAAATAAAACTCCATTAACATACAATTCTCTAATAAGAGAGCACAAAGGCTTTAGGGAGGGTTTTACAAGATTTAAAGACAATTTTGGTGGTGGAACACAGCACAACAACACTTGGATAGGTGAGATGTAGAACTCTTTGTTACCATTAGCGCCAAAGGAGAAAAGGCTGCAGTGCCACATAAGGTGTTGTATCCAGAGACAGAGTAACAGCAAGGTGGAGCTGGATGGGGCAGCTTAGGTGTGGCAAGAGTTAGTTAGGCCCTCAGGTTCCTTGTGGATTGGCTAATTTGGGTAATTTCCAGGACTCCAAGACACAAGAGAAGTCCCTAGTTATCTATTATCTGGCCCTGGGACAGTTAGGGCAGGTGGATAGTGCCCCTAGTGTGTGGTTGGGATGTGAAATTAATCAGCTACTCATGAAGGGAAACTGACCGGCTGTTAGCCAGGGCCTCAAACTAGATCAAGACAGCATTTCCAAACAAACAAAAACACCAAAAATTATCACAGGGAGGTAACATTGACTTAAGATATAAATGCAAGTATTTTGCTACTGAAAAAAAGGAACACCTGAAAAAATATGTTATTCTGATTGGGAAAAGAGAAAAACAGTATCAAGGATATGAAAATATCAGAAATGGAAAGCTGAATGACTCAAGAAAAATTTTTTTCTCAGTATTACCTATAATTAACTGAAATCACGAGTTTTTTCATAAATTAATAAAATATTACTATATTGCACTAAAATATTTGAAATGATCTTTCCTTCAAGTCTATGACCTATTAGTTTGAAAAATGATTATTGTTTTTAATAAAAAAGAATCCTTAACATTTATTGAACATTTACTATATGTCAAGTAATATGCTAGGCCCTTTGCTTGGATTATCTTTTAATCTTCATAATATCTTAAATGAATGTTTTTATTAATAAGCCAATTAGTCTTAGAGAGGTTAATTTGCCTAAAGCCACTTAGCTAATAAGAAATGGACCCTGCCTTTAAACTCAGATATAACCGAGTCCAAAGCCCATATTCTTAAATACTATGCCACGAAGTACAGATTGATAAATTATAGATGATTAACAGATGAATAGATTATAGATGGTTAATAGACAGATTGATATATATATGATTAATTAGTGGATTAAATATGGAGATATTAAAGAGAGGAAGCACATTATGCAATCTTGTGTTCAGTTCCACCCAACCATTCAATGCCGTGTTGGGAGGGGAGTGGTAAGCAAATACTTGTCTCCCAGCTACTGTGAACATTCAGAAAAAGAAAAAAGAAACACTTATGATTTAAAATAAATTCCTAAAAATCATCTGCATGTGTTATATTTGGTTCATCAACAGGGAAAAAAATAGACACATGCATTGAAAATGAAATATCTATGCTAAATGTCTTTGATATCCTGCCAGATTTACCCACAGAAGGTCTCGACTATAAACAAACAGCTACTTACACATGTATGACCCTGGAAAGAAGACTGAGTGGGCACAAAATGGTGTCTGTTTTAATCTTGGGTTTTTGCTTCATTTTGAGCTGTCAGATTTTCACCTCCTTTCAAGGAAAAGAAAAACAGGAACTGTGATTCTGCTTTTAGTATTAAAGAGTTGCATAACCATATCCAAGTAGCTGAATTATACCTTTACTAATGAAGGGAGTTGTTTTCAAGGGTGAAATAACATTTTTGTGGCAGAAATGGCAATGTGACAACCACCGCTTCAATGAATATAGACACTTCCTACACTTGGTTTTAATCACATCTCAGTCAGATCATAATATTTATTAACTGTTCAGAACACCTCCTAAATCTTTGTGTTCGAACTCTTCTTGGTTTCTCCTTTACTTTGGGAGGGATTGCGTTTTCTTAAGAACTATTTTTAAAAGTTGAGTATCCATTGTTAGAGGGTTGCTAATAGAAGTTAGGTTTTAGTTTCTTTAAAAGCATCCTCAAAACAAAAACCACTAGTTTAGTGTTAAGAATATAATAGTCAATACATATTTACTGACTGGTTATGCTCAAAATGAATTTTCTCAATTAATCTCTATATATTTAAAAATGTTAACACAAATATCCAGCTCTAATACAATATTATCAATATTCTTTAAACCACTTCCAGTAGAAATATTTGTTTTTGCACTATTTTTACATGGAAATTGAAAAACAAACAAGCTGCTTATGTTTAGAAAAATACTGATCTTTAATATTTTCTCTTACCCCAAATGATTGTTTCATTTGAACACATTTACATTGATTATTCAGAAATACATACTAAATAGAATTTATTTCAATAAAATTTAAAAGGTGAAAGTATTAAATATTCTAATTTCACCTCTTCTGGTTGTTGTTTATGTAGCGTTCTGTTAATTTCAATAGGGGCTGTTTTTTTTTTCATGAGTGTAATTGATTTTTACTTTTGTAGGCTTCTTGGGGGAAAAGAAACAAGGAAGGAATTAAGACAGGCATTTTAACATATACTTATTAGGACTTTATTATATTTTATATGGACATCATATTTCAAAATAAGCCCTGTTATATTTGGGGCAAAAGTAAAACATTTAAAAATTAATTAAAACTGTTTTTCAAGGTAACCTTGGGGGCACATTTCTAAAATATGATTAGATTAAATGTCCTTATTTACCACAATGTGAAATATATTTTAAAAGCTAAGAAACATTATGTACACTAGCAAAATTCATTTTCTAAGTAGGTAATTAATTTGGATGAAGCAAATTCTAATGTGACTTACAAAGGGCCAAGGGAAGTAATATGTACATAAAGGACTCAATTTAGAAACTTAATGTCTTTGATTTAACACTGAAAGTTCATTAAGGCTCTCTGATTGACAGTTATTTAGGGTTCAGTGACTGCTGTACTAGAATAGTTATGGAAATAGAAGAGATCAATATTCTACATTTCTGTCACTATGAGATTTGTGACCATCCATATAAAAAAGCAGAGTTATTTAAAGCTATTGCCGATTTTGATTCAATTGTTACAAATATAGATATTAAAAAATCAACTAGCCAGCAAATATGAAGTGTGTATGCCTAGCACTGCACCTTCAATTCTTGGCTTAACATTCACTAAACTCTTCTTTTCCTTTACCACCTCAATTTTGCTTTTGTGAAATGAAAATAATAAAATGTTTCATATCTAAATGAGAATATTATAAGACAAAATAATATCATCTTATTTATTGATGATATGACTGCACTGTCACTTAAAAGAGACATAAAAAACAACTGTTCCCATTATCTTTGTTGGAAAGAATGACAAACTATTAAAAAATTATACCATATTTTTGAAAAATACTACTTAAATGAATGCAGTTTATTTTCAGTAACCCTACATAACCGTCTACCTTTTGGGCTAGTCAGTGACACTTCAGAAATTATTTTTTTTCTGACACGTTCAATAGGGCAATATATTACCCCAATTTGGACATTCCATAATATCTTTATAAGTTGTATTATTATTAATTTGTATTAGCTACAAGTAAATATGTGTTTTTAAAATCTTCCAACCTCCAACCATTTTAGTCAGCTTTCTGTGGTAAAATGTAGGGACCAAAGAAACCATTACATTGTGTCAGAGAGAACCCTAAGTGATTTATTGAGAAAATTTCCTGAATTTTTTAATATATCCCTCTGAAATTCACTTATAGGTAGAAGTGTGATTTTTCTATGTTTAAGGAAATATTTTTAAAAGGCTTCTAAGTTTTCCCCAAAGGATGCCAACCTTTACACTTACTCATCAAATTTCCACAGCCTATATATTCACTCACTTTCAAGCATCAACTCAGTAAGAGACTTAAAAACGAAGCCTTTAGTGATAATGCCCAGTGTCCTCATGGTCACCTATGACAGCTCAACAGGCAGTCATACCTACACATATGGACTGGCTTGCCTGGCCCACGGCCAGCTCCAGGCTTGGGCTTCTGCTTTCATTTACAGTTTTTCCCACTAGCCCTACTTCTTTACCTTGTTTATATTGCATTATTATTATGTTACATTTGTAATCTGTTTTAAATCATTTGTGAAAAGAAGGCTGAGTATAAACAAACAAGACCCAGTGATGTTACACATGGAGATATTTGAATCCTTCTGAGAAAAGGTGCAATTTAAAGTTCACGATATTACAGGCAGGCTGCATTATAGGTGGGAAGTGTTCCCAGCCATGTTTTTATGCAGTGGATTGAGATTCAGACTATTTTCCCAGTAAAAACAATGCTATATAAATAATGCAAACAATTGCCAGCTATCACACAACCTATTTAACCCATGATATAACTTCAGTAAACTTTATTTGCTCTGAAAAAATAATGAAACAAAGTAGTATTATTGTCAGCAAGATTGAAAATTAGTCACATTGAAAATGAGTTATTAAATGCATTGATTTTCTATTTTTTGGTCAGGAATCTTACCTTAGTCATTATGATATTGTCACTGAGTAACTCAATGTGAGTGCACAGGGCTTAAGAAATGTTTACTGAGTGAGAGGAAGGAGAATGAATGACAGCAAGGACAAGAGAGATACCTGAGGCATGCAAAAGAGACTTCTGGGGATAGCCAAGGTGACAGGAGTCAATGGCAATGGTTCTCTATTTTGTCTCATTATAGTGAAACACTTTGGGTTTCTATTTCCTTGACACCAGAAGGCTTATATGCATTATCAGACTAGATTAGATTTGTTTGGGCAAGGAGAAAAAGAAGAGAAAGCATCAGCAGCAGCAGCAGCAGCACCAGCAGAAGGGAAGGCTACAGAGAAAGGGAAAAGGGACTTTTCTTAGGTGAGTATTCAAGGCCTAGGGAAAAAAGGAGTAAAGAAGATACAGATGCTCCTCAACTTACGATGAGGTTATACCCTTATAAGCCCATCATAAATCAAAAATATAGTAAGTTGAAAATGCATTTTAGACTTAATGGTATTTCCTGTTTATGATAGGTTTATCAGGATATAACCTAATCGTTAAGTTGAGGAACATATTGAATTCATGTCTTTTTGGCACCACTGTAAACTTAAAAAATCATAAGTCGAAACATCATTAAGTCAGAAACCTCTGTAGTTATAGAGGTATATATGTCCATGTGATAAAAGGACTTCAGAAATGGAATTACTTACTTTAGGATTAAAGTGAAGAATAAATGAGAGCACATCATTTGTCTGATTTTCTTTTCTCTGAGAGAGTAGAAAGACAACAGTAGTGAGGGTTTTGGTCATATAGTATCCTATACCGGCCACAACCAGATGGTACCATCATCACGGCAACTCTTGGTTGCATACTTTTTAAAATAAAGACATTACATCATTTTCCTAAAATACACTGGCAGTGACAGCCAGGGCTAGTACTGTGGGTTCTCTAAAATCGTATTTAACACTTCTAAAATTACAAATAATTGGTAAACTACCGTACAGTAAATAAATATTGGAACAGTTTTTCAAATGAGATGATTTTTAAATTGTCATTTTTAGTAATTTGCCTGCCTTGTGAAGTTAGCTACTTACAAAGTCAGTTGTTCATTTAACATTCTATGCCAAAAGTTAAAAATATTTATAACGAAAGACATATGAGTGAAAGAGATAGGCTCTCCACATACTTTCTACTTAATTGTGAAAATGTGAAAATTTTAACTCAAGCAATTATTGAATGTTGTTTAATGTTGGAAATTAAAATCGTTTAACACAATATGGAATTAAAGTAAGTGTAGAAAATTTACAATAAGAAAACTTTTAAACTTTGATATATATTAAAATGATTAATTCAGAGAAATGAAGATAAAATTTCATCCAGTCTTCAAAATATTTCAGAAGAGATTATATTTCTATAAATACCACCTAAAGATATTATGCACCTCTTTTTATATCTATTGCATTTGTATTTACCAGTTTGGAGTTTTTTTATTTTTAATTTACATTCCTCCATGACAAGCCATTGCATTTTTCAATGTTTTCAAACAATTTAACTCTCTTTCCTGATGTAATATTATTCAAGATTGTAATAATACTTTTTGCACACCTGAAATGGGAGAAATAGCACCTGTGCTATAAATGGAGAAGGCCAGATTAGTGTTTCCCTTTTGGTTTGATAATAAAACAAAAGAACAGAGAACAGTAGTTGACATCATGGATGATATTGAGGTGGTAAGAGTCACAATGTCTTCATTTGTGTTACTAGTGAAGAACAATTATTTTTGGCAAAACATAAAGGCAAAGACATCTAAAATAATATACAGCATAGATAAAAATAACAGATAACGTGCTTTTTTGAATATACAATTACATTAAATTGAAAGAAAGGCAATAATGAGAAGCAATAGTTCTATGTTCTAAACATCTGAGTTATACATCAGTGTCTGTAATGTCTGTAACATAATGATGGCACACTACCAAAGCTATCACTGATTTAGCATTTTAAAAAGTCAGCCATTTGCTATTACAATCATTTCAAGATACTTGAAGGATGATATCTGAATAGAATAGATAATACAGAGAATATTATGCATACAGGCCTTTGAACAGTTAGGAAGGTAGGGTAGGAGAAATTGTTTAGGATAAAACTCGTCTAGAATATTGAGTTAATGTGATAGCATTTGCTAGCATATGCATGCTGAAGCATCCTATGCTTTATTCAGAGCACTTGTGAAAACTCCTTATTTTGGTTCATTTCTTTCTCATTTCCTAAATGTGTCTCTTCTAAGCAGAGAGAAATGCCTATGTGGTCTATATCTTTATTCCTCAAGTACTCATTTTGAAAAACATATCATAAAAAGAGAGAAACATGGGAGGAAAAATTTACAATTATGCTTTATATGTGAAAATAAAATTTTTACTAACTTAACTTTCAGTTACAGAGTTGAATATTAAGTACAGGTTAAATGCAAACATGTTTTAATAATTTCTCAGTGCTTTAATATATAGAAATTTTACATAGACTTGTATGGAAAGTATATACTTTCATTTCATATTCTATTTTTGAATTACCTTACATTGTGCAAAAATACACAAAACTACTAAATGACAAGAAGTAATAAAAATAACTGTAACAAAGAAGAAGATTTGGTTTCATTTCCCTTCCAATATACCCAGAAAATATTCTACATTTATGTGGCTTTTCAATAGATGTGAAACCCTGATATTTTGTAAGTTCTTGTAATTGTCTTAATTTACCCTCGATATCTTTCTGCTCTGCAAAAGAAGAAGAACGAACTGATTTGTAAGGAATATTTAAAAGTTCATATAGTGTCCTAGAGTGTTAAAACACAATCATGTACTTCTTTGAATTATGTTTAAATGATGGTATAAAGAACATAATATGAGGCCGGGCATGGTGGCTCATGCCTGTAACTCCAGCGCTTTAGGACACCAAGGCGGGCGGATCACCTAAGGTCAGGAGTTCAAGACCAGCCTCGCCAACATGGTGAAACCCCATCTCTACTAAAAATACAAAAATTAGCTGGGTGTGGTGGCGCATGCCTGTAATCCCAGCTTCTCAGGAGACTGAGGCAAAAGAATCGTTTGAACCTGGGAGGCAGAGGATGCAGTCTGCAGTGAGCCGAGATTGCGCCACTGCACTCCAGCCTGGGCAACAGAGTGAGACTCCATCTCAAAAAGAAAAAAACATAATATGATCATTGGGTGCTAGTGCTAGTTGGTAATGCCAAATGAGACAGCAATTTGGCCATTTCTAGAGAAACTGAAATAGCCTGTGCCTTATGATTCAGAAAGTTTAAAACTGGATATACAAATATAATGTAAAGAAACAGCTTCAGATCAGGTAGAAGAGTATTCATTTGTAGCCATTTTATAATAGTGAAAATTGCCAACATCTAAATTTACATTAATAGAACAATAAATAAATTTGCTCAAAGGAATATTATGCAGCATGTAAAATGAATAAATTTATGCTGTGTAAATTGGAAAAATCTTACTTGGATGAATCATAATATAAAGTAGAGTGGTAGGATACCATGTGTATACATTTTAAAAACATATATTTATGTGATTCATGTTTTAAAATTACCAAATGTAAAGGTATAAAAATATGTCTGCTGATGATAAACACTAAATTTAAGATAGTAGTTACCTTTGTGGGAGAGATTAGAGATAACTGGATGAGAAAAGGTATATAAGACCTTTCAAATATCTCTGTAAGATGCAAAGAGACACGAAGAGAAACAAGGGAGGCACATTATAGCACTATTTTGAGACTTGAGAAAGGAACACGGGTTATGTGGTTTTTCATTCTATTGTTTTCTTCCATTGTTTTTGTATTTTATAGATTTTTACAATAGCCTTTAGCTTTTTTAGAAGTGTATGAGATTTTATTTGGAGTCAGATAAATTAGTTTTAGTTCACAGTTAACTGGCTATATAAACTAGGTAATTATTAATTTTTTGTATAGAAAAAGAGGCTAATGATACAAGTTTTAATGAGGATTGGTTTGATATATGTGAATGTCCCCTATCAACTGGAGAGCATGAGTTTAAAATGTTATACATGCATATAAATAGGTAAGGATAGATTTGGACCTAGATGTTTATTCTAAAGTTCTAGATAGTGATAGAGACACCTTTGCTGTCACAGGAATGTCAGCAAATACAATGCTGTTCAGTCCCTGACTAACTTATGAATATAAATACATATATCGGCTGGGCACAGTGGCTCACACCTGTAATCACAGCACTTTGGGTGGCCGAGGCGGGTGGATCATGAGGTCAGGAGATCGAGACCATCCTGGCTAATACAGTGAAACCCCGTCTCTACTAAAAATACAAAAAATTAGCCGGGTGTGGTGGTGGGTGCCTGTAGTCCCAGCTACTCAGGAGGCTGAGGCAGGAAAATGGCGTGAACCTGGGAGGTGGAGCTTGCAGTGAGACGAGATCGCGCCACTGCACTCCAGCCTGGGTGACAGAGCAAGACTCCATCTCAAAAAAATAAATAAATAAATACAAAATACATACAAAATACATACATACATACATACATATATCTATTGCAAGCGTTACTTTACAGTATAAAAGCATTTGTAAAGTTTTATGAAGTCAGAGTCAGTACTTGTTATAATTGTGTGTTTTTTACTCTAAAAGTACAGTTTTTATTTAAATAAACATAAAGCCAATATCTAACAGCAGTTACTTGGCAAATGGTGGTACAATTGAAAATGGTGGTACTGTCTCTTGAATCTTTCCTATTTTCTATTTTTGAAGTTTTTAAACTTTTTCACCTTCTATGTCTTTTAAGGCACACTATCAGTTTTATTTAATTATTTTTGTGTTCTTTCTAGTTTAGTCTTTATTTTAAGGGCAATTTTTTTCTTTTATGTCTAATTATGTTTGGAGTTCATTCATACATTTCTGAGCATTTCTAATACTGATTTATGTCTTTCCATTAGAGAGGGTACACTTTCAATTGTACCACCATTTGCCAAGTAACTACTGTTAGGTATTGACTTTATGGGTCATTGGCTAAATGAAATTTAAAAAGGTGTTTTAGTCAATCTTAAGCTATATATAAGTCCTACAATTTTGGAAGAAATAAACATGATCTTAGCATTAATTAAGGCAACTGTTACATAATTTGGGGACTTGAATTCTTATTCCCACTCTATTGTTACATAGATACCAGCCTTTGTGCAAGTTGCTTGACTCTGGCTCTCCATATATTAGCCTGTAAAACGAGGGTTGCAAGAGTAAGGGTTGAATTGGATGTTTTATTGTCCCTAAAATATTTTCTGACTCTAACATTGTAATATTCTATTAAAAGTATAGTGTCAAGATTATAAGAATTGATAGTGTGCTGTGTTCTGTACTGTTCAGAGTTCAAGTTTTGTATTCAATTACAAATGTTACATTTTTAAGAAACATTAAAAATGAGATTGCATTCAAAAGAGAACCATCAAGATAGTCTGAAAATACATCAAATAATTTCAACCCAGTACCACAGTCCTTCTTCTTGTTCTCTCCTTGCCCCTCTTTCCATCTGCCATTGTCTTTTGCCATCCTTTGAGTATGGACCTAAGCCTGACTGGCAGTCAGTATATGCTCTGTCAGTTTCCACTACTGGATAGGGACTGGAGAATGACACATGAAGAGTTAAACAGAGGTCTTTGCAGTCTTTATAGCACTATAGCATCAATTTGCAATATTTGACAATCATATCTTTCACATTTTTGATTGGATCTCCTACTAGTATATCTCCTATACTGAATTATTGCAGGAAAATATCTATTTTTTTCTGCTTTGAGATATAGTTCAAAAGTCTTTCTTCCCAAACTCTAGCTTGAGAAGGCACCAGGCTCCAGGGAAGAGACGGGGGTGCGAACTGTAAGAAAAAGCTAGTCTACTATACTTACTCCCTATAACAACCTTCAGGTCCTCTCATAATAAGGTGCTGCTCCTTTTCCATGACTTACAATTGTAAAGACAACATGAGTGTCTAAGCCGATGCTACTCACAAAAACAGCACCCTCTAACCCCATGTGAGCCCAATTTTATGAGATGAGACAAATTCTTACCATGCCTTCAAGTCCAACTACATGTCTCTCTCCCAAAGACAGAGGGCCCACCTCCTCTTGAATACTGCTGGACAGAGGCAGAGGAGTTCTATTTTAATCATGGGGTTTGAAAATGCCCTTTGATCTCAGCTTCACTTAGCATACCACCTACTCTTCAATTAAATCATCTGTTTCTATACCATAGATGCCAATCAGGTCCAAACAGTTCAAGGATCACAACTTTCTCTATCATGTCTTTTTCCCAATGTCAGCTTATTTCATGCACCCTTATTACTGGTGCTGAGTCAAATTTCATTCTTCCCCACTCTTCTGCTAAGAGGTGGCTGCCATGCTGAGGTGCCATTTGGTTCAGTGCTGCAGTGTAGTTTGAATTGGGGGTAACTGGCTCCTGCTACCATCCAATAATCTCTTATAGCCCAAGTGCTAGGCCTTAATCATATAAAGATCAGCAGTATATGAGCTAGAATATGTGTTCAGCAGTTTCAATAGAGGCCAAAATAATAGTGGCTTTTACAAAAGAGAATATTATTAATCCCTCACTGAAAACTTTGACCTGGCAGGTGGCCGAGTGAAGTAGAATGACTCCACAGATCATTTATATTACTTCCCTGTCACTTTCTTAAGTCCTACCTGCTCTGTGCCCAAGTCTGTAGCAAGGATGAAATATAAAGTGGGGGGCAAGAAGCTTCTTTTAAAGGCATAGCTAAGAAGTCACACGTTTCTTTGCTCACATCTCATGGGGCAGAACTTAGTCACATGGCCATTGCTTGCTGCAAAGGAGGCAGGGAAGTATCATCTTATCCTGGACAGCAATGTGCCCTGTTAAAACTTAATTTATGTTAAAACGTATTTTATTACTAAGAATAAGGAATGACTACAGGGGATATTATTAGTGTTCTTCGACACTACCTGCAAAAAAAAAAAAAAATGCATTCTCACTTAGTTGGTCAAGCATACCCAAAGAGCCCAAAAGAAGTTTTCATCATTCTTCATTAGATTTTATTCTAATAAAGACTTCATTAGTAGATACCAGAAAGGTATGGAAGGTCATCGTAGAATATTTACTTTATTAAATTTAGCCCTGTGCCTCAAGCCATGGAGAATGGGACAGTTCTCTCTGAACTCTTGCGTTCTCCCTAAGTGTGTCCTTTGGGACTTTTCTCTTGTTTTCTTCTCTTCCTTCTTCCCCTTCCTTAGAACACTTTGAAACTGTTAGACACTTTCACTATCCCTTATCCTAAGTTCCACTTCCTTTCCTGGTTTGTGGCATGAAAAATTTTATGCTCTGCTATACTCTCCTGCTAAATAACAAGTGGAGTGCTTTGTATTCTGAAAGTAGAAGAGGAAAAATGAGGCACTCATGATAGTTTGTCCTTAACTTACTAAGACAAGCCAATCTTTGCACTGCAAAGACTTTCCTTCATGCCTATTTTTGGTATCTTATTACTAATATATATATGTATATATATTTAACTGATAAATTATAATCGTACATATTTATAGGGTGCAATGTTATGTTTTGATATATGTGTACAATGTAGAATGATTAAATTAAGCTAATTAACGTATCAATCACCCCATTTATCATTTGAAATATACTCTCTTAGCAATATTTAAATATACAATACATTACTGTTAATTATAGGCACCACACTGTGCCATACGTCTCAAAAATATGTTCTTCCTGTCTAACTGAAACTTTGTACCCTTTAAACAGCATCTCCCTATTCCCCTACTTCCCAGCCTCTGGTATCCACCATTCTACTCACTGTTTCTATGAGTTTGACATTTTTAGATTCCACAGTACTTTTTGTGTTAAAAGGCTGCGTGTGCTCCAATAGTCTTGAGTTCTTTCAAAAGGCCCATTTCTATTACATTAGCCTGTATATGTATGAGCATTCAGAAAGAGAGTGGGGAATTTTAATCTCAGGTCTTCACTAGTCAAATGACCTCAAGAATATTTGTTCCCAATTTGTTTTATAAGCCCGCAGCTTAGACTTGAGATTGTCAGATTATACAAGAGTTACCTTATAAATTTTTTGTGCGTTTTCACCTCTTCAATATTTATTACTGTCCCTTGATTATTTCTTTTATTTCTATTTAATTTTTTTCATTTTTCACCTTCTATGTTTTTAAGACACACTATCAGTTGCATTTAATTATTCTGTGTTCTTCCTAGTTCCATCTTTATTTTAAAAGTGATTTTTTGTTTTACTTCCAATTATTTCTGGAGTTCATTCATACATTTCTGAACATTTCTAATACTGATTTATGTCTTTGCATTTATTAGATCATTTTCTTTGTCTTTTAGTTCATTTTCAAATATTAGTTTCAGGTTGATTCTGTTTTGTGACTTTGTCTTTTTGATGCGGGTTATTTTTCTGCTCTTTATTATCTTTCTTTATATAATAATTTTGTATGGGATTTGACCTAGATTTTTATATGTTACAAATTACATGAAATTAATTTTGCCAAACTTCTAAAGTGAAGTGGGGTTTAGGGAAGTTTTTCTAATTTCCAAGAGCTTTCTTTTTTACTGTTTTTGTATAGTATTTGGAAATAGGTTGGCTTACTTTTTATTTTTTTATTTTTTTTGAGACAGAGTCTTGCCCAGTCGCCCAGGCTGAAGTGCAGTGGCTCGATCTCGACTCACTGCAAGCTCCACCTCCCGGGTTCACGCCATTCTCCTGCCTCAGCCTCCCCAGTAGTTGGGACTACAGGCGCCCGCCACCACGCTCGGCTAATTTTTTTGTATTTTTAGTAGAGACGGGGTTTCATCATGTTAGCCAGGATCGTCTCGATCTCCTGACCTGGTGATCCGCCCGCCTCGGCCTCCCAAAGTGCTGGGATTACAGGTGTGAGCCACCGCACCTGGCCGGTTGGCTTACTTTTTGAGATTTTCTGGCTGTTTTCTTCCTCCACTTGTTTATACCAGAGGTCGGCAAACTTTCTGTAAAAGGCCATATAGTAAATAATTTAGGCTTTACAAACCATACAGTCTCTGACACAAATACTCAACTCTGCCCTTTTACAGCCACAGGAGACACTTAAACGAATTAGAATGGTTATGTTCTAATAGACATTATTTAAAAAAAAAACAACAGGTTGGATTTGGCCCACAAGCTATAGTTTGCTTACCTCTCTGATTTAGACCAATTTGTCCAACAGAAATATAATAAGATCCAAAAATATAAGGCACATATGTTGTTTAAAATTTTTAATAGTCACATTGAAAAAAATGGAAAAAGATGAAATTAATATATTTTATATAATCCAGTATATTCAAAATACCATCATTTTAACACGTAATCAAGTATTTTAAAAATATTAATAAGATACTTTGCATTTTTTATTCTAAGTCTTTCATATATGATGTGTATTTTATACTTACAGCACATCTCAATTCAGACAAGTGTCAACTGAAGTGCTCAGTAGTGACTTGGTGCTACTGGCTACTTTACTGGCATCACAGTTCTGGACCTTCCCTTTCCTCATCTGTACCTCTTGCCCCTATTCCTCCTCATTTTTTATTCCATCTCTTAAATTTCTCTCCTGTGTGGTACCTGGTTCTGAAATGGAAGCTTGAAGGGTCAGTTTGATAATTCACAGATGCTGTCCTGCCTCAGCCTTGTACACCCACTTACCACCAGCCCCTGCTTCACCTGGTACTGGGAAGCACACATCCCTCCTGTTCTCAGCTGCTCTTCTCCGCCTGCTTCCCACTGAAGACTCGATGGCTGTTTCTAGGTTCTCCCATCCTCAAGTCCACTATACACCCAGTTTCGTTCTCTCCTTCCTCTTGCACAAACACGACTATCATGCCTCGTAACTGTCAACTGTTGGTCTCTGCCCACTTGTTTAAAGTTTGTGGACTATTTTTCTGTCTCATTTCATTCACCTTTCTTCTTTCTTATTACTTCCCCTGCAATCCTTGTACACCATTTCTAGTTCTTATCCTCTTGCTCTCCTTACTATAACCTCTTTAAATCTTGGAAAACAGAAATAAAAAACAAATAATATGAACCCTACCAGTATGGTAAACATCACATGGAATTATGTCTATGAAAGCACTAGGCAAACTCCAAATTATTAGGTAGATTGAATAAATAAATTTATGGAATTTCTGGAGGAAAAAAGGGTGCCAGAGAAGAAGGGCTTTCTATACTTTTGATGTCAGTTTTCTTTTGCCCTACAATTTTTGTATTTGTAAAAGAAAACAATGGTTAAATACAGAATGTTGCAAATTTTGTAAGTTCTTGAAGGTGACACTTAAATTTCTGTCTCTTCACACACACACACACACACACACACACTGCATTTAGTGAAATAAAAGGGACCCTTTTTCCAAGGGCAGTGAGTAAACAGGCATTATAGTAAATTGGCATTGAAGGCACCTGGAAAGTTTGACATAATAAATATTTTATTTTTTCTTTTCTTTTTTTTTTTTTTGAGACAGAGTCTAGCTCTGTCGCCCAGGCTGGAGTGCAGTGGCGCAATCTTGGCTCGCTGCAAACTCTGTCTCCTGGGTTCATGCCATTCTCCTGCCTCAACCTCCCAAGTAACTGGGACTATGGGCACCCACCACCACACCTGGCTAATTTTTTTTTTTTTTGTATTTTTAGTACTGACGGGGTTTCACCATGATAGCCAGGATGGTCTTGATCTCCTGACCTCATGATCTGCCCACAACAGCCTCCCAAAGTTCTGGGATTACAGGCGTGAGCCACCACACCCAGCAATATTTTCTTATTCTTACTGATTCCTGACCTTGGTTTTGCAATAATGAAGGGTATACATGATTCATTTAAATATGCCATTAAATTGTTATAACAGTAACTTACATAGTTTCATTAAAAATTAAATGTTATAAAGCTCTTCCTTTTTCATAGAAAAGTCAAAAAAATCAAACAAAAAAGTTGCCCAATTCAAAACCACTGGGCATCTATGATGATTAAAATTATTTAATAATTTGTGAAATTTTTTAAATTTTCTTCATTGTAGTTCCTGTTTGGGGAAGAGAGGAAGTTAACCATAATTCAGTTAAGTTACATTCTTATTAAAAGGGTCCTATGAGCAACCTGGGGGTCCAAGCCTTCTTACATACCTGGTAAGATTTTTCAGAGAATAATCTCCCCTTGAGTTTTTCCACAGTAAGCCAAGGAGACACTGTGGCCGGAATTGGTTTCTTCTGGTGGGTTCTTGGTCTTGCTGACTTCAAGAATGAAGCTGCAGACCCTCACGGTGAGTGTTACAGTTCTTGAAGATGGAGTGTCGGGAGTTTGTTCCTTCAGATGTTCACATGTGTGGGGAGTTTCTTCCTTCTGGTGCGTTCGTGGTCTCGCTGACTTCAGGAGTGAAGCCGCAGACCTTCACAGTGAGTGTTACAGCTCTTTAAGGTGGCGGGTCAGGAGTTGTTCATGCCTCCCAGAGGATTCGTGGTCTTGCTGGCTTCAGGAGTTAAGCTAAAGACCTTCGCAGTGAGTGTTACAGTTCATAAAAGTAGTGTGGACCCAAAAAGTGAGCATTAGCAAGATTTACTGTGAAGAGCAAAAGAACATACTCTCCACAGCGCGGAAGCGTACCCCAGTGGATTACTGCTGCTGTCTCTGGTGGCCAGCTTTTATTCCCTTATTTGGCCCTGCCCACGTTCTGCTGATTGGTCCATTTTACAGAGTGCTGATTGGTCCATTTTACAGAACGCTGATTGGTGCGTTTTTACAGAGTGCTGATTGGTGTATTTACAAACATTTAGCTAGACACAGAGCGTTGATTGGTGCGTTTACAATCCTTCAGCTAGACGGAAAAGTTCTCCAAGTCCCCACCTGACCCAGAAGTGCAGCCGGCTTCACCCCTCAACATGACAAAACATCAATCAATTCTCCTTCTAAGCTCCAGCTAAATAAACTGGTGGGACATGGGTTTCTATTCCCAAGACTTTCTAAGGCTTAGGTTCACCAGAGGGGTGCATACCATTTTGTCTAAATAAAACCTGTGAACAAATGTTGCACTTCTCTATTGCTTAAGGTGTCTCATAAATGGAACTTGCATTAAATATAACAGGAGCATAAAATACTTGAAAACATTATATTGATCAACTTCTAATACAAACTTGTTTATTTTTAATTTATGAAAGTATAAACAGTATGTTTTCTAATAGAAAAAAATTTTTACAAAAAATTGGAACTCAATTTCACATTCTTTAAGGAAAAATTACGTCTTATGTATTTCTGTAGAGCTCAGGGAAAGTCAATTGTCAGTCATTGAGAAATTTGGGATGTTGATTCTAATTTTACAATTTTCAGATTTAATACACATGGTTATATATTCAGACTATAGCTAAAATGCAAAAATGTTAAAATTGAAGGTATAGTTGATGTCAGAGCTAAGGGAATTAAACATGGTAAATATGTATATCAGCAATGGGTATGTTTGAAGGCATTTCAACACATTTAATACCAGAACCTAGATGATATATTACTCATGTCTTTATTATAAAAAGTGATCATAGAGGTAGCATACATACTATGAGATTTGGTAGTTGCCATGGTTACTATATTTTTTTTACTGAACACAAGAATAAATAGCTATACACATTCTTTGTCATTATTAAGCTGGTAATTTACAGTAGCTTTAAAGATAGTGTGCCTGTTCATCTTAAAAAATGCAAATTGGAATATACCCATTTTCATTTTTCTGAGTCTAATGAAAGAAAAATTTTAAAAGTAATTTGCTGTGTATCCTTTTAATTTTGTGATTGTTGTAAAGCATTAGGCAAAGTATAATATTTACAAATTACTTTCTGGTACTTAGTCCTAAGGAGTTGATTTTTAAGGATGGTTTATGCAATCTGTTAGGCTACTCAAAAGTAGAGTATTTATATAACAAAGGTTTGAATAACACTTATTCTGTGGCAGATAATTCTCTAAATTTTATGAATATGTATTTATTTAATTTCATTTATGAAATCTTAATATCTTTCTTGAAGTGTGAATCTCTCCAGACGTGAGGTCAACAGCAATAGCCAAACGGAGTGAAGGAAGCAAAGAAAAATAAAACCCTTTTATCCTCTTCTCTGTCTGCCCAGATAATAAAGTATTCAATATCTGGTAGTAGAACATTAAATTTGAATAATGTAGAAATGTGTTTGGGTAAAAAATAATTTTTTTCCTCTGAAAAACACACTTGTTTTTATCTTTCTTCCCAACTAACTCATTATCCTTCTCAGAACCCATTAACTGCATTTTAAATATTTGTACATATTTTTGTTTCTACACAACTTTTATTTCTACACAACTTTTGTTCTCCCTCCTTCATCCAGCTCAATTGTAAAAGTTTCTAATAGGTCTTACACACTTTTTCCTGCAGTTAGTGTTTTGTAAACTCAGAATTATTTTTCTTTGCTGGTCATTAATCTTTTATTTAGTTACTTTTATTTTGCTTTGCTTTTATTTTAAAAATCTTGAAAATATAGGAAAGTTGAAAGGGTAAGTGGTACCCACAGTAACGTTACCTAGCAAAAGTGTTGCCATCAAACTTGTAATTTCATTTTAAATAAATGCTTTTATTTATATACTTTTTATTATACTGTGGTATAACATATCTTGCTTTGTTCTATTAAAATTGTGTTACTTAATTTTAGATGTGACTACCAGTATTTTTAATGGCTGCATGGTATATGTCTACCATCATTTGATTATCCATTTCCTTATGATTGAAAATGTAGGTTTCTTCCAATTCTGTTCCTTTATAAATAATATTGCTTTGGTTGTCTTTATTCATAGGACTTGTTTTATTTTTCTTATTTTTAGTGTAGATTCCAAGAAATAGAATTTAAGGACCAAGCATTTTGATTCCAAGTCCAGAGTTCTTTGAGACCTTAAATTAGGTTATTCAGAATATTAACTAAAACAGAGAGAAGTATTATAACAAAATTTTCACCTCAGACTTTACGTCCCTTTACCTTCCCCATAGCATGGGTTCTGTATAGAAGGCTCAGAAATAGGAGACACCATCAGGGAATCTCAGAGAATTATTTGCTTATTTGGTCCACCCTCTGCCACATAATACCCAGCTACAAATGGAAAACTTGACTTGAGCAGGAAGTTGCTATGCACATAAGTAAGATAACAAATACGAAACTTGCACAAGAATTCTACAATACATTCAGAGGTTAGGTAGGCAGCAGAACTGAAGGAGAACTAAAGAGTGGAAAGTGTGATTAACAGAGAATGCAAACCCAGGATAAAATCATCAAAATAAACATATGCCATATGTTTCAGAAATCTTCTCAACTACTTTATTTCCATTTTGCATCCTCTTTTTCTCATCTTCTGCCCTGTTTGCCTTCCTTCCTTTTGTTTCTTGCCTTTAAACTTCCTAATTAAATTGGCTGTCTTCATTTTCCTCCGCTTATTTTAATATTCCATCTCTTTTAAATGGAACTGAACTTGAGGTGTTACTATTATAGGGATAAGAGTAACAGAGTAAAAAGAGGCCAATACTGCCAAATTCAGAATTTCTGAAATAACTATGAATTTTGATTTTCAATGCATTAAAAATATCAACAAATCTATATCCATCTTTAGTTCTTTAAGTTTTTTAAAGCTATTATTCTTGCATTTCTAGATTCTACTTACACATCTTTCCTTTAGGTAAATATCTCCAATATTAGTTACATTTTTCATAGCTAGATTTTATTATTTCAAACCAAAATTTGTGTAAGAGAATGTCTACGAATTGGCCCTGTCTATTAGCCTAGATGTGAAATTAAAACAAAAGATAAGTGAGCAAACAAGAAATAAAAGGGAAAAGAGAGAAGAAGAAGAGTAAAAATCTCCCTTCTAGGACAAGGTATGGTTTCTTTAGCAGATATCTTGTAGACTGGTGAATTTCAAATTTGACTATCAAGATTCAATTATCTTTGGGACAATGTGGATTTCTGCCTTATAACAATAAAAACATGGATTCATCACCACCCACATTACCACTGAACTACTAACAGATGCAGCCTTCAGAATAGTGCTTCTCAACTGGGAGAATTTTGTAACCCAGGAGACATTTGGCAATTTCTGGAGACATATTTGGTTGTCACAACTTGGGTTGGGGTAGGCACTACTGTCTTCTAGTGGGTAGAGGCCAGAGGTGCTGCTAAACAGATGCTCAGGACAGCTACTAATAACAAACAATTGTCTGGCTCTAATGTCAACGGTACCCAGGATAAGGGGTCATGCTTTAAAACGAGGCATTGATCCTATGGTTATAGAAATGTTACAGGATATTAGAAGATATTTGAAAAATTGAAAGCGTTTTTCTGTGGATAGCAAGTTTATAAAACTGTTTTGTAAGACCATAATTGCAAAGTGAATAAAGTTATTGGAGAGTTATGAGTTAGGTCTGTATCAGCTAACACTTAACATGCTTTATTATCTTTCTCCTGTCACTTGAATGTAAGATTTTAAAGGGTGGTGCTTTTTTGTTATTGTTATATTTCATTGATGGCACATCATAGGCACTTAATAAGTATTTACTTTTAAAATAAGTGAATATCTAGGTAGGGTTAAGTTAACCAGTTTTTACAAATTATTTACAGGTCAATTTTTCCTTCTTTCCTTCCTCCATTGTTCCTTTAAAAAAAAATCGTAGACTTCTTGGTAAATCAGACAATTGTTAGAATTCCTGTCTCCATCAACAATATAAACGTGTCCACATACAGAAATAATCTTACTCAATTTTTAAAATTTCATAGACGTCATGAAAATCATCCATAGAATCCATGGATTCTCAGCATCTTTGGGTCCTATGTGGAAAACTGTAAAGCCAAAAATGGTATAGTCAAACAAATACCCAGCTTCCTCAAAGTGGAAACCTGTGAAATAAAAAATGACCCTCACCAAAGCCCATTGATAAGCTCTCCAAGTATGAAATTTTGTAACTATGGAAAAGAGACGACCAAGTTTGAAAATCACTTCTGGAGGTGTTGAATAAATTTCATGTGGTGGGTACTGGTACTATTTCTGAAGTCTGAAGTACTTTATAAATTGAGAAATGCAAACTTTCATTTAATATCTTTATTCAAAACAAAGAAATATCTTAGTTAAGTTATTATATTAAGTCAGTTAATCACAAAGGTTTAACCAGGATTTCCTTATTTATGACTTATTTGCAAAGAAAAGGCAAAAGGAGTGTAATATGTCTGCAGGGGGATTATTTTCTATTGATGGATGTCTGTTGACAGAATCCTCATCATTTCTTGCCAATTTTCTCAAAGAACATTATGACAACTGCTCACAGCAGGCAGAGTCAGACTCCAGAATTGATTTTGGCAATCTATATTGATCATATTGTTGATGATCTTTAAAACATCTTGCTGTCCCAGGCTTGACTTACGTCAAAGAGAGCTAACCAATCTATCTGATATCAGTATGCTCATGCCTTTACCAAATCTTGAATTCTGAAAATAAAAGCATTGAAAGTAACTTGTAGTTGTCATCAATATTTAAGAGTCATCTTTAGCCAAAAAGCATCAGCAAGCTAACAGAACATTTTATAAAGATGCTGTTCCCACTTTACTCAGCTGCATAATGACTTCAGAGATCCATAAAAGGAAAACAAGAGTGGAGCCTATTATCTCTGAGGTTCTTATTTCACTTTTGTTCTTTGTGCAGGAAAACAGAAAAAAATTGAGGGCTGCAACAGAAGAAAAGGAAAAGGAAAGGAAAAGAAGGAAAGAGGAGGCAAAAAAATAGAATAGGGAATTTTCAACTGTTTGCCACTTTTCCTGGTAAAATATTTTTTAAAAAGATATAAGAAGACTAATAACAGAAAAATGGGAAATTTGAAGCCAAAATGACATTGATGGAAATAAATACATACATCTATCTGTATGTTTGTATGTGTATGTATATGCATATCTGTACATGTGTACGTATATACGCAAATATAGGTATATTAACGTATCTGATTTATTCAGTGTTCCTTCAAGAGCACAAGGAAACATGTTTGCATATATTTTCTTAAGTCTTATTGCATATTGCCCACCTTGCAGAAGGAAAAAATAAAGCACAGAAAGAATAGATGAATATAAAGTCACCAAGTCAGTGAAAGAACAGAGAGAATTTAGTTCCTTTGAGGTTGAATCAATGAACTACCCATTAAATTATATCGTTTTCTAAGGCACGAGAGATATGACATGTACTGCAACATAAGACAGTGCCAGGAGTCTGATGGTTTTATTTCACTTAAAAACAAATTAACCTAAAAGGATTACTTGACTTTGAAATCCAGATTCCATGGCTAAATGCCTTACACTGGTGTGCATTTCCAAGACAGATAGGGCCTAGATTTAGGACTAAGGGCTCATTTGTCCATTCTCTAGATATGCTAGTTTGAGTCAAGAATGTCTTCAGCATGTGTACATCAAGTCAGACTTGTAGAGTATATCTCAAACATAAGAGTTTTATGTTATTTCTTTTTTTTTTTTCAAATGAATTTGGACTAAAATGTTAACAAAATTGGAAACAGCTGTGTTAAGAAACTACTTTCTTTTCCATTTATAGTCTTGTCGACCAATATAAACTTCATCATTTTAGTGGAGCTTCTCCCCCACATCCAGATGTTATGGATTTCTCAATAATCTTCAGCAAAATTGCCAAAACCAACAAGAAGTTTTAACATGTAAATTCAACACATTGTTTCATGCTCATCATGGCCTTTTCTCCATCAACCCCATCCTCATCAGATTTCAGATGCTCGGCAGTTGACACAGCTACAGCAAAGGACTCTGAGTCATCATCTCATTGTGGGATGGGTTCCTTTTAAATTTTTTTTGTCTGATTCATGAACTGCTTTTTGAAAATCTAAAAATGGTTCATGAATTGCTTGGGAGTTGGCAAAAATTAATAATAATGAGCCCATTTTGAGTACACTGAAATGAACTGATTATCATTGCAAGCTGTTGCTAATTTGGATTCTTGATGGCAAGAAAGGGTTCTACAGGAGACTTTTCACTTGCAAGTAGGACAGATTTCATGGTGTGGCAGATAAAACATTTTTGTAACCTTTACCTCTATGTTTCCTTTTAGGGTTATGGTGGGATATGTAGAAATAATAGACCAGTTATCAAGACTTAAAAAATTAGTCATACTGGGAAAATGATAGAACCAACAGCCCTTTATAAACTAGTGGTAAAATGCAGGCATGTCATGTAATCCCAGAATAAGGCTTGGGTGTTTTCGCAAATGTTAGGAGATTATGTTCTGCAGAATAAGCATGGATATATCTGGTTATTTTATCCTAATTTATTAGCCACATATTGTTAGTTTTGCTCATATCAGTTTCTAATCATTTTCTCCTAAACTTTCAAAGCTATTAGCTTTAGCATCATCCTTCAGTTGAGATTTTCACAGGGTAAAGTATATGTTACGCATGAAGTAAGAATTCCTCTTGCTTTTGTTTCATGAGAAAAAAGTAGGGTAAAGGTTGGTGGGCCACACATGTTACTGGAATATATGAAATATCAGAAATGACATTTATTGAAATATCAGAAAATGTTTTTGGCATAATTTGGGGAAAAACAAAACAAATATAAAGCAAAAATAAATCCTTTTTGCCTTCTTGAACTTCTGAAATCAAATATTTTGAAACCTTGTTTTCATAGTAATCATGTACCTGGAAGATTGTTTTATGTTTTGAAACTAAGTAAATTATCTTTGAAAGCAAAAACCTATGCCTGCAAAATAATCGTGAAAGATATAATTTGACCTCATGTGGTTGAATACACAATGAGATGAGTTACTTTAATTTGGAGTTGAATTACCATGTATAAAATATCATGAAATAATTAAACTTAGCACTTAGAGAAATCATACTATCCCTCACCATATTATAGCCATGGGAAAAGTAAACCTTTTGACTAAACTATTCTTAATCCAACTACATAGAAAGGGCAATGAAAATCTCTTACAGTGCTGGAAATTTCTATTTTATGTTGCATGTGGAGCTCTGCTTCATTCTGCAATAACACAAATATTATCGAAATTTTCATTCTTGAGGTTTTATTTAGATTATTTATATTCTTTTTTTATTATTATACTTTAAGTTCTAGGGTACGTGTGCACAATTTGCAGGTTTGTTACATAGGTATACATGTGCCATGTTGGTTTGCTGCACTCATCAACTCGTCATTTACTTTATTTATATTCTTAATCAAAGGTGACAAGTAAAACAAAGCTTTGAAAATAGTCAATGCACCTTTGACAACTTGCAGGATAGCAAAAATTAACCATAATTTAGCATTTTAAATACTTTCTTTGCAAAAGAAATGTCCTTATCCTATTAAGGAAAAAAAGAAATAAAAAACATGAGAAATGCCTGTGGAAAATGTCAGCGTGATGGAAGACAGCAGAGAGAAGTTCTTGGATTAGAAATGCTACCTTTATTTGGTGTTGAGTAAAAATAGACATATGAATCTTAGCCTTGGCAAAGCAATTTCAAAATCCTTATTTATTTATTTATTTTTTGGTATCTGAGGTTTTACTAAATCCAGAAACCCTCCTAGAAATCACAATTTAAAACAGGTAGTGTTTCACTCTCTCCTACAGGATATATAAATGCCAAATCATGTTACAGTTTAATGCAGAAAACTGTTTTATTCTCAACGAGAGTTTTAAGTGTGAAAGAGAACCAGAAATATCACACAGCACACACCAAATTTTAAATACTTCTATAGTATTTCTAAAAAATTGATTTAATAGTGTTTAAAAACCCTCTAGGGTCATGAGCATAGCTGTTAATTTGAAAAACCTGAATACATTGCTCCATTATACCTAAAGGTCAAAGCATTTCATCTTCAATTTAATGTGTTAGACTTTGCCGTAAGACAACGTGGTGGGGGGCAAAGATAGAAAGAGAAGATTCTGGTAATTTTGGTCTCTTTACTCTCTACCACCTGCTAGATACAACACTCCAAATCTTTTTCCTTCAACTAATTTTTTTTTCTCCCTTAGATTTCCTTTCCAAAAAAGTAGCAGGGGAAAAAAGACTATAGGAGAATTGAGGGATTATATAAAGAGAAGCACATTAATTAAAATTAAAAGAAAATTCTACTTTAATATCTGACTTAAAAATATCAGGATGCTGAAGGTCTAGGTTCTGTGAAAAATAAAAAGATCCTTTCAAACTTTGAAAGCTAAGACTTAACAGCTTTTAGAACTATCTCTAGTTGATTTTGATAGCTAAGAGGCTGCTGAAAGGAAATATGAAGCTAACTATAATATTTAGTCTTCAAATCACACAGGGTAAGTCGGCAGATTCCTGGAGCTCATGACAAAGTGTTTCTCAGAGCAGAGGTTGAGATGTCTAGGAAGCAACAGAAAGGTATGGTTCTACAGAAACCTCATTTTAATGTTCTAAGTTACTGTTTTATAGGGAGAACAATATATACCTGCAACAAATTCTTGTACTTGACTTCATTCCTTTCTGTTATCTTTCTCTCTTCATAATCTTTCTGCCTCTGATTCTGATACCACCTCCATTCCTCAGGGTATGGACATTTCTTTTATGAAGGGATTAACTTGCCATTCCAGTGCAGGAGTCAGCAAACATACTGAAGCCAAATCTGACATGAGCCAAATCTGACCCACCACTTGTTTTTGCATGGCCTTGAGTTAAGAATGAGTTAGACATTTTAAGTGTCTAAAAAAATAAAAAAAGATTAATATTTTCTTGCCTGTGAAAATTGTAGGATATTCAAATCTGTGTCCACAAAGTTTTATTGGAACCCAGCCATGATCATTCCCTTAGGTATTGTCTATGGCTGCTTTTGCACTACAGTGGCAAAGTTGAGTAGTTGCTGCAGTCTGTATGGTCTGCATCTCTACAATATTTATTATCTGGCTCTTTGCACAGAAAATAAATTGTTAACTACTACAGGAGTCAAAACAGAAGACACTACAGTTTCCATTACCTCTCTTCAACAACACTGCCTTCAGATTGCAATTATTTCAGGAAATGGTAACAACAGTCTTCCACTAATAATTTATGATGAAAATCTTGCAGTCTCTTTCTTTCTCTCTCTCTCTTTCTCTCTCATTTTATTGGGGACATGGTCTTGCTGTGTCACCTAGGCTGAAGTGCAGTGATGCAATCATAGCTCACTGCAGTCTTGAATTCCTGGGTTCAAGCAATACTCCTGCCTTGGATTCCTAAGGTGCTGAGATTATAGCTGTGAGCCACCATGCCCACCTCTTTCTCTTTATTAGAATTTTTTAAACAATGTGCCTCCAGTGGGTTATAGTCTGTCCAGATTCACCCAAAGGAAGGAGGGGATCAACAAAACAATCATTTTTCCTTTAGCATGCTATGCTTTTAAAACGTTGAGAAACACTTAACACATATTATTTTCCTGCTCCCCCAAAAAACTCTTACAGGTTTAAATATGAATTTACAACCCTTATTTGTAATTCTGAAATCCAAAAAGCTTTTCCCTGAACTTCTTTTAGGTTAGAATCTGACTTGAACTGATTTGAGCTATTTATTATCTTAATTCATCCCATTTAAGGATGAGTATTTCTGCAGCAGATTTTAATGTGCTTGATGAAGGGATTAAGACATAGTGTCCCAGACTCTGTTAGGGATGGTATGTGATATGAATTACATGAATAATATTACCATCCTAAATTCTGAAAAAAATCTGATTCCTATTCACATATTGTCTCAAGGGTTTCAGATCAAGGACAGTCCTCTCAAAATTATCATGACCATGCAGAATTCTTTCTTCCCATCCATACCGTGCCTATGCCAGTAAATGACATACCACTCACCCAGTTGTGCTAATTGCAAAATATACCTGGAACAACTTCTTGCCAGCTCTGTTATTATCACACTATCCCAAGTTCTGATCATTTCTGCTGTGTTATTTCAGTATCTTAAAGACTATTGATCTTTCCAGCCTTGGTTTCTCCATAGTGAGTTCTCCATAGATAGTAAAAGTGATCTTTGTAAAAAGTGTATCTTTCATGTCACAATCCTGAGCAAAGCCTTCCAGTTACTTTGCATTACACTTAAACTGCAAGCTTCTTCATGTGGCTTGCAAAGCCCCAGGAGATTCCCCATGACCTGGCTTGTGCCTACGGACCTCACCTTGTACCATGTTACCTTTCCTTACAAGCTAAGGCATCACAGCCCTCATGCTCATTTCTGTCTCAAGGATTGGGAACTGCTGTATATCCGCTTTGAACTTTCTTCCTCTAGTTTTCACGTGACACCTGTCACTAACATCATAATTCTGTTCAAGCATATCACCTAAATGAGGCCTTCTGTGACTAGCTTATATAAATAATATCTCCCTTAAGGCCGCTGTTATTCTGCACTCTGACACTTAAGTTTATTTTCTTGAGTCCAATGGTTATCTCCTCCTTTAGAATCTTATCACTTCCTGCTTAGCCTGACACAGTAGCCTTTTAACAATAAAACAGAGCTGCAGATGAAACACTAGCTTAGAAGGCAGGAGACCTGGGTTTTACTGAAGCTACATCACACAAGCTCTGTGACTTCTCTTGACTTCAATTTCTTCATCCCTAAATGAAAAATCTTAAACTGCAATTTTTGAGGTCTTTAATAATCCTCAAATTCTAAGGTAATTTTCTACCTCTATTCTTTTTCTACTCTAGTCCAATATGTAATAGCTGTCAAATTAAACTTTAGAAAGTTCTCTTTTAACCATTTTATTTTCCATGATTCTCCACTGGCTGTATGTTAAAGTATAAAATATCCTCCTTAGTTTATTTTAAAGTATGTTCTCAGATCAAGTGCTCGCCTTTTCAAGTTGAATTTCTCACCACTCCTATATAAAGACGTTCTAGCTCTCAAATTGTTCTACACACAAAAATGTTTTGTTTTGTTTTCATAAAATTCCTTTTGCTAACAATGTCTATATCCTGTCTAGCCATCAGAATCTTCCTCACCCTTGAAGGCCCAGCTAATATTCCACCCTTTTATGAAATGTTATAAACACCAAAGCCACCACTTAAAAATGAAGCAATGGGTTGTAGCTAATAAGCAAATGAAGTAGACAAAATGGAGCAATAAAATAATTTTTAAACCAAAAGGAAACAAAGAAGAGAGAGAACAAAAAGAATATACTTGGTAGAAAGGTAAATTTAAACCAAGAAGATCGTTAACAACACTAAATGTATAGTTTAAACATACTAAGTAAAAAGTAAAAATTGTCAGAATGGATTGAAAAACAAGACCCGACTACCAGTTACTTACAAAAGACTTGCCTTTATTTATGTATTTATTTATTGAGACAGTATTGCTGTGTCACTCAGGCTTGAGTGCAGTGGTGCAATCTCAGCTCACTGAAACCTCCGCCTCCAAGGTTCAAGCGACTCTTCTGCCTTAGCCTCCTGAGTGCTGGGACTAAAGGCGTGCACCACCATGCCCGGCTAACTTTTGTATTTTTACTAGAGATGGGGTTTCACCCGGGTGGCCAGGCTGGTCTCAAACTCCTACACTTAAGTGATCCGCCTCGCTTTGCCTCCCAAAGTGCTGGGATTATAAGCATGAGCCACTGCACCAGTCCAAAAACTCACTTTAAATATAAAGACACAAATAGTAGAAAAAAAAAAGAGGAAATATAGGAAATATATGCTATATGACTACTAAACAAAGTAAAGCTGAAGTGTCTATATTAGTATTAGTCAAGACATATGTCAGAATATGGAATGGGGCAAAGATAGTCATTTTGTAATGGTAAAATGATTAATTTATTCAGATAACAATCTATAGTCTCTGTACCTAACAACTGAATTTTGAAATGCATGAAGTCATACTTAACAGAATTCAAAATGAAATAGACAAATCCACAATTACAATCAGGAATTTAAGAACTCTCTCAATTGCTATAAGAAGTAGACGGAAATCAAGTATAAAGAATGCTTGAACAATGCTGTCAACCAACCAGAACTAACTGGTGTTTATAAAACACTACACCCAACAATAGAAGAATTTTTCAAGTACTCATGGAGCATTTACTAAGATTGTTCATATTCTGGGTCATGAAGTAGGTCTCAATACATTTAAGAGGAGTCAGATTATACAAAGTATGTTCTGTGACCATAATGTTATGAAATTAGAAATCAATAAGAGACAGATATTCAGAAAATTCCCAAATATTTGGAAACTATATAAAGCACTTCTAAATAACCCATTGGTCAAAGAAAAAGCTAGAAGATATTTTGAACGAAATGAAAATGAAAACAACATGTCAGAATTGGTGGGATGCAGTTAAAGCAGTACTCAGAAGAAAAGAATTGTCTAAAGCCAATTACCTAAATTTCACTTTTTGAAACTAGAAAAAGAAGAGGAAATTAAACTCCAGATAAGCAGAAGAAATAAAATTTAAAAAAATAAGAGATGAAGTAAAGGAAATAGTAAACAGAAAAGACAATGGAAAATCAATGAGATCTAATGTTGCTTTACTGAGGTGATCAATAAAATTATTTATCATGAAAAATAACCAATCAGGAAGAAAGACAAAAGCCACAAATTACCAATATCAAGAATGAGAAAGGTAAGATATATAACTGTAGATATTAAAGAATAATAGGAGGATATTATTAACAAAACTTTATGCCAATAAATTTACAAACTTGTATGGAATGAACAGATTGCCTTAAAGACACACTAACAAAGTTCCTTCAAGATGAAATATGTAACCCAAGTAGCCCTATATCTATCTTTAAAAATTAATCTTCTAGATCCATACCTTCAAAATAAATAAATAAAATAGAAGCCTGGCACAAATGGCTTTACTTTTGGGTTCTGCCAAGGAAGGAAGAAATAATACCCATTCTATACAAATGCCTCTGGAAAATAAGAGAGATAAATACTTCCAACCTAATTCTATGTGCCAACATTATGCTAATATCAAAAATGAAGAAATTTATCACAGGAAAGCAAGCCACATTCCCATGTTCTTCAGGAACATAGACATAAAAAGAATTTAAAATCTTAGCAAATGGAATCCAACAGGATACATAAGGGATAATAAATGACTAAATGGGGTTTATCTCAGGAATATAAGTGACTTGAAAATCAATTAATGCAGTTAACTACATTAAATAGTAAAAAAGCAAAACTATATGATAATCTTAAGAGAATCAGAAAAAGCATTTGACAAAATCAATATCCATTTCTGATTTAAAAAACAGCAACAAAATCTTTCAGCAAACCAGGAACAGAAAGAGACTTCTTCCACCTAATAGTGGACATCCATCATACCTGATGAATAAATGACTACTCTTCCCCCTAAATTAGGAACAAGGCCAGTGTATCACTCTCATCACTTCTATTCAACATTGTACTCTTCACTGTAGCCAGTTCAGCCTAAGAAAAGAAACAAAATACATCCAGATGGGAAAAGAAGTAAAAAGTGCCTTCATTCATATATGACATGTGGGAAATATGTGACTTGATGAGGCCAGATGATGGTCTGTGGTAGGTCATATTTTCCAAAGTGAGTAAAAATACCTCCTATGATATATGCTTTCCTACAAGGCTATCTTGGCACTTTTCTCATCAAAAGATGGTATCTATGTCCCCTTCCATTATAGCTAGATGAGCTCATACCTAAAAGATTGTAGCAGAAATGATGCTTCTTGACTTTCAAGGCTAGATTAGAAAAGGTGATACAGCTTTCACCTAGGTTCCTAGAGCAATTGTGCTTAGATCCCTGAGCTACCTTGTTGGAATTTCAGTTACTCTGAGATTGCCATACTGGAAAGCATCAGGTAGATGTTCCTGTTGACGGTCCAGTTGATCTTCCAGCTTACCGCCAGTGTCAGCTGTCATGTGAGTTGGCCATTTATTTCCAGGCCAGTTCAGCCTTTCAGATGACTGAAGTTCCAACGAACATTTGGCTCAAATAGCATGCAAGAATCTAAGCAAGCACTGTCTAGCTGAGTTTTTCCTGAATTTAAGATAAAATTGAAAGCAAAATGAAATCATTGTTTTAAGCTGCTAATTTTGGGTAATTTGTTGGTAGCAATATAAATCGCAACGCTTCTGTCTAGAATACATGGAGTCAGATGACTTTTCTTTTTAGTACATTATTCTATGCACTGATAAAATTCTTAGAATAAAAGCAGGCTGTCTTTTCATTTTTTATTATACTTCAAGCTTTGGGACACATGTGCAGAACGTGCAGGTTTGTTACATAGGTATACACTTCCCATGGTAGTTTGCTGCATCCATCAACCCGTCATCTACATTAGGTATTTCTCTAATGCTATCCCTACCCTAGCCCCCCACGCCCCGACAGGCCCCAGTGTGTGATGTTCCCCTCCCTGTGTCCATGTGTTCTCATTGCATTCAACTCCTACTTATGAGTGAGAACATGCGGTGTTTGGTTTTTTGTTCCTGTCTTAGTTTGCTGAGAATGATGGTTTCCAGCTTCATCCATGTTCCTGCAAAGGACATTAACTCATCCTTTTTATGGCTGCCTGGTATTCCATGGTGTATATGTCCCACATTTTCTTATCCAGTCTATCATTGATGGGCATTTGGGTTAGTTTCAAGTCTTTGCTATTGTGAATAGTGCTGCAATAAACATATGTGTGCATGTGTCTTTATACTCGATTTATAATCCTTTGGGTATATACCCAGTAATGGGATTGCTGGATCAAATGATATTTCTGGCTCTAGTTCCTTGAGGAATCACCACACTGTTTTCCACAATGGTTGAACTAATTTACACTCCCACCAACAGTGTAAAAGCTTTCCTATTTCTGCACATCCTCTCCAGCATCTGTTGTTTCCTGACTTTTTAATGATCAACATTCTAACTGGTATGAGATGGTATCTCACTGTGGTTTTGGTTTGCATTTCTACAATGATCAGTGATGATGAGCTTTTTTTCCCATATGTTTGTTGGCTGCATAAATGTCTTCTTTTGAAAAGTGTCTGTTCATATTTTTTGCCCCATATTGATGGGGTTGTTTTTTTCTTGTAAATTTGTTTGAGTTCCTTGTAGATTCTGGATATTAGCCCTTTGTCAGATGGATAGATTACAAACATTTTCTCCCATTCTGGAGGTTGCCTGTTCACTCGATATTAGAATCTTTTACTGTGCAGAACCTCTTTAGTTGAATTAGATCCCATTTGTCAATTTTGGCTTTTGTTGCCATTGCTTTTGATGTTTTAGTCATGAAGTCTTGGGGATATAACCATCAATCCCAAGAAATACAAACTACCATGGAAGAATACTATAAATACCTCTACACAAATAAACTAGAAAATCTAGAAAAAATGGATAAATTCCTGGACACACACCCCTCCCAAGACTAAACCAGGAAGAAGTCAAATCCCTGAATTGATCAATAACAAGTTCTGAAATTAAGGCAGTAATTAACAGCCTACCAACCAAAAAAAAAAAAGTGCAGGACCAGACAGATTCACAGCCGAATTCTACCAGAGGTACAAGGAGGAGCTGGTACCATTCCTTCTGAAAGTATTCCAAACTATCGGAAAAGAGGGACTCCTCCCTAACTCATTTTATGAGGCCAGCATCATCCTGATACCAAAACCTGGCAGAGACACAACGAAAAAAGAAAACTTCAGGCCAATATCCCTGGTGAAAATCAATGTGAAATCCTTAATAAAATACTGGCATACCGAATCCAGCAGCATATTAAAAAGCTTATCCACCATGATCAGTTTGGCTCATTCATCCCTGGGATGCAAGGCTGGTTCAACATACGCAAATCAATAAATGTAATCCACCACATAAACAGAACCAATGACAAAAACCATGTGATTATCTCAATAGATGCAGAAAAAGCCTTTGATAAAATTCAACACCCCTTCATGCTAAAAACTCTCAATAAACTAGATATTGATGAAATGTATCTTGAAATAATAAGAGCTATTTATGACAAACCCACAGCCAATATCATACTGAATGGGCAAAGCTGGAAAGCATTCCCTTTGAAAACCAGCACAAGACAAGGATGCCCTCTCTCACCACTCTTATTCAACATAGTATCAGAAGATCAGGCCAGGGCAATCAGGCAAGAGAAAGAAATAAAGGTATTCAAATAGGAAGAGAGAAAGTCAAATTGCCTCTGTTTGCAGATGACATGATTGTATATTTAGACAACCCCATTGTCTCAGCCCAAAATCTCCTTAAACTACAAGCAACTTCAGCAAAGTCTCAGGATATAAAATCAATGTGCAAAAATTACAAGCATTTCTATACACCAATAATAGACAGAAAGCCAAATCATGAGTGAACTCCCATTCACAATTGCTACAAAGAGAATAAAATACCTAGGAATCCAACTTACAAGGGATGTGAAGGGCCTCTTCAAAGAGAACTACAAACCACCGCTCAAGGAAATAAGAGAGGACACAAACAAATGAAAAAACATTCCATGCTCATGGATAGGAAGAATCAACACTGTGGAAATACTGCCCAAAGTAATTTATAGACTCAATGCTATCCCCATCAAGCTACCATTGACTTTCTTCACAGAATTAGAAAAAACTACTTTAAATTTCATATGGAACAAAAAAAGAGCCAATATAGCCAAGACAATACTAAGCAAAAATAACAATGCTGAAGGCATCATGCTTCCTGACTTCAAACTATAAAACAAGGCTACAGTAACCAAAACAGTATGGTACTGGTACCAAAACAGATATATTGACCAATGAGACAGAACAGAGGCCTCAGAAATAATGCCACACATCTACAACCATTGGATCTTTGACAAACCTGACAAATACAAGCAATGGGTAAAAGATTCCCTATTTAATAAATGGTATTGGGAAAACCGGCTAGCCATATGCAGTAAATTGAAACTGGACCCCTTCCTTACACCTTGTACAAAAATTAACTCAAGGTGGGTTAAAGACTTAAACGTGAGACCTAAAAGCATAAAAACTCTAGAATGAAACCTAGGCAATACCATTCAAGACACAGGCATGGGCGAAGACTTCATGTCTTTTCATTTTTAAAAGTACATAGGAGCAAGATGAAATACTGTAAAGAGACAGCCACATAGACCCTCTAGTTAATAGTCCAGCCGAGCCTTCAGACAACATCCAGCAGCAGTTGCCATGTAAGATGATAGCCATTTTTGACTTCCATGATAGTCAATCTTTCAACTTTCCAAGTTCTTACTGTGGCAACATGAATGAAGATATATCATTTAACCTCAGGAAATTTCAGTTATTTTAATTACTAAGATGAGTACTCTGGTATTTTCTTTCTTATTGGGACATATATAGCCCATATAGGAAGGGCTAAAGAAAGAATGCATATGTTAAACATTCCAAATTTGATGCAATGAAGAAATATTACTTGTCTTCTCATAGCCTAGTCTATTTTTAATATCTTTTGATTACTTTACAACTGCATTTCTCAGTTGAGAAATCAGAGTAGTGAAGTGGGTTAGGTAAATCGTCCATTTGTTTTACAAATAATGATTAAATAGTTATATCAGATATCATGAAAAGCCCTAGGAATACATTAGTGAACTCAAATAACATTATATCTTCCTTTATAAAGTTTACAATTTAGTGGAGAAAATACATTTGTAAACTGAAAAATTTAATATACTATGATAATTAAGGAAATATTAGGCTTCTGTGTGAATACAGACAAAGTACCCATAAAAGAAAGCATGACCAGAGAAGCTTCCTAAAAGAATTAATAACTAAAAATTTTCCAAGTGATGAGAAATAATACCACACAAGGTAAACAAAGACAAGAGAGAAAAAAATAGCCAGGCAGTGAGATGATCAAATCAGTATTGATTGGTCATTTGTATTGATTGTATTTGTACTGATTGCAATAGAGAGATGGATAGTTGAAACATCATTAGAGAAAAAGAGAAAAAATTAGATCTCCAGTCTCAACCCCAAACCTCCTGAACTGTAATACCTGGGGTGGAGTCAGCTGATGTAGTTAGTTTTGTAATCTACTGCTTGGGAAAACATTGGAAATGACCTTTTTTTTTTTTTTTATTCTTTTACTTCAAGTTCTGGGATACATGTGCTGAATGTGCAGGTTTGTTACATAGGTATACATGTGCCATGGTGGTTTGCTTCTCCTAACAAACCATCATCTAGATTTTAAGCCCCACATGTATTAGGTATTTGTCCTAATGCTGTCCCTCCCCTTTCCCCCAACCCCCTGACAGGCCCTGGTGTGTGATGTTCCCTTCCCTGTGTCCATGTGTTCTCACTGTTCAACTCCCACTTATGAGTGAGAATATGCAGTGATGGGTTTTCTGTTCCTATCTTAGTTTGTTGAGAATGATTGTTTCCAGCTTCATCCATGTCCCTGTAAAGAAGGGACATGAACTCATTCTTTTTTATGGCTGCATCGTATTCCATGGCATACATGTGCCACATTTTCTTTATCCGGTCTATCATTGATGGGCATTTGGGTTGGTTCCATGTCTTTGCTATTGTAAATAGTACTGCAATAAAGATATGTTTTGCATGCGTCTTTATAGTAGAATGATTTATATTCCTTTGGGTATACACCCAGTAATGGGATTGCTGGGTCAAATGGTATTCTGGTTCTAGATCCTTGAGAAATCGCCACACTGGGAAATGACCATTTTCTTTGTTTGTTGGTATAGGTTTGATGAAATGGAGAAATTACCAATTTATTTATAATCATGTACTGCTTTGCTATGTCCAATTACAGTTTTAGAATCTTTAGGGCTTTCTTCGCACTTCTAGGACAATTTCTCCCAAGGAATTTATGACATTGAAGGCCTATTTAATATTTTCCAGAAAAGAAACTTGTCTTACTGATTTTAAGAAGACAAAAAGTATTTTTAAAACCAATAAATCACATTTATAATTATTGTAGAGAGGATGTGAAAGATTTTTTTCACTCAGTATAATGCCATTGAGAGCCACCAAAGTTTTTGTGTGCATAATAATTTGTTCCTTTTTATTGCTAAATGGCATTTCATTATATAGATATACCACCCTTTGTTTATCCATTTACCCATTGAGGGATATTTGGGCTCTTTTCATTTTTTGCCTATTACAAATAACGTTTCTATGAACATTTGTAAACAGGTTTTTGTGTGGTCCTGAGTTTTTACCTCTCTAAGATAAATACCCAAGAACGTGATCACTGAGTCTTATAGGAAGAATTTGTTTAACTTTCTAAGAATTTGCCAACCTTTTCCAGAGTAGCTGTACTATCTTACATTCCTGCCAGCAATGTATGAGAGACATGGCTGCTTCACATCCTTGTCCATATCTTCGCTTAATGAAGAGGAACATTCCCTGGATATGGTGGCTCAGCGAATGGCTAATTCTTTCCAGTTCATCAGTCAGACGGTCATTCTACCTCTCACTTAATGAAAAGGTAAGAGCTACTGCTTCTTCTCCAAGTCCGTTTCTGTTCAAATATATTGCCTATATTTCTTAGAAGTACTGAGTGGGAGACCCATACTTTATTGCGTTACGTTAAAAAAACACTAAGGGGGATAAAAATCTATTATTTTGCCTCTAAATAAAAACAAGATTTTTTAAGTGATGTGGAAAGACAGAATACACATTCTGAATTGTTCAAAACAATAAAGATGGAATTAAAAACAAAATAAGCCACCTACTGGTGAAAGGCACAGAATTTGTACCGTATAGGTAAAGATGCTGCCCAGCATACCGAGGAAAGCTCCATCTCTAACAATAGGTAAGTTTGAAAAAAAAAATCACCTCCTCCATTTAATCACGCAGGAAATTATGGCTTGAACATCAAAGAAAGATTCCCTACTTGGTTAATTTTGAGCTTCAGATTCCATGTTAGAAAAACCCATACCAAGTTGTCTTTGCAGAGTCAAGGGTCAATGAGAGTAATTTACAGGCATTTTTAACTGTGAAAAAGTAGAAACAATCTAAATGTAACATAAAAAAAGTGTTACTATGTTGATTGGGAATACACAGATTTATAATTTAATTTGGAAAAGAAATTATAAAATAATGAGCATTTTAAAATAATGAGCCTTCCAATTTAAGCAATAATAGGCCTTGTTGCTCCTATTTTAAAAATTTGAAATTATGTAATATTTGAAAAAAAGTAGTTATGTTAATTACATATTTATTAAATATAATATATGAATTCTTACTGTAAAACATAAGATCTATACACATTCAATGAAAGCGCCATTGAATCCCATGCTGTTCTAGTCTCTTCCTTAGAGATAAACACTGTTATCTGAATGAAATGTATCATCTCAAAACTCTGCCTATATGTCCACCTATGTATATCTTCATACGTATCAATATACAGTTTTGTTTTTGATAAATGGGATTATACCTTGCACATTGTTTTGTAATTTGACTTTTTAACTTAATACGTCTTGAAGAGCATTCCATGTGTGAATGCACAGGCTATATAACACACCAAATTATTTTTAACTGCTTCATATTTTATAACATAGATGCAGCATGATACTTTTATTTAGGTCACCATTCTCATATTGATACAATTTCTTCCCTTCATTTTTGTTGTTTTTGTTTGTTTATGGCTCTTAACAAATAATAGTACCATTAACAGAGATGGCCCAGAGCTGGATTTAGATTTTTACCCTCCATGAAAGTCTTTGTCTTTTCATTGTTGTAGCTGATATGTTTTATTTTAGTACCTTATCTTGGGTTTTCTATTTATAATGCTTCTTGATATCGTCTGTATTTTGCCAATAAAGATCATGCTTCTTTTATTTTTCCAGCAAAAAGTATGCATCCTTTTTTCTAGCAGTTCTATAACCACAAGCTTAAAACTGTATTCTGTAATTATCAATGCAAATAAAATATCTTCATCCCAGTATTATTTATAATGACAAAAATAATTGTGATACCTTACATTTTCTGGAATTTGTTATATTAGATAAAACAAGAGCCTTTATTTTTATAGTTTATTAGGGAAAAGAGAAAATATCACCTCTTAATCACATTATCAAAGCAGACTTGGATTCCAAATAGGTTTGGAATTTTTTAAATTCCAAATTTTTTAAATAAGGGATTTTTTAAAGTTACATATAATCTTTGAGGACTATAAAAGCAGATGTGTTTTAAACATGAGCTCTGGCAAAGACTTCCACTGGTAACACTGGGCTCAGTAAAGGAAATCTCATTAGAAACCTGCAAGTTGTGTGTGTGTGTGTGTGTGTGTGTGTGTGTGTGTGATTTTTGAAAGGTCTAAATAGAAATCTGCAAGTTGTGTGTGTATGTGTGTGTAGGGGGGTGATTTTTAAAGGTCTAAATTCAAATCAATACCTACTTGGTAAGAATATTTTTACTGCCTGGGAAAAATAATTAATTGAAACAGTAGCTAGGCCAAAAGAGGGCAGGGGGAGATAAAATGCTACTTTTGAGTGGCAAGATTGAAAAATAAATTATAAACTGCTTTATGATTGGAGGAACTAATGAATAATAAACAAATACTAAAGAATAGGTTTTTTCAGGTATCGAAAACACTGCTAATTCATATTTTGATTTCCTGGATTCAAATGAGAAGTGAGACGGTGGCTGAGACTTGAAACTTGAAAAGTGAGAAGAGATTTTAGGTCAATATCTGTGATGGGAAGATTCTCAGCAACACAGGGCCAAGCCTAGGATGCCAGTCCTATGTTGGAATTGGGTAATGAAATTTCAGAAGTGATATCTATGTGCATTCTAGATTTTCCTTTTTGTGTTGTTGTTCCTTTATGATACTACCACATCCTTAGTAAGGGAAATAAAGAAATTGATTATATCCCGGTTTTGAAATAAATCAAACCACAAAAATCTGGGGTGGTATGTAGATGTAGTATAGAGATGGCATAAGATGTGTAGAGAAACAGGAGTTATAGTTCATAGGGAAAAATATAATAAAACAGATCCTTCAGATATTAAGGTGTATTTAGGAGAGCATTGTCTTTTCTTCCAAGCTATTTGGATTAGGTCTCCAACAATAATTATTTGAGCTTTAAATGGAAGGGTAGCCTTAGTGCTCAGAGGCCTTTGGAGTTACTGAGTATCTTCAGGCTGGCTGAATTGCAGTTTTAAAAATTCTTTTAGGAAATCTATAGTTAGTTTTCTGAGTCCTATACATAGCAGTGTATGTTTATGTTGACTTCACATACTAATCTCAACTTGACTGGGTGTAAGAATCTTGGACCATGGCCTATCTATCCCCTCAAAACTATCTATACATTTTCCTCTTGTTTTCTTGCATTTATTATTGAAGATAAAAAATCTGAGTCTAATTGGATTTTGCTTCCATTAAAGATAATCTGTTTTCTTCTGATTTGATGCTTATGTAATTCTTTATTCCTGAGATATAAAATATCACCAGTTTATTTCAGATGCTAATCTATTTTACTAACTCTTCCTATAATTTGACACATTAAAAAAAATAATGTAGGGTTTTTTTTCTTCTGTTTAGAATATTTTAGATTATTGTTAGAGTCTAAGTGTTCTGGTCTCTTTTGAATAAATACATCATAAATATACTAGGTTTCTATTCTCTTTCCTCTGTATCAGTTTTCCTCTCTCTTACTGTTTTAAACTTGCATCATTTTATTTCTTTGCATCTGCAGATAGCACGTTGAGTTTGTTCACATTATTGATTTGTATTGTCTGGCTTGTAGATTTTCTTTAACAATTTTAAGGTAGTTGCTGATTATGTATGTTACATAATTTTAGCTCCTCAAAGTATTTTCAAAATATTTTAGTTCCATTTTAAAATTATATCCAATATATCTGTTTTCATCTCAGTCTTGTATAAATGAACATATAAGAGATAACAAATGACAGAAAGCCCTACTCAGTTTCAAATAAAGATTCATTGACTTATTTACTCTTCCATTCAATGGGTATTTATTGGTCTTATTCAAAGATTCAACAACGTCATCAAGGGCCTGGTTTGTTTCCCGCCCTTCAATTTGCTTCATACTGTCACCTTCATTCAAAGGTTAACCATTAATATGGTTTCAATATTATCAATATTCCTATATTACATGTTCAGGGAGAGAAAAGTTGAGTCTCTTTTAGAACCAGAAAGCAAAGGACCATTTTTCCTTGTGGCTCGTAGCAAACATTATCATCAATCTTACTGTCCCAAATCAGATTACATGGTCCGCCATCTAAGGCTAGATATGTAATTTGTAGGGCTAAATGCAAAATGAAAATGAAAAGCCTTTTTGCTTTAGATTTACTATTTAATGCCATTCTAAGCAAACAAAAATTTAAAAAATTAAATTGGTAACAAGTGTTTACCATTCATGTTCATATTGTGCAATGAATGCCAGCTTTAAATACAAATACAAGCACACTTAACTAGTGCAACATTACTGAAACTGCACAGTTCATAGCTAGTACTTGTATGTATGTTTCATTCTTACCATTACAGTCAAAACCTGCATAAAACCAACTCAAATGTTTTTATTTTACGTTTTGCTGTGCTTGCATTCCACCGACATTCTCTATCTTTGGCTTACTCATAAAGGTGGGCTGAAAGGAAAAGGAGATATGGGTTATCCTGTCTTTCCCTTTCTATGCCATCATTTTCATTAAAAGTGGTTGGTTAATACAGACAAGTTACATAAGTAAGAAAGAAAATGATAGGATTCTTTGATTATGCTTTTTTTTACTGTAAATTTTAGAAATGTTTATTTTAGAAACACACAAAGCTAAAATGCATATTTCAGTCCAACAACCTAGAGAGAAAACATAGGGAGCTACATGTTTTTGTTTAGTCTTGTTTTTTCCTCAAAATCCATCCCTAAGAGTCAAGAGCTACTTCTTAAAACACTGCCTTCTTTCATTTGACCCAAATTCCGTTTCTGAGGGAAAGCTCAGCTTCTCAGAGCTGCCAGTGCCCTCACTCAGTCATAGATGCAAAACACTTTGTACTAACTTTGAGTCTTGCTAAACTCTCATGTGATATGGGACCACTGGAATTCTGTATATAGTTCATGAGACACTGGAAATGCTATGTGTGACCATGCAGCAAGGAATGGCAATGAACACACATATGGCACATACCGCTACTGCTCACTCATGTATTATATTGTCTCACTGAACTTCACCTACGAATTACAAATTCCAAGATAAAATAATTATGGTCTTCAAGATGGAACAACAAAGCGTTAAACCAAGTGCAAGGCCTTTCTGAAACCAAATGGCTTTTCACAGCACCCTCCTTAGTTTTACTACTCACCATACTCTGTGCTTTCTCCTTCAGGTAACCCATGTGTGGATATTGAGCAAGACTTTTGATGTGCTACTGATACATAACAGCAACAAACAAACAAACAAACAAAACCTATACAGTGTGCTCTCCTTCTGCCTCTTTGCCCGCTCTCACTTTTAATTCTACCTTTATGCATTATATAATGCTGGAGGTCTGCAAGTGAGTAGCCCTTTGCTGTCTTTTTAATGCAGATAGCTGCTAAGTGACCTCAGGTAGGTTTATTGCTGGTTTCATAAGAGCATATTTGCAGGGGCAGAGAAGAATCCAGGTGAAATTTGCATGTTACCATTGTCCCCAATTATTGCTTCTCCTAATCGATGGATTTTATTTTATTTTTCCCAAGGCAGCCCTCACTCTTAGCCTAATGAATTAGATAACTTGTAGAAAGTGAAGATATGAAAGGTTCTCAATAATCACATTGTAACTAGACCCATGTGTGTTAGATTGTTAGATTTGAAATGACTTTTTTTTTTTTTTTTTTTGAGGAGTCTTGCTCTGTCACCCAGGCTGGCAAGCAGTGGCGCGATCTCAGCTCACTGCAACATCTGCCTCCTGGGTTCAAGCGATTCTCCTGCCTCAGCCTTCTGAGTAGCTGGGACCACAGACATGTGCCACCATGCTCTGCTAATTTTTTGCATTTTTAGTAGAGACGGGGTTTCACTGTGTTAGCCAGGCTGGTCTGGATCTCCTAACCTCATGAACCACCCACCTCGGCCTCCCAAAGTGTTGGGATTACACTGAAATAATTTTTTAATTATCTGTGTTGAAGTTGGCACTCTTTCCTATTCGAACTCTGTAATATATTTTCTTCTACTTTAATATTCTGTGGGGCCAGGCTTGGTGGCTCATGCCTGTAATCCCAGCTACTTGGGAGGCTAAGGCAGGAGAATCACTTGAACCCAAGAGGCGGAGGTTGCAGCAGTGAGCCGAGATGGTACCATTGCACTCCAGCCTGGGTGACAGAGTGAGAGACTCCGTTTCAAAAAAAAAAAAAAAAAAAAAAAGAAAAGAAAAGAAAAAAGAAAAAAAATTCTATAGATAATTTCAATGGAAAAGGAAGGATCAATTATGTGCCTTTATCACTATGGTCCCTGAAGTATTCTCATTTGTTTAGAGAAAAAAATAATAAATAAGTCTAAGATGAAATGAAATGCATTCATTTTTGTAAATAATCTTAAATATCTTTGGGAAGTAAAGAAAGGAAAATAATGAATACACCTTATGATATGAGAAAAAGCTTATTTACCAATTTTTACTATAAGCAGAATGTGACTAATTCAACAAGAAAGTCAACAAATGTTATTAGCATTTAAATTTAACTCATTTTGCTTACTCTCCATTTCAACCTCTAATTTGCAAAAAAAAAATCATGTGTGGGCCTAGGGAAAGTATCAAAATACTGTAAAGATAAACTTGTAGGTATATCTGAAGTAAAACTCTTGACAGTTTAGCATGATGAAATTTTCTGGAAAATGGAACAGCATTAAAAAGACAAATAATCAAGAAACTAGAGTGTGTTTTAGTAGCCATATGGTTTGGCTGCGTCCCCACCCAAATTTCTTCTTGAATTATAGCTCCCATAATTCCCACATCATGGGAGAAACCCAGTGGGAGGTACTTGAATCATGGGGGCGGATCTTTCCCGTGCTGTTCTCGTGATACTGAATGAGTCTCACAAGATCTGATGGTTTTTTAAAGGGGAGTTCCCCTGCACATGCTCTGTTTGCCGGCTGCCATGAAAGATGTGACTTTTCTCCTCCTTTGTCTTCTGCCATGATTGTGAGACCTCTCCAACCACGTGGAACTGTGAGTCAATTAAATCTCTTGACTTTATAAATTACCCAGTCTTGAGTGTGTCTTTATTAACAGCATGAGAAGGGACTAATACAAAAAAAAAAAAAAAAGTCTGACTGGAACTAGGTTTAGTGGAGTTGAAGATGGAAGGGAAGATCATATTCATGACTCAGTATCTTGCTTAAAAGTTTGGACTTCATTGGGCAGGTTGTAAGCAGCCTCTGAATTTTTTTTTTATTTCAAATGGCACAAGTCTATGCTACAAATGTGCCTATGAATGCACTGTTCTCCCTTTTTCCTTGTGCATTTACTGATTCTCACTCTTGACCCCTTTTAACCAAATCCTATCCAACAATTTTCTTGTGTGTGAGTTAATGAAGTGGCTTAATGGTCATAGTGAGAAAAAAAAGTATTTTTATATAATGCCTAGAATGTTTCAAATGAAATCCATCCATAAATAAAAAATCCATCCATACATAAAAATAGATATGTAGATATAACACGCATGGCAATCTGAATGTCTAAGATGTCCAGTAAGCAAAATGCACTCTAGGGCAAAGAAAACAAAGTGTTAACAAGAGTAATTAGAATTGGATGAATATAGAGAGTGTCTAAGACTGTGGTCATGCACTAGGGAGCAGTCATGCATGATGGTAGAAGAGTTTTATAATGAAGTTAAAACATATTTAAGATAAAGATTAGAAGTGTGAAAGCTAAAAGGACATTTTAAAAATCAAAATAAGAGTGATAAAATTGACAATGTTAAAGTTATAGCACAATTGAATTATGTTCCAGAGTTCAATACACATAATAGAATAAAAAGTTTGTAACTAAATAGAAGAAATTAGAAAAGTGGTTTCAATCTAGAGATAGTTTTTTAAGAAATTGAAAAGATTTAAGGAGGACTAGTTAATTTTAGTCAAATGAGTTCTAGAAATCTGCTTGAAGTTTAAATATTTATAAACATAAATGTACATACAGAGAAGAGTGATGAAAGAGAATAAAACATAAAGTGCAATTAATGTGTCATAGTTTTTTTCATTATTTTTCAATTTTAAGTAGAATGTAAGCCAACAAGATAACCAATCTATGAGAATATAAAATGAATGTGACTGCTTTGAATATAGTCAACTGAGAGACTCTACAGTTAATCCAGTTATGTTGCCAGTGTTTGGTTTGTTTTTAAATAAAGATCTCCTCTTTCCTAGGATAGCTGATTAGTATCATACTACTTCCTTTGAGATTGAGTTTGGATTTGACAAACAGCAAAACCACCTAGAGCAAAGGCAGCTGAAGGCACGGAGCCAATGTGTCATTGGAAATCATCTAGCCAACTTCCATTTGAACAATGGAAGGAACTCTAGAGTTTAATGTTTAGTTAAGACACTTTACAAGCAAGAAACAGTAGCAGAGCATAAATTAATTTTAACACTCAGAGAATTTATTGATTTATTGGAAAGAAACTGAAATACATTGAAAGCTCAAAAAATAGTAGTCAAAACCAGGTCAATTTTGGGGACTTCTGGGATCTATAGTGGGGTCTCTATGCTAGGAACCTTCACTTTTTGAGTTTTTCCAAGTGGTGCAGACATGGACATGGCAGATTTGTGGTGGTGATATTATAGCTTCAATAATAGGGAAGGAAAAAGGCACTCTTCCCTATTGGCTCTAGTAGGAAAATTAGCAGGGAAAGACACTAAATGGGTTTGCTTGGATCAATGTCCATTTTGAAAATGTTTGGGTGTGGGAATGAGCTCTTTAGATTATTTCAATTCATTGTGTGCTTACCCAATAAGCAGAGAAGTTAGCTCTGTTACCAGAAGAGGGCAAAGAAGTTTGACAACCCAAAAACAATAGCCACCACAATCATGTATGCCAAACACATACCCACAAGACATATCAAAGGTGGTTGGAAATGTTTGGATATCTTAACAGCATGTCCAAAACTAAGCTCATAATTTTTTTCTCTCCTCTTTTCACACAAGGTGCCACTTTCCTCTATATTCTATATAGTGACTTTTCAATTCAACAAACGAAGCCTTAGCAAGTTATTTAATCTTTGTGCTTCAATTTTTCTCTTTTCAAAACAGGAATAATTCCCCATTAATAATGGTTTCCCCATTAACAGTGTTATAGTGGATTGAGGTCAATGAGTGAAAAGCATCTAATTGATGCCTGTATAGAACAGGAATTAACTGTAATTTAATTCCCTTATACTCCTTTCCCCACTTAAAAACTCAATCCTTTTTAATCTACACTTTCTAGCTTGCCTACACTTTCTTTACTCTCTTGAATTTATTTGGAACTCCTTGCAGTTCCCCTAAATGCAGCATGTTTCCATTTCTTTGTTTTTTTTTTAATGTTTTTCTTATTTATTTATTTTTTTGGAAACAGTTTTGCTCTTGTCACCTAGGCTGGAGTGCAGTGGTGTAATCTTGGCTCACTGCAACCTCCACCTCCCGGGTTCAAGTGATTCTCCTGCCTCAGCCTCTCGAGTAACTGGGATTACAGGTGCCCGATACCACGCCCAACTAGTTTTTATATTTTTAGTAGAGATGTGGTTTTGCCATGTTGGCCAGGCTGGTCTCGAACTCCTGACCTCAGGTGATCTGCCCACCTTGGCCTCCCAAAGTGCTGGGAGTACAGGTGTGAGCCACCATGCCCAGTCAAGATTTAATGTTTCTAATTCTCCGATTTCCTTAGTTGTCTGTCCCCAGCAGCCTATCTCTGACACCACTTTTTTTTTATTATACTTTAAGTTCTAGGGTACATGTGCACAACGTGCAGGTTTGTTACATATGTATACGTGTGCCATGTTGGTGTGCTGCACCCACCAACTCGTCATTTACATTAGGTATATCTCCCAATGCCATCCCTCCCCGCTCCTCCTACCCCACGACAGGCCCCTGTGTGTGATGTTCCCCTTCCTGTGTCCAAGTGTTCTCATTGTTCAATTCCCACCTATGAGTGAGAACAAGCAATGTTTGTTTTTTTCTCTGCGATAGTTTGCTGAGAATGATGGTTTCCATCTTATCCATGTCCCTACAAAGGACATGAACTCAACCTTTTTTATGGCTGCATAGTATTCCATGGTTTATATGTGCCACATTTTCTTTTTCTTTTTTTTTTTTTTTTTTTGAGATGGTGTCACACTGTGTCTCCCAGGCTGAAGTGCAGTGGCGCGATCTCGGCTCACTACAAGCTCCGCCTCCTGGGTTCACGCCATTCTCCTGCCTCAACCTCCTGAGTAGCTGGGACTACAGGTGCCCGCCACCACGCCCGGCTAATTTTTTTATTTTTATTTTTTTATTTTTAGTAGAGACAGGGTTTCACCGTGTTAGCCAGGATGGTCTCGATCTCCTGACCTCATGATCCACCCACCTTGGCCTCCCAAAGTGCTGGGATTACAGGCGTGAGCCACCACACCTGGCCTGTGTGCCACATTTTCTTAACCCAGTCTATCATTGATGGACATTTGGGTGTTTCCATTTCTTTGTAGCTGGCATCTCCTCTGCCTGGAATGTCCTCCCTGCCAGACTTCCCTATCCCTTCTTTAATCCTTATTCATTTGGCAAACCTGTATTGAACAGAGCTCAAATACCATAATCTTTGTGAAGCACTCTCTGACTCACTCAGTAAGTCAAAGTTAAACCTTTGTGCTCTCTATTCTCATAGTATCATCTGCATAGTATTAATATTGACTTATTATTGTATGCGTCCTTACTGTTTATCACTTAGCCTCCAACATTAAACTGTGGGCTTCCTGAGGGACAACATTTTATAGCAAGTGTTGCATCCCACGGTAGGAGTACCAAGATATTTTGCAGTGTGGGTCACAACTCTTGGCATATAGTTGCTACCCAATAAATATTTAATGAATGCTTGAAATTTGTATACCTGTCATTTATTGTCTGGATTTAAGTAGAAAATGGTATGTTCATTTTAAAAAATATATGTACTATGTTAAAAATCAGTTAATTTTCCTTCTACTAAAGTGTTTAAAGGTACTAACTCTATCATTTGTTGGATTTGCTCTTCTATCAACTTGTTATCTATAGCATCATCTAACTCATTGATATAGACATATACCATTAATAAAGAAGGCCCATCTTGAGCCCAACATGCCATAGGAGATGCTTGTTTCTAATTATGAATCTACTAACTTCATTATTCTTTTATGCAAATTTATTCATTCTTTTATCAAGGTTGGTATGATAAAAACTGCCCAACACCTTGCTGAAATGCAAGTTTGATCAATTAAGCTAGTAACCTTATCAGGAAAGGAAATGAGATTTGTTTGATATAATTTGTTCTAAGTTAATCTTCTCTGACTCCTAGTACATAGTTGTTGGAAGGTATCTGTTTAATAATACAATCTGGATCTGATCAATTATGAATATCAAATTCATGGTCCATATTCTGTAACACCACCTTCGCTATTGAAAAAAATATTGTAGTATTGCCCGGCCTCAGTCTTTTGGCGCTTCCCAATTTTCAGTGGGATTCAAAGAATCCCAACAGTTGCTCAGCAATTTTTCTGCAAAGTGTTTTCACTATACTAAATTGCAAAAAGCTTCTGTCACTGGTAACTACAAAAGATAATTCTTATAATATTTTGAGATATGTTTCCTCTGTTGAGTGATGTTGCCATATCTCCAGAGTAATCAGATGGTCTCCCAGGGTGAGCACTTTGAAAGACAATATTCATCTGAAATCTAAGTTGTTGCATTTATATTTTTAAGAAGGTAATCACTGTATCTCTACATTTAAGAGTTAAATTTAGTATCCATTTTCTCAGAGCTGAAGAGTACCTTAAAAAATCTACTATGTAATTTTATGGATCAAGAATTATATTCAGAGATAAAGTAGATTATTGATCATGTACTCATTAATATTCATCTAGGATTAGATGCCTGATCTCCTAATTCCCACATATATTAGAGTTATACATATGAAATCCATGTATGACTTTAGAGAAGCTTTGAACAATCTATGCTGTGTGGAAAATTCTGTTTCCACAAACAATACATTTCTTATTGTTGAGTGATTTACAGCTTTCATTATATTCTCAAAGGAGTTCATGAACCAAAACTGTTAAGAACCATTAAACTAGATCAGACTGGTGGCTATAGTTTCAAAGATTAAACGGAATACTGAAGTATAAAATTAATTTAAATATGAGTCTTACAAATGTATTCTTCTTCTTATAAGCTACAGAGAGAAACAATATTAAAAAAATTTAAGTTTTCACCATATTAGCATTAGGTCATACTCTTAAAATCTTATGCATTCATCAGAATTTCTCCTGAATATAATGATAGCCTAATTATCACTAGAGTGTAAGTTGGTTTATGAGGATTTGCATATTTGTTTTGTAAATGTTTCATGGGAAAAATTATTAATTAGCATCTAATTAATATTTGGGTTGCTGAGAACATATTTTTTAAACTTTAGAAACAAGAAAATAGAGAATAGTTAATTATCCATCTCTGATCTCCTTTAAAATTTCTCATTGCTAAACTCAACAGCACAAAGGAGAGATTAATAAAAATAAATCTGAAGTAACTTAATCGCACTCTTTTCATTTTGCCCAATTACTGAGATTCTCTCTGTCTTTATCCATTCAAAAGCGTTATTAAATAAATATTTTGTAAGCATTAATAATCTTAGAAAAGATAATAATTGTTAATACTTGAGAATTACACTGAAGAATTTCCCCAAAATGTTGAAATGATAAAGATGTAATTGAAACTATAAAACCAACACCTAGGTGAAATACGACAAGCCCCAAAAGCACTGAGTTAAGAGAATATAATGAAAAATAATTATTTCTTTTAATCAGGTGATCTGGTCAGTTAGTACATTGTAAGTGTATTTAACAAGCAGCTATCAGTATTAAGGCTGTGGTTCACACAAGAGTATAAAAGTATACAGCTAAAGAGAAAGAAATGAAGCTCTCTATAGAAGATAAACAGTGGAGTACACACACAAAAGGGATCAGATAAAGAACTTTGCCATCACACAATTTACGGTCTCCAGAGGAGAGTCTTGGCCAAAGGGTTATTTCCATTCAGTGGCTACATGAGCAACGTTCCTCTGGCTATCCTCACTAACGACTTTGGGGAAGGTCTTCTAAATTTCTTCTGTTTGTAATTTGGCTTTCCAGATAGTTGTCCTCATTAGAAGAGAAGATGCTAATTATGTTGAACTGAATACTCTGGGCTTTGTGACAGATGAAATTTCTCATGGTGAAGTAGTAGTACTTTGGCATTCTGGAGTCAATGTCAATCTCAAGACTTGGGCCCATTTTAGTCAGTCTCTGGTCACCTCTGGAATCTAACAAGAGCAAGTCTTAGTCACAGTCCCATTAAGGGTCTATCAGCTTCCCCAGTGTCTTAATCCAGAGCATCTGACATCGTAACATGCACACAAACCATCTGGCAACTCTGTGAACATGCTGATTCAGATTCAGTAAGTCTATTATAAGGCCTCAGTTATTGCACTTCTAACAAGCTTCCAGGTGAGACACTTGCTGCTAAACTGTAGGCCACATTTTGAATAACCAGTGCCTGAAAGTAACCACCTGAACAAAGTCCTAAATACGACATATTTTAGAAATCACCTCCTACCTACCAAACTGGAATCAAAAAGGTTGGGGGCTGTAGTTTTAAATAATACCCAGGTGATTCTAATGAACCACCGGTTTCAGGACCCACGGTCTTAATTGACTTTTTAAACAAACTTTCTCTTTCAAATTTCTACAAAAGTAACCAGAAAACTGAATGCATTATACCATACCTTATTTAAACCCTTGAGATACTATTCTGGACTCTTTTTATAAGAGTTGTGCATATGAACTCTCTATTCCCATACTATTCACATGGTATCATGTGCATGCTATTAATATGACTCACTATTTTGCGCATTCTTACTGTTTATCACTTCGCCTCCAACATTGAACTGTGGGCTTCCTGAGGGACAAAATTTCATAGCAAGTGTTGTATCCCATGGTGAGAGTATATATATCAAACAAATTATAATTGATAAAATTTAGCATATTATATAAAACAAATCTCATTTCCTTTCCTGATAAGGTTACTGGGTTAATTGATCAAACTTGCATTTCATCAAGGTGTTGGGCACTTTCTACCATACCAACCTTGATGAAAGAATGAATAAATTTGCATAAAATAATGATGAATTTAGTAGATTCATAATTAAAAACAAGCGTCTCCTATGGCATGTTGGGCTCAAGTTGGACCTTCTTTAGTAATGACATATGTATATGTCAGTGAGTTAGATGATACTACAGATAACAATAAGAATGCTGTTACGACTCTTAATGAGAAACATGTTGGTGTCTACTGAAAATAATGTTGCTTTTATTTCCACCCTATGGTTTGCTATTTATTTTTACAGTTCATTGGTAGTGTTAGGCACTGTGGTATGGAGAGACAGAAAAAAAAATTTAAAAATGACAACTATTTAATATAACATAAATGAATAGTATATTGAAGAGAACATTGGATATAGTATTATAATGTAAATTATGTATTACCAATGTTTATTAGTTTGGAATCTCTATGCCAGGGATAAAAATGGGTGGCCTTTGGGTCCAAATTGAAACTACAAATATGTTTTGTTTGGCTTAAATATTGTGGTTGCCATATTGTCTCACCAGCTGTTTTGACTTGAATGCATTTAGTCAGAGCATGTACCCACAGACTCTACTAACGTCTCTTATTTTATACCAGTATTATATTACTGGCTATCTCATAGGCATTTGAGATTTTATTCCATATATATTTCTATTTCTTTTCTTCTGCAAACAAATACTACGTTTTCATATCATATTAGTAGGGGCTGAGAGGTAATTTGTAGCAATGAATACATAAAGAAGAGAAAGAAGGTAACTATAATTTTTACAGGTTAAATAAAAATATATAGTTTAATAGTTTTAAAGAAAATTTTTATTTGAGGATCTAAATTAAAATAAACTACGTGAATTACACTTGAAAAAGAAATGATTAAGCTTCAGAGTCCTTGATAATTTTTACTGATTCTATATTCTTTAAAGTTTCAAGTAACATTTCCTATCTACTCAAACACATGTATCAAAAATCAATACTGAAACATGGCAATGCCTCATTTCTTCTGAAAACTCGGTTTTGCAAAATATATTATTTTTTTCAGTGGCAATATATGATCTTTTAAGTAGCCATGTTTGATGAACCAACCTGGAAATAATCGCTTATTCATGCTTGAACTTTCTCCTATCCAACCTAATCTAGAAAACTATATATATTAAGATCACAATGCTTCCTTTTTGCTCAATATAAACATCAATTAGACCTTATGTACATGTACAAAAATCATTGTGTCATAAAGTCAGTCTTTGGTTTTTCATAGGCCAGGTAAAAAGGCAAATTCTGATACTAATTGTTCCAAGATGTATGTGTTCTTTCAGAATAGCTACACTTGTCATTTTTTGAACTTGTCATTTTCAAGGCAACTTGATGCATTAAAAATATGATTTTGGTGAAATTATAGTTTTTATTTGGTGTTTACAGCTCAGACAAGGACTTTTTAAGCTTATTATTATTGTTGTTGTTAATGAAACAGGTGTCACTTCAAGAAGCTTTTGAAAATGGCATATAAACTTTGTTTAGTTTATGATGAAATGATAGTTATAACAACGCATACAACCTTCTACTGACAAGAAAATTGTGCACAAAAATTCCCAAACTACAATGTCAGCTTCCTAAAAATGTTTTGTACTTAAACCTGAAATATTGAGAGAAATGTTGCTTATAACATATGCAGAATAAAAGCATTCTTAATTTTTAAAATGACAAGACTTTTTAGTTAAACCATGTCACATTTATGACAAGAGAAAAACTACTTATTTTGGCAGCTTGTGACTTAATGAAGCATTTAAGTATCAATACAAGGCTTCATTAAATGGAAACATATGGCAAACCATATCATTATTTAGTTATTCAAATGTTGAAGAACTGTTAGAGTTTAACAATGTAAATAATACCTTGTAAATGTATCACTTCATTGCTAAGCTTCAGAAAATATTTTAATAGATCATTATATATCTTGCCACTATATTTACAACTACAATAAAAGTTAATGTTAGTGGTCATCATATCTCATTCAAAAAATTAATATATGGCCTGTAATCCCAGCACTTCGGGAGGCCAAGGCAGGCGGATCACGAGGTCAGGAGATCGAGACCATCTTGGCTTACACGGTGAAACCCCGTCTCTACTAAAAATAGGAAAAAGTAGCCAGGCGCGGTGGCGGGTGCCTGTAATCCCAGCTACTCAGGAGGCTGAGGCAGGAGAATGGCATGAACCCGGGAGGCGGAGCTTGCAGTGCGCTGATGTAGCTAGCGCCACTGCAGTCCGGCCTGGGCGAAAGAGCAAGACTCCGTCTCAAAAAAAAAAAAAATTAAAAAAATAAAATAAAATAAAATAATAATAATAATATATGAACAACAGATTTAAAAAGATAACGTCTTTGCAGAAAGTAGGTTTTTCTGGACTTTCTGTAACTGGAATAAATTAAACACTGTGATCAAATTTATCATTGGTAAAATTATGTCTTTTAGATTTAATAGAAAAATCTTTACATTTCTAAACTCTGTTTTAAATGAATTTTCATAAAGAAATAACAATTTTCATAAAGAAATAAATGAATTTCTTTTTCATAAAGAAAAAATAAAATAATTTCTAATACAATATCAGAGAAGATATGTTTTATATTTTCAAACTAAGATCACCTACTCTATCTCTATTTACTTGTCAAATGGCAATTATAAATCATATATTGTGGTTCTTCAAAGAGAAAAACAGGTAGTCCAAATCAGAGCAATAAATAACTGGGTTGTTTGAGAACATTTGAACAGCTCTGATAACTGTGCTCTATTCCAGTTTTTTCACTCTCTTGGGCATCACAGTTTCCAAGGCTTAATTTTTAAAAATTTCCTTAAATGTTTTGTTTTGCCCACAATAAACTCTTTAGATAGATTCCGAAATATCTATAAGTGACAGCTTTTTACATACACGATATCAAAATGTCAACAAAAGTTCTTCATTATTCCACAAACACTTATTAAATCTTAATGAAGGAATGCTATATGATACAGTCATTAATATAGCTGAGTTGCTTTTAGATAATTTATATGAAAAATGGAAGCAAACTTGGATGGAGTCCGGAGGCAAATGATTATGCTCTACACAGTGTCATTGAAAAGAGAACAATTTTATTTCATATTGAATATTTAAGTGCCTTAAAAAATAACTGTAAGTAATTCAAGGAAAGAATTAAACAATGGATAACAGGAGAGGAAAAATAAAAATTAAAAGTATAATGAAATGAAAAATCATATTTCCAGCTAAGAATTGAAATGAGAATAAAAGCATTGATGTTTAAAATGAGATACAGGATAGCTGCTCTTTCCAGTGAAAGATGCATGATAGCATTGGAGTATCACGCTGGGACGAGAGGTGATTGAGAATGGCACGAAATACAGCCAACAACAGTCCATGATCACTAATATTGAGTGGTTTCAGAGCCTGTACACCCATTTTCATTTTGCAGTACAAATATCTTAAAATATGTATAGAATGAAATAGCTGTAATGGAGAAACAAATATCAAATTCAACAGTTGCTTGGGAATAATCATCCTTTTTTAGATTTTTGGCTAAATCAATATGTAGAAAATTTAAATGTATACAATTGCCTTCCTGAAGAGTGATTGATAGACATAAAGGGATGTTTGAGGGGCTGAACTGTTTGCCTGACTAGCAACAAAGCACAGCACAGGGACTAAGGGTATGGGTTTGGAATGTAGATTGGAAAGCTCAAGCCTTGATCACTCAGTAGATGTGCTGCTTCAAACATTTTCCCTAATATTTCAACTGCATAGTTTTCCCATCTAAGTATGGAGATGATGATAATGGTCTCCACCTCACAGGTTTGTTTAATATATGTAAGAATAATTAACATATTCCAAGCATTTAGTGGATAACTACTCAAAATTTCTCTGGAGACATTTGCCTTCAAATGGGGCCTTATATGATTTAGAAACCATGAAGCTTAAAAAAAAAAAAAAGAAAGAAAAGAAAAGAAAGAAAATAAGGCTAGTAGTGCCTTGGCCAATTTAGCAGAAGAAAATAAAAATGCAAAACTCCAGATGGACATTCTCACAACTCAGCCTGGAAGGAAGTCTCACACATAAAGGAAGAAACAAACAGAAAATAATCCATCCTGAAAAAGAAACAATGTCAAGCATACACACACCAAATGGGACTAGAGACCAATAACTTCATATGCTGGAGCAATCTGATGAAGATTTTAAAATAAGATTTTTTGCAATTATGAAAGATTTTAAAAAGAAAAACCTTAATAAAAGAACAAGATGATGAAAAAAGAACAAGATCATCTGAAAAAGAAAAAAAAAATCACTTTGAGAAATGAGAAATACAGCAATCAAAATGTAAATTGTAAAGGATGTGTCATGGAAAATATTGGACACAGCTGAAGGGCTAATTAGCAAATTGGAAAATGTCTCTGAAGAAATTAATCAAACAAAACATAGATATATGATTTATAGAAATTATCAAAGAAGTTAAGTGACATGAGTGATAGAAGGAAAAGATATATAGATATATGAAGTTTTAGAATACAATACAGAGTTAGGGAGAAATAATGAAAAGACAATGTCTTAAGAATTTTGCAGATGTGATAGATGACAAGTATTCTCAGACTCAGGAAGAACAAAAAGTCTCCAGTAGATAGATTAACACATATTTAGACTTCCTAAGTTAAAAAATAGAGGTAAGATCTTAATATCAAAGAGAAAGTACAAATATAAAGGACTGATTTTGAAAGCAATCAGATTTAGAAGGCAGATTGCTTACAAAAGAAAAATCATCAAACAATAGACCTCCAAATTTTAAAAATAGAGTAAAAGATCTATGCAAAACAGCCAAATGCTTAATTGTTAAGAGAGCAGTAATGAGTACAACTTAAACATATGCCCCTAATAGATCCTTGCTGTATGAATATGTAAACAATAATTCAAGAGGGAACGTGAATCCGGAAGTACAGCTAGGAATGTGGAAATCAAGAGTAAAGAATTTACTGTGCGGTTAAGTCTAAAAGAGCATGAACTTTATGAAATAATAATAATACTACTAATTTTCAACTTTGGTGGGCATGAAACAAAGTAGAACTAAAATATAGGCAACAAAACTTACAGAAAATGAGAGAAATGATTGCAGATAAAATGTTCTAAGTTTATATTATTCTTGGGATAAGGCTACAGATAGTAATGAATTTCAGACTTGTTGAGTCAAGAACTTTGTAAAAGTTAAAATTATCCACTAAAAAAAAAAGCAAAATGTAGAGCTTCCAAACTTCACAGAGAAAGAGAGAATTTATGAAATATAATTAATTTGGTATAAGGTAAGCCAAAAGAAAAAATAATGCAAAAATACAGTACATAAGGGAAATATCTTTCTAACTTAAAGGAAGCAATGTTTCCTCAGCACAGAGATAACAGTGATCATAAAAGGAAAATAGGCCTTATTTGGAAATAATGTCATGAGAGATGTAACTAATTAAGATGAGGTCATACTGAAAGAGGATAGATAGGCCCCTAATCCTTTGTGACCCATGTCCTTAAGATGACAATTATGAGAAGCAACAAACAAACCGAGAGAATGGCATGTGAAGACGGAAGCAGAGATTGTTGTGATACCTCTGTAAGCCAAAGAATGCCAAGCAATGCTGGCAGTCACCAGAAAGTAGGAGAGAGGCGTGGAGCAGATTCTCCCTCAGATAGATCCCTCAGAAAAAAGGAACCTTGCCAACACCTTGATTTGCAGCTTTTTGCCTCCAGACTGTGAGATAATATCTTTTGTTGTTTTAACCACTTAGTTTGTAGTGCTTTGTAATGGCAGGCTTAGAAAATTAATTCGACTTCTTGAAATTAAAAACTTCCACTCACTAAAATTCATGATTTAAGAAAATTAATAGGGAACTCACAAACTGGGAGAAATATTGGCAGAACATGCACCTGAAAAAGGATTTGTATACAGGATATATAAAAAATACCCACCGCCCAAAAATAAAAAGACAAACCACCCAATTAAAATATAACCAAAAGATTTGAACAGACATATGAAAAATATCCACATTATGAGCCATTGAGAAAATGCTTATTAAGACTATGATGAGATATCATTATATGACCACTGGAATAGAAAGAAAAAAAAAGGAAGAGTGAGAGAAAAAAATGACAATATCAAATGTTGAAGGGACAAGGAGCAACCAGAACTCTATTTTTTTCCTGATAGGAATATAAAATAATATAAACCTTTTGTAAAAATTTGGCAGTTTCACAAATGCCTCCCCTTTAATCTGACATTTCCACTCTTGGATATCATTCTAATTGAATTCAAAGTATATACCCACAAACAGAGTTGTACAAGAATGTTTATCAAAGCTTTATTCATGATAGCCCAAAACTGAAAGCAGCCCAAATGTCCATCAAATGGAGAAAGAATAGAACTGAAGCATATTCATACATCATAATACTACTCAGCAACCAAAACTGAACACACTCCCAATAGGTAAAACAACATGAATACATCCAAAATATATTATGCTGAGTAAAGAAAATATTTCATAAGAGTACATACTGGCCGGGCGTGGTGGCTCACGCCTGTAATCCCAGCACTTTGAGAGGCCAAGGCAGGTGGATCACCTGAGGTCAGGAGTTCGAGACCAGCCTGGCCAACATGGTGAAACCCTGTTTCTACTAAAAATACAAAAATTAGCTAGGTGTAGTGGTGGGTGCCTGTAATCCCAGCTACTTGGGAGGCTGAGGCAGGAGAATGGCTGGCGTTAACCCGGGAGGCCGAGGCTGCAGTCAGCCGAGATCGCGCCACTGCACTCCAGCCTGGGTGACAAGAGCAAAACTCCGTCTCAAAAAAAAAAGTACATGCTATAATTCCACTTATAGGAAGTTCTACAAAATGCTAAAATAATCCATTATGGAAAAAAATCAGAAGAGTATTTAAATTTGAGAGGATTAATTGAAAAAGAACAAAAGGGAAATTTCTAAGATGATAATATTGTATATAATGATAGGGTTTGGGTTCACAGGTGTAAGCATCAGTTAAAACTCACAGAATGGTAATTTTTTTGCATTTCAATGTGTATAATGTTATTTTTTAAAAAGTAGTTACTAAACTCCAGTTAATACCATGCATGCTGAGGTTTTAAGGATGCAAGTTATTTTGAACTGCATTAAAAAAGAGGCATAGAAATGGATATAGGTATGAATACATGGCTAAATACACGATATGGCAAATACAGCAAAATTTAGCTGTAGAATCTAGTTGGTGAGTATATGGTGTTCACTGTACTATTCTTTCAACTTTTCTGTATGTTTGAAATATCCATAATGAAGCATTGTGGGGGACATGGATAATAGGAGTAATAGGAACAAAAGTGTAAGAAACTCAGGGAATGAATATAGTATAAGATAAACTAGAAAATAAGAAATGTATAAAATATAAAACTACAAAAGTAAAAACAGAGGTGGCATTACAAATCAGTGGCAAAAGAATAGATCAGCCAATAAATGGTGCCAGAACAACTGGCTATCCATACAGAAAAATGCTGACTCAAAAATAAAATCTAAATGGATTAAAAATCTAGATGCATTACTTTTAGAAAAAAAAAATGAATTCTTATTTTCATTCCTGATATTGGCAAGAGTTTTCTAAAATAGCTACAGGATATAAACACATGCACACAAAATCCAATCCTGCATTAAAATTAAAATAACTTTTTTTACGACAAAGACCATTATAATAAAAATGAAAAGACCTGTTATAAACTGAAAATTATGTTTTTTGCCCATATAACTTGCAATCTGTTAATATTCCACATAAAATAAAATTCCTACAAATTTAAAAGGACAACCCAATTGAAAAAGGGACATCAGGAAATTCACAGAAGCACAATAGAAAATGACAAATAATCACATAAAAATGTGTTAAGCCTCACTAGTATTTGTGAAATGATCAATTAGATGACAGTAGGAAACCATTCACAATAGCCTGTCACACAAACTGTTGAGAAGATGTGGGGAAAACAGAACCTCTATACATCCTGATGGAAAGGCAAATCAACATAATTAAAAACATACATACCCTAGATCTGACAACCACCAATACCTATGTCTTTCTTACTTTTCTTCCTTTCTTTTCTTCCGATCTCTCTCTCTTTCTTTTCTTTCTTTCCTTTCTTTCTCTTTGTTTCTTTCTTCCTTTCTTCCCTTCCTTTCCTTTCCTTCTTTCTCTTTCTCTGTTTCTTTTTCTTTCCTTCCTTCTTTCTCCCTTTTCTCTTTTTTCTTTCTTCTCTCTCCTTCCTCCCTCCCTCCTTCCCTCTCTTTCTTTCTTTCCCTTTCTCTTTCTCTTTCTTTCCTTCTTTCTCTTTCTTTCCTTCTTTCTCTTTCTTTCTCTTTGTTTCCTTCTTTCTCTTTCTTTCTCTGTTTCCTTCTTTCTCTTTCTTTCTCTCTTTCTCTCTCTCTCTCTCCTCCCTCCCTCCTTTCCTACTTCCCTCCCTCCCTCTTTTTTCTTTCTTTTTCTTTCTCTCTCTTTCTTCTTTTTTTCTTTCTTTCTCTCTTTCTTCTTTTTTTTTTTTTTTGACAGAGTCTCATTGTGTCGCCCAAGCAGTAGTCTCAACCTCCCAGCCTCAACACCCACCTTAGTCTCCTGAGTAGCTTGGACTACAGGCATGTGGTCTTTCTTGAGAAACTCTCGCATATGTGTAACTAAAGACAAATCCATGGTGTTCATTGCAAGACTGTTTTTAACGTGACAGAATAGAAACAAATTTATTGTCTCAGATTTATGCATACAGGGAAATAGAGGAATCTAGAAGTTAAAATGAGTAACTTTATCTACATGTTGCAACATCTATACACCTCAAAATGCAACGTAAAAAAATAATAAAATTACAAAATATAAAATTTAGAAACACACCACTTATGAATAATATTAAACACAAAACTAGAATATATGGTTTATAGATACATACATATACAGAAAATATTTTAAAAATGTTTTGGAATCATATCAGTTTTATGACAACATTTGTCTCTTGGAAGAGAGGGAAGGTAGTGGATTGGAAGAAATTAGTCTATAACTTTATTTGTGTCCCTTTATTTCCTTTTTTAAGAAAACAATAAGAGATCAAGTGCAATGAATCATGCCTGTTTTCCCAGCACTTTGGGAGGCTGAGGCAGGAGTAAACATGGCAAAATATTAACATTCATATCTGGCATATGACTTTTAGTAGTTTTCTTATTGTTTGAAATATTAGAGAAGGAAATTTTAAAAATTTTTAAAGGAAAGACATTTCTTTCATAATTTATCTGGCTATTATACAAGGGAAATAATACAGAGTCTTGAATAGCAAAAATATATGCTTGATTTTAATTATTTATATCTTAAAATGAGCAATTTATTTATTTTTTGAGAAATTCTACAATGTCTTCATCAGAATTATTTGTCTTTTGCACAATATTGCTAGAAGATGCTGGAAAATGATAAGTAAAAAGCAGCAGTACTCAAATTTCAAGCAATAGCAAAAGTTGACAGCTTGGAAAGATTTAGCAAAAGGCAAAGCTCCTACTGAAAAAGCAATACTCTTTCATTCTCTTACAGTCCACCTAGAGATAGAGAAAACTAGTATGTTTGTTCTATACATTTCTTATCCAATGTTGGTTTTCATTTTTGCCTTTGTATCAAAAAATGTCCAATTAGATGGCCCACAAGTAATACTCAAGGCTTCTGATTTCAGTTTTCATCAAAAATGGTAAACTTTAAGTTCTCTAGCCATCCAATTATGTTGTAATTAGTTTGTAAATACTAGTTTTTTAAATAAATTTTAAAAATTGCTAGCCAATGTTGTTTCAGTTTTGGAATTCTTTGTATGTAGATTCCATGATGTAACCATAGAATTAAAATCTTCTTGGAAAACTGAAGGCATTTCCATATTCTCACGGCCTTTTTGAGTATCGGATGCTGTGCTTTAATTATACATCTTTTCTTACAATCATGCATAACATTTTGTAACTGAGGATATTAAGTAATTGCCCAGGGTACATATCTAGTATGCAGAACATTATCCTTTCAAATCTAGCAAGTGGCACAGCATGTAACTGTGGTCATTGAATATTCAGTGTGTTTGTTGAATGAAAAGAGGAGTGCAGGATTGATGGGTAGATGGGTAGAGGGATGGTTGAATACCTATCTTCAAATCATGGACCTTTTTACTGGACCACATTGTTTTTCTCATATATAATTGCTCATTAATGAGTATGGTATGCTGATGATGTGTTAACTTTCTAAAAGCCTAATTAAATTATGAGGAGTGCATTTTTAATCAGATTTTAAACTGTATGAGAATCTTAGTGGGTGAACAGGCACCTCTATATACCTCAGACTGAAAAGCCTCCTATCAACTTATTGCTCAATTAATTTCATATAAAATAAAACATAAGATGCCCTCTTATTTCCAACTAAGGCATTTAACTGTTAGCATAAACGTCTTATTTTATTCCATAGATATTTTGCTTTTGATAGTATATTCCAAAAATCACATACGGTCATGGTTGCTTAATAAAATTTTAAGTTGATATGTTGAAAATTAAATACACAGCTGGAGATGTATTATCTCCAACTCTATTAGTCCATTCTTGCATTGCTATAAAAAATTACCTGAGACTGGATAATGTATAAAGAAGAGGTTTAATTTACCCACAGTTCCACAGACTGTACAGGAAGCCTGGCTGGGGAGGCCTCAGGAAACTGACAATCATGGTAGAAGGCAAAGGGGAAACAGGTACCTCTTAAATGTCCAGACAAGGAGGAAGAGAGTGAAGAGGGACGTACTACACACTGTTAAACAACCAGATCTCATGAGAACTCACTCAGGATTATGAGAACAGTAAGGGGGAAATCCACCTTCATGATCCATTCACCTACCACCAGGGCCCTCCTCCAACATTGGGGATTATAATTCAACAACATGAGATTTGGGTGGGGACACAGACCCAAACCATATCACCAACATATGCCATTCTACACAATGTATTTGTTCCTTCATTTATTGAACAAATACATTTTAAATATCAAGACATTCTAAAGATGTATTATCTAGAATATGGTAGCAATCCAAAAGTTACCATTTTTGTACCCACACAACTTAAAGGTTAGTGAGAGAAACAAACAAACAAAAAAGCAACTAATGATTACAAATGATGCTTAGTTCTATGAAGAAAATAAGCATTGTGTAATAAAAGGCAAGACACTAAGAGAACGCTTACTCAGACAAGGTGGTCAGGGAAGGCTTTTCTGAGGAGCTGCCATTGAGACTGAGATGGAAGAATAGTGGACCCACTCACCTGGGTAGCAATAAAACACTGGATTATCATTCATAGGGTGGATGGCTAATAACCTGAGAGAGAGTTTCACGGACTTATTGGTGGAGACTTTAAAGGCTGTTCTCAATCCAAAATCTGAAATACATCTGCCCAAATGCCATATTCATAAAATAAAATGGAGAGATGAAGCGATCTAGCCGGTGTCTTATAAGAACATATACTGGAGAAGAATAAAAATCCTTGTAAGTATAATGCAACATCCTTGTAAATTTAATCATGAATTGAGCAACTGCAATTAGAGAGATTCAAAATATTTGGACAACTAATGTAAGAACCAAATATGATATAGCAAGTTCTCTGCAGGAAGTATGTGAAGCACATGAGGAGGAGCCAGAGACCCTGAAACTGGAATAATAAGGGGAGAAGGGATCTGAAGGAGATCAAGAAGAGCCATGTCCATAGTTTTATCTGGCTAATTGAGGGGAAACTTAACTTGAATTCTAGAATATTGTTTAGTTTGCATTAATCTGTAGGAAATATATTTTAATTTACTTCTCTGCAATGTTAAGTCATTTTGCTGACTTATGGAGTCCTAAATTGAACCTATCAGGTTTGATATAGTAAAATAGTTGAACATCTCCAGGTAAAATGACAATGCCTGTTCTAATAATCCCTCTTTCACGTTTTCTTGGAAATAATCTATAGGATGAAATTTTAATAACGTAAAAATGTGTACCATCATTGGAAACTAGTAGAGTGTGACCCACATGCTAGAAATTCTGATGGATTTCTTCTAGTACTGCAAGACTAACTCAAAAGGAAGAGATGAGAAATCTACAGATTTATCTCCTAAGAAAGCAGTGTTTCACTAAAGATGACACTCAGGCTTAAGACTTAAAGGAATCTCTACTAGGAGATGTGACGCCTGAGGGCAAGAGCAACCATTGATAGAATGAGCAGTGCCCAAAATTATGCCTTTCACAACTGCAGAAAAAAATACTCAAAGCTTCCACCCAAGAAGATGTTGGAGTTCTCACATGGGTGTCAATGGGAGAAAGCCTGCAGTGTGGTAAGACATCTGCTTAACACAGCAAGATTTTTTGGTGGACATCAGTGCGAAGAAGCAGGCCAGGCACAGCCATGCTTTGTTACGAGTATGTAGTTCAAGACAATTAGGAGGGTATACATGTATTTTAACTGATAATAGTCTATCAAAATACATTCCATATAGAAACATTTAACACTTCTGATCCCTTTATAATTGCTGAAATCTATTTTGTGATATCCATGCCATCCCACTTTTCTGGCATGGTGTCACCCAAATCGGTCTTCTTTGATCACCCTTAAATTGCAGCCTGTCCCTCCCATCTTGGTGTCCCCTTCTAGAATATCAACCTTCTTGTTCCCCAGATTATTCTGGGTGATTAATATCAACGTGGTTTCAACATGCAGGTATCTCAATGGCTCTCCCGAGCCACAGTGTGTGTGTGCACACACACAAGCACACACACCTTTTAATATCAATAAATCTGAATAGGAAATTATTCAGCCTCCATGGTATTTCCACTCTCCTGCTTCTTGAAATGAATTCTTCATTCAGAATTACTTTAATTCTCTAAAATTCTATGTGCTCTGGCTTCTGGGCCTTTGAACATATTTTTCTCACTACTTAACCCAGAACTTCTACCATCCTCTGTTGTAAAACACTTACTAATTCCTGAGGACTTAGCTTAGATATCACCTCCCTATGAAACCTCTTCTACCCCTTGACCACTCACCACTCAAGCAGATGTTGTGTATGACTTCCATTGACAAGCATGCCAGCTCTCATTATGCATTGTTCACAATGTATTGTCCTTGCTTCAAGCACTTTCTTTCCCCTTTGAGAGTGAGTTTCATCAACACAGTGATGCTGTCTGGCTTGTTTATAGTTGTTCCATCAGTGCCCAGCCAATTTGTTATGTTGAAGGTGCTCAATATATATTTTCTGGGCAAATGAATGGATGAATAAAAATAAAGAAATATAACAGAAACAAAATCACAATGAAACCCTCAGGAAAAACTGGTTAAAACTGTTTGCCTCTAGGGAAGACTGAGATAGAAAGACAGAACAGATGACTTGCTTATCATTAAATAGCCATCAGTACTATTTTTTAAAACTATCTTCATTTGGTATTTTATTTTTTATATCATAAGGATATCAGGCGGAAATCGCAGTTGCATATATGCACACTACTGTGGTACTCAGATTAGAGGGACTCAATAAAAAGATTCCCCTACAAAATGACACTTTATAAAGGTGCATTCCTAGGCATGCTGCCACACATTATGCTTCCTCAAACATTCACAAGGTCCGTGAGAATAAAGAGTTAAAAATGACCTTAGAGCAGCAGGTTTGCAATCACGAGGGAAATCATAGAATAGCAATTTAACAACCCTCTAAGAGCAGAGCTCAAAGCAAACAATGGATTAGGGCTGTATAATGCTATTATTCAATTGTTTTGCTAGAACTAAAATGTGACAAAGATGGGAAGCTGGAGAAACAAGAACAGAAAAAAGAAAGTTTAATAATGAGTTGAACACTGCAGTTTAAGATAGTATAGAAAAAAAAACAATAACCCCAAAAATTTATTTTCTCTTTTTACTTAAGAACAGGTCACGTCAGATAAACAAAGGCTTAAATCAATGCCCATATGACTGACTCACAGGAGGACTGAACATAAATTACAGTCTCTCATCTCCAGCTTTTAGTGACACCTCCATATGGTTTATCCTTTAGTGAGACCATGGAGTTCTGTTAATGAGCTTGAAAGAGTTGGCTGGTTAGCTGGCAAGAGTTACCTGCCATTAGCTATTTAGAGTTTTGTAAATCAAATGGCAGTTTCTGAGAGACCCCTCCCTCTTCACCCCAAAATGTGAGTCATTCTCTCATTAGTGGCCTGCTTTCTGCAATTTGTAATTACAGATTGTGTCTCTGTTAATCGCTTGACAAATGATACTTCTCTGCCAACAGGTTTACTGAACTTAGTTTATCTTGAAATCGTGTCAAATGAATCTGATGTAAAAGTTTGATTTTGATTGCCTACTTTGGTCTTCCAGATATATAACCTAAATTTTAACTTTTATTTTCTTCTCCAAAAGGAATCAAAATGTAACTTGCATTTCACAAATAATTTCACTCCAGGAACATAGTCTTCAACGTATGCATGGATAATATATTAGAATACACTAGTATATGTCCGTGTTTTCTGGCTAAGAGGACATCTGAAAAGATTCTGTACATAAATTGCTTTAATGTGCTTTCAGTTTCATAATTTACATCCTTCTCAAACCTTGTGCCCTTCCCCCTACACCCGAGAGTTGGGGGTATGGGGAATAGCGGAGTAAAGAATATAGTGTGCTACAAAATATGTCTTTTAGTAAGCCTGGCAGCACCCTCAATTTTTCCAGGCAGGCCTTCATTTCAAACAAAAGACCGGAAATTATGGCTGTCTGAAAATCTAAGAACAAGAGCAATAGAACGTATGCTCCAGTTTTATAAATACGGAAAGCACTATACAGTACATAAGCAACTGCACTCACAAAGCTCTAGCCTCTTCCTTATGCTGGGGTCTATGTAACATCGTATGATTCCAACACCTAATTTGCCTCACTACCCCACCCATATATGGTAGTTACTTGGATGCTGAAACAGTGCGTTTAAATTAAGCACATGCTCTAACTTTGCAAAGAAAGTATCATGGTTCTAGTATGTATCCTAGCAAATAAATAGACACACACTTAAAATCTTTCGTCTTAGTCTAGGTTGTCAGCTTTGAAATCTTTTTCTCCCTCGGCTTTTGGTTCCATTTGTATTGTTTATCTCAGAGCATTCTAATACTTAGGACCCGGGTCCTTCCAATGACAAAATCCCATAGGGCATTATTATTCTGGAGAAGAAAATAAATGTCTATGCTTTTCGTTCCCTTTCACTACAGAGCATTCTTCCTGAAATTCGCATTGAACAGAAACACCGCTAATATTAAAATAATAGAAGGTCCAGCCACTTGCACCTAAAAATGTACAACGACATCCTTTTTTACATAAATAATGACATGCAGTTTGGAGCCATCTTCACTTAATGTGGTCCCAAATGAAACACAAACTTGTAAGGTATAGGGGAGAAAGTTGGTAACATTTAAAGACTAAAACTTCAGTTTCTTAAAATAATCTGATATCTGACAGTTATTGAATCATAATATAGGAAGAATTTCCCTAGTTTTAGTGTGCAGTGTTAGAAAATAGATAGCTGATTGCTCGACAAAGTACAAGGTGGGAGGAAATAAAAAAAGAATGAGTGACTCTTCTGAAAAGCAGAATTAATCTAGAGTGCATGTTAAAAACACATGCATTAATAAATTAACACTTTTATTTTTTTCCCTTGGTCATACAGATTTTCCATACTCACATGTGAAATGACCAGCAATGACAGGTATGACAAACACCCAGGTCTAGAATTCTTAAATATTTTCATAAGTTGAATATAATAACCTGTAGCATCTGATCAAAACATTATATTTCCCAAAGTTGGACCATTTATTAAAATACTTCTTAGCCATCAGGCCCCACCAAATCCTATTATTTGAAAACCAAATTGAACAAGTGTTTTGAAATAGGTGTGATATAGTTCACCTCTAAGATTTCTAATTATTTTTCTAATTGTCTTCCTTTTGATGGTCAGTGTAGGCTTTTGGATTTTTACTAGACTAAATTAATCACACCACTCTACAGACTGTTGCTGGATTGGTGGGTATCAAATTTACCCCATTCTTTGTCTTCATTTGCTTATATTCAGGCCTCCAAAAAATTTGTATTTACCACTAATAAAGGAACATATCAGGAAGAAAGGATGATTTACAGAACAAATCATCAAATACATTTTTTCTCTATTGCCTGAAGTTACACAAATAAGTGATAACATTTCATCTGGATTTCCAGCTGGAATAATTAAGGAAAAAGTAGAAAACAGTCTCTGATATCTTTTTTGACTCAGGTCTCTGTTTAGTTATTATCTTTTCAGAGAGATATTTCCTAACCATATTTTCTAAAAGAGAGTCCCCCTTTCCCTAGTTATTCTTTATCCTCATAATGTTTTATTTAATTTCTAGCTGTTAACCCCACCTGACATTATCATTTGTTTATCATTTGCCTCTTCATCTAGAACTTAAGCTCCATGAGGGCAATATGATGAACCAAAAGGGGAACGATACCTTTTTTTGGTTCATCACTGAGTCATTAGGACCTAGAATAACACCTGACACACTGTAGAGGTTCAACGTCTATTTGTTGAATGATTGGATGTCTACTGTCCATTTAGATATGTAAAATCAGTGCATATCATTTTGTATAGTCATATATACTTTTACAAAGTGTTTGTCCTGAAACCCACTATTCCTAGCTGCTTAAATACCTAGGTCTGCTATTTGGATAGGTGAACACTTGGATGGTTGAATAAAGGAACAATTTAATGCACCATTGTCTTCTATGAACCGCATAGGATAAAAAAATTCAGGTTTTGTTATCAAGAATAACCTCCTGAGTAACTGATTTGCTTTTGTTTCATCATTTAACTAACGAATTGATAAAGTTTATCTCTTAAATTGGATTATGAATAATAAAATGTGTATAGGGCATTACAATATGCCTTTTTAATTAGCCTAATTAAGAGTTTGTTTGTGACCTCAGCTGTTTATTTCGTATCACTTTCTCCTATTTTTGTCTCCTTGCTACATTAGGCATTCAGGTAGTCAGAGTCATGGTCAAGAATACTGCCTCTGGAACCAACTAACCTCTGGCTGAGGCCAACCCAAATTTTGCTCTTCCCTAGCTGGCTGACCATGGGCAAGTTAGCCCAAATCTCTGCACCTCTATTTCCTCACTTTCAAAATAGGGATAACATTAATACCTACATCGCAAACTTGCTCATCCTCAGTGCCGTTATGAGCACCAAATGAGTTAAAACATGCGAAGCACTTGGAACAGTGCCTGGCACATGTTAAAGGCTTGGTAATGTTAGCTATTATTTTATCAAACACTTTAATTCTTCTCTGGAACAAAGTAAGACAAAATAAATGTTTTATATGCTAAACATCTCCTATGAGCCAGGCACTTTGTGGAGTGCTGAGGTGAAGATTAATAAACACATAAAGATATTTTGCATCTGGTATAGGACACAGAGGGAGACATTAATATAAACTGAGATGTCACAGAAAGGGTGACCTCGGTACTGAAGAATGAAGGGAAGATTTGGGAAAAGTAACAGCAACATGCGTACAGATTGGGAGGGGCGTCAATCATGTCTGAACAGTCGGAATATGCCTGGAGAATAGGGAGGAAGGGTGGTGGAAAGAGGTCTGAGATGTGGCTAAAATGGTAAGCCTTCACCAGATCTCAAACCAATTGCTGAGTTTCAGTTCCTGCATATTCAGACATTATTCCCCTCTTTCTGGATTGAGAAGAATCTTCCAGCATTTACTTCCTTTAGTGAAATCCAGTGACCAGCCCCTTTAGAAAGGTAGCTCCTGTGACTTAGTCTGACTTGTTCCCAGTGTATTCGAGAAGTCTTTCCCTAATAGACTCCTGTGCAGCAACTGCAAGAGGAGGTGCCATTTCAACAAGAGGTTAGAGCCCTGACTCTTGGCTTCTTGAGTGTTGCTTTTATTTCACCCTCCTGTTTCTAATGCTACTCTCCAATCGACTGCCTCCAGAAACAAATCCAGGTGTTTCTTAAACTCTTTGAATCGTCTTCTGTAGTAATTTATTCCATATGTTTATTGCTCTGTGTGTGAAATAATTTCATCAAGTTTCTTTTTTTTTATTTGTCGCTGCATTCCAATCAGCCAGCAGTAGAATCCTATCTATGAGTAACACTTTTAAAAACACCAACTCTTGTGCTCAGGGAAGCCAAGGGATGTTGTAGCACATGAGCAGAACAAGGAGAAAAGAACAACAAGCAATTGGGATTGATGACATTCGTTTAAGAGGAAAAAAAGGATTTCAGGAATACCTAGCAGGGGTTGGAGGAGAAGCTTTGCTCAAGTTCTTACTATATTTTGCATTTCCCCAGGGTGTCAATTTTATGAAACAAAGTGACGGGATGATTTCTATCACTTGAGAAGCTGTGTTAAAAAAATCTGATGCACTGGCAACAGCAAAAATTGTTATGGTAGGAATCAAATTGGTGCTTCCTTGCTGGAAATGAACGAAGCACTAGTGCCTGTCAGTTTATTTCTGAGCTCTGCTTTTCAAACTTTAATTTGAGAGGGTGGGAGGAGGTTTAATGGAAATCTGAATCGCTGTTAGAAGAGGACTATATTTTAAACTTTGATTTCATCGTTGTCTCTATGTTCAGAAGAAAATTATTCTTTATACTTAGAAGTGAAAGCACTGTCAGTTCTAAATCTATTAATGAGGGGGTGAAAGAGAGGGGAAAGAAAGGGAGTGCAGTATGTACAAAATGAATAGCTTCTGTAATTAGTAAATAAGACTGTTATTTCCAAATCAATGCACTTGCCTATGTTATACTACAGCGTGAAGGATCTTAAATGATTTACCTTTTAAAATTATCAAAATTTTGTTTTTTAATCAGCTTCTGCTAATAACATCTTCTCACCATGGAGCTGAAGTTTACTAACAAACATTTCACTCTTATCCTTTTGTTCAGGAAACTCTTGCAAAAATAATTGTCATTGTCATTTTTATTTACTGCTCTTCTCTCCAGGGAAAGAAGATATGCCACGGAGATGATGGGAACCAATGGGTTCATTGTGCTCACGGAAAACTAAACGAATGCTTGGATGTTAGTTTACTGTTTGAAAATTCATAAAATGTATATGCTGAGAGTTGATGGTTGGAAATTATAACCATCATGACAGCAATTATGATGGATTTGTTAAGCATTATTTAGGAACCAGGCACTTTGCTCAGCACTGCACATAAATTATCTCATTAGACTGTTTCAATAGCTCTAGGATGTCATTCTAATTATTACCCCCATTTTACAGATAGGAAAATTAAGTCACAGTTAAAATAGCTAATAAATGGCAAAACTGGAATTGAAACCCAAGTCCATCTGCTTCTAGAGCTGACACTTGTAGCTATTTTAAGTTGTGCTGAAAGGTATATTCCAATAATATTATTTTAGAGATACTTTTTATTATATAAATAATTGAATCTGGCTCATAACTTTCTTAAAATGTTTCTTTGAGGCTGAAATTTTCTAAACTTGGTGTCCATCCAACTGTGTGGTGGCAGGAGGCAAAGAAAATACAGCAAGTTCTGGTAGAGGCAGGAACAGATTTTAGGATTCTGTTTAGATTTTGAGACAGGCTGGAGCCTGAACCGGAATCCAAAGCCTGTTGAAACAGAGTTGCCTCTTCACAACAGCATGGAGTAAGAATTTCCATGGAAACTTAACTCAAGCACAAAACTTGACCTGAAACTAAATAAATAAATAGAAACAATTTCTGCTTATTGTTTGGTCAAAATTGATGTTTAGATTATAGACTCAATTATGTCAATTTTCTCCATCCTGTGAGCAGTGGGCTAAATCTCTGATCCTACAGTATGAATGAGCATTTACCCTCTCTTATGTATCCACAATGGGCCCTGTGGATTTTTTTTTTCCTTATAGATTATGGGAAGAGAAAAGGCGAGAGAGTTGTTTTCCTCTTGGTTTTTGTCTTTTTTCTTTCTTTCCTCCTTCACTTGTCATACCTTGTTCTGAGCTGTGTGTTAGTCTCAAAGCCGTTGGTGCACTTGCGCCCACAGCCTGGCCTGAGTTAAGGCAGAGCACTTAGTCTTCCTCCTGGGATAAAACAGACAACAAAATCTCAAGCCCTCATACATGGCTTCCTTTTATTTCCTCTCTACGTTTTCCCTGTATTTCTTTTCATATCAAAACACAGGGTGACTCTCAAGACTTACTTTGAATTCACCTGGATCATGATCTAACCACAGTAGTGTCTACCATTTTGTGAATGACTCTCTTGCATGTTAGTGTTCCTCCTTGTGCATGATTCTGCTATTGCACTCACCAATCTATACTGTGGTCTTTTGTTTCCAAGTCAGCCTCAACCACCCAACTTTGGTATTTTTGCGACATGACTCTACCAGTGTTGTACTTCAAATATGTAAGAGAAAGTAGTTGTTCATTAAATGTTTGTTGTGCCAGGGGAAACAATCAATCAAAACATTCTCTTTTTAAACATTCTAACATTTTCTTAAGCATATCTCATCAAAAAATAATATAATCCATCTCATCACACTCTCAAATAAGAAATCTATAATTAAATTGTTATAATTATGCACACATATACACTTGCATCACTGATTAGAGATGAAAAATGCAATCTATGATTTTGAATGTATTTGAACAGTGTTCATTTTTTACTGAATATTTATTGATTATCTACTATGTATCAGTTTCTAAACATAGGGACTGGCAAACAAAGTTAAAGATCCTCACCCTCAGGGAGCTTATATTTTGGCAAGGAAGATAGAAAGTAAAAATGAAAATAAGAAATAACTAAATTCCATTGTATACAAGGTGGAAAATGCTACAAAAATATAGTAAATAATAATAATAATAATAATAATTAAGAGACCTAGAAGAGGGAATGATGTTTGTGGGAGGGAGGAAATGGGTAGGTTGAGTATTAAATAGAAGGGTCAAAATAAGCCTGAATAAGTAAAGATTTGAAGGTGGAGATGTCAAACAAGTGCATATCTAGAAAAAGAACATTCCAAGCAAAGGGAATGATGTAGATGGAAGAAGGACTGGTATGCTCCTGAAACAGTAAGGGCTCAATACTGATGGATGATCCAGATGAGTAAAGGGAGAGTAGTTAGATGGTAGGGCAGAGAGGTGAGGGGAACAAGATCATTTAGAGCCTGTTGGACAATTCAAAGACTCTGGTGGTTTTCAACCTTAGTTAAATTAAGAGCCACTGGAAGGTTTGAATGATATGAGGTAATTTACTTTTTAAAAATATAACTCTGCACTGGGGAAAGAAAACTCTATTCAATAAATGGTGCTGGGGTAATTGAATAGCCATATGCAGAAGAAAGGAACTGTACCTCTGTCTCTTACTGTATACAAAAATGAATTCAAGATGGATTAAAGACTTAAATAGAAGACCTGAAATTAAAAAAAAAATCCTAGAAGAAAACCTAGGAAAGGTTCTTCTGGACTTGGTGTAGGCAAATAATTTATGACTAAGTTCTAAGAAAAAAAAAACACACCAAAACAAAAATAGATAAATGGGACTTAATTAAACTAAAAAGCTTCTGCACAGCAAAAAAAAAAAAAAAAAAAAAAAAAGTAATAATAATCAATAGAGTAAACAACCTACAGAATGGAAGAAAATATTTGGAAACAATGCATCCAACAAAGGGCTAATATCCAGAATCTACAAAGAATCAAACAAATCAACAAGAAAAAAATAAATAACCTCATTAAAATGTGGTTATAAAAATAATCTCATTAAAAAGTGGTTAAAAGGAGATGAACTGACATTTTTCAAAAGAAGAAATACATGCAGCCAACAAAGATATGAAAAAATGTTCAACATTACCAATCATCAGATAAATGCAAATTAAAAAGACAAGGAATTATCATCTCACATCAGTAAGAATGGGTATTATTAAAAAGTCTAAAAACAGCAGATAGGTCGGGCGTGGTGGCTCATGCCTGTAATCCCAGCACATTGGGAGGCCAAGGCAGGCGTATCACAAGGTCAAGAGATTGAGACCATCCTGGCCAACATGGTGATACCCCGTCTCTACTAAAAATACAAAAATTAGCTGGGCATGGTGGTGTGTGCCTACAGTTCCAGCTACTCAGGAGGCTGAGGCAGGAGATCGCTTGAACCTAGGAGGCAAAGGTTGCAGTGAGCCGAGATCGCATCACTGCCCTCCAGCCTTGCGACAGAGCAAGACTCTGTCTCAAAAAAAAAAAAAAAAAAAAAAAAAAGAAGTAGATATCGGTGAGGATGCAGACAAAAGGGAACACTTATACACTGTTGTTGGGATTGGGACTGTAAATTAGTAAAACCTGTATAAAAAAACAGAATGGAGATTCTTCAAAAATCTTAAAATAGGACTACTATTTTACCTAGCAATCCCACTGCTAGGTATATACCAAAAGGAAAAAAAACTCAATATATGAAAAAGACACCTGCACTCATGTTTATCACAGCACTATTCACAAGAGCAAAGTCATGGAATCAACCTAAATTTCCATCAACAGATGACTGAATTTTTAAAAGTCACACACACACACACACACACACACACACACACACCATGGAATACTACTCAGCTATAAAAAAGAATGAAATTGTGTCTTTTGCGATAACATGGATGGAAATTGAGGCCATTATCCTTAAAGAAATGACTCAGAAACAGAAAATCAAAACCTCCATATTCTTATTCATAAATGGGAGCTAAACAGTAGGTACAACTGGACAAACAGAGTGGAATAATAGACATTAGAGACTCCAAATTGTGGGAGGGTGGGAGGGAGGTGAGGGATGAAATACCACCTATTGGGTACAATGTATACTATTTGGATGATAGGTACACTAAAAACCCAGATTTTACCACTATGCCATATACCCATGTAACAACACATCTGCACTTGTACTCTTAAAATCTATAAAAGTTAAAAATTTAAAAAATCAACTATCAATACCAAAAGGCCAACCATGAAAGCTTAGGTCTGAGGTTATAAAAGTTAAAAATTAAAAAAAAAAAAATCAACTATCAATACCAAGAAAGACTACAAAAGGCCAACCATGAAAGCTTAGGTCTAAGGTTAAAAAGAAGTGGTCATCACAGACTATATAGAAAGAAATTGTACTCTAAATTTTAAGTACTCTAAAATTTTATGTATGGAATAAACTTGAAGGATTATCTACTACAACTCCATGATTTTGTGATTTTAAATAATTAAAAATTTTAAAAAGATTATGTGTTGAGAACAGACGTAAGATATATGCAAGGACAACAATTAGGAAAGAAAAAACGGTGACTTGAGAGTGAGGGTGGTGCCAGCTGAGGTGATGAAAACGATAGGATCCTGGATGTAGCTCGGAAGTTTCATTCTTAGATCAATGGGCCTTATACAATATAAGCATCTTTATAACCTATCATAGCAGCAAGGATTATGAGCTTTGATTTAAAGCTCCTGGTTATGTGGCTACATAATTAACATGGAAGATGTTTCTTTAACAACCAGAATTGTATAGAAACATAAAACCACAATCTCAGCCTTAGGGTCTGAGGACAAAAAAAAAATACATACATGCACAATATATAAATTAATACACATACATGTTTATATGTACATTTATATGTACATACATATACATACATGTTTATATGTACATTTATATGTACATACATATACATATATACATGCATATGCATATAGTCACATATCTATATAAAGAAATACAAATAACTGAGAAAATACTCTACACATAGAAATTGCTTTATTATTCTTCGGGTTTTGTGAATGCCTCTTTTTTAAGTGGAAGTGAAGCAAAAGCACTGGCTTCCTAAGAACTGACAGGGTGACTTTTCATGTCTATCTATTTTCATGACTATCATATTTTCATGACTACCTTAAATAAGCACAAAGCTTATTTCAGGGGGTACAAGAAGATAGGGTAGTTTTGATAGGAAATAGGTAAATAAAGCTCCGAAGAGAGCCAGGCAGGCAGGCACAGGACTATATCTGGAAGTGTTTAGCCCAGCTGAGGCCTGGGATGGGAGGTATGACTGAAGATGAACTTTACCTACCTGCCAACGTAGTGTGGCGTCATCAATGGAGGCACATTAGCTGCAACAGACTATGCAAGTATGATTTGCTTCAAAAAATTCCTTGGCTAGAGAAACCTGTGTTAACCTCCATGCATGGAAGCTGTACTCTGTAACCAGGCAGAAATTGAGTGTTGACAAATTTGTGGTAGTTTGACTATTAAAATCCCTAGTCGTGGATAATAACGCAGAGCTCCTTGGAGGGCAAAATGAAAAGCTATCAGAATAATATTTGCTTTCATCTGCTCAGATACAATGCCCAGAGCACCCGCTTGTTTGTGTTTTCTTCCTGGGGTGCATTCTGAATCCCATAAATTTCAGTTCCAGCAAGAGCACAGTACAGCAGAGCCGAGGTAGAGAAAAAAGCCCAAATTTCTCTTGTCTGATTTAAAAACTGTACCCCACAGCGAGCTTCTCTGTTTGTTAAAAACTCTAATTGGTGTTTTCTCAACTTGCTGCTTGGCTGGTTTCTTTTTATTGATTTCATTTGGGGTTTGTAAGGCTGCATTTGGAGCCCTTTCCAGAGTTTGTTTGGAAGCTATTTTTTAATTTTAATGAAAACGCATTTTTAAAAATGTATATTACACCACCCTGCCGATTTTGCTCAAATAAACCTGCTACTGTTTTCAGTGATTTCCAACCACTTTAGTACCCTTAGTCTCACTCGCTAAAGGGACCCCTGTGCTATTCCTGGCAAAGTAACAAGATTAAGGAGAAAAATGAACGTTCTTCGCTGCTTTTGAAGCCTCTTATACAACAAAGGAAAAAGATTCATTCAGGAGACTGCCTTGGGGAATAATAAATTAGGATCCAGAAAGGATCCCCGCCCCCCCACCAACCCACAACCAACTTCAATTCTAAACTGTTTCCCAAACAGAATTATTTCATTATTCTGAAGAACCCAGATCCAAAGCAATGAGCCAAGAAAGAAATTTAAGTCAGTAATGAATATTAGGTTTACACTTAAAATGTTATATACCTATGGTTCCATAAATTTGGCAACTGGAAATGTTCAAAATAACATGTCCTGTATTTATGTTTTATTAAGCCTATTCCCCCATTAGTGGCCATCCAGATCACTTATAATTTATTGCTATTACAAAATAAAATGCTGTGATAAGCATCACTGTCCATTGGTCCCTACATACATATGATTTTGTTTTTGAGAAAAGATTTCTCATTTTTCTATAACAGGTAACTAGTGAGATTGCTATGTTCAGTATATTCATATTTTTAAGTCATAATGAAAAATTATTGTTTTAAAAAGGGTTTCAGTGGTTTGTTATCTCCCCAACCTGAAGGTTTTTATCTCTAGAGATCTTGCCAATTTGATGGACAGCTTCATCCCCCTGTATACCAGAGAAGTTGAGCCAAGGACTTGGCTTCAATTTGCATATAACATAGTGCATGCCTAGTGCTAATTCACTACTATATTACTGTAATTGGAAATCTTACTCTAGGCTCAACTTTATTTGTTGAGAATTTTATCAGTTAAGACAGAATTTAAAGCCATTCTAGTAATCCCCTAGTAGTGGACTGATGCTCCCAGGCTTAAAATTACAAAAGCAATTAGGAAGAAGTATCTTATTAATAAGAAACATTTTGTTTGTTTAAACACACACACACACACACACACACACACACACACACAACTTTCTCTTGGGACCATCTAGAACGCTCTAACCCAGTAGTCCCCAAACTTTTTGACACCCGGGACCAGTTTCATGGAAGACAATATTTCCACAGCTGGTGTGGGGGTGGGGGAAGGGATGCTTTTGGAATGAAACTGTTCCACCTCTAGATCTAACTAATCTAATCCAGTTAGATTCTCATAAGGAGAGCACAACCTAGATCCCTCTCATGAGCAGTTCACAGTGGGGTTCGTGCTCATATGAGAATCTAATGCTGCCTCTAATCTGAAAGGAGGCAGAGCTCAGGTGGTAATGCTGCTGCAGCTCACCTCCTGCTGTGGGCCCAGTTCCAAACGGTCCATGGAGCGATACTGGTCTGCTTCCTGGGTGTTGGGGACCCCTGCTCTAATCTCTACTAAAAATCTTAATAGAAGTCTATGATGACAACAGACGTAATGCATTGAGACTATTAAGAAGGAAGAAGTCTTATATTATTAGCTCAGCATGAATTTGAGACCTGACGAAAATCTCTGACAAGTTCCACATGTGGTTCTTCTCAATGTGTTACCACAGAGTTGAAGTCTAGTCCACTAAACCTAGTTATTCCAGCTAATAGTTCCAACAGCTCTGCAACATGAGAGCAGGTCTGGTGCCAGGCACTCCTACTGCTAATCTCAGGACTGTCAAAAATTTTCTAGAAAAAGTACTGAGTTTTATTTATTCAAACAAACGAAATGGAAACGAACTCACTTACCTTCCTTAGTAAGAGGTATAGGAATTAACTTAAATGTTTTTGTAATCTCCTGATAAAAGATGATGTAAAAATGAAGAACATTATTATATTGCTAAGAGCACTGAAAATATTATCCTTAGCAAACTAATGCAGGAACAGAAAACTAAATAAATACCACACGTTCTTACTTACAAGTGGGAGCTACAAAATGAGAACACATGAAAAGAAAGAGGGGAATGACAGACACTGGGGCCTATTTGAGGGAGGAAGGAGAAGTTCAGAAAAAAAAAAAAAAACTTGTCAGGTACTATGCTTTGTAACTAGGAGATGAAATAATCTGTACACCAAACCCCAGGGTGACAAGTTTACCTATATAATAAAACTGCACATGTGCCCCAGAACCTAAAATAAAAGTTGAAATTTTTTTAAAAAAAGAAAATCCCACATGTATTTTCAATATACATCTTCTAAAATAGTAAAGTATATCTAGAATATCTTGTGTGAGTAATTGATACTTTTGAAACCTATTAAAATAATAAGTTAAAGCTGGTTACTGATACTGTCTTAGTTTGAAATAAATTGATGAAAAAAGGCATACACTAAAAATAATAAACAAACACAGGAAAAAATCAGTGAGAAATATCTTGTTGGCTTCTAAAAGATAACCTCTAACAGTGAAACTTTAATAGATAATGTTACTATTATATGTGGAAACTTTTATTTATTTATTTATTTATTTATTTATTTATTTATTTAAACAAGTGTTAACAAACAACTCCCATGTGCCAGGCCTCCAGAAACCTGTAAGAGTTTAGTTGTGGCAAACAAATGCACAGAAATAATTATGATAAAATCGTTTTTATTATATTTGTGGAATAAAAGCAGTGTAGAAATGATACTGTGTTGTCAGAAAGGAGAATTTCTCAGGCAATGTTAACACTCAACATGGTTACTGATGGATAGAAGAGACATCTTGGTAGGAAACCAGGGAGCTATCTCCTCCAGGGGACAGACTGTAAAACCATATTTTTAGAGAATCATGTTATCTAGGTCAGTCTGGAGCACTGGTTCTCCACTGGAGATATCTGGCAATATTGAATGATATTTTGGCTTCTCACAACTGGGGGAAACGACCTGTATTAGTCCGCTTTTACGCTGCTCATAAAGAGATACCCGAGACTGAGCAATTTACAAAAGAAAGAGGTTTAATTGGACTTACAGTTCCACTTGTGGGGAAGCCTCACAATCCTGGGAAAATCCAAGGAGAAGCAAGTCACATCTTACGTGGATGGCGGCAGGCAAAAAAATGAGAGAGCTTGTGCAGGGGAATGCCTCTTTTTAAACCATCAGATCTCGTGAGACTTACACACTATCATGAGAACAGCACAGGAAAGACTTGTCACCATGATTCAATTACCTCCCACCAGGCCCCTCCCACAACACGTGGGAATTCAAGATGAGATTTGGGCGGGGACACAGGCAAACCATATCAGGGCACTAGTCATGTGTACTGAATAGAGGCCATGGCTGTTGCTAAACATCCTACAGTACACAAAACAGTCACATAAGAAAAAATTATGCAGCACAAAATGTAAATAGGGAGTAAGTTAGGTAACCCTGGTCTGGAGTATAGGATGCAGTTGTGTCTGAGATGCCTGAGGAGCTATCAGGTGGAGAGGTCCCGAGGGAATTTTATTGTGTATTTAGGGCTGATGATACAGGGTAGACCTAGAGCTATATAGTTTTTGTTTCTTTGGGTTTTGGGATATTTTTTATTTTTAATTTTTGTGGGTACATAGTAGTTTTATATATTTTGTTTACATGAAATATTTTGATGCAGGAATGTAATGCATAATAATAATCACATTAGGGTAAACGGGTTATTGATCACCCCAAGCATTTATCCTTTGTGTTACAACAATTATACTCTTTTAGTTATATTAAAATGTAAAATTAAATTATTTTTGACTATAGTCACCCTGTTGTGCTAGCAAATACTGGGTTTTATTCATTCTATTTTTTGTTTATTAACCATTAACCATCCCCATTTCCCCTCTCCACCACCCCCCCAACAATACCCTTCTCAGCATCTGGTAGCCATCCTTCTACTCTCTATCTCCATGAGTTTAATTATTTTAATTTTTAGCTCCCACAAATAAGTGAGAACATGCAAAGTTTGACTTTCTGTGCCTGGCTTATTTCACATAACATAATGAAAGTTCCATCCATGTTTTTGCAAATGATAGAATCTCATTCTTCTTTTTGACTGTATAGTACTCCATTTTATATATGTATCACATTTGCTTTATCCATTCATCTGTTTATGGACACAGGTTGCTTCCAAATCTTAGCTATTGTAAATAGTGATGCAATAAACATGGGAGTGCAGGTATCCCTTCAATATACTGATTTCCTTTCCTTTGGTTATATAGCTAGAAGTAGGATTGCTGGATCCTACAAGTATCTCTAATTTTAGTTTTTTGAGGAGTCTCCAAACTGTCCTCCATAATGGTTGTATTAATTTACATTATGACAAACAGTGTATGAGGGTTCCCTTTTTTTCACATCTTTGCCAGCATCTGTTTTCTTTTGTCTTTTTAATAATGATCATTTTAACTGGGATGAAATGATATCTCATTAATATGGTATATTTCATTGATATTGATATCTCATTGCAGCTTTGATTTGCCTTTCCCAGATTAGTAATGTTGAGCATATTTTCAAATACCTGTTAGCCATTCGTATGTCTTTTTTGAGAAATTTCTTTTCACATCCATTACCCACTTTTTAATAGTATTTGCTATTTTTTTTAATTGTTGAGTTGTTTGAGTTTCTTATACATTCTGAATGTTAGTCTTTCATTCCAAGAATAGTTTGACAAATATTTTCTTCCATTTAACAGGTTATCTCTTCATCCTGTGTTTCCTTTGCTCTGCAGAAGCATTTTAGTTTACTATACTCCCATTTTTCTTTGTTTTTGTTGTCTGTGCTTTTGAGGTCTTAGCCGCAAAATCTTTTCCTAGATGAATGTCCTGAAGTGCTTTCTTTACATTTTCTTCTAGTAGTATTATAGTTTTGGGTCTCTCATTTAAGTCTTTAATTCATGTTGAATTGTTTTATACATATGGTGAGAGACACAGGCCCAGTTTATTCTTCCACATATGAATATTCAATTTTTCTAGCAACATTTTTTAGAGAGGATGCCCTTCCTTTAATGTATGTTCTTGACACATTTGTCAAAAATCAGTTCTCTGTAAGTACATGAATTTATTTCTGGGTTCTCTATTCTATTCTATTGGTTTATGTGTCTGTTTTTATGCCAATACTCTGATGTTTGAGTTACTATAGCCTTGCAATATATTTCGAAGTCAGATAGCATGATGCCTTCCACTGTGTTTCTTTTGCTTTGGTTATTCAGACTCTTTTTTTGTTCCATATGAATTTTAGGATTTTTTTTCTATTTCTGTGTAAAATGATGTTGGCATTTTGATGGGGATTGCATTGAATCTGTAGACTGTTATGGGTAGTATAGTCATTTTAACAATATCAGTTCTTTTGATGAATGAACATGAGATGCCTTTCTATTTGTTTGCATCCTCTTCAATTTCTTTTGTCAGTGCTTTGAACCTTTCCCTCTAAAGGTCTTCCACCTCCGTGGTTAAATTTGTTTCTAGGCATTTTTTTTTTTAATCTAAGCTTGTCTATCTTGATTGCATTTAACATTGTTTGATCTGGAATCCCTAGCCTCTCTGTCTACTCCAATCCAGTCTCCATAGAACACTCATAATTATTGCCCCAAAATCATCAAAGATAAATCTGTCATCTTCAAATTTGAAAATTTCCAGTGGTTCCAAGATGTCTGTAGGATATGATCTAAATTATGTAGTTTTGCATCTGGGGTGTGCAAAATCTGCCTCCATGTGTTCTTCTGGTCTCATCTCCTCCCACTCAGGCTATCACCATTTCTTTCTCCCACTGTCCAGCTCAGACATTCCATGTACACCAAACACTTTCATAACTTCTAGCGTATCCATAGAGCCTGATGTCTGATAAGCACTCAAGTATGTTGACTTTATGAATGAATGAATAATTGGGTGCAAACCACTAGAATCGATAGCAGAAAAACTCAACTGTTCCTTTGAAACTGTTAGATATGTGAAATATTTAATAGTTTATACCTGTATTAGATTGCTTTCCTACTTTAAAAAGGAACTGTAATTTCAGTAGTGTGTGTATGTGTGTGTGTGTGTTAAACTCCATGGTGTAGCCGGACTGTCTGTTCTTGCGTCTCTGACTGTGAACCCAGGAAAGTGGTGTCACTTATCAATCAATAATGAAGAAAAGTGCAGTGTCTCAATGTGCTGACTCCAGACCTGGGAGGGAAGCCAGACTGAGAATAGCTGTTAGAAAATTTAAAATGTTCATTTAAATTATGAGAGTCTTTGAAATAAGGGAATAATTGAATAGAATGAGAGAAATAGAATGAGAATTAAAAGATGAAGTAGCCCAGGTTTTAAATCATAGCATCTGACCAGATAGTAAAGATAATAATTATTTTTTATTTTCCAATAGAAAGTATATTTAGAATTATTGCTTAAGAATTGTTGTTGCACATAAAACTTCCAATTCAGAAAGAATGTGGGGAAGGGGAGTGGATATTTGAACTTTCATAGTATTCCATACTGTTCTGAACACATTAGATACCTTCCCGTGGGGCATATTCTGTCAATCAGCTCAGGTCTACTTCTTGATTTCAGCATAATTAAGACATGGAAATCTTTATGTCTCATTACTTTGTTTATTATTTACAGTGAGAATCCAAAATAGATTTACTGTGCCTGATATGAACTGGAGCCTCTATTACTATTTTTGTCCTGCCTGAAATCAACCTTATGCTAAATTGGTGTAGGGTGTCAGAACAAACCCCAGATCCTAGTGTCTTCTGTGGGTTCCCAGGGACTCTAGACTTAGTTGCATAGCCTGGTATTCTCAGCCCTACCTCTAGGGGAACTTGTAGCAGAGACGCGGAAGAGAAGAGGTCTTGTGTTACACGCAGTTTGCTCTGTTTTTTAAGGAACTTGATCAAAGTTTTCTAACTATCCTAAGGTATCAAACTGATATAATAATTAATATTTTAATATATGTAGCTTCTCCTTGGAAACTTTGTATAAAATTTGTATTAAAAGTCCTCTAAAAAGTATAATACAATTTCAATTTTTATTTTTGTGATGGTCAGATGAACCTGTGCCTTACTTCAGAGCACTGCAGAAAGTTGTTGAGAACACAGAAATGAGTGCTATTCTTTTTAAATATTTATTTCTTTACCATTATTTTTGCACTAGGCTATGTAGGTTAATGTTGAATAAGCAACTCTGCTGTAATCAAGATCTTTCCAACATAATGGCATGCCTCCTTTGATGATCTCTCAAAACATCCTTACAAATTATTACTTGTCAGGATTTAACCCAACACTCCCTACAGGAAGTCCTATAATATAGCCATAGTTTCCAAAGGTGAGCTTCTCGTCCCTAGAGGCAGGGCATGGAGTATTTCCAACTGTCAATGAGTCTAGATATTTTTCTGCTTGTATTAGGACCCTGAATAAAAAATATTTCCCATGCACTTAATAGATAAATGTATTCATTTATTTCTATGTGCCACATAGTAACCCTCAGAACAATCTGAGGTAGGAAGCATTTTATACCCAGTGGAAAAGATGCCAAAACTGAGGCACAGAGGGATTAAATAACTTGCTAATTTAGGTAGTAATTAGTGGCATTAATGTGCCATGATTTGAACATAACACATCTGAATTCAGATTCCCTGTCTATATATATTAATAGAATTCAATAAGCGAGAATGAAAATTGTGTTTGTTTCTGAATTATTGGAAGTTTTACATTGGCATCCGTTGGTATCAAAAAACATTTTATCATAATCAAATAGAAAGAAAATACTTGCATAAAGCCATACCTTCTTCTGAGAAGTACCAGAATAAAGATATCCTGAAGATGTTTGTAATAGTTGCGGGTACTCTCTGAGTGACCCTCCCTCTTACTATTATCAGTCACTAAACCACATGTACAAAATACAACTCATAAGACAAGCCTTGACCTTTGATAATCCTCTGAGGGAATTGGAGAACTAAGCCCTAATGACACTGGGGAAGGATAGGAATGGTTAAAATATGGTGCTACATCAAGATATATTAGACTGGACCAAACAAGAGGTTTCCCTTGAATAGCCCCTATTGTCTGTCCTTACTACTAAATTTAGAGAAGGTAGCAGCAGCAACGCTTAAGTCAGACAACTTGCCAGGGTCTGCATGGATTCCTATTGCTCATGCTTCTATTTTCTTCTGATCCCCTTTATCTCTTCTTCTGTGGCTCTTAATCTTTACAACATAATTCTGGGGGAACTTTCACTTTGATTTGTATTTCCGTCTTATTCTAAATATAAAGCATTCTGATCTCCTTGGAGAAAAGGTGCTATAGGACTGTAATATAGGGATAGACTAAAATTAGAAATATCATCACATTAACATCTTTTTCCCAATAGTTTGGTACTTTTGACAATGTACTATTTTAGTGTATCATGGGGTTTCACAGTGATTGTAAATTAAAGCTTTCCTTATGAAGACTGAAAATGTGCCTGACTTGGTAAATTCTCAACTTTCTTAGAACTCCATTTAAGGGAATCAATGTTCACTGTCTTTTTTTTTTTTTTTAACCTTAATATGTTACTGACTTAAACGAATACTAGAAAAGATTTAAGTGTAAGCAAAAAGATGAATCCAATGTGCCAGGTGAATCATGACAGTCTCTTGGACCACAAATTCCAACTTATGTTTTCAGATAAGAATTTTGTTTCTGACCTAAGGATCTGAGGCAACACAGACTGTTTCATGCCTTTTTCTCACCTCTCAAGACCCTGCAATTTAAGTGCCAATTGAAGAACTGAAGCTCAATATTTTCTGTTATTTCTCTTCAGTTTTAAAAGTGGGCATCACATGGATCATGGAGGAATGTTTTTTCAGCATGCGTATATTTGTTTTTCTATCTACTTCATGTAATCCTTTTTACTTAACATTAGCAATACATTCTTTGACTTTCAAACTTCCAAATTAGCATTTGGAAACATAAAATTGTTTATTGGCCTGCTTTGCAGGATAAATAAATGTCTGTTCAACCCCATTAGTTTTAAACCCATGATTTAGGATTCTTTTAAATGTGCTAAAATTAACAAGACTTAACTCTGTGGGTACAGAAAATGACAATACGAAATAATAAGTCATGCTGAGAATTGGACATTTGACAAGATTTCAATTTTTAATCTGGCCTCCCAGTTTGGGTGTTCCTTCCTTTGTGGCAACAGATCAGAAAATATTTGCTTATCAATAAATGTAGGCAGTTGCTACACCACGGCAGACCTGGGTAAGCCTGAAATTTAGAAGGTAATGCCAAGACAGAAGAATAGCTAGAGAGAATATGGTTTGATTTTCTAAACCACTGAGTGATTTGGTAATTGTAGTTTATACTGGCAACTGAATTCAAGATGTCACACTTTAGTACATGGCTAAGGTCAGTTATTACTTCATTATAATTGTCTTAGGGCATCATTATACTATATTTGATGGAGTTTCTTTCTTCTAATAGCTAAAGAATTGTAAATGTTTTCCAATATGCACTATCTGCATATTTATGGTAAGGTAAGTAAAAGAAAATGCTAATTTGATTCCTATTATGTGAAATTTAAAGTAACTCATATTTAAGTGAGGTTGGGCTACCTGTATATGAATTATTTTAAACAAATTTGTGGAATAAATTCATAATGTAATTAATAATTTTAGGAAAATGATTATCTAATTGGGAGAATAAATTACCTTTAATACCTTTACAATTATTTACATTCAGCCAATTAATATAGTAATTATAACTCATTCTTTTCTATTACTTAATATTGAATCACTGAATTCGTAGTTATTAATTTTACATAATTAATTGTCTGCATCAGTTTAGATAAAATTATAGCTGATTACCAGTAGTCTGTAATATGAAAAGAAACAGGTTTTTTTCAGTGTAGGGAGAGTTCACAAATGTAATATTAATCAGTAGTGTAAAGAAATTTTTACCAATCACTTCAGCACCATTTCTAGTAACTGGCAAAACTTAACTAGTAGTAGAAGCATTACAGCAAAGTGCTTACGAGTACAAAACTCTGGAGCCACAGGACCTGGGTAAAAATCCCATCTCATACTGCCAGCTTTGTGATGACCTTAGCTGCAGTGGTTGGGCCATCACCCATTCCTATTGGGAATGCAAAATATCTGGAAATGTCCTTTTTAAAGAAACATTTTATTACTACTTAGAGAAAACCATTTTATTAAAATTTAGCAGTAATTTTATTTTTTACTTTTAAACTTCCAAATCAGTATAAAATTTTCTATTGGCCTGTTTTACATGACAAAAAATATTGTCTTTTCAATCAGTCCTGATGGGCTAGAAGTCTACCACTTGTTAGCTTTGTGCATCTAAAGAAGTCTCTTAAAATCCCAGAACTGAGTTTTCTTATCTATAAAATGGGAAATACAGTAGGTGTAATACATGTTATATATTGTAAGTTGTATTTTGTGTGTTTTTTTTTACATATCCTCACACTCTTTTAATAGAGATTGTGATGAGACATTATTCAAAAGCCGACAGAAAAATTAAGATATTAAGGATTGGAATTTGAACAATCTGAGGTTAAGTAACCACCTCCTATATGACCAAAATTTGTAAACAGGCCAATTGCAAATATAAGTATAAATAATACAAGCACGCTTCAAATTATAAAAATATTTTTATTACGTTATTTAGAATTTTGAACTCTAAATGGCATTCTGTTTTAATGTTTATTAGTAATACTTTAAAATAGTAAAGTGTTTAAAATATTTTTCTAATAACACATTTACTGAAAAATACTTAAGCATATTCTAGACCATCTAAAAAACTAAAGGATATTGAAGATATGAGTGCATTGTGTTTATTTACCAGATTCACAGTCTTTGAAATTGGATATATCACACATTATATGTAATAAATCTCGGCTAAGCCAAATATAGCATTTACTTAATCAGAGTAGCTTATGTTCCAACCATTCTGAGAAAAAAAATGAATTTTAATATTTTGTAAATTCAAAACAGTGAGATTCTATATATAAAATATATATGTATATGTGTATATGTATATATATATTTATGTGTGTATGTGTATATGTAGCTATATCTATATACATATATATTTTTAAAATATATTTAATTATAATGTCCTAAGATGCTTGTGATTGAGCTAGAAGGAAATAGAGCTAAAAAAGAAAGTCCAGCTTTTTATTGAATTGCCAGATATGGTAGAGGGCAACTGATGGACCTAACTTCCTTGACAATATTATCTATATGCCCAGGATTTGGATAGCACTTCCCTTTAGTTACATTTTTGTTTGTTTGTTTGTTTTGGCATTTCCTTCTTCTGGCTCTGTTAGTTTGCCCATAACTCCTTTCTGCTGGGAATGAGATATCTCTGGAAGTACTGTCATTTCCACAGCATTTCACAACAATAAAAACATTTGGATTTCTGTGGAATTTCTTGTAGCAGTCCTTGTTTTATGTGTCATATATGAATCATATATACACACACATACAAAAACATACATAACTTTCTTTTAAATTTAACACTGCTTGGTTGCCAAAATAAGTGTGAGTTTTCTGTAGAAACAGTCAAATTTATCCTTCAGGACCTTGAACAGCACTATTTTTACCTTCAGAATTTCCTTTTGGTATAATAGTGAACACTGAAAAAATATAGTTCCTTTTAAATACACATTAGGCCATTTCACTCCACCTCTCTTAAATTCTCTTCTAAATATTATCTTTTAGCATGTAATGCACAGCTTAGAGTCATCAGTAGGAGTAAAAATATGGTTTCTAACAGTTTGGGTGACAGAGATTCTTATTCTGTGGACACCAGTGTTCAGGGTGACCATTTACATTGGTGTGATTTGCTAATGTTTCTGCATGAGGGATGCCCCTCACTCACTGAAAGGTGAAAAATGTCTTGCTTTCTGTGACGGTCAGACAACTTGTATCACACTTGCCCATTCAGCTGTCTTCTGCAAGTGTCATGATACATATGTCCTAGCACCAGGCTCTCCCTGAGGAACCTCCCTGGACTCCAGAGGCAGATCATACCCTGCAATTTTGTCAATCTGGGATCATATCAATTTCCAGAAACTCTGAATAAGGGTCAGTTCCCACCATATGTGCCTAAGTATACCCTTGTCACTGCATCCTCCTCAGTCATTGTCAGAACTGTTGTCAAGCATTTCCCTATTATCAGACACTACTACTACTATAGAGTAAGCCCTGAATTGAAGAGCAGTTTTGTTCCATATTCAGGAGTATACAAAATGACTTTTGCCTTTAGTTTTGCTGCCATATTCAGTTTAGGAGAAATATGCCACGTTTTAGGAAGGATATGGTTTTGGAAAGTGCCTTGATTTAATACATCTCTTTTTACCTGCAGTTATGAATTGCACTGAATTAATTTCTTCTCATATTTTCTGGAATAGCAAATTAGAAAAAAGGACACACCTTGAAAGCAGCCTACCTAGATATTTTGAGGTGGTCATCTCTTTGCAAGCAATTGTATATTTTGATTTCCAAAGTTAATGATAACCAGAAATAGAAACACTATTTTACATTTAGACATTATTTCGAATCCATTACTATGAGGTCCATTTCAAACAGGTTAAACTTTTACTTAAATTCAAAATAATTTTTCCAAGAATAGACAAAATCCAAATTGCTTGAAATTGAAATTGCATGATCATTAACATTTTATGTCTACATTTGTGCCATTCTTGGGTGTTGAAAGTAATGATAATACTGAGAAAACATAAAAGAAAAATAACCCTATCAATTTGTTTCAATGTTGTCTTCTTTAACAATAATTATAAGAATTTTAATATTAAAATTATTAATGATTTCTAGAAAATTCTTATTTTGACTATGCGGATCACATATGTTCATGTAATTATCTACACAAAGATATCAATTCTGGCCTTAGTGCTCTATTTTCTTTTAAATTTCACACTATTTTAAGTAGATTCTCTCTGTTGCAAACTCAGAGTTTTCTATAGAGGAAAGCAGACCCTATTCAATATTTGCTGAGACCTAAATAACCCGGGATTCTGCTAGGATCAAGGCCAAGCCAGTCATGGTCCTTATGGTCATCTTATTTACATTCGGTGTGGGACACACCCACAGGGAAGTATCCAGCAATCAAATATTGTGTGATAAAGTGTCAGGGAGGAAGTTCAGGTGGCTCTGGGAGTATACCAGGAAAAGAGCAAAACAACTCAACCAGGACTTCGGCAGAATGCGAAGACAGCTTGGAAGAAATATTCAAGTTGAGATCTGCCAAGAGAAAAGATAGGGGGATGAACAAGAATCTAATAGGGTAGGGTGAGAGTAGGAAGGGTAGGAAAAGGAATAGGAATAGGTTAAGGATGAAGCTGGTAAATGAAGATATGAAGGCTTTGAGAACCACAGTAAAGAGCATGAATTTCATCTTGAGGACAATGGGTGAGATTGCATTAGAGGTTTTCCTTTAGTCAGTATTAAGAAATGTATCATTCAGACTGCAGAGAAGGGATTATTTCAAAGGGGGAAGTACAATGGAGTGAGGCCAACCAGGGTGGCTACAGTAGTCTAGCTTAGCAATGACAACATCCTGGACTGGGGGAAATCAGTGGATAAAAATAGAAACACATTTAAGATACATTGAAACCTGGTTGTTTATGAAGGGCAGGTCAGAGAACCATCTGATGCCATACACAGGTTTCTGTTTGGGCACTGGGTATATGAAAAACAAAAGATGAAAATAAGAGATATAAGAGATAGTATGTAAGTGGAATATTTATTCTTTCAACTCCTGTTTATTTAGTGTCTCCTATTTGCCAATTACTGCTGAGTTAGGTACTGAGAATACAGCATTAAAATAAAAAAGGCAAAGATGTCTTCCATCCAGGAGCTTCACCATGTTAGAGGGTTGTTGAATGCTGAGGAGAAACAAAGCAGGAGCGGAGGATGGGGACTGTGAATGGTGGTGGAGAGGGAGCACCACAATTTTGCATAGGGAGGTCAAAAACAGGTTCACTGAGAGAAAGACAGTAAAGAAAGGGAGGGAGTGAGCTATGTGGACAGGCAGGGGAACAGCAAGTAATGAAGTGCTGATAAATACTTCCTAATTTAAAGTAGTCAAATTTGTGTCCCATTTAAGAGCCAGTTTCCAACAAGTTTATTAGAGTTTTAGTTTCCAACAGGAAGTCCAAGTTTATTAAGATTTTAGAAATATTATCTCCTAAATGCTTTATTGTTTCAAATTAGGTTCATAAATTATCAGAAATTGATTTTTGTGTATGGTATACTGTAGGAATTATGTTTCATCTTCCCAAATATATACTAATTTCCCATGTCCATTTATTGAAATATGAGTCTTTACATTCCTCTGTAATGTGATCTTCCTCTCAAATCAAGCATCTGAATATGTGTGAGTTTGTTTTGGGTTTTTTATTTTCTTCCTCTGGTCTATTTATTTACGGTTGGGCCAATGCCAGACTCTCTTGGTTAATGTGTCTTCAGTAGTTCTTGATATTCAATAGAACAGGTTTTTCCACCTTCTTCTTTTTCAAGAATGTTCTAGCTATTCTTGGTCTATGCATCTTCCTACTGTGAAACCACATTGTCAAGGGAAACCAGTGAGTGGGAGAAAATATGATATGTGTGTATGCGTATGTGTATGTGTATGTGTGTGCAGACACAACACACAGGGTGCTTATATCCAAAATGCATTAAAATAATTTTTTACAAAACTGCAACAAAAGTTATAAATATTTAAACCCATGGAAGCACAGTCAAAAGATCTGCAGACACTATGAAAGAGTAGATTCAAGTGACCAATAAAGATACTTTTAAAAAGATGGACAACTTCATTAATAATGAAAGAATGCAAATTAAATTGATAATGAGATTTCACTGCCAGTATAACAGAATGGATAAAATTTAAAAGTCTGATAATACCTAATGCTGACAAGGATACAAAAAATGGTAATTTTTATACAAATGGGTGATGGGCATACAAATGGGTGAAATAATTTTGGAAAAACAAATCACATTCTCTATCTTGATTTAAAGGTAATGATTAAGAGCAATTCCACTCCACTTTTACGCCGTTGAAAAGTGTACAGCTATGTAAATCAGTGGTGCTCAGTCAGGAGTGATTTTGTCCCCAAAATGTATCTGGTAACATCTAGAGACATATTTGACTTTCAAAATTTGGAGAGGAGGTGCTACTGGCATTTAATTGGTAGACACCAGTAATGCTGCTAGACATCTTACAACATACAGTAGAGACTCCCAACAAAAGAGAATTTTTAGACCAAAATGGCAATAGTGTCAAGGCTGAGATATCCTGATGTACATTAAAATATATGTATAGATTATTTATTAAAAACATTATTCATATTAGTCAAAAGTGGAAGAAAAAGCAAACGTATATCACAATTCAAATTTATAATTGAGATATATGCATACATTAGAATACTACACAGAAAAAAAAAACAGAAAATAAAGGTTTCGAATTAACCCTTTTTAAAATGTTGAGATAAGTATAGATTCACATGAAGTTCTAAGAAATCATATGGAAAGATCCTGTGTACTCTTCATTCAATTTCAATTTCAATCCCTGATAACCTCTTGTGAAAATAAGGAACAATGTCACAAGTAAAAAAAAAAAAAAAAACCACACACGCACACACACACAATATAATCCACTGATCTTTTTCATATTTTCCCAATTTTATACACATGTATGTGCATGTGTTTAATTAGCTGTATGCAATTTTAACAGATATGTATGTTTGTGTAAATGCCATCATATTAAATATGCAAAACAGTGCCATTGCCACAAGGATCTGTTGTGCTTCCTTTTTATAATCACATCCACCCCCCTTCTGCCATCTTTCCCATTCTTAACCTCTGACCATGACTAATCTGCTCTCTATCTTTATAATTTTGCCATTCAAGAATGTTAAATGAGTAGAATTATACAATATATTACCTTCTGGGATTGGCATTTTTCATTCATCATAATCCTTTTAAAGTTCATTGAAGTTGTTGCATTTATCAATAGCTTGTTCATTTTTATTTCTGAGTAATATTCTTTGATCTGGATGTACCACAGTTTGTTTAAACATTCACTCCATTGAAAGAGATTTGCGTTGTTTCCAGTTTTTAACTACTGTGAATAAAGCTGCTATAAACATTTGTATACTGGTTCTTACTTGAACATAAGTTTCTATTTCTCTGGGAGAAAGTGCTCAAGAGAGCAACTGCTGGATTGCATGTTTAATTTTATAAAAATAAAACCCTGCCCAACTGTTTTGCAGAATGTCTGTACCATTTTACATTCCCATCAGCAATGTATGAGTGATCAAGTTTCTTTGCAACCTTGCCAGCATTTCGTATTGCCATTACAGTTTGTTTAACCATTCTGATAGCTGTATAGTGTTGTCTCGTTGTGATTCAATTTGCAATTCCTTAATGGCTAGTAATGTCAAACATCTTTTTATGTGTTTATTTGCCATCCATATGAAAGATTTCCTAAAAAGCTTTGAGGTGAGATGTTGCCTAGCATGTCCTAGGACAGCCATTGTGGCTGGAGAAAAGATAATGGGAGGTAAAGTTGCAGGAAATGATGTCAGTGAAGTAGTGTGGCATGTGCCAGCTCATGTATTCTAGGTCATTGTAAGTACATTGGCTTTTGTCCTGAGTGAGAACTGATAAGTGGTATAAGATGAGTTATATTTTAACTGGATCATTCAATGTTCAACATTAACCAAAGGGACATAAGATGTAAAGATGGAGACTATGAAGCTGTGCAATTACTTGAGTAATAGCAATAGCTTAGATGGAAAGGGTAGCAGAAGTGGTGAGATGTTTTATTCAGTATATGTTTTGAAAGTAGAGTCAAAAGGAGTTTTATGATAGATTAAAGGTGGATGTAGAAAAGACTAAGATAACTCAAACTTTCTGGAGATACTTGTGATACATCCAAGTGGGCATATCTATGTAGCCAACTGAATATTTCAACAGCTGTCAGCAGAACTCAATATATTTCACCCAGTTGGCTTGAATCTGAAACATTCTCCTTTTTGCACTTCCATAAGAAAGTACTCTACTAGTTTCCTCTGCCTTATTGGATGCTCTTCTAAGACTTCTTTGCTGACTCTCTCTCTACCCTGCTCAGGGTCTATCCTAGACCTTCTTATCATTAATAATTAGATATCATCGATAGGATCTTGGCTCTTAAATATATATCTCCAGTATAGACAAAACCTTAAATTACAAACTAGTTTATGTGACTGCCTACTTAACCTCTCCATTTCAGTGTATGATAACTGTTTTAAATTTGGCAGACCTGAAATCAATCTTCTCTTTGCCAAACCCTGCTTTTCTCCTATCTTCCTGCAATGGCAACTCTATCTAGTTGTTCAGGAATGAAACCTATCTCTCATCCTATATATCTAAACAAATCTTATTTACTTGAAGTCCAAACATATCTCAAATTGACCCATTTATCCCCATCTGATTTGCTGCCATTCTTATTGGAGATATTATTATCTCTTTCTTAAACTTTTTATCATAGCCAGATAATTGATCTCTCTTCCTTCTACTCTTGCCCCATTTAAAACATACTCTGAGCGGCAAAGTTATCCTTTAAAAATATATATCATGCAATCATAAATAAACATAAAAGACAAAAGAAAGACTCTTGTTTATAGTAGAATGTTGAGTGCTGATTCATAAATATAAAGGGAGTGCTAGAGCTGTAAAATTATTACCTTGCAAATATCACTCCAAAGATTATTTCAGGCAGGAAACATCAACTGATGCTAAATTTAGAGGGCGTGGATTTTTTTTTTTTTTTTTCCTGAGACAGAGTATTACTCCGCTGCCCAGGCTGGAGTGCAGTGGCCGACTCTCGGCTCACTTCAACCTACGCCTCATGGGATCAAGGGATTCTTATGCCTCAGCTTCCCAAGTAGCTGGGACTACAGGTACGCACCACCATGTCCAGCTAATTTTTTGTATTTTCAGTAGAGACAGAGATTCACCATGTTGGCCAGTCGAACTCCTTGCCTGAAGTGATCCAACACCTTGGCCTCCCAAAAAGCTGAGATTACAGGTGTGAGCCACTGCACCAGGCCATTTTTTTTTTTCTGAATTTTGATGAGGAGACAGGTACTTGCATTATCTTAAAATGTGTCCCCACATTGTTTAGTAGCAAGGAAAAACTAATAACTATAATGTTGGAGAATCAGACAATCTTGAGTGGAGCAAATATATATTGTGTATCTCTCCGTGAGAAAACCTGAAAAGGATACAACATCACTTATGCATGTTGGGAAAGCATAAACTGAAATTAACCATGGAGAATTATCAGACAACTCAAAAGTGATAATTATTCTACTAAAACGTGAGATTGTGTACTTCAAAAATTTCAGTGTCATATGGGACAAAAGAAGCAGAGTAACTGTCTTAGAATAAAGGAGTATAAAAGATAAAAACTAAATGCAATATTTCAGCCTATGTTGGAATTTTAAAATGCTTAAAAGACATTATTAGTAAATTAGCAAAACTGGAATACCAGCAAAAGATTAGGAAAAATATTATGTATCAATGTTAAATTTACTTGAATGGATAACTGTCCCATGGTTTTGTATACTAAAAGTCTTAATTTTAGGTAATATATAGTATAGCATGTAGAAGTAAAAGAACATTATTGATATGGTTTGGCTGCGTTGCCAGCTAAATCTCATCTTGAATTGTAGTTTCCATAATCCCCACGTGTTGTGGGAGGAAACCGGTGGGAGGTAATTGAATCATGGGGGTGGTTACCCCCATGCTGCTGTTCTAGTGTTAGTGAGTCAGTTCTCACGAGATATGATGGCTTTATAAGGGGCTTTTCCCTCTTTGTTTGGTACTCCTCCTTCCTGCCATCCTGTGAAGAAATATGTGTTTGCTTCCCCTTCTGCCAAGATTGTAAGTTTCCTGAGGCCTCCCAACCATGCAGAATTGTGAATCAATTAAACCTCTTTCCTTTATACATTACCCAGTCTTGGGCAGTTCTTTATAGGAGCATGAGAATGAACTAATACAGTAAATTCGTACTGGGTAATGAGGTCCTGCTGTAAAGATACCCAAAAACGTGAAAGCGACTTTGGAACTGGGTAATATCCAGAGGTTAGAACAGTTTGGAGGGCTCAGAAGAAGACAGGAAAATGTGGGAAAGTTTGGAACATCCTAGAGACATATTGAATGGATTTGACCAAAATGTTGATAGTAATATAGACAATAAAGTCCAGGCTTAGGTGGACTCACATGGAGATAAGGATCTTATTGGGAACTGGAATAAAGGTGACTCCTGCTATGTTTTAACAAAGAGACTGGTGGCATCTTGCCCCTGCCCTAGAGATCTATGGAACTTCAAACTTTAGAGACATGATTTAGGGTATCTGGCAAAAGAAATTTCTAAACACCAAAGTGTTCAAGATGTGACTTGGGTGTTGTTAAAAGCATTCAGTTTTATGTATTCACAGAGATATGATTTGCAATTGGAATTTATGTTTAAAGGGAAGTTAAATAAATAAAAGAAATAAAAGTTTAGCAAATTTATAACCTGACAAGGTGATAGAAAAGAAAAACCCATTTTCTGAGGAGAAATTTAAGCCAGCTGCAGAAATTTGCATAAGTAACAAGGAGCCAAGTGTTAATCACCAAGGCAATGGGGAAAATATCTCCACAGCATGTCAGAGCCCTTCATGGCAGCTCCTCTCATCACAGGCCCAGAGGCTTAGGAGGAAAAATGGCTTTGAGGGCTGGGCCCTGGGCCTTGCTGCTTTGTGCAGTCTAGGGATTTGGTGCCCTGCATCCCAGATGTGGCTGAAAGAGGCCAAGGTATAGCTTGGGCTATGTCTTCAGATGGTCCAAGCCCCAAGCTTTGGCAGCTTCCATGTGGTATTGAGCCTGTGGATGCACAGAAGTCAAGAATTGAGGTTTGAGAACCCCTGTCTAGATTTTAGAGGATGTATGGAAATACCTAGATGTCCAGGCAGACAGTTGCTGCAGGGGCAGAGCTCTCATGGAGAGCCTCTGCTAGGGCAGTGCAGAAGGAAAATGTGGGGTTGAAGCCCTCACACAGAGTCCCCACTGGGATACTGCCTAGTGGAGCTGTGAAAAGAGGGCCACCATCCTCCAGCCCCCAGAATTGTAGATCCACCAAAGCTTGCACTGGGCACCTGGAAAAGCCACAGAAACCCAGCCAGCCTATGAAGGCACCTGGGATGGGGGCTGTACCCTGCAAAGCCACAGGGGTGGAGCTGTCCAAGGCTGTGAGAGTCTAGCTTTTGTGTCAGCATAACCTACATGTGAGACATGGAGTCAAAGGAGATCATGTCAGAGCTTTAAGATTTGATTGCCTCACTGAATTCTGGACTTGCATGGGGCCTGTAGTTCCTTTGTTTTGGCCAACTTCTCCCATTTTGAATGAGTGTATTTACCCAATGTCTGTACCCCATTGTATCCAGGAAGAAACTAACTTGAATTTACAGGCTCTTAAGTGGAAGGCATTTGTCTTGTCTCAGATGAGACTTTGGATTTGGACTTTGGGGTTAATGCTGGAATGAGTTAAGACTTTGGGGTACTGTTGAGAAGGCATGATTGATTTTGAAATGTGAGGACATGAGATTTTGGAGGGGCCAGGGCAGAATGATATGGTTTGGCTGTGACCCCACCCAAATCTCATCTTTAATTGTAGTTACCATAATCCCCACATATTGTGGGAGGGACCCAGTGGGAGGTAATTGAATCATGGGGGCAGTTATCCCTGCGCTGCTGTTCTCATTGTAGTGAGTGAATTCTCATGAGATCTGATGGTTTTATAAAGGGCTTTTCCCTCTTTGTTCGGCCCTTCTCCTTCCTGCCGTCCTGTGAAGGAGGATGTGTTTGCTTCCCCTTCTGGCATGATTATAAGTTTCCTGAGGCCTCCCAAGCCATGCAGAACTGTCAGTTAATTAAAACTCTATTCTTTATGAGTTACCCAGTCACAGGTAGTTCTTTATAGTAGCATGAGAATGGATTAATACAATCATGTATGTAAGTTACCCTCAAATGGTACAGAAAAAGTAAAATTTATATAAATAAAGACAGCAAATGACAAAGAAGATGGGGCAAAATATTAGCAATATTTGATACTAAATAAAGGAGTATGGATATTCTGTAAAACATTATTGTAACTCTTCTGTACATTTGAAATACTTTCCACATAAATAATTAAATATATACACATATATCTTTGTACATTTAAATATACATCCATATATACACATATATTAATTTTTCCATAAAGTGGATAGATTTTAATAAAAGTGAACATATGCATAAAATTTTGCCCCCAAATCCACTATTAGGTATATTTCCAACAAATGAATGCTTATGTTCAACAAAAGACATGTACTAGGTTGATTATAACAGCAGTATTTATAATTTTCCCAAACTGGGAACTACTCAAGGGCCCATTTTCATTTGAATGGATAAATGAATTGCAGAATACTCACAAAATGGACTGCTTTGCAGCATGGGAATGAAGAAAATACCACTAGACATAATGACATAGGATATTTTCAGAGACAGAATATAGAAAGAAAGAAGCCAGACATAAAATAGCACATACTGTATGATATCATTCATATAAAGTACAAAACAGATTAAATTAATCCATGTTAGAAGTCAGGATTGTGTTTACTCTGAGCAGGGGACAGGTAGTGACTAGAAGACAACATGAGAGGACATCTGGGATAGGAGTAGTGTTTCATTATTAGGCCCAGATACTAGCTACATGGATGTACTCACAAAACTTACAAAAACTCAGTGGCATCTGTAGTTTTCTCTAGCTTAATTTTACTTAAATAAAAAGTTTTTATTTTAATGTACCTATGTATTTTGGGGGGCAGAGGGTATATGGGGATATATCTGTACCTTTCTCTCAAGTTTGTTATGATATAAAACCTCTTAAAGAGAATAAAATACTTAACAACAATAATAACAAAGTGTTATTCTCTTGCCAAAAATGATTCAGTGGCTTTGCATTGTCTTTAAAGTAAAACCTAAATTCCAGATTATGGCCCACACACCCTTACGTGATTCCTACCTACTTCTTCAACATCATATCCTACTACTCCTACTCTAATTACCATATCCAGGCTTGGATCTCTGTTTACTTCCCCAAACCCATCAACTTCTTTCTCGCCTCAAAGCATTTGAGCTTGCTGTTTCATCATGGGATCTTCTTGAACAGGCATTTTTACTTGGTTTTAACTCTTCTCAGCTTCAAGCACAGTCTATCCAAAGTATCTCCCTGATTATTTGACCAGAGCAGCTTCTTAGTCCCTTTGCTTATTTATTTGCTTACTTATTTGTTGGCTGTATTCACCACCAACATGGAAGCGTTTGTCCCTTGCTCATCATGGTGTTCTCAGCATGTAGCAATTTGCTTGCACAGAATAGGCACTCGCTGGAAATTTTTTTTTGAATGAATGAATGAATAGATGTGCATGGAGCTCAGAAAAAGCAACTGGGATAGGATTACAGATTTTGGAGTCATTAACAAATAACTAAGAGCTGAAGTTTTGAAAGTATCGTAATATGTGTAAAATGAGACTTAAAGGGGCCCTGCACTGATTCCTGAGGACCAGACAGATGTAAGGGGCAGGCAGAGGAAGAAATCATAAAATATATGGAGATCGACAGGATACAAAGGGAGCTCAGAAGCTAGAGCCTGCCCAAGACAAAACGAAACAAGACAAACAAAAACAAGAAGTGTAGTATTATGGTAGCCAAGAGGAATAAAAAACGCTGTCAGCTACAAATGAATTTCAATGTAAGGGTGTGATTAGCAGTCTTGCTGGAAGCAGGTTGCTTAGACAGGAGCAGACATATCATGAAAGGTTGAGGAATGAGTAAAGGATGAGAAATTGAGAACAGTAAATGGAGTAATCTCTTTCAAAAACTGCAGAAAGACAAACTACACATATTCTCACACATTTGTGGGAGCTAAGATTTAAAACAATTATACTCATGAAGACAAAATGTAGAATGATCATTACCAGACGCTGGGAAGGGTGGTGGGGGTTGGAGGGAAAGTGGGGATGGTTAATGGGTACAAAAATATAGTTGGATAGAATGAATAAGATCTAGTATTTGATAGCACAACAGGGCAACTATAATTTATTATGTTTTAAAATTAAGTATAATTGAAATGTTTGTAAAACAAAGAAATGATAAATGCTTGGGGTGATGGATACTCCATTTACCTTGTGATTATTACACACTGTATGCCTGTATCAAAATATCTCATACACCCCATATACAGATACACCTACTATGTACCCATAACAATTAAAAATTGAAAAAATTTAAAAATAAGGAAACCAGCTGGGTGCGGTGGCTGACACCTGTAATCCCAGCACTTTGGGAGGTCAAGTGGGGCAGATTGCTTGAGCCCAAGAGTTTGAGACCAGCTTGGCCAACATGGTGAAACCCCGTCTCTACTAAAAATACAAAAATTAGCCAGCATGGTGGCACATGTCTATAATCCCAGCTACTTGGGAGGCTGAGGTAGGAGAATTGCTTGAACCCAGGAGGTGGAGGTTGCAGTGAGCCAAGATCGTGCTGCCACTACTCTCCAGCCTGGGCGACAGAGCAAGACTTGGTCTCAGAAAAAATAAATAATAAGGAAACCAAAAATATTTTTCTGTTGTGAACAGAAACACAATTGGGTTAGTGACTAGAGAATTTGAATATGAGGAGAGAATTTTGGTTTCTTTTGCTTTAAGACAGAAGATACTTCACAAGTTTAAATGCTGATTAGAGAGAATCAATGATCCTACGTACAAAGAAAGGGAACCAGAGCAAAGATGGAGGAACTAGCCCTAGATGAAAGAGGGGGAGGAAAAGTGGGAGTCAGAAATGTGCACAGAATGTAGAAGGTACAAAATAAGACAAGACGAGTATGGATGTCTTTATACCATATGCTGAGTTGTCATTGGTATGGGAAATGACAAAACATGGAGTTGAAGAGGGAAAAGGAGGAAGTCACGGAAATACATCATAATAAAACCACTGACGTACTGTAGGGCATGTAGGCTTGGCACCAAGAACATTATACACAAATATTATGGTACACTACAAGAGACGTCCATGGCTGTAAGATTAATGATAGCCATAAGCCCCACTCAAGTTTCTTGCAGGGATGACACTACATGTCACTTAGCAGTATGATGAAACTCAGTGGGGGATTTCCAGAAGACAACTCCATCTCAGCACAGCTGCAACTTTTATAAACCTTAAAACAAGCTCACCCTTACAAGAATAGGCTTAAATTCCCGTTATGAAAGAAACACCTGGAAACTGACTTAGATTGCATACAGGTATAAGAAAAGGAAAAGAATCCCCCAAATTCTGAAAATGATCTCCACATGGAGACCCTCCTGGTCAGCTGGTCATCTGACTACCTGATTATATCTAGCCCATGCCACCAGCCTGCTCTTGTGTCTTGAAAAAGCACTGCCAAAATAAACCACTGGAGCGGCAGATGGTGTCTAAGACCCATCTTTCCCATGAATCGTACCAAAGAAGAGAAATTGCCCCAGGGGAGGCTGCTTAACCAAGACTACCTGAGACCCCCAATCATGACAAACATCTAGAGTCGACCTGAATGATTTATCAAGGAAATAAATATTTTGGTGTGACACTAACTCCCTTCTTCTTTAATTGCCCTTCCCCACCCCCATTTGTTGGGTACTCAAGCCCTAGATAGAATGTTACAGAACTGCTATGTATCTGTTGAAAATTTGGTATGTTCTGTTTAAATATGCTTCAGGACAATACATTATTACTAACGAACTTTATGAAAAATATTTAAAACCATGAGAAAATGTTCATCATTTAAAAATGTAGACAATTCCAGCATATATAGTGTCATTTCAATTAAAAAAATTATTTCTAATATAAATAGTATTTTTGTGCTGTGGCAGTGCTGATAACTTTATTTGTACATATTTTCAGTGTTTTCTAAATGTCTACAAGAATTATAATATTTGTAAAATAAGACAAAAATATTAGCACATATTCATAATTATCGCCTTAGGAAAAGCATCTTGAGGTAGACTTATGTGGATCAAAGTGCATTTGTTTGTTTGCTACACATTACCAAATTTCCTTAATAAAATATTGTACAAATTTAAGATAATGCTAGCAAAAATAAACATTTATTATGAAGAAAGCACATGTGATTCTTAAAAAGAACTTCAAAGATCATGGCAAAAACAGAGCTAAATCAATCAGTTAAAAAAAAAGGCGTAAAGATTTGCATCTGACGCTCCTTAGTGGCAGGGGGGCCTCCAAAGAGCAACTCCCAGCCAGTGAGGGACAGAAGATGGTACTTAAATAAGCTAGTTTTCTTGCTCATTCATGGAACAACTCTGAGATTAGGTTCAACACAGTCTCTCAGAGGGTCCCCAAGGAGGACTGAGCCCAGGGGTGATCTACTCAATTAACATGCCCTTTGCTGGCTTGCCTCCTTTCCCGGGCTCACCTTCCTACTCCATGACTATGCTTCCTAGGCTTATCACCTTGCACTTATATCCTGCCTCACGGTCTGCTTTTCGGCAAATCCACTCTAAGATATCATGAGAATCGCATTATAAAATATAAGTTGCATTTTTGTGTCATCATTTTTATTTTCTGTTTCTGATCAGGGAAGTTAAAACAGACATCTAATTATTTCTAACATTTAATTGAGCCACTACTATATTCCTAGCACTGAGCTAAACTTGTTACCTGAACTGACTTGTTTAAATCTCCCAAGAAATGCTAAATGCAATGCAGAATTTAGAAACAGATAAATCCCTCATCTATTTATTCAACTAATCATGAGCACAAATTGTGTGGAAGGCACACCACTCCATGAAGACAGTCCTTGTCCTTATGGAGCTATAGAACAGTGAGGACAGCTATAGAACATGCGTGCACGTGTGTGTGTGTGTATGTACATATATTACATTTATGATGGAATACTATTCAGTAATGAAAAAGAACGAAACCATGTCATTTGCAGTAATATGGATGGAACTGGGGGTCATTATGTTGAGTGAAATAAGCCAGGCACAGAAAGACAAATCTTTCATCTTCTCACTCACATGTGGGAGCAAAAAAAGTTGATCTCATGGAGGTAGGGAGTAGAATGATAGGTACTAAAGGCTGAGAAGGATGTTGGGAGAGGAGGGAGGAATAAAGGGAGATTGATTAATGAGTACCAAGCTGTTAGAAAGTATAAGTTCTAATGTTTTATAGCATAATAGGGTGACTATAATTAGCAACAATGTATGTTATATTTCAAAATACAAGCAGAGAGGATTTGAAATGTTTGGAACACATGGAAATGATAAATGCTTTAGAGGAGGCCTATCTTAAATACTTTGACCTGATCATTACACATTCTATGCATGTAAAAAAAATCACATGTGCCTCCTCAATATGTACAAATATTGTGCATCAATAAGAAATTTAAAACTAGAAAAAAGATTTCAACAGTTGAAAAGAAGAGGAAAGGCATTCTAAGCAGAGGCAATAATGTGAAACTACCTGAGATGGGAAGAGCTTAACATTTCTGAAAAGCTAGAAGATTGTTATAGGTGGACCATGGCAAGCAAAGAGGACAGCAGCTTGCCCAGAAGCTGGGGAATCGGGAAGTTGCCAGATCATGTGAAGACTTGGGCTATGAAGAATGCTGGATTTCACATCAATCAGAGTTCAAAGCCACTGAAGGATTTTAAGCAGCATGATTGTTTTTGTTGCTGTTTTTAAGTGTATTTCAGTTGTGGACTAAGCTCTTTGTCTAGTCTTAGACAAATAAATGTGTTAAGTCTTCTAACGGAGGCTGTAAACTGCCTCTTGGAGAGTCAAATATGGAGTACAGACATTTATTTGTTTTTCAATACGCTGGCCCAGTTTTAAATGTTTGTTTGTAACTAACATCTGGATTTCCAGGATTTCTGGAATGATCTTCCAGGAGCTCTGTGAAAGGAGAATATCAGGCAATGTTGGTTGGCATTTCCCATGACAACAATCTTCAGTTGTGTTTAGATGGTATGTCCATTCTCCAGATTTTGAAGCTCCATATTTATCATGGAGCTACTGTATCACTGAATCTAACAGAGTTACAGATTTATGTTACCATCTAGTCTTTGTAGATAACTTTGCAATGCCTGCCTAGTAACCTTTGGTAGAGCAAACTTCTGTGTCTTTGAGTAAGCTAGTTTCTAAACTAGATTATAGATTTTTTTATAGATGATGTTTAATAGGCCAGCTGGGGGAAATAATGGAGAACAGTTAAGAGCACAAGTTTTAGATTCAGAGGCCCCCAATTCTGTAAGAAGCCCCAACCTCCAGGACCAATTTATCTCCTATCATTTGTCTTCTAAACGCAGCACTCTTATCACCCCTAGGTATTTGACACTTCTCTATATGCCAACATTTTCATGCCTTCCAAGCCTGTACCTTCGCTGTACAATTAGGGACGCTCAGTCAGATGAGGCAACAGAGGGTGAGTAAACACTGAGAAGCTTGGTGCTGGTATACTCACACAATTGACCCAAAGCAGAAGTCAGCAGGAATGGGAGCTGCAACAAGTAAGAGTGGGAGAATTGACCTGTAAATGATTAGACAGGATGAGAGAGAAGATGGGCAAGACAAGAAGCTAGGACCACAGACATTACCATAAATATTCTCAGGTCTGGTAGTACAAACAGAAATAGCAGACTCTGTGAATAATCCAGAGATGTGGTCTGGTAACGTTGATATACTTTGTCCTTACTAACTACAAGTTGATAAGGAGCAGCACTATGGACTGCATATCTGTGTTCCCCCACATTCATGTGTTGAAATCCTAGCCCCCAAGGTGATGTTGCTAGGAGGTAGGGCTGTTGAGAGGTAATTATTAGGTCATGAGAGTGGAGCTGTCATAAATGGGATTAGCACTCTTACAAAAGAGGCCTGAGAGAGTTGCCTCGGCCTTTGGCCTTGTCAGGTTACACTGAGAAGACAGCTATCTATGAATCAGGAAGCAGAGCTTCACCAGGCACTGAATCTATTGGCATATTGATCTTGAACTTCCCAGCCTCCAGAACTGAGAAATAACTCTCTGTTATTTACATACCACTATTCTATGGTGTTTTGTTATAGTAGCCCGAATAGACTAAGATAAGTAGATAATAGCAGATAGCAGATATGGTTTAGATGGTGTCTTAAGACTTTGAGGTAGATTTCAGGTTCTTAAATTGGGGAACCCAATCAGTGATAAGTGGTTTGAATTCTATTAATGTGAAATATAGTAATAAAGCCTCATTAACAACAGGGATTTGGCGAAGTGGAAGAGAAGGCTTAAAGTTCTATTTTCAGATAAAATGGTATAACCTTCAACTTCCTATTACCATGAGTTCAATTGTTTTGGTTTTTAGATCCCACAAATAAGTGAGAACATATGATGTTTGTCTTTCTGTTCCTGCCTTATTTCACTTAACATAATTATCTTCAGTTCCATCCAAGTTGTTGCAATTGACTGCATCTTATTCTTTTTTATGGTTGAATAGTGCTCCATTGTGTATGCATACCACATTTTCTTTATCCATTCATCTGTTTATGAACACTTAGATTGGTTCCAAATCTTGGCTAGAATTTCTGATTGCAGAACAATTGAAATAAATAACAGAATTGAATGTTTATTGAATGTTTTTCTTTCTTTTGGGCATTTTTAGGCTCAAAAGAGATAATTATAACTAGCATGTGCATCATTTTATAATAATTACAAAATATGTTGGCATATATTATTATTATTACCACTGCATTATATAACTTGAACATTTAGTGGTACTTTCTGGGTTGTTTTGCTTTTGCTAACAATAAAAACAAACTACAGTACACACACATGTATTTTTCTAATCCCATTTACTTTATTTTGTCATGCTACTTTTAAAATTCTGCTACTTTGCTCCATTTTATATACCTTTAGTACTCATATATATAATAATTATAATTATTTATATAATTAATTATATAATATTAGTAATTATGAAGTTTATTTTCTGGAAAATTTTATTTTTGTTATCATCCATAGACTTATAAAGAAAATAATGGCAACTTTTAAATGATTGATGAAATATTCTTTTTATAGTTAAATGTCATTTTTTACCCAAGGATACCAAATATTATAACAATAATTTCAGAGGCTTAAAATATTAGGAAATGTTAATAGGCCAGAAATTGTGTACAGACACATGTGCATTGGAGCGTTCAAGCAGGTTCACAAATACACTCGTAAGTTTTACCCTTGCAAATGATTCTGACATATCTTTTGTTGGTCTAGTCACTCTCCATTATTACGCTAAGCAAAGATTACCTTTGTTCTGTGTCTCAATTACAGAGCACGAAGAAGAGAAAACAGAAAACATCCATTGAATCCTCTGCCTCTGGTAATGTATGGCTCCCAGTATGCCTCCTTCAAGAGCATGACTGACCCAATTACTAGTATGAGCAAAAGGTATAATTTTTAAATGTATTTACTTGAATGAGTCAATAGCATCTGATAAATCATGCAATGTAAATCAGTAAGATATACCTAAATTAACTAATATACCAGGACATACCTCCCATCTAACCAGCCTTGAAATGTAGACCAAACTGTCAAATCTAGAATTAAAAAAAAAAAAAAGGAAATAAATTAGGGCCTTGCAAAGTCGCAGAGATATTTAGGATACGTAAACTAGATTAAGAAATCAAACAATTTATGATCCTTACTAAACCTGCAAATTGAAAAACATTAACATCTTCCTTGGCACAACATCGTTTTCAAATCTATATGACATCGCTTGGCTCCATTTTTAGTCAGCATAATTTTGGCTTCTATTCTTACATGGATAACAGCCAAATTCATCTGTCTTCTATGTCCAATCCTAGCATCTTTGTTTAGTTCCTCGACTGAGATTCTGTTTTAAATAGCCTGAAACATTACTCTAAAGAAAGAGATTTTCCTGAGCAATTTGAGGTATCTTTGTCAAATCATATAGTTATCTGAAGCTTTGTTTTCAATTCAGAGGTTCGAAGAGTGTAGATTTCTTTCTATAACTTGCCTAGAGATTTCCGTGCCTCCTTTCACCAGAAATTGCTTTGATTAATATAATTCTCTTTCTGCTATGATTTCTTTTGCTAGTCACTGCCCTCTTTGATGAATGAAAAATGCAGGTGCCAGATTTCTTAGGAGGGCTAGGTTTGAGGGCAAAGTGTGCATTCCTACTGCCACAAATTGCTTTTAAAGCTTGAGTTTTTACATGTGTTTATAAAACCCTGGAAGATTATTTTTCAGATCTTGAGCCTGTTGGCCAGCAAATCCATTCCTCAACCCTCTGGTCCCTGAAGGCTAGTTTCCTTGGGCTCCTAGGCCAGCTGACTTCTGTCTTGGGTCAGTCAATGGGAGATGGAAGGTGGAAGATGGAGGGCAGGAGGAGGGAAGTGGTTAGAATAACCCTCCTTAAGCAGTTTGTCTCTTCTGTGATTCCAGCCTCCACAGTATATGCCCAGCATAGTTGTATCATCAAAGGTGACCCCGGGTGTAAGGATATTGTTAATCTGTAGGTTACACTATTCTTACCTATCGTTCTCAGATATTGCATCATCTTTGCAATTAATTCCTTGCATTAGATTCCCTTTTCAGAAAATTCTTGAAGTGGATTATGTTTCTCTGGATAGATCCCAGTTGAACAAGCATCAATTCTTAGCTAAATATAAATAGAGAGATTTTAACTTTAACAAATTTGTGACTGGCACTTGCAGAAGAGAAATTTATGAGGCCTATTGTATCATCTGAATGAATGCTAATCATATATTTACAATAAAAGTCACTGCTTAGAAAAATCCTACAAAAGTATAAAATAATGGTATTGTAATTCAGAAGAAGATTAATTGGACTTGATATTTAGAAATATATATTAATTATTGAGACTTTTAAAATTTGTTAGAAAATAAATTGAGATGTTTGTAAGATATTCTTATATGGTATGTAAAAGCTTAGTAAGCTTTTCTGATTTATAGATTCAGTTTTTGTGTTCAAGCAAATCTCTCTGAATTTTTTCATCCCAGGAAGAAACCCCCAATTGAACTGATGAAAAACATAAACAGTGGCAATGAATTATAACCCAGTTAAAACTGGATCTGAAAGCTGAATAAAAGACATGCAAAAGCTAAAAATGCCTATGCCTAATTAAATCATTATTAATAAAATAACTGGATCTAATTCCAACAATACGGGTTTTTCTTTTGTAACTATTTGTTTTCCTAATTTGGCTCCTAATAATAAATGTTATTATATCACAAAAGATCACCACCTTTTTAGAATGTATCACAAGTAAATTTAGTACTCTTAAGACCTAGCAAGAATTATTTCAAAATAACATAATACCCAACGTTTTCTGTGAAGTACAGATTTTGTTTTTACTTTTGTATCTGTATTTTACCCATGGAATCATAGATTAATATACATTTTTGTCACCCCTTATATATGATTCTTACATGTCACTTATATGTACATACAGTCACATTCAGAAAAACATTTCAGAAGGAATCCCTTACTTGGTATTTCATGTGGAAGAGATAAAGTTCAAACACACTGATATAATATGCAGAGTCAAAGCAAATAGAAAATATGGCCAATTCCCAGGATGACTCCCTTCTGGTTACAGTGTCCTGGATGGTTAAAGCAATGGAAAGAAGCAGAGGGATAGTGCAAATAGACCTGATCAAAATATGTTGCTGTGACATTGGTTTTGTTTGTTTGCTTGTTTGTAATAGAATCTCACTCTGTTGCCCATGCTGGAGCACAGTGGAGGCTCAATCATGCAGCCTCAAACTTCCTGGCTCAAGAGAACCTCCCAACTCAGGCTCCTGAATAGCTGGGACTATAGGTGCACACCACCCTGCCCTGCTTTTTTTTTTTTTTTTTTTTTTTGTAGAGATGGAGTCTTGCTATCTCATCCAGGCTGGTCTTGAACTCCTGGGTTCAAGCAATCCTCCCACCTCAGCCTCCCAAAGTGCTGGGATTACAGACATGAGCAACTGTACCCAGCTTGCTGTGACATTCTTGATTCCTATATCTAGTTGAAGCTTTGCAAACACATGAAAATAATTTGAAATGCCTTAGTTTCCAAATGATATTTTTATGAGAACTAGTTCTACTTAGATATAATCTGGCAAGAGATTTTGAAGTAGAAAAGTTACCTATATTGTCACCACAGTCATAACTGAGGAATTGCATTAGCTGGCAAAGCTATTCTTAGAAGCCACCCTGGCCAACTCCTTCCCCTATAAAAGTTACAATGAATAAAACAAAAGGTAAAACTTCTTTTATATCTGGATCTATATAAACATATTTCTGTCAAACTGAAATATTAGTAACAGTCATATGACTGTTTTCCCCAATGATATGTAAACCAAAACATTTTAAAAATATATTTCTTTGAAAACATTTATTTTTCTGCTAGTAAAAGGTGCCTGACTAGCGGTCTCTCTCTGTGAAGAACAAAGTTCAGATAACAGGGTATTTTTTTCCCATGATGCCACCCCTCCTTCTTCAAGCTTCTCCATCTCTCTCTTTCTCCTAAATATTATGGAAGCAACCCTACTCAGATTCAAATTATAGTGGTGCTTCTCTAACAATAATGTACATACAAACCACCTGGGGATTTTGTGAAAATGCAACTTGATTCAGTAGGTCTGGGTATGCCCTGAGATTCTGCATTTCTAACAAGCTCTCAGGTGATAACCAGATGCTGGTCTATAGATCAAATTCTGAATAGCAAGGAATTAAAAATTTTATCTCTCTTCCTTGTAAAGTATATGCTTCTTGAAGACAAGAACTGGGTCTTGCTTACATCTTGATACATGGCATTAGTAAATATACTTCAATGAAGCATTTATTACATAACTGTTCTAACCATTCACTCCCCGTGCTCTGAGAAAAATTGTTAACTTTCTATACATGAAGAGTGAGAACTGTAAAGGCAAAATATCTTTATACATAAAATAATATATTTTGACCATATTAAATTTATGTATGTGTATGTTTCCACCATATATATGTATATATACGTATATACACGTGTGTATATACATATGTATATAATTTTAGCTTTATAACAACTGCATTGATATTCCCATGGAGAAATCATATCTCATGAATGCTTTATATATACATGTGTGTATCTATACACATGCATATATACACATATGTATATAATTTTAGCCTTATAACAACTGTATTGAAATTCCCATGGTGAAATCATATCTCATGAATGCTTTATCTGTAAACACTGGCATTGTAAAAGTACATTGCAATGAAAAGTAAACAATAAGTATGAAATGCCTTTTCTTAGAGGGAAGGAAGATATAATGGGCAAAATGTTGAAGCATTGATAATTGTTAGATATATATCATTATAGTTTAAGATATTGAATGAATTCCTATGAAATATAAAAGAAATTTTATTAATAGAATTTAACTATCTAGCTCACCAATCTAAACTTTTTCCTAGTTTTGAACTTAGAATCATAAAATAGAATTAACACTAAACATTAGGGAAACCCAAATCCTGTATATTAGAACATTTGTGTGTGTGTGTTGGTGGGGGTTGAATGAAGTTAGGAGGCCCAAACTAATAGAGCCTTCTTATTTCCATTTAATAAATTCACGGATTCTTTTGACTTCATGTGCAGAAGATGGCATCATATTAATGCTTTATATGCAAACTGATTCTAGGATTTCCTGCAAATTAAAGCATAACATGGGGAATGTGATGCACACACACATTTTCTCAATATTTTTCTTTCCTGCTTCTCTTTCCCCAATTGACCAGTAGTAAATCCCAATGCTAATGGAATCTGAGAGGATCACTAAGAATTCTGAGAGGCACACACTCTTGTTGCCCTTTAGTACTTGACTTTTCTGATTCATTCTTCATTTCCCTCTCCCATCTTTCTCTTTCGCTCACTCTCTCAGTCTTATGAAACAGAAAATGAGAATATTGAGACTATAGGCTATAGGGCTCTGGTCAAAAAGAGGTGACAAAAAGGTAGTAAAGATTCAGAAGATGACAACTGCTATTTTACTTAATCTGTTAGTATCCATATGCCTGTAAGTATGAAGTTGAATTGTTTCTATTGGAGAGTTGTTTTCTAAAATGCTAAGCTTTTTTGGTTGTTGATGGCTGAAGTACGACAGCTCATATGTATCGTTGAATACTCTGACAGCATGAAAAAATGTACTGGCTCCTGGATGTTTTATCTTAATGTACCTACAAGTGCCACATTATATTACAGTTTCTTCATACCTAAAAGGTTTTTCATTGTTGTCTAGGAGAGTTTTGTCTGGTTCCACCTCATGAATTCCTCATTGGGGTTTTCTCCCCCATCATTAAAGTAATTTATTTTCAGAATAAGTCCCAATCACTGTATGCGGCAGCATTTTCATCCATGTGTTTAAATGTGATAAATTGCTTTCTATCAGTTATATTTATAGAAAGAAATTCTTACTGCAAATAAAAACAAAATGTATCTGTGCTATTACCAATTTGAGTTTTAAAAATTAGAAACATAAACTGTCTGATTCATATTTGGAATAACATTTATAATCATAAACATAACAAAAAACAATATCCATTTATACATATCACAATGCTATCAACATATTAATTACTCAATATTTAGTGGTAACAAAAAATAAAATGTTCATATCCCCATTAATATCACTCAGTAAATTTTTCAATTTTCCTTTATCCAAATCCAAACTTTATATGGGATATATTAGATAATAAGATGTATTAGATAATAATATAAAGTCCCATTTATAATTATCTTGTCACCATTGTTTAGAATTTGATAGCACAACATCTACTAGGATATAGTAATTTAGCCCTCAGATGTAAAACCAAAGTGTTCTGCAGTAATATGTTGGCTTGTATCAAGATAAACTAAAAATCTCAAGCACTCCATTTCCAAGATCACTTCAGAGAAATAAAAAGGCACTTAACAGCTAGGAAATCCTATCCTATAGGATCACAAACAAGAATTGGCTATTCAGATCCAAAGATATGAGTTACTGCTTTTGCTGTCCAATATGTCTGAATAGGTTTCATTTATAAAGACACTCCTTACAAAGCAGTATACATTTTACGTATTCAATAATGCTTATGAAAAAGGTAATTAACTTTTCTTTGACTATGCAGGAAAAAAGAACAAACCGCTTATAAAGAAACTATAGCATAAACTTTATTTCCTTTACATATTGAGTTAAATTTACTGCAGAGCCAACATGATTTGTAATGCAAACCATTTTATCTTTGCAATATTTAGGCACAAACCATTGGTATTTAATGTCTTTTTCTGGTAACATAGACATCTAAAAAATCTTTGTAATGAAATATTTCATCCATTACTGTAGGTTGCAGGAACTACAGCAGTCAGGTGGAGGATATTTTGATGGAAAAAAAACTCCAAACTTCTCTAGATACCTTATGGGTTGAGCTGTCCTTTCTGCTGTGGGTTTTTTGTTTTTTGTTTTTTGTTGGTTTTTTTTTTTTTTTTTTTTTTTTTTGCTAAGGAATTGACGAAAATTAATTTGCGAAGATGAGAGACTAATAGAAGGAAAAAGTATATTGACTAAAGTTAGACAAATAATGGCAATAAAAAGCTTAAGATATTATGGCCAAATTTGAATCTAATGCTATTCAAAAGAATTTAGCATTTATAAGAAGTTAACAGGCTTTTACAATATTCCCAGTAGCTTTTTCCTCCATTGCTGTGGATATTTATATGGTTTTAAATCTAGCAACTGATTTAAGAATCTGGACCTAAATATAGCATTATAAAAAGCCTTAGTATTCTTCCTATACTCAAGTGCCATACATTAATATGCATTTCATAATGTTCACTGTAATTTAGTGAGTACATATATCATCATAAGTTTAATATTATTGTATGTTTAACCTGTTGGCAAAATCGAGTCTAAAAAAGAATCTAAATGGAAGAAATTTAACGTGGGTTTACAAAGAGAACGAAAGAGTTGACATTTAGTTCAAGTAAATGGTTCTTGTTCTCAATTAGAGCATCCAGTGAATATTAACCTCAAAAGTATATTTTATTTGCTGACCACAGCATTCATGAGATATGTGTGGTTGAATATCTCAACTGGTCCTGAAACTTTCTTAATTCGTTTCGTCTCTTCTTCCATGAACTTACACAGCTGTTTAGTTCTTTTGTAAACAGGGAAGGCTAGGCACTCTTGCACAGATCTTTTTAGCATATGAAACATATTGACATGAATATAACATATGTGCCAAAGCAATATTATTCAGTTAACATTTCAACGAAATGCAACATAAAATTTTAAATTACATATTTCTGCATGTGTTTGATTCTTGTTTACTGTATCTGATCCAGAAAAAAGGAAGACTCTCATTGTGAAAAAACATCTCTAATACCTTAGCATTTTAATATCATCTGAAAAGAATAGTTATAACCAGTCATACCAGTCATTTATTTTTCCATTGCTTAAAATTACCAGGTAGCAACATGGTAAATTCAGTTGATCAGGGCTTTTGATTCAATAGCGATTGTCCAGGAGAAGTTCACTGACAGACTTAGGTATATCAAATACAGAGAGCAGGTAGGATCTCGCATGATCTCACTTATATACAGAATCTTAAAAATATTGATCTCATAGAAGTAGAGAGTAGAACAGTAGTTACCAGATGCTGGGGAGGGGTGGGGCAGGGGCACTGGGGAGAGGTTTGTCAACAGGTACAAAGCTACAATTAGATAGAATAAGTTCTGGTATTCTTGCGCAGTAGGGTAATGGTAGTTAATAGTAATGTATTGTGTATTTCAACATAGCCAAAAGAGTGGATTTTCTATGTTTTTACTGCAAAGAAATGATAAATGTTTAAGGGGATAGATATGCTAATTACCCTGGTAATTATACAATGTATACATATATGGAAACATCACAATATATCCTATAAATATGTATAATTATTACCTGTCAATTAAAATGCTAAAAAATTAAGAAAGTGCATAGGATTATTTTGTTTCCTGGAGCAGCAAGGCAAAAAATAGAGGTTCTCCACCCTGGTCGAAATATATGACCTAAAGCAAGTCCATCACATCATGTCACCTTAGTTTCTACAAATAGAATGCACTGCATCTTTTCCTTTCTCAGGGAAAATAGTTGTAATCATGGATTACTTGCTGTTTACAATAAAAAAGACATGATATGTGCTATATTAAATGATATGTACCTTTTAATCATATTTTTAAAATACGCACTTATAAAATCTCTCTATGATTTAACACTTATCTTTCACTTTAGGAACAAAAGCATCCTGTACTTAAATAGTTTACATATGCCTTTTGTTTTTCATTTATTGTGTAGCTATGTAGGATTGTCAAAACCCTAACTGAAATGTAGCGTTACACTACTGCTTAGGTTTTAATAGTTGAAAATTAGGTGTTGGTTAGAATTTAATTTTCATAGCACTATGAATAACTTGAAAATATCTTATAAATACTTCAACAATATGTCTTTTTATTACTCCAATGCTCTACATAAGCAAATATCTCAGAGTAGAACATGATGGAGTCTTGCAAATTGAACAGATCCTGGAAACCAAAAAACAGGAAGCTATTTTTCTCAAAATGTTAGTATCAATTTCCAGATGTTGGATATACACTGAATGAGGAAGAAATGCTATAAAGGAGCATGGGTTATGTATTATGTAAGCTGAATAGAAAATTTCAGATTAATATTCATGACATTTCTACTTGCTAAAGTAAATTACCAATGTATATGTCCTCTGTAGGGTAACACTTTTACTTTTCCTACCTTACCTAACAGTAGAAGTTAAAAAGTTGTAATATATGTATTGCACTCTGACCTAAGAAAGGAAGTGAGGCAAGGAACTGATACCAAGTAAGCACTTGGCTCCTGGGGAAGGGGAGGTAAATGGTCTCCCTATACACCAAAGAACTGATGGGGAGGAGCTAGGACATGAGATATTTTGCAAAATGCAGTAAAAGCTCCCTCAGTAAAGTGCTGCTGTAACCTGATCTTCCTCACTGTCTTTCTTTCTTTCTTTTTATTAATAAGGCACTGGCTGACTTCCTTGCTTACATGACTGTTCCAGGATCCCTAATCTTCAGAAGATATCAGTGCTTCTAACATAAATCATGCCGGTCATCATTTAGCTTCTGTCCTTCCTTGGGGAGGACTTAACAAGAAATAGGGACTTTTAGGTAAATGAAATTTATGCTGACTCCCTCCACAGTGGGACTCACTTTGAAGTCCGATTAACAGAAGGAAGACCTATTTGGTGCAGGTCTATGACCCCTGTGAATTTCTTAATTCTCTCTCAGGTTTTACTGGTTCTAAAGGATTCTATATGACTTTATTTGTACTAAGAGAAGCCTGAGAAATATCCCTTTCAGAAATTTCCAGCCTTGATGGGCCTGAGAAGTAAAAGTTTCAAAATGCATCTTTTTTTTTTTTAACAAAAAAGTTTCATTCATCCTCCCTTGCAATCATTTGAACAACATTTTTTTTTCCCAAAACGATCCATGCAGATTAGTTGAATAGTTTTCTTGAGGAAAGAATTGAAATGGCAATTCAAATTCAGCTTCAATCAGAAACTCCATGATTTTTAGCCTGATCTTTGTTGCTCCATAGGGTTGTTAGCTTACTAAGGAGCCTCTGGTGCCATTACACAATTTTTGCTTTGTAAAAGCAGGGACCCCAATGTTTGGGCAATTCTACAATCTGACTAGAGTTTCTCGTTTGCTTCCTGGAAGGAGCTTTGTTACACACCCAGTGAAGTGGTCTTAATGAAACTCCATTGCTGGTGACTAAAGGGCTTCCTGTGTCTAGTTAGAACATGGAGAGCAGGTTAATTGAGACCCTTCTCACTATGCCCAGGGGAAGCATTGTTAGCATCCAGAAGAATTTGGTTTCTGGAGTTTCCCTTTGCACAGATTCCATACTGTGTTATCCATTGCCAGTGGGATAAAAGGAGAGGTTTTTGAAAAGAATTGATACCATGATTCTCATATGAACAATGCTCCATGTGATAGGCATGACCAATCTAAAGATAAGTATTTCAAAAGGAAAGAAAAAGTTAATTCTGTCCTGTGGGGTAAAGCTTAACAAGAGCAGGAAGATATTAAAACTTAGGTGAATTTGCATCGAAGACATGCATTAATAACAATAGCAACAACAACAAAATATTCTCATCAATGATTAGAATTGATTTGTGAAAAGTTAGCCCAAATTTGTGCATTTGCATTCTCTTGTTTATCAATAAAAATATTGTTTTTACATAAACTTTTCATCTTGTCTGCCTGTTCCTCATCTGAATAAGCAAACACACACACAGACACAGACACACACATACACACACACACACACACAAACACACAACCATTTGTCCTTAGAAATATTAGTTGACAGTTGACGGTCCACATAGAAAAAGAATAATTTAAAATGTGTGGAGATTATTTTCTTTCAAGCTAGTACTCTATTTCACAAGTTTCACTATTTTTCACTGAACAATTTTAGTATTTGACAAAGAGATGTCCACATATTTGTATTAGTTTTTTGATCTACAGGTTTCCAATTTATTGCTAAACATGAACTCAATTCCATCTCATATAAGTGAAATTCTTGGGCTTTGCATTGACATCTGTTTGCCCAAAGCCAAGAAGATAATCCTTTAAGTCACTCAGATTGTAGTATCGTGAGCAGTCCTAGATAAACTTATAGACAATTTCCCAAGTATTACAGACTTCTTCTTCATCAGGTAGTACTTTAATCATCATTCAATTTTTAAACAACATTTGATTCAAATCTGGTAATTCAGTCCCATTGGATGTGAAGATTAACTGATTATTGTTCTTTTTACAGCAACCAGTTAAATTAATAAATTGCTTTATCAAGTTGTCCCTCAATTCTTTTGTAGTTATACTCAAAATTCAGTTACAGTCTTACTAATCACATAATTATAAATGTATTTTCTTGTTTTCTTCCAATTTATGAACATAGATACAAGAAAAAAGTCTAGAAACTGATCGGAGGTTTAGAAACCTCTATATTGTTTAGTAGTGAAGACATATTTATATGTTGGTAGGGCACATTCTGCATTAGCACTCACATCTACCACTGGTCATATATCAGTATGATATATAATATTTGCATTACTGTGATAATAAACAAAGAGGATAGAGTCAAGAAAAGTAAATATTAATGTTTAATGTGTTTCCAAATATGTAAAAATGTGTAGGGTCAAATTTGACCTCAATCAGTGCTGTCTGTCCAATTCAGTACGTAGCTAAGAGACATGCTTTCAGTGTTTCACTTATCAGTGCTCCCTGCCCACTTCTAAAATGTTGACTTATTTAACTCAAATAATGAGTCAAAAATCGAGGAGCAATTAAGCTGAGTGCAATTAAATTTAGTATGCCAGTCTTATATTCAGGTCAGAACAGAAATGAAAATTAAAGTAAGTGCCAAATTTGACTGATCAATGAAAAGATAAAACCTGAGATTTTAAGTTTAACTGGTGTATGGCAATTTAAACCTCAAACTCTTATAGGCATAATGTTTTGAAATATTGAAATGATTCTTTTCTTTCTAGAAAAATAAAGCTTTCAAGCAACTATAAATTTTACATTTTTTTGTCATGTGTCTAACTTCTACTAGGATTTATGCCTCATCTGAATGGTCATCTCCTCTTCAGAACTATTCCTGATCATTCTCACAATATGTCTCTCTTTTCATGTATTAAGCTGACTCAATACCTGTCCCAGTCACACGTTTTCCATAATCACATGCTATTTATTAGGCATAAACTTTCTTATAAAAACTCTTTCATCTATTGTTGTCAGAGAACTAATGTTTTCACCTAATTGCATTTTTTAAATCCTTCTATTTATTTATTTCTTCTACCCTTCTATTTCTTTCATTCTTTGTAATCCTCCCTTCTCTATCCTTCTAATTTGGACCTTTGGGGTTATATAGATGGATATATCTAAACTTTAAGTATTATGTATTGAATTTTTATTTAGATGATGATAAAGTATCTTGTACCAATTCATTCTTCCACCAACAACTACAAGAAAAACTGTATGGAATGTGTGTGTGTGTGTGTGTGTGTGTGTGTGTGTGTGTGTGTGTGTGTGTTTTAGGACATTGGAGAACAACCAAAGCAGTTAGGACTTGAGGAGTCAGTACCTTGGAGAAACAGAAAGCGGTGAAAGATGAGCCTTGTTTTTGGCACTGCTTTTCCCCTTGAGGCGTTTGTCAACTACCAATAAGCAGCTGAGAGACTAAGAAGCTTGTCAGAGATATTGGAGGTCTCATGGGGCTGAGGAAACAAAATTGGAATTAAGCCCAATCAAGGAAAAAGGGACCCTTATCTCTAATTTTTTGGTTGGGGTTCTAAAAGTATATGCTCAAGTACTAAGAGCACACCAGAAATAAATCATCTCTCACAAGACCAAAACCCAGCTACAAATTATCTGAATCTTAATTACAGTCTAATATTCTTCTAAACTGGAAGGGGAAGCTTTTTTACAGGGTTGGGAGGCCAATAGTTGTATTGGATTAGGACAATCTGCCGCTAGCCTGACTGCCTTGCTAGAATTAGAATATTTTCTGGAGGAAGACTACATTAGTCAGATCCTGAGGCACAGATTATCTCTGCAGTGTTGTATACATAACCTGTAACATTTAATATAAAGTTTTCAGGTGTACCACCAGGAGAAAAAAATCAAAGGGCCCAAAATTAAGAGAACAAACATATAATAGAATTAGACACTCAGGCAAATGAGATACCGGAGTTGTTAGACAAGTTTTTAAGTAAATGTAAATTACATTCTCAAGAAAATAGGAGACCCTGTTGAAATTTTCAGCAAAACCTAGTCTGTGTACAATAAACAAATGAATATTCTAAGGCTGGAAAAATAACAATAAGCAATTCTGAACTCAATTGATAACTTAATCACAGACCAAGTTCTTTTAACTGTTTTACCTTCTGCAGAATGAAGGATTAGCTGTAATTAACTTGAGTTAGGTAAAGATTTCTTAAACAAGACATAACTTCTGCAGGGTAGAGGGTTAGTGAACAGAAATTTAGGTTAGGAAAAATTATCCAAACTGAAGCGCAGAGACAATGAAGGATGTAAAATACAGAAAACAACATAAAAACCATATGGGACATGGTAAAATGTCTAAAGTATATGCAAATGAAGTATCAGAAAAAGAGAAGAAAGACAATATATAAAAGGAATATTCAGAATCAATAGAAGAGGATTTTCCAAAACTGAAGACAGACACTGAGACATAAAATAAATATACAGAAAACCACACTTCAGTATATCGTTAACTGCTTAAAATCAAAGTATACATCTTAAAAGCATCCAGAGATTGACTATTCATAATCCAGATATTATGAATATTTCATATTCAAAACAGTTACAGAATGATTAATAGCTTATTCTCAACAGTTATAATGGAAAGCACAGGACAGTGAAATGACCTTTTTTAAAGTGTATCAATCTAGAATTATATTAACCGGAAAATATTCCTCATAAATAAAGGTTAAGTAAATAAATACTCATAAACTGAGCAGATGCATCTTAAAGGAAAACCTAAGGAAATTCTTCAGAAAGACAGAAGTAAAGGCTTACAAAAAGAAATATAAAAAACAAAAGGAGTAAAACTATTGATAAATCCAATGAATATGGAAGTCTAAATCAATAATAGTAATATCTTGTGGGATTTAAAAATATATTTATCTAATACAGGATGTAAGGTCTCCAAACTAAAATTTACAAAACACTATTGAAAGAAAGAAGGCTTAATTAAATGATGGCATATGTGTCTTTACCAGTTAAAATACTCAATACTGTGCCAATTGTCACTCAAAGTGGTCTAACTTTCAATAGATTCCTGATCAAAATTGCAGAATGTTTCTTGTGTAGAAATTTAAAGCCTGATTCTAATATTTCTACGGAAATGCGTAGAACCCAAAATACTCAAAACAATTTTGAAGAATAGTGATAAAACTAGAGGATTTCCACTACCAGATATTAAGACTTATTATAAAGTTATGATAATTAAGACAGTGTAGTATTAGCACAGGATTGACCCAAAGCGCTCCTACCATTAGGAAGGAAGAGTACAGTCTTTCCAAATAAATGATGGCGAATCAATTGGTATCTGCAAAGAAAACTTGAATTCTTCCCTGTCTTACACCATATACAAAGATTAGTTCGAAGTGGGTGGAACATAAAGAAATGTGAAAATTAAAACTCTATCTTCTAGAAGATGTCAAAGGAAATTACCTCTATGACTTTGGCAAGTATTTTATAGAAGACATAAAATAAATAAACCACTATCCATTCAATAAAAAAAAATAGATTTCACAAAAGTCAATAACTTCTGTTCATCTAAATATACCATTAAGTGAGTGGAAGACAAATTATAAGCCAGAAAAAGCTCAATTTGCAATGCATAGTTTAACAAAAGACCCAAACAAAAGACCCAAATCCACAACATATTTAGGACTATAACCAAAATAAAATAACCCAATTTAAAAAACGGCTAGAAAAATTCAACAGGCACTTCACACACACACACACACACACACACACAATATTCAAATGGACAATAAACATGTAAAAACATATTCAACATCATTAATGAACAGGGAAACATAAACAAAAATCACAATGCTATTCAATGATATACCCACAAGAATGGTTAGAGTTAAAAGGATGAGCAATGCTAAATAACATGAAGAATTGATCAATTGTAAATTTATACATCGCTGAGGGCAGTAAAAGTTGGTACAAGCACTTTTGAAATTTGTTTGGCATTATCTGCTAAAATTAAATATATGCCTAGTCTATTATCCAGGAATTCTACTTTTGTATGTATACCTAACAAAAAATGAGTGCTCACATACAAAAGACATATATAGATGAACAGATTGATATATAGATTGTAGATGGCTAGCTAGACAGAGTGATATAAATATACATACATACACATGAATATGCATACATACACATACACAAGCATACATAGAACTAGAAGGGGCTTCTGGACAAAATTGAAGCTTGTAGAAGAAATGGAGGCAGAAATGATAAGACCAGAATGAACAGCTTACCTAACTCAAGTTAATTACAGCTAATCCTTCATTCTGCAGAAGGTAAAACAGTTAAAAGAACTTGGCCTGTGATTAAGTTATCAATAGAGTTCAGAATTGCTTATTGTGAGCAAGGAGACAGTAATAACTTTTCTTTTCCTTCTATTTCACGTCCAACTAGAAGACATCCTACACATGGTCAATAAAAACAGGGTAGAGTGGAATAAATGTATTGTCCAGGAGTGGGGAAGTGACAAAGTGCTAAATACTCTTTTAAATCATATTAAAAATGTGGAATAAAAACTCTAGAACCAAATTGTTTATAGTGATTCCCTCCCAGGAAAACATTTTCAATATTTATATTTCTATAGTGATGGAAGTTGTTATAAGAAGCTCTTCTATGTTACACAACTTGAAATAAAAATTTTCAAAGGCTAAAAGATATGAAGAATTTCATAATAGCACAAACAAAAAAGCAGAAAATTGATAAATAGCATTAAAATGCTCTACGTATTCTAAGTCCCTGCATTGTCTGGAAAGTAAAAGTATTCATGTACATTAGTCTTTAATAAGTCAAGGATAAATATAATCTCTAAAGATTAAGATAGTTGTAAAAATGTATATAAGATAGTAGCATTGAAGAAGTTGCATAATCAAATCTATTCAAATTATGCAAAGGAAGGCAAGAAAGAAAAGGAAGGCACGAAAGAAAAGGAAGGCAAGAAAGAAAAAAGTAGATGGAACACAGAACAGTTAGTACAAACAGAAAAATACTCAGATGGTATATAAGCTCAAATATATTATTAATTATATTGAATTTAAATATATTGAATTATATTTAATTTAAATTTAACTAAATCAAAATACAGTAATTTAAAAACAAAACTATACGCTGCTTATAAAATACACACATTAAATATAAGGTTGCAGATACATTTAAAAAGAAAGGGAGTTAAAAGATACACCATGTAAATAACAAGCAAAAGTATAGCTGATGTATTTTTATTTATATCAATCAAAATAGACTCTAAGACTAGTGGTATTGCTAGCAATAGAGAACTTTTATAGTAAAATTGCCAATCCATAAAGATTTTATATTATATTATTATATTTTATCTTATATTAAAATTTTGTTTATATGTACTAACACAAATAAAGAAGTCTAACAACATAGACTTCTTGGCCAAATAATAATAAACAATAAAAATAACAAGGTCCAAAATCTCCTTTTATGAAGTAAAAAACTTGGGTTTTTCACAGATATTTTTCCCATGAAGAAATTCTTTTTATCGTTCTTTTTGGCCCTCTATTGACTCAAAGCTGTGTTCCAAAAAGTGGAAGCTGACAATGCCCTAAGTTCCAGATGCATTATGATAGTTTTGTATTTCATATATATATATATATATACACACACACACACACACATATATATACACACACATATATACACACACATATATATATATACACATATATATACACATATATATACACACACACATATATATATACACACATATATATATACACACACACACACACACACACATTTTGATTCATCTCATCAGATTAAGCATAGTACCATTGGGTATAGACCCTATTTTACAACTGGTTGTATTTTTCATATCATGTGGCAAAGTACTTATAGTTGACAAATGCTCAAAAATATGGCTGATTGACTAAATGGATGGAAATTTGTAGTATCTTCCTTGAGATCTTAACAGAAGACTAATACCAGGAGATCTATATTCCTTAAAGCCATTCAAGGGTCAAAAAAGTTTTGAGTACTGCTACATATTACAGCCTATTTCGGAAGAAGCATAACAAATATTAGCAAATAAAGGCTCTAAGAAGTAACATGTTTAAGAATGTATTATTCGGCCGGGCGCGGTGGCTTACGCCTGTAATCCCAGCACTTTGGGAGGCCGAGGCGGGTGGATCACGAGGTCAAGAGATCGAGACCATCCTGGCTAACATGGTGAAACCCCGTCTCTACTAAAAATACAAAAAATTAGCCGGGCGCGGTGGTGGGCGCTTGTAGTCCCAGCTACTCGGGAGGCTGAGGCAGGAGAATGGTGTGAACCCGGGAGGCGGAGCTTGCAGTGAGCCGAGATCGCGCCACTGCACTCCAGCCTGGGCGACAGAGCGAGACTCCGTCTCAAAAAAAAAAAAAAAAAGAAAAAAAAAGAAAAAAGAAAAAAGAATGTATTATTCAATTATATATTCCCTGGCATACACCTCTGCAAAAGGTGTGCTGGAGTTGCTAAAATTGCTCCTCCCATCTCCTCACTGTCCGCAGGACTAATCCTCCTGTCTTTACCCTTGAAAGTCCTCACTATACCATGCGTCAAAGTCCATTCAATATTTAATAGTTGTTTAGGAGAGAACAACCTGCCTCATTCATCTTTTATTTTTCCATGATGACAATCATGATCCATTTAATCCTTAAATATTTTATAAATTCTTAACAATTTCAAATTCATTGTTCTTCATGGATTAACTAAAAAGTAATATCTTACTACTTTTGAAATATGGATTTTAAAATTAATATGTAATGATCTAGATGTTATTCATATCTTTCATGTCCATGAACCTGTCAGACATTTTGAAAAAGATCTTAATCAAGTTATGAAGAAATCATAGTAAAAATTTTAGCAGATAAATAGTTCCATACTGAACTGAATGAGTTAAATCTATTCCCCAATCCCCTAAAACTCTAGGAGGAAGTGATAGATACATTTACTTTCATGAGTCCATTAATTAAGTGCTTACAATGCTCTAGGCTTTTATCAGATATAGAGATGGTTCAGCCTCTTTCTGAAGAGACAAACTTCAGTTTCTATCTCATAGTTATTATTAGAATATGAATGTGGTTTATTGGTTTCTGCCACCCCTGGGGGACAATGAAGCGTATAGCAAAGAGAAAATACTGGCACAATGGTTGTCTCCAGCTAAAATTGCCTAAGGAACAGAAGTTGCTGTCTAATAGGTTGATGTGTGCTGGCAGAGTTATGTGAGAAGCTAGAATTGCTTCTTCCTACATGACGTCTAGCATGTCAAGCTCTCCATTTCATGGGGGTAGACCTGGTATTCTCCCATGTCTTTCATAATTAGCTCAAGGTAGTCCAAATCAACAAGTTTACTGATGGTAACACCATGAGTATGTAGGCAAATATAGTAACACGATAACTTTTCTAAGAAATACAATGTTTGTTAGAGCTCTAGAGATGCTTCTGATTCTTCTGGATGCATAACATGACATTTCTCATCTATTTACTAAAGATACCATTTACTATGGGTAGAAAAGGCCTATCCTTTTAAAAGACTAAATATTTTCTTATATGAATATCTTTAACTATTCAAAGGAAAACAAGTCAGTTGGAGAAATGAGGTTAATTTCTCAGCCCTGAACATGGAAAATTAGATACTCAATGATGCTCAATTCCAGATCTGTGAATCTAAATCTTTTTACCCCATTACCTACGTACTGCAAAGCTATGGGGAATCAGGAAGTTTAAATGCTTCAGCCATTTCTTTTTAAAAACTTTTTTGTGTATTTTAAACCCATGGAATTGCAGGGGAAGGAAGAATAATCCTCCTGTAAATTAAGTCATGATGCTCTTGATGATCAGGTCAGACCAGCTGATAAGCACTCAGTAGAAATGCAGCACAGCAATTGACTGTCATAAAGATTAACATCCATTTGCTTAGCTAATGAGTGCCACATGCATAGCATATCCAAGCTCATGCTTTAAAAGGTTGTATCCATTTTTATCATCACATCTGGAAGCACATCCAGTGTGATATACAGCTGCATGACTGATTTTCATGTTTGTGGTTTGTAATCAGTCTCGTTAATTTTTAGTCATATTCCATATATACTGGTGTACTTGGAAATATATATTATTGACATCTGGAAAAGTTTCAATTTTCAGGTGTTTATAAATGCATTTCAGCACAATTTTCCTTTCTTTTTGGCCTTGAATGGTTTTTCTCTTGTTAATTTCGATAGGCATACTATTTTACAACAGTTAGCCTTTCATAGGTGATAATGCAAGAAGATTTGCACAGGGATGCCTTTAAATAGACACTTTCAATTACTAAAGAGTCACATGACCCCATTTGATCTTTTTCAGTGCTATTAAGGTAAGAAAAAAAGGAAATGAATCCACAAAATGTTAAATTGAATGTTTAAAATTAACTTTTGCTATATTTTACTTTGAAATACCTGCATGTGTACTTTTTAAAAATGTCTAAATGATGTGTCATGTTATGTTGAGTGTCCTCTTTCAAAATAAATCCTGCCCCTCAAGGATATCTATATCCAAAGATACTATGCCGTAATGTAGACTATAATAGCCCTTCTGTGCTAAGAAGAACAGGGATAGAAATAGATACTGTATGACTAAATGCTGATTGACAGCTCCATCACAGGCTTGGTGCTTCTTTAGCTAAGCTGCAATAAAGAGACTTCATATCATACCATTCAACAGATAATAAAATAGCATAAACAGATGTAACCTTATGGAGAAAAAAATTCTACTTGATTATAATGATAAAAAATTGAATCTTTTTAAGTATCTTACGTAGAGATCACAAAACTAAGTGTCGATTCACAAGAATAATTTTCCTCTCAATTATCCTTTAAGCATTATCTCAAATAGAAAATACCACAGTATCTGGGTATATAGGAAGGCAAAATATTTTCTTAATATATCAGTTTTTAAAAATGTAAACACTGATTGAAATGTCCCTGTGTTACAGGTTGGAAACAGCTTAAAAGATTCTACAAAATGTAATTTCACTTTCAAATCTTTCAAAGTTTACCACATTAGTGTATTTTTGGCACAAAAAAAAACCCTGAAGAATTCTTGTCATCAAAAGTTTTATAAGAAATAAGTAGTATGTTTTCAAAACCAAAGACCTTTACTACGCACAGAATCGCGCATGACAATGAATGGCATCATTTATTGGTAACATAGACTCATGCAGATGTACCCCTGGAATAATGGATACCTCCAAACCTGTGGCAATAACTTATATAAAAATTAATGAAGTAAACAATAATAATTTAAGCCCCTACTATTGATTATATTTAGTAATTTTTTCACATATACAATATATACTTTTAAAATTATACCCCTTTGATTTATTTTCTATGATTTCTCCAAGTAACAACATCTTTAACATCTTCAAGAGCTACTATTGGGTCAGTTTTGACCCAACCTACATGAGCTATATAAATCACCTTCCATCCAATCTGATGATAAATGTTGTGGTAAACAAGTGTGATTATGTCTATTTCTGATTGATTCAGTTTCACTGAGATGGCAATACTCTTCAATGTTCTTAATGTTAATATTGAATATATTTTTAAAATGTAAGTTAACAAGTTCTATATTAAAATTCCTACCTGTTCTGATCCACATGAGGGAACTGGATTGAGATACTTTCAATGATAGAGCATAAGAGAGTGTAATTAATGGCAGCCATACAGAATCTTTGGGACATATAGAGTTTCTGAATCTCTGAATTCAGCAATGCCGTCAGTGTTTTGGCTGGCAGCCTATAACCCCCTTTTAACCTGAGCCCAGCTTACTCAGCAAGCTATGGTAAGTGACTGCTGAGCTGTTACTTTCTTATTTCAAAATACACCTCCGGTTGAGAGAGGGACATGCTCTTTTACATATGGTATGGGATTTTGTTTGGGAATTCAATTTTTTGTTATGAGTTTTTAAAGAAATGTGCAGCAATGGCAATGTGGAAAAAAAACACACACAGAACCTTTGGAAAGGAAAGGGCGGGGGGGTTAACTCACAGAAACTGAAATGCACTACTTGTTTTGGGCAGGCACAGAGAAGTTGAGGAACACTGTGTAGGTGGGCCCAAAAAATCTATCATCTAGGACTGGGACTAGAGAGTTCAGAGCTAAAGTCTTTCTGTCCTGCCTGAAATGCCACTACCACTCATGCTAAACAGGGCAGTTTTATTCTACTCTCCCATACATTTAATAGTCAAAGAAATATTATCATCGGGTTGGTGCAGAAAGCCAGAGATTATACTAGTTATGTGTGTGACAGAGGGTGTATAAGGAGAAGTGATGAGAAAATGATGTCAAAAGTGATTAGCTATCTTCTAAAGAGTGATGATTGCAATGTCAACAAAATTCTCATCCTGAGAAACAGCTATACCTCCATACCTAATTACAAAACTGAGTCAAGTAGAACAATCAAGTAATATACCTTTATTCATTTATTCATCCATTCATGTATTCATCCTACAAATGTTTATTGAGAACAACCTGTGTTCAAGATATATTCCTAGCACTGCAGCTATAATCTTGAATGAGATGAGGACCTTGCCTTCATGAAGCTGATATTCAGGTGATATACAATAAATAAGTAAACAAATAAATACACAATATATTTCAAGAAGTGATAAGATTAGAAAGAAATATGAAGGAGGAAAGGGGGCAGATGTTGATAACATGTGTTGGGGGAGGTGGGCACTCTTTCCTATTGGGTGATATGTAAAGGCCAACCTGAGGAAGTGAAATCTGAAGAGAAACATAAAGGAAGTTAGGTGGTGAACCTTGTGAAGATCTTAGAAAGAATTTTCCAGAAAAAGAATGGCAAATATAAAGGACTTGAAGTAGAAATAAGCTTATTTTCTGGCATTAAAGCAAAAAAGGTCACTGTTGCTAGTCAGAGAATGAAAGGAAGACATGGTAGAAATTAAGCAAGTGCTAGATCATACTAGGTTTCACAAGCTGTGGTAATGACTTTGACTTTTGTACTGAATGTGATGGAAAACCATTAGAGATTTCTCTGTAGAGGAGAGATATGAACTGGTTTAAAATTTTAAACCAAGGATTCTGATCTGACCAAATAGAAGGCTGAATAGTGACATCATTTGCTGAGGTGAGGAAAACCAGAAAGGAACAGGCAGAAAGGAGAAAGAAGGTAAGAAAAAATAATTCCAATTTAAACATGTTGAGTTTTTGATGTGCAATAAACAACAGAAAAGGAATATTGAGTAAGTAGTTGAAAATAAAAACGTAGAGCTCAGGGGAGAAGTCTGTACTGGTGGAAAAGATTTAGAGGTCATCAGCATTTAGATGACATATTTAAGATTATGGGATTAGAAGATATTACATAGGGACTGGCTGTAACGGAAAATAGAACTGAGCTAAGACTAGCATAAAGAAGAGGAGCCCACACAGGAAATGAAGTACAGAGGAGAAATAGGAAAACAAGCAGCGTAGTGGTCATAAGCTAAGTAAAAAGAGTATGTCCACAATGAGGTAGTACTCTATCACATTCTGTGGAGAGATCAAGTATGAAGAGGACTATTGGATTTGGCAAATGGTAGTTCAATAATGTCCTCTACAAGGATTCAGTAGAATAGTAGAGACAAAGCCTGACTGGAGAGGTTGAGGGGAAAATAAGTGAAGAAATGATAAAAGCAAGACATTTAATTGAGACTTGTTTCCTTATTAATAAAATGCATAATGATCCTAACAATTTGGAATTTCTTCTATCTAAACAATTTTCACATTTTTATTATGAGTTTGAACTCTTCGCATGTCATTTTCTCAAACCCTAAATTTCTAGTTCATTTCATTCCCTTCCACTGCAATTGTAAATGAGAGAGAAAAAGTTATTGAACATTTGTGATTTCTCCCCAGGAGTAATCTTTTCAATTTCACCACTCAGGTAACATCCTTACCTGCTAGATTATTTTAGGCTGTTTAGATTTTTTGCCATTAAAGGAAAATACCTTTATTTCCTAATGCTCAATATTTTATTAATAAATTATTCTCAGAAAACTAGTGCCTTGAGCTACATCTGTGGAAAAGTGTAATAATTAGTAGCATTGCAAAGAAACTTTAAAATATATCTAACATAGCCTGAGGGGAGTTGATAAGAGGCTTCTCATTTCTGATCCAAAATGGACAATGGTCTTCAACAGTTAAACATTTTAAACATAGCTCTCTAGAAGATATTTCTATCTTGGTACCATAAACATCCAAGTCAGTGAATTACTTATCATGGAAATAACAGAATGAAAGCCTCCTGCTTAGATTATTTCTTCCATCGAATGAGTATTAAACAACTAACAACTCTGGCCACCCAAGCCAATAGTACTAGGACTACTACTAATGTTACTAATAATAACAAAGAGTAGGTCAGGCTAGAGTGATCTTTTGGATAAGGTCTACCTTTCAACAGAGTGAAAACAGAATGGCTAAGCAATGCTTTACTCAAGTATCTGCCCACAGTTCATGTGGCCCCAGATCTGTCAACATTAAACCATTGTTCTTGTAAAGCAGATAGAATTATGCTGCTGGAAGACAGCCTGGTTGAAAATCAAGTTGTGTTTTATTGTACAATGGGTTATGTTCTGATTTGTTATGAAGATAACACATAAAAGTGATGTGATGGACCCATTTTTCCAAAAATAATGGTTTATCTCTGACTATAAACTATTATTTCCAAATGAATCAAGGCTTATTATCAGGCCAGCAACAAGCAGAATATGATTCTGAATTGTATTTGTCTTACTCTTTGTCTAATATTTTGGGATATCATGCCTCATTACAAATTCTAGTTGGTAATTTATTTCGAAAATTTTCTGAAAGGATTTTCTTTGCTAAGGAGAAATGACCTTTCTTGTCATTTCAAGTGATAACAACATATAGTTCATAAATAAAAGTAATTCAGAATGTGGTCATATGAAAAACCACATTTCTGTCCTTTCTGTCAGAGGTGTACATATTACGGGCTTTTCTCTTAGAGTTCAGGTTTAATAAATCAGTATTTTCTAATTAGCTGGTAGGCTGGCAGTCACACCCCATCTGCTCTTCCCCCAACTCATAACACACTCTGTCTATCTCTTCCAGCCACGCATCAAACTCCTGCTGTTCTCCATTTAGCATCAACTTCCTTTCTGCCCTGATCCTAACCCATGCTTCTTTGGAGCTGTCAGCTCTGGCTCTCTGTGACTCAGCACTGAATTTCATACCAGAGTAGGTTGAAATCCATTTCCAAACCATTAAATCTGTATTTGCTCAAGTCAAGAGTCACAACCTCACCTAAATCCTCTGTGTTTTCCTCTGGGTCTTGACCCCTTCCTCTGTGGAAATTGTCAGTCCTCCCTCTACAGTCACAATAAAATCCAAATAAGGGTTAAATCCTGACCCTACTTGCATTTGAAAACTTTTCTCACTCTAGATGCATATAGAGAAAGACTTGAAGCTACAAGGACTGAATCTGATAGAACATCTCTTTAGCTAGTCATGTGCAGAGATAGATTAAAGCTAAACACAGCTCAGATCAATCAAAAGTTCAGACCACTGGCAACCATTCTTTGACTCTAAGAAATTGGTGCAGCTTGCTAAAGGTGAAAAAAAATCTATGAATGGAGAAAGCTACCATTAAGAATTGTAAGAAAGATACCCAACAAATTGATATAACCATAGATTATGATATGATAATGCAAAGTACCTTCACATATGTTGGATAAGCTCTTTTTTGGCCATGAATACACAAGAAAAAATGTACGCTTGTTTGCTTTGTTTTTGAAAGCAAATAATATGCATAGTGCTTTAATCCAATCATATTCATGTATGATGTGTGCCATTGCACTTTTTGTTTGCTTGGCTATATTTTAGTGTTTAGTTAAATAGTGATATTTGACAGCAAAACAAAACTTTGGCACATGCTTGAAGTGGACTATGTAACTCAATTGCTGACATTTTGTATCTTATTTTTCCATAATGTCTTAAAAACAGGAGTGTGTTCTACTGCTGATAGCTCTTGTATGTAGTAAGTAATTACATGAAATTAAGGTCTAATTAGAAGACAGTATTGTCCTACGCTATTAGGAAATTTATCTCCCATTCCCTTCTAATCAGACTTTTTAATAAATTTTATAATTTCATTTTTAATTAAAAGTAATTATATATCTGTCCCGGATCGTATATAAAGCTCCTCTTCAAGATAATCTGCAATGTTATTTAACCACGGTTGTTTCTTTTTTCCAAAAAGAAAGAAATCTAAACTTCCAAACTATTTGGCTGCTCCCTCAAAGAGTATGTTTATACCAGCAGAATCTTTGAGTCCTCTTCACTTGCTGCTAGCTCTGATGTGGCAGATTGGGTCCAGATTCTGACTTAAATGTCTTGGGTAGGAAAACTCAGAAGGTGAATCTTCAGTGAGGCCTCCATATACTAAAAGCTGCTGCTTAACTGGCAGTAAATGGAGCCTGGCAGCAAAATTAGTGTCTGTAAAAAATGGATTTTAAAAATGTCTTGAACATGGGCATAAATTATGAACAAAGATTAAGTGCCACATGCTTACAAACCCTTGCTTTCCAAAGAATGTGATATGTATTTTCTGATTTTAAAATAAGAAATGTCTGTTTCAAATTCATTTTTTAATTTCCTTGTTCTTCAGTCAATAAATGTTCAATAATGTTGCTGCTCCATTACCAACACAGCCTGCTCATTTTCTGAGCTGGTAAACTCTAACCTTGGCTCAGTGCTCACTGTCTTTGACCCACCCCAACAGGGCCCAGAAATCTTACAAAATATACCCTACCAACTAGATACCAAGGAAATACCATTTGGGTTACATACCAATCAGGCAACAATCTGGTAGTCACTCTTCAGGCTTTGACAGATAGAAACATTTAGCTGTGATTGTGTATGATGTCATGTGGGTGAGTAAGGATTGTGTTGTGCTCATCAGTCTGTTTACATCAGGAGCTCATAAAGAAGAAAATCACTTCACTTTATGATGATGATTTTCTCTGACCTTTTCCAGCACCTGCAGAGAACAGATCATGCAGTAATCTGATCAAACACACTCCTTCACATGCACCCCCACACATGTACCACAATGTAAACTAAGTATTCAAGGAAAAATGCAACTACTCATAGGTGTATATTTAAATTATAAAGCTTTTTTTTTTTATTTTTGGAGTCCAAGGTGTCCTTGATTTTTCAGTAGTAGAAGTGCTTCTGTTTCTCATCTGAACTTGACCTTCTGGATTCATTCTAAATGCTACTTAGGCAGCAATCTAAATGATGGAGATTATAGATATTGATAAGTGGTGACTTTTTTTTATTCCAGAGGAAAAAAAAAACTAGAAGCCATATTTGTATTGGTAGGTTATTTTTATGATTATCCATCAAATAGATGGATCTTATCAAATATATCTACTAATACTTTTCTCTTTTATTATGTATAGAAAACCTGCACTTCATCAAATTACTTCTGCCAGTTTTCTATACATACAGTAAACGATTTCAGAAATTAACTCACTAGAACTCTTTGTTAAAATTTGTCATTTATCTATTAAAATTCTTCAGCTTTTGTCAGACAATGTACTTAGCTCTGTAATAAGAGTCCCTGAAGATATGTGTGTGATTTGTCAAAAGAGAGACAAAAAGTGTATAAAACTCTAAAATGTCAGCAATCAGGAGATTTAACAGACTTTAGTAAATTTACATAGAATGAATAGAAATCTTTGATATTAATAAACTTAGCTCCGGGGAGTACAAGAAAAGGAGCAAAGAATGTTAATTTGAATACCATTTCCACATCACTTCTTCCAAAACTAAAAATTAGTATGGATAAATGTGTGATAGAGTTTAAATAACATAACTGTAATTATTTATCACCACCCCAAAGTTTCAGAGTGGGAATGTTTTCTCTGAAGTAGACCAATAAAGTATATACATTTTATGTAGTTTATTTTCTTTAACACAAAGACTAATGTTAAATGAGACAAGGCATATAATGTATTATAAGAGTGTCTGGCAAAGAGTGAATTTTGCCTTTTTTCATAACCATTGAAATAGAAAGAGGAGAATCATGCCATCAGGGAGAAGAATATTTCCTGACTTTAGGAAGCCTGATCAATAGCCAGTAACACACAGCACAGCAACAACCCCAACAAATGATAGTATTTCTGAAGTAACACAGATATACAAACACATGACTTTCTTAAGACTCAGATGTTATGAGAGTAATCAATTGGAATGGAATAAGTAGGAGACGGTCCCTGGAGAAAGTAGATGTTAAGCTACATTTTGAAGGAGAGATTGGTGGACATAATAAGAACTAATATGTACACATATTGGCAAGACTGAGCCAATTGTGTGCAAGGAGAAGCCAATAATTTGATTTTACTGAATCAAAAAAAAATACGTTGTATTAGTTTGCTAGAGCCCCCATAATAAAATACCACAGACTGGGTGGCTTAAACAACAAAAAATGTATTTTTTCCACAGTTCTGGAGGCAGAAGTTCAAATTCAAGGTTTGGTTTCCTCTGAGGGCTCTCTCCTTGGTTTGTAGATGGCTGCCTCCTTGCTGTCTCCTCGCATGGTCCTTCTCTTGTGCGCCTGCATTCCTGTATCCCTCTCTCTCTGTCCGAATTTCCTCTTCTTACAAGGACACCAATCAGATTGTATTGATTCTCACCCTAATGGCCTCATTTTAACTTCATCACCTCCTTTAAGACCTTTATCTCCAAATACAGTCACATTCTAGGTACTGGGGTTTAGGGCTTCCACATCTGAAATTTTGGGGGACACAGTTCACCCAATAACATGTGTTCTGGATTGCTTATAACTTTAGGTGCTAAGATCTGGGCAATGCTCAGTAGCAATTAGAAGTGGGGTTCTTCTTGCTTATACATTTTTAGAATCAAGAAAACGTATCTATGGATATCAGGTAAAGGGAAGCACAACTGGAAGATCCTAAAGCTATAAATGATTTGATCGTGTCTCCTCCTTCCACTGCTAGAAGAGAATACTGCAAGACACAAAGAGGAATGGAAAGAAATTAGAGTTACCCCTTTATAGTTTCCATTCCAATCTCCTATTTCTCATTGACTGCCAAGAGCCTCTGAGCATAAAAATTTCCACATCTTTCAGTTATTTTTTTCTAACCGTTTCTTCCCATGATGCTTTGTCTTTCTGTTCCCTGCCAGAATGCCAAGCAGTATATTGCTGTGGAACAGTGGGCGTGTTGGTGTGTGTATGGGAGTGGGAGAGGTTCAGGCAGAATTCAGTAGGTGGAAAGAAGAAAGATCTTTTCTTTTTTTATTCCTTAACTTTTGCCGTGAGCTGATATCACATGAGAAAATGTATTAGCTAATAAAACAAACATGCCAACATATTTTCCCATTGAAATGATTTTCTGGTTGGAAAAGACAAAGTACAAGAAAAGGAAAAAAATGAGTAATGTTCATAAAACTTATTTTAGCGTTCAAAAATGTATATTGGTGCCATTTTTTAAAATAAATCTTCCATTGGACTGAAATTGTTCATTATAAAGGCTTCCTCTGTTATAAAACTAATTTGTTGTTTTTTAGAAGTGGTTGAACAGTAGCTATAACAACAGCAAATCCAGAGTTTACTATGTGCCAGGCATTGAAATAAACATTTTACAAATACTGTTTTGTTCTTGCAGCAACACTGTTAGGTAGATAAAACTATTATGTCTGTTTTATAGATGAAGAAACTCAGCCACAGAGAGGTTAATTGATTGCCCAGAAACAGTAACTGACAGAGCCAGTAACTTTATTCAGGTGGTGTGATTTTAGGGCCCAGAATTTTAACTATAACTTTACACATCTTTAATAAGAAGACTCATGTTCCTGTGACCAGTATTCATGACAAATGGTAATTCTAATTAAAAAAAAAAAAAAAACAGGTTTACTCTACCATTAACAGAGAGAGGCTTTTTTTTCTCAGAAAGGAAAATATTTTAACTGAAAAACCAGTACCATATGGCAAGGAAATACATGCCTCTGTATAAAAGCCTCACCCTCTAATGCTCTTTACTGATGTTCTGTTTGGATATTTGCTGATGATTTTTGTATGTCCTATTTGCCCTAATACATTGTGGATCTTTATAAAGCAACCAGCACATAAAATATCCTTGCCTAGATATTTTAAGTCTAGGATTTTATAATTGTAAAGCTAATTTCCATAATAGATTCAAAAGATTTTTAAAATGAAATTTCTGTCTTCCCATAATTATGTAACTCACCAAAGCATTTTTATGTGTGTCCTTAAAAATGTTAACAGTCTGAATGTTCAAGTTGTTGCTTCACTAACCAATATAGCTAATATAAAAATATATATGGCACAAAGATTGACCTTATTCTTCTGCTCAGAGAAGCTTCTGTGATGGCTAAGACTCTAGCCAGTATTGAAATAAAGAAGATTGAAATACGAATTATGTCTTGTCTTTGCTGGGTTGGAGCGATCTATGAGAATATTCCAGAAGGTTCACTAGCCAGTTTTGACAGAGTCTGTTGGTTCTCCATGTATTCCTTTACATTTCCTAGCTTCCCCTGCAGTTAGGTTGAAACTATGTGACATGTTTTAGACACTAGACTATGAGCAGAAGAGTCACTTCTGGTTTCAGAGACGTGTTGCCTCCATTTCTCCCTGCCTCTCCTCCAGTGGTTTTACAGTCTCTCTGTTCCAGACCAGGACTACAAGATAATAGGGCCCTCTGTGCACCATTGCTAGCTCTTATTAGACATGTAAGGTTGGATGTGGTAAGGCACCGAGATATTGGGGTTGATTTGTTACAACATAACTTAGCCATGCTTAATGAAAATGAAGATGAATTTCACTTAGACAAATGTGGAAGATAGGGGTGGTGTAAGAATTTATTATACATTCAGATAAGCAAACTCAGTGGACTTCCTGTGTATATTTCCCACATCTAAAATCACATCCTTTAAATAACCAAAAAAGTACACTTAAAAAAAATCCTTTTCTGTTTCCTTTTCAACCCAAATAATTAACATCTTGGAATAGATGTTATGAAATATATAGATAATTACAGGTACAAACATGAAGAAAAATTCAAGAGGAAAACTTCTTGGAACAAGAAAAATTTCAGTAAAACTCATGTAACTTTGACTACCTGTGCCTAGTGAAACTGCCACATTTGTCTAATTTTAAATTCATCCTATGACCAATCATTGTGCTCAAGAGTTACCTTCACTTCAGTGGATGCTGTGGCACAATAGATAAATCCCTTCTTTAAAACTAAGGTGCTCACTCCTCCAGCTGCAGGAGAGTTGCTGCTGAGAGCTCACAGCTGAGTCTCTCCCCAGGATTTGCCCTCGACTGAAGAGAGCTGCCTGTTCAAAGTCTGCCCCTTCCCTGGGATAGCCTACTCCCAAAGACTTGTGGGCATGGTGGGTACAAAGGCCTTGCCTCTTTTTGCCTCTGTTTGGAACATCTTTGAACTGCTATCCCCATCAGATGTGTTGGGGCCTCTGTTACACCTTTACTACATTTTAACTCTTCCCTTGGCAAACTCTATTTTCCTTTCTACCTAGTATATGTTATTCCCAAGAGCTCTCCCCAGTAATCCTCCTGCAGATAGATCTCTGTTCTGAGTCTTTTTCCTGAGGAACTCAACTTATGCTATCTGTAAGGCACATAACAGAATTGCAGCTTACAATGAAAGGGTAGTTTGTGCATAAAGAGAATCTGAATCTTTTTCTTTTTTTAGGTATCTAAAGTAAATGGCCTTATGTATAATCCTGAATTATAAGTGAGTATTTTAATATAATTTTTACTTTGAAATAATTTTAGCTTTCCAGAGAAATTGCAAAATATTACAAAGAGTTCCTGTATATTTTAACCCACTTTTCCCAAATGTTAACACCTTACATTACCATAGTATAGTTGCCAAAACTAAGAAATGAACCTTGATGCATAACTATTAACTAACCACCAGATTTCATTCAAATTTCACCACTTTTTCCATTAATTGCCTCTTTCTGTTCCAGGATACATTCAGGATACAATATCACATAGAGACAATAGTCATTTTTGATTGGCAAAGTTAATGAAACAATTATATGCACATATGCCTGTATATATACAAATGACTTTAATGGCTAACAATATAAGAAATACTTTTTTAAATCTATATTTGTATAGCATACCAGTCTAATACTAATTAGCTGTTTGACTTTATGCATAGTTCTTCATTTCTCTGGGCCTCAGTTGACACATATATAAATAAGCAGGGTTAAATTTGATATCTTCTGTTCTTTCCATTTTTACATTCTGTGCTTCAATGCTGTTAAAGATGACGTGAAATTTTGTAGAACATTTAGCAGGAAAGAACATTTTCCTATTAAAAATTACAATTAAAACTGAAGATTTCTAATTAATGTAAATAAAGTGGGCATACCTCCATAAACTTGGTGGGATAAAAATTGATATAATTTTTATCATTAATTTGAATTTTTTAAAATGCCAGATAGTTCCCTTGAGCAACCAAAAAAATAAATAAATAAAAAACAAAAGATTGAGATAGAACAAGAAAAAGGTACACAGATGAAAAGATGAGAAAGCATTTGGAGTAATTCTTAGGAAAGTTTAGTGCAGAAGGAGAAGGCTCTTAAAGGTTCATAACTCATTAGTTAAGTATATTAATGTAGGGTTGGCAAAGAAATGGCCTGGACTGATAATGCTGGTGATTAGAAAACCTCAGAAGATGCCACATTCTGACCAACATTTAATTATTTTTTGTAAATAGAAAGCTAGTTCAATAGGTCAAAATGAGAATGGTTATTATTCTGCAGAAGAACATCAATTTCTTAAAAATAAATTATGTTAATTTCTAGGCTTGTTGTTGCAAATGAAGAAAAAACTATATAAAGAAGTACAGTACATGCTTTAATTCAAATCCTTTCCATTACAAGACTCATTTAATAAAACTCTACTTGTGACAGTCACTTGTAATTTGTAAATAAACATTAACTTAAATATGAACACTAAGTGATAGTGTGTATCTCGCTTGCAAAAGAAAAGCTGTAATATAAAGAGTGATTACTTATTTAAATATATTCTAAAATTATTGATGAAATTTTAAGTATTCATCTGAATCAATTTATTTACAAAAATAATGTGGTAAATTTCATGATTAATACAATTACAATAGGGTTCAGAGTTTAATTTCTAGCAATGAGCGTGTTTGTTTTCCTAATTTCTACAGAGCATTTTTAATATTGGTACTCTTGCATAATGGAAACCTTCTGGAAATTTGTATTTTATCCAAACACCTGTATGTGCAAATCATTAATTTGTAAGGAGCTGAATCATTTGGATGATGCAACTCTGCTGAAAGCTTTCTGTCATATGGAAATGGGCATGATATTCATGAATGCGTTAGAATTTGATTTCTTTTTAAGAATGATATTTATGTATACTAGCTAACCAATGGAAACTACAAACATATATCTCTATCCTATCCAGGAAGTGCTATTTAATCATCTTGCCTTTCAAAAGTTTATGTAAACATGAAGAAAATAATTCAAACCTGGGTCTTCCTTCTTTTCTGAAGAAGGTCAATTTTATATTTACTTCATGCCTGGCAGATGGACTGCACATGTGCATGCATTGGAAGAGATGAACTCTGATGAGGATGGGGGCTCAACAGCCTTTCAGATGTAGTTATAAGATCATCTTGAGATCTGGGTATTTTCAACAAGGAAGAGAAATGTGATTTTTAAGTTATGGCCATAGCTTTTCCTGGTAGATGGTTCAATTTTTTTCTGGAATTATCTGCAGGTCATTGCAAAAGAATCAGGCTTGTGGCTACTTCTCTGACAGAGCCAAACTCTCCAATTCAATTATTCTGAGCAAAACAAACAAGGAGGGGGACCCTCTTACGGATTAAAGACCTCTTTGTGATATGACTGGCCCAATTCAATTGCCTAAGCATCACGTAGAAACAATAGTTCAATACTTCAAAGGGTAGGTGACATTCAAATCTTTCTTATTTGGCTTTGTAATCCATGATATTGTTATTTTCCCAACACATTTGCTTTCCTAATTGTGTTTTGCTTGGATTGGTATTAAAAGAGTTTGTCTTCCCTGAGCACACACCAGCTGGGTAGTGGGAGGAAAGGGCCTCAAAGCTAACCAGGCAGTGGGGCAATACAGCTCTAAGATTCAAAATTAGTCATGAATATTCGCAAAGCAGATAATCTCCTGTAGATAAACAAAACGTACTGGAATCATCCCAGGACCATCTTATCTCTTGTTCTAATTCTTAGACTACTAAATTTTTCTTTACTTTTTTTTGGTACTGAGTAACAGGTACATTAAGACATTTCATGTCAGGGTTTTTAATTGAAATTGATAGCTCTTTGAAAACAAAAAAAAATGTATTTTTATTCTTGGTTATGTTTCCTTTTCATTTGAAAGATCGCTTATATGTATGTGAGAATAGCTAATAATACATGAGATTAATGTTTCCAGGGCCTAACACCTTGTGGATATTGGATTCTCATCTAATTTGTCATTCAACTAGGTAACAATCGTTTTGCCCCTCTGTACTTCAGTTTCTTCTCCCCGGATTGTAGATACAAATAACAAAACCTTTAAAAGACATTGTGAGGATTAATAAAATAACAGATGTCTGATACCAATAAGTAAAAGGTTTTACAAGTGTTTTGACTTTATTCTTTTCTTTGCATAGTACCGTTGCCATGGATCAGCCTTATTTAGGACGCCAAAAAAATTGTTGCTATAATGATTATTTTATATTCACCGAACAATAGTAATATTCTTGGCATAACACAGTACAATAAGGAAAATGAATTTCTTGTCCTGGGGAGGATGCAGAGGTAGTGAACTACAGGAATAACAGAGGAACCTCAGAAACATGCAGTACTGTTCAGTAGTCAGTTACTCCTAAAACAAAACAAAACCAAAATAGTGATGATTGCTTTTCTCTTCCTTTTAAAAATTCTTTATTGTGATTCCCTGCAAGATGGCTGAAGAGGAACAGCCCCAGTCTGCAGCGCCCAGGGAGACCAACGCAGAAGGCAGGTAATTTCTACATTTCCAATTGTGTGGTGCCTGGAACGCAAGTGAGACAGAACCACTCACTCCCCTGGAAAGGGGGCTGAAGCCAGGTAGCCAAGTGGTCTTGTTAAGCAGATTCCAACCCCACAGAGCCAAGCAAGCTAAGATCCACTGACTTGAAATTCTCGCTGCCAGCACAACAGTCTGAAGTTGACCTGGGACATTGGAGCTTGATGGGGGGAGGGGCGTCTGCCATTACTGAGGCTTGAGTAAGCGGTTTTTCCCTCACAATGTAAACAAAGCCTCCAGGAACTTTGGACTGGAGGGAGCCCATTGCAGCGCAGCAAAGCCAAATTAGGCAGACTCTCTCTAGATTCCTCCTCTCTGGGTAGGGCATCTCTGAAAGAAAGGCAGCAGTCCCAGTTAGGAGGTTATAGATAAAACTCCCATCATCTCCCTGGGACCTGGGGGAAGGGGCTGCTGTGGGCACAGCTTCAGTGGACTTAAATATTCCTGCCTGCTGGCTCTGAAGACAGAAGCAGATCTTCCAGCACAACATTTAAGCTCTGCTAAGGGACAGACTGCCTCCTCAAGTGGGTCCCTGACCCCTGAGCCTCCTGAAAGGGAGACACCTCCCAGCAGGGGTCAACAGACAACTCATACAGGAGAGCTCTGGTTGGCATCTTGCAGGTGCCCCTCTGGGACGAAGCTTCCAGAGGAAGGAGCAGGCAGCAATCTTTGCTGTTCTACAGTGTCCGCTGGTGATACTCAGGCAAACAGGATCTAGAGTGGACCCCCAGCAAACTCCAGCACACCTGCAGAAGAGGGGCCTGAATGTTAGAAGGGAAACTAACAAACAGAAAGCAATAGAATCAACTTTAAAAAAAATGACCAAGCAAAAACTTCATCCAAAGGTCACCAACAGCAAAGACCAAAGGTAAATAAATCCAAGGAAGATGAGGAAAAACCAGTGCAAAAAGGCTGAAAATGCCAAAACCCAGAATGCCTCTTCTCCTGCAAAGGATCACAGCTCCTCGCCAGCAAGGGACAAAACTGGTTGGAGAATGAGTTTGACAAATTGACAGAAGTAGGCTTTATTTAGAAGATGGGTAATAAACTCCTCTGAGCTAAAGGAGCAAGTTCTAACCAAATGCAAGGAAGCTAAGAACCTTGATAAAAGGTTAGAGGAATTGCTAACAAGAGTAACCAGTTTACAGAAGAGCCTAAATTACCTGATGGAGCTGAAAAACACAGGAGGAGAACTTTGTGAAGCATACACAAGTATCAATAGCCGAATAGATCAAGTGGAAAAAGGACATCAGAGATTGAAGATCAACTTAATGAAATCAAGCATGAAGACAAGATTAGAGAAAAAAGAATGAAAAGGAACAAACAAAGCCTCCAAGAAATAGGGGACTATGTGAAAAGACCAAACCTACATTTGATTGGTGTGCCTGAAAGTGATGGGGAGAATGGAACCAAGTTGGAAAACACTCTTCAGGAAATTACACAGCAGAACTTCCCCAACCTAGCAATACAGGTCAACATCCAAATTCAGGAAATAAAGAGAAGACCACAAAGATATTTTTTGAGAAGAGCAACCCCAAGACACATAATCATCAGATTCACCAAGGTTGAAATGAAGTAAAAAATGTTAAGGGCAGCCAGTAAGAAAGGTCGGGTTACCAACAAAGGGAAGCCAATCAAATGTTAGCAGCAATCTCTCTGAAGAAACCCTACTAGCCAGAAGAAAGTGGAGGCGAATATTCAACATTTTTAAAGAAAAGAATTTTCAACCCAGAATTTTATATCCAGCCAAACTAAGCTTTATAAGTGGAGGAGAAATAAAATCCTTTACAGAGAGGCAAATGCTGAGGGATTTTGTGACCACCAGACCTGTCTTATGAGAGCTCCTGAAGGAAGCCCTAAATATGGAAAGGAAAAACTGGTACCAGCCACTGCAAAAACAAATCAAAATGTAAAGACCATTGACACTATGAAGGAACTGCATCAACTAACGGGCAAAATAACCAGTGAACATCATAATGACAGGATCAAATTCACACATAACAATATTAAACTTAAATGTGAATGGGCTAAATGCCCAATTAAAAGACAGAGACTGGCAAATCAGATTAAACAGTCAAGACCCATAGGTGTGCTGTATTCAGGAGACCCATCTCATGTGTAAAGACACACATAGGCTAAAAATAAAGGGATGCAGGAATATTTACAAAGCAAATGGAAAGAAAAAAGGAAGGCAGGGGTTGCAATCCTACTCTCTGATAAAACAGACTTTAAAACAACAAAGATCAAAAAAGACAAAGAAGGGCATTACATAATGGTGAAGGGATCAATGCAACAAGAAGTGCTGACTGTTCTAAATATATATGCACCCAATACAGGAGCACCTAGATTCATAAAGCAAGTTCTTAGAGACCTACAAAGAGACTTAGGCTCCCACACAATAATAGTGGGAGACTTTAACACCCCACTGTCAATATTAGACAGATCAATGAGACAGAAAATTAACAAGGATATTCAGGTCTTGAACTCAGCTCTGGACTAAGCAGAACTAATAGACAACTACAGAACTCTCCACCCCAAATTAACATAAAATACATTCTTCTCAGTACCACATAGCACTTATTCTAAAATTGACCACATAATTGGAAGTAAAACACTCCTCAGCAAATGCGAAAGAACAGAAATCATAACAAACAATCTCTCAAATCACAGTGCAATCAAATTAGAACTCAGGATTAAGAAACTCACTCAAAACCCCACAACTACATGGAAATTGAACAACCTGCTCCTGCATGACTACTGGGTAAATAATGAAATTGAGGCAGAAAAAAAGTAACTTCTTCGCATCCAATGAAAACAAAGACACAACATACCAGAATCTCTGGGACACAGCTAAAACAGTGTTTAGAGGGAAATTTATAGCACTAACTGCCCACAAAAGAAAGTGGGAAATATATAAAATTGACACCCTAACATCACAATTAAAAGAACTAAAGAAGCAAGAGCAAACAAATTCAAAAGTTAGCAGAAGACAAGAAATAACTAAGATCAGAGCAGAATGGAAAGAGATAGAGACATGAAAGCCCTTCAAAAAATCAATGAATCCAGGAGCTGGTTTTTTGAAAAGATTAACAAGATAGACCACTAGCCAGATTAACAAAGAAGAAAAGAGAGAAGAATCAAATAGACACAGTAAGAAATGATAAAGGAGAGATCACCACTGAAACCACAGAACTACAAACTACCAGCAAATAATACTATAAATACCTCTACCCAAATAAACTAGAAAAACAGAAGAAATTGATAAATTTCTGGGCACATACAACCTCCCAAGAATAAATCAGGAGAGGTCGAATCCTTGAATAGACCAATAATGGGTTCTGAAATTGAGGAAGCCATTAATAGCCTACCAATAAAAAAAAAAAACCCAGGATGAGACAGATTCACAGCCAAATTCTACCACAGGTACAAAGAGGACCTGGTACCATTCCTTCTGAAACTTTCCAAAAATATATAAAAAGAAGGACTCCTCCCTAATTCATTTTATGAGGCCAGCATCATCTTGATACCAAAACCTGGCAAAGACACAACAAAAAAAGAAAATTTCAGGCCAATATCCCTGATGAAGATCGATGCAAAAATCCTCAAGAAAATACTGGAAAACCAAATCCAGCAGCATAACAAAAAGCTTATCCACCACGATAAAGACAGCTTCTTCCCAGGGATGCAAGGCTGGTTCAATATATGCAAATCAATAAATGTAATCCTGTCACACAAACAGAACCTAGGACAAAAACCACATGATTATCTCAATAGATGCAGAAAAGACCTTCAATAAAATTGAACACCCCTTCATGCTAAAAACACCCAATAAACTAGATATTGATGGAATATCAATGGACAAAAGCTGGAAGTAATCCCTTTTAAAACCAGCACAAGACAAGGATGCCATCTCTCACCACTCCTATTAAACATAGTATTGGAATTTCTGGCCAGGGCAATCAGGCAAGAAGAAATAAAGTGTATTCAAATAGGAAGAGAGGAGGTCAAATTGTCTCTGTTTGCAGATGACATGATTGTATATTTAGAAAACACCATCATCTCAGCTCAAAAACTCCTTAAGCTGATAAGCAACCTCAGCAAAGTCTCAGGATACAAAATCAATGTGCGAAAATCACAAGCATTCCTATACACCAATAATAGAGAGCCAACTCATGAGCAAACACCCATTCACAATTGCTACAAACAGAATAAAATACCTAGGAATACAACTTACAAGGGATGTGGAGGACCTCATGAAGGAGAACTACAAACCACTGCTGAAGGAAGTAAGTAAGAGAGGACACAAACAAATGGAAAATGCTCATGGATAGGAAGAATCAATATTATGAAAATGGCCATCATGCCCAAAGTAATTTATAGATTCAATGCTATTCCCATCAAGTTACCATTGGCTTTCTTCACAGAATTAGAAAAAACTACTTTAAATTTCATATGGAACCACAACAGAGCCCATATTGTCAAGACAATCCTACTTAAAAGGAACAAAGCTGGAGGCATCACGCTACCTGACTTCAAACTATACTACAAGGCTACAGTAACCAAAACAGCATGGTACTCGTAACAAAACAGATATATACACCATTGGAACAGAACAGAGGCCTCAGAAATAACACCACACATTGCTTGTGTGGGAATGGATTCCCACACGTTGCTCGTGTGGGAATGGATTCCCACACAATGGGGGAAGGATTCCCTGTTTAATAAATTATGTTGGGAAAATTGTCTAGCCATATGCAGAGAACTGAAACTGGACCCCTTCCTTACACTTTATACAAAAATTAACTCAAGATGGATTAAAGATTTAAACCTAAGACCTAAAACTATAAAAACCCTAGGTGAAAACCTAGGCAATACCATTCAGGACATAGGCATGGCCAAAGATTTCATGACCTAAACACCAATAGCAATTGCAACAAAAGCCAAAATTGACAAATGGGATGTAATTCAACTAAAGAGCTTCTGCATAGCAAAAGAATCTATCATCAGAGTGAACAGGCAACTTACAGAATGGGAAAAAAACTTGTGCAATGTATACATCTGACAAACGGCTAATATCAAGAATCTACAAGGAACATAAACAAATTTACAAGAAAAAAAAAACGACTCCCTCAAAAAATGGCCAAAGTTTATAAACAGATACTTTTCAAAAGAAAACATTTATGCAGCCAACAAACATATGAAAAAAAGCTCATCATCACTGGTCATTAGAGAAATGCAAATCAAAACCACAATGAGATACCATCTCATGCCATTTAGAATGGTGATCATTAAAAAGTCAGGAAACTGACAAAAAACAAGGAATGGGGAAAGGGTTCCCTATTTAATGAATGGTGCTGGGAAAACTGGCTAGCCATATGTAGAAAGCTGAAACTGGATCCCTCCCTTACACCTTATACTAAAATTAATTCAAGATGGATTAAAGACTTAAATATTAGACCTAAAACAATAAAAACCCTAGAAGAAAACCTGGGCAATACCATTCAGGACACAGGCATGGGCAAGGACTTCATGTCTAAAACACAAAAAGCAATGGCAACAAAAGCCAAAATTGACAAATGGGATCTAATTAAACTAAAGAGCTTCTGCACAGCAAAAGAAACTATCATCAGAGTGAACAGGCAACCTACAGAATGGGAGAAAATTTTTGCAATCTACAAAGGGCTAATATCCAGAATCTACAATGAACTCAAACAAATTTACAAGAAAAAAACAAACAACACCATCAAAAAGTGGGAAAAGGATATGAACAGACACTCCTCAAAAGAAGACATTTATGCAGACAACAGACACATGAAAAAATGCTCATTATCACTGGCCATCAGAGAAATGCAAATCAAAACCACAATGAGATACCATCTTGCACCAGTTAGAATGGCGATTATTAAAGTCAGGAAACAACAGGTGCTGGAGAGGATGTGGAGAAATAGGAACACTTTTACACTAGTTCAACCATTGTGGAAGACAGTGTGGAAATTCCTCAAGGATCTAGAACTAGAAATACCATTTGACCCAGCCATCCCAATACTGGGTATATACCCAAAGGACTATAAATCACGCTGCTATAAAGACACATGCACACATATATTTATTGTGGCAATGTTCACAATAGCAAAGACTTGGAACCAACCCAAATTTCCATCAATGATAGACTGGATTAAGAAAATGTGGCACATATACACCATGGAATACTATGCAGCCATTAAAAAGGATGAGTTCATGTCCTTTGTAGGGACATGGATGAAGCTGGAAACCATCCTTCTGAGCAAACTATCGCAAGGACAGAAAACCAAACACTGCATGTTCTCACTTGTAGGTGGGAAATGAACAATGAGAACACTTGTACACAGGATGGGAAGCATCACACACCAGGGCCTGTTGTGGGGTGGGGGGAGGGGGGAGTGATAGCATTAGAAGATATACCTTATGTAAATGACGAGTTAATGGGTGCAGCACACCAACATGGTACATGTATACATATGTAACAAACCTGCACATTGTGCACATATACCCTAGAACTTAAAGTATAATAATAAAAAAAGAAATTTCAAATTGAAAAATTACAAAGATTAAGCAAAAAAAAAAAGTCACGAAACAACAGATGCTGGAGAATATGTGGAGAAACAGGAACGCTTTTACACTGTTGATGGGAGTGTAAATTAGTTCATCCATTGAGGAAGACAGTGTGGTGATTCCTCGAGGATCTAGAACCAGAAATACCATTTGACCCAGCAATCCCGTTACTGAGTATATACCCAGAGGATTATAAATTATTCTACTATAAAGACACATGCACATGTACATTTACTGCAACACTATTTACAATAGCAAAGACTTGGAACCAACCCAAATGCCCATGAATGACAGACTGGATAAAGCAAATGTGCCACATATACACCATGGAATACTATGCAGCCATAAAAATAAAAGAATGAGTTCATGTCCTTTGCAGGGATATGGATGAAACTGGAAACCATCATTCTCAGCAAACTAACACAGGAACAGAAAACTGAACAGCGCATGCTCTGACTCATAAGTGGGAGTTGAACAATGTGAATACATGGGCACAGGGAGGGGAACATCACACACTAAGGCCTGTCAGGGGGCGTCAAGGGCAAGGGGAGGGATGGCATTAGGAGAAATACCTGATATAGATGACTGGTTGATGGGTGCAGCAAACCACCATGGCACATGTGTACCTATGTAACAAACCTGCACATTCTGCACATGTATCCCAGAACTTAAAGTATAATTTATGAAAAAAGAAAGAAATAAAATTCTTTATTGTCCTAATAAATGAATACATATTTATGTATAAATGTTCACATGTCATATATTTGAAGTCCGCACTGCACGTCTCTCTTTCATGGACCTTTCAAGGGGGTTTGAAATTAAAATTATAGTCCACAGACAGAACATGTTTAGTTCTGTGTTCATTCTATTCTCTATTCTGGGTATACGTACACATTTGGATACACCATCTTTCCCTTAGAACACCACTTAACTTCCTTCCGCCCACACTAATTCTTCCCAATATTGAAAGCCAGGTTAAATATTTTATATAAGAAGATTTTATTTAAGAAGACATGAAATATAACCTTTTAAAATAAAAATGTAATCACTTTTTAAGCATATTTCACCATGAAGGCAGATGCTGTTTTCTTTAATCATATGATAAGCGCACCATCCATGACCATTAACTTGGCTCTGTTGATTACATGCTCTTATTTCTCCCTTTGTATAATGACAACATATTCTCTTGATTTTCATTCTCCTTGCTAATCTTTTTTAAATATCTTTTATTGACCTCATATTTTGATCCACTCCTGTTAAGTATTATCCAAGGCTGTGTTCTACAAGTCTTGTTCTTTCATTATCTTTTGCACTTTGAGATCTTGCTACCTCACTTCTGTGTGGATGTCTTTGCCAAGGGAATATGTGCTAACCTATAGAATAAACACTGGCTCTTTATGGGGTCACCAGAGTACCATATTTCCAGGAACCCATAGACAAAATGTACTCACATTTTGATGCCATCATGAAACATGACTGGTTGACTGCAGATAAAACATCTTTGTGCTGATGGCCATTATGAATCTGTTGAATAAAAAATTGCTTGAGATGTTTATTTTTGATCATCACATCACACATTATTCTAAGATTATGTCTAAATTGTATAGTTCAAAAAAACTAAGAAAATAGATATGAAAACTCATTGAATATTTTGATGGAGAAAAACTTTCTAGACTTTACAGCAATGTTCATAAAGGAGAATTCTAGATCTGATTCCATTCAAATATAAAATATATATCTGCAAATCACAAAAACCTACAAGCAAAATTAACAAGCCAAAGAAGAACCTGAAAATATTTATAACGAACTTACAAATCAACAAACAAAATGTTAATAAGTCCCCTTACAGGAATATTCAAAGGACATGAATAATTTAGAAAAGAAGTAGTATAAATCACTAACAAACAAAATTTTTAAACCAAAGGTAATGAAGAAATAAAAATTAAAACAACAATAAAAAAACCTCTAGAAGACGCCAAAAGCTACCTTTCTAATTTTAAAGGTTTGAAATAGATGTAATGTTCAGTGCATGTATTGGGATAGGATGACAAGCATGCCCAAACACAAGCGTAACAAAGTCTTTAAAAGCATCTGTGGTATTTAACCCAATAATTCCACTTCTGAGAATCTAAGCCAATAAAATAATTAGAAATATAGTCAAATATCTATATATAAATAAACTACTCACCAAATGTTTTTAATCAAAAGAATTTAAAAAGAAACAACCTAACTGCCCAGTAATGTATAACCTAACCATATAATAAATTGCTGTGCAGTGTGTTAGTTAAAAGAAGAATTATTAAATACAGGAAAATGATTATATTAAAACATTAACAAAAAACAGAAATCTGGAAATACATAGAAACTGTCTAGACTTGTTTAGGTGCTACAATGATAGCATAGATGGTTTTGTCTAAAATGTTGAGTGTGACAATGTAACTTTCTTCCTTATTTTCCCTAGCTGTTTACATGTATTGCTTTCACTCAAAGATCTTCACTAAATATTAAAGAAGAAATTTTAGTTTTCAGAAGTAATTGATATCTAACACAGAAATCTTTAACATGTAAATCATGATGAAAGATCAGAGCAAATCAATTTACATATTTTTATCTGTGTAGAATATGGGTAAATATAGTGAGATTCTTATAAAGCAAATAGGATCGTGTCACTCCCTGCCTAACACTTCCAGTGGCTAACCAGGGCAGCTAAAATAAACTCCAAGTCTCCTAACATGTCCTCTCAAGTACTGAAAGATCTATCTCCTGCCTATTCTCATCTACTAGCCCTGTCTCCTCCACCCCTTATGTTTGCTGCTTTTCACCCACACCTCCTCATTCAGCTCCTAGGAAATACCAGACTCCTTCCCTCAATATCTTTAGGCATGCTCTTCTCTGTCTGAAATGCTCTTCCCTTTTCTTATTTCTTAGCTGACTCCCTCTCAAACTTTAGGTCTAAGCTTAAATGTCACTCAGAAAGGCTTTCTGTGAAACCAACGTAAATCTGGTTCCTTCTGCCATGCCCATTCCCTGTTTTATACATTCATAGCTCTTACCCTAATTTGGGTGGGAAAATTTTCTTAGAAAAGTCACTTAAAGGTGTTTAGAGAACAAAGGATCCAGCCAGTTGATTGAAAATCATAATAGCCTCTTTCCTTGTTAAATAGTTTGTATGCATTCCTGGCTTTTATACACTGAGTACTTTGAGAAAATGGCAGTCTCAGTACATATGAATACACAGCGCAAAAACATTGTTGATTTATAGTTTTCATGAGTGAAATGAGTGCATAGAAAGGAAAATATTGGACTTATACTTCAAAGATAACCAAATAAATAACAGAATATGCCTAAGGAAATTTGGAATTAAATAGTTGTCTATCCTTTTACTCAAGACATGTTGGATGGTGAGTTCAAATCCTTTCTAATAATAGATTATTTGATGGCTTAAAGCACAATATTTCCTAGAAGGTGAGAAGTAGCCCACCATACGGAGAACAGCAAAGGATGTTTTGGGCAGATACCTACATAAGAAGACACTCTTGGGCAGAGAAGAATCTAGTATTTGACAAATGGCAGAGGTCGATGTGTCTGATAAAATGTTGAATGATCAGGAAATTGAAATCTGATATTAGAGACAGGATTGGCCACAGAAACAAATTTAGTTAGAATTCTAAGTCTGATAGGAAATTTTAAAATGGAGAGGTGTGACAGGGCTTTACCTATAAGGAGATTCAGTTGGCTGGTCTGTGGAAGTGGACTGCAGAGCAGCAGGAAGGAGTATACAAAGGCTGGTTTGGAGGTTATTGTCATTCAGGTCGGAGATGATGGCATCCTGGCTGCTCATTAAGGTAGCCCTGTACATAGAGGAACATAGAGAGAGAGAGAATTAAGGAGAGAATTAAGGTCAATTTTGAAGAAAAGGGATTTGCTAATTGAATAAATGTGGTTGATGAAGGAAAGAAATCCCACACTGAAGTCAATGCACCTGGGTGAATGTATTAATTATACCACCTCATCTCATGACCCATCAAATCTTTAGTGCAGTTCCTTCTTAGAAGCTTTATTTTGTTAAATTTACATAGAATAACTCGATCGAAGATCCTAGTGTTTCCAATCACAGTCAGGCCTAAGATCATATAATAATTAGGTTTCAGTTAATTCTGAGACTCTAGAGACCAGCACTTGCTCATCATACCTCATATTCCTATATTGTGGCGTATCCCAAAGCACTCAACCCAAAACCCTGGATTGGCACCTTCTTTCATATATATACACACACATATACATGTATATACATACACACATATACATACACACATATACATGTATATATATACACACACATACGTATATATGTATGTATACATATCTGTATACATGTGTGTATACATATATACATATACGTATATGTGTGTATACATATGTGTGTATACATGTGTGTATACGTGTGTATACATGTGTATGTACACATATATGTGTATGCATGTGTGCACATTGTGTGTATACATGTGTATACATATATGTATATATACATATATACATACATGTATACATATATACATATATGTATATATGTATGTAGTGTATATACATATACGTATATACGTATATACACACATGTACGTATATACGTATATATACACACATGTACGTATATACGTATATATACACACATGTACGTATATACGTATATATACACACATGTACGTATATACGTATATATACACACATGTACGTATATACGTATATATACACACATGTACGTATATACGTATATATACACACATGTACGTATATACGTATATATACACACATGTATATAGGTATATATACACACATGTATATACGTATATATACACACGTATATACGTATATATACACACGTATATACGTATATATACACACATGTATATACGTATATATACACACATGTATATATACACACATGTATATATACACACATGTATATACACACACGTATATATGTATATATACACACACGTATATATGTATATATACACACACGTATATATGTATATATACACACACGTATATATGTATATATACACACATGTATATATGTATATATACACACATGTATATATGTATATATGTATATATACACACATATGTATATACATATATACACACATATGTATGTAGACATACATACATATATACAGACATATACATATACATGTATATATACATATACGTATATATACACATATACATATATACACATACACGTATATATACACGTATATACGTATATACACGTATATACACATATACATATATATACACATATATGTGTATATATATATATATAAATCTAATTTTTCAGCCATTTTATTTCCTCCAAAAACTCTCATTCTTCTTCCATCTCATTCAAACTGTGTGCATACTCTCTCCATCTATACCCAGGCAAAAATTGTCTCTCAAAAAAGCCTCTTCATCAGTGTATGCATATGTTTAAAAAACTGACTTTTTCTTAATTCAAAGATAAAATTTCAGAATTTGTTAAATCTTATGTGTAGACATTTTGTGGGACTTTGAAATTCTTCTTGTGCAACAAAGCACACCAGTGATTCTATAATACCATATGTTAAAAGCTACCTCTTCCATGAGAACACCCAGCAGCTAAATTCAGTTGTCCTCTTCATCATTACCTTACCTTTTACCACACATTTTCACAGGTTTTTTTTTTCTGCATATTATTTCATCTAATAGCAGAATATCAGGGCTTGAAGTCAGTTTAAAGATTATGAGCTAATCCAAATGTCCCAATATATACATAAGGAAGCTACATCCAAAGGAAAAACACTTTTCAAGGCCACAGTGGCTAGAAACTGTTGCACTCATATCAAGAACCTGTCTTTCAACAGGCAACACAGTCGGCCTTCTACCCGGCTGCTTCTTCCTTGAAGGCTTATCTTGAAGTGAAGGCTATGCCTACTTCTCATGCGTCTGATTTTCATTGAGCCCAAGTGTTCTCCCTAAATAAAGGCAGACAGGCCAACCAGCACAAGTATCTTTTCTATCCTATGTGGTGGCCCATAATGCAAAATGGAGAGTGGAATATTAAGATAGATTTCTTTGTCTGGAATTTCCTGGGAAGAACATTGCAGTTGCTTAACGTGCATAGTAATGCCGTGGCGACCTTGTTAACATGCAGTTTCTAATTCACTAGATCTGGGATGGGGCCTGAGATTCTGCACCGCTAACAAGGTCCCAGGTGGTGTAGGTGCTGTTGGGCTGCAGACCACGCAGAGTAGGTAGAGCACAGACTTAAGACCCTCAAAACCTGTGCCTCAGGGTGCCCTCTGCTGGCGGCAGCTGTGCAAGCAGTTTTTAGGCTCCCTGTTGGCAATCCAGGGGATAGAAAGAAGACTTAGATATTAGGTTTCTTCTCCCATGTGATGGTTAATTTTATGTGTCAACTTAGGTAGGCTATAGTGCTCAGTTGTTTGGCCAAATGCCAGGCTAGATGTTTCTTTGAAGGTATGAGATGTGATTAGTATTTAAATCAGTTGATTTTGAGTAAAGCAGATTACCTCCCATAATGTGGGTGAGCCTCATCCAATCAGTTGAAGGCTTTAAGACAAAAGACTGAGATCCTTGGAAGAAGAAGGAATTGCAAGAATAGCAGCGTGTGGGCCTGTCCGGAACATTTCAGACTTTCCAGGTCTCATAAATGCATAAATAATTTCCTTAAAATAAATGTCTCTAGATGGACAGATAGAGATATATATCTAAATCTTTCCGTATATCTACCTCAAGAGAGAGAAAGGGGGAACCAACAGACTGTGTGTGTATATGTGTGATATATATACATTCATACATATATATACACAGAGATGTATATATATATACATCTCTGTGTGTGTGTGTATATATATATATATATACACACACACACACACACACACACACACACTGTTTCCACAGCAAAAGAAACTATCATCAGAGTGAACAGACAACCTACAGAATGGAAGAAAATTTTCACAATCTATCCATCTGACAAAGGTCTAATATCCAGAGTCTATAAGGAACTTAAACAAATTTACAAGAAAAAAACAACCCCATTAAAAAGCAAGCAGAGGACATGAACATACACTTCTCAAAAGAAGACATACATGCAGCCAATAAACATATGAAAAACAGTTTAATATCACTGATCATTAGAGAAATGCAAATCAAAACCACAATGAGATACCATCTCATGTCAGTCAGAATAGCTATTATTAAAAATTCAAAAAACTATAGATGCTGGTGAAGTTGCTGAGAAAAAAGAACACTTTTACATCATTCGTGGGAGTGTAAATTAGTTCAACCATTGTGGAAGACAGTGTGGTGATTTCTCAAAGACCTAGAGGCAGAAAAAATTGACTCAGCAATGTCATTCATTACTGGGTACATACCCAGAGGAATCATTCTGCTATAAAGATACATGCACGTGTATTTTCATTGCAGCACAATTCACAATAGCACGGACATGAAATCAACTTAAATATCCATCAATGATACACTGGATAAAGAAAAGGTAGCACATATACACCATGGATTATTATGTCCTTTGTAGGGATATGGATGAAGCTGGAAGCGATTATGGTCAGCAAAGTAATGCAGGAACAGAAAACCAAACACGGTATGTTCTCACTTACAAGTGGGAGCTGAATAATGAGACCACATGGACACATGGCAGGGAACAACACACACTGGGTCCTGTAGGCGGGGGTCGGGTGGAGAGAGGGAGAGCATCAAGAAGAATAGCTAATGGTTGCTGGGCTTAATACCTAGGTGATGGGTTGGTCTGTGCAGCAAACCACCATGGCACTTGTTTACATATGTAACAAACCTGCATGTCCTATACCTGTACCTCTGAACTTAAAAGTTGAAGAAAAAATAACAAAAACTATATATTTTTTTTCTCTAGAGAGCCCTAATATATCATAATGAGATAATATCAATTTCCTAGAATAATGCTGTCATATTTTCAAGTACTGACAAATATGAAAAGTTAACACTGAGAAAACACTAAATCTGTATTTCATTCATTTACCAAATATATTTGAGCATCTATTCTGTGTGAGTCCCTGGGGATATAGATGAGAGGAATACGAAGTGCCTGCCCTCATGCAGTACATGTTCTGGTCAGGGAAACAGGCAACAGATAAGTGCACAATGAATAGAAATGCAGAAAACAATACACACCATGGAGAAAAAAAGAGAAAGATAAAAGTAGATAGTAAAGGACTTTCAGAAGAGGTAATACTTGAATGGTATTTAAACAGAGACTCTCCAAATTAATTGACATGTTTACCTGGCCAACTGATATCTGTAAGTATTCACCACGTTCGACATGATTTTCTAGAGGCTAGGGATAAAAGATAAATATTATCTGACTTTAAGAAACTTACACAGAGAAGTTGAAACACACACATCCTCAAAAAAGAGGATATTTAATAAAAGTTATACTAGAGAGGGTATCCTAAACTATAAAATGGCCAGAAGATAAACAAAGTTTGGATTGGATAAATCCTTTAAACGAGATTAGTAGTGACAGAAATATATAGTGTATGTTGGGACTCAAATCTTAAAGTAAGTTATTTTGGAGGTATACTAAATTACCTAATTAATTTTGCTTTCGGCAGTATTTCTTTGAAGATCTAATTTCAGCTCTCATATAACAAATGCTATCTAGCTATTGATCCTTCCAACTTTCAAGTCTCAACATTTGTTCCTCTGTTGTTTCTTTACGACTGGTAGCTATTAGGGCTGTCATTACACAGTTCTACTCTGATACCCATATGAAGTGCAGTACATAAAAGGAGGCATTGTTTAAGGGGTTAGAGTTTATGCTGGTTGGCCCAAATTGTAATCTTCTCTGCTTACCTCTACCTACTTATTAAGTTTTAGGCCTGGAATTTACTTTTTATGTTAAGCAAAAAGTATAAAGATAAGAAATACTATAGCTATTAAAAACAATATGTTGAGATATAAAAATGTAAGCCTTGGGGTGAAGTTTTAAATTTGAAAGTGAATGTGCTTTCTGCATAACATATAGTTATTTGCTCACCTTGTTGGGGAGAATCCAATTTGGGAGAGGTGAAAGAGAACTAATGTTTGTTAAGCTTTTTATATGTTCTTACATATCCTCACAATGTTATAGAAATGCTGGGATCTGGATTGATCTCAAGTCTGCTCAACTCTAGGTTCTGTGTTCTTCCTATACACCATGTTGTTTCCCCTAATTTGTGCAAGAAACATAATTGATCTTCTGTGTTCAGTCTAGTTTCCCTCCAATTGAGACAGAAGGACTTTTAAAAAATGCATATCTCACCATATAACCTCCTGTGCCCAACATTTAAAACTTTTCTGTGGTTTTCTATTGCCCTAAGGTTAAGGGGAAAACTCCATAATATGATCCATGAAGCTTTGCATTCTATGGTGCCAATATTACTTTCCAGTCTCTGCTTATACCCATTGTCTTTCTACTTCAACCTTACACTGGTCATTTTTTACAATCCTTCCTGCCACAGGATTTTTGCACATGTCAGATTGTATAAAATATTCTTTGCTATTCTCTTAATCTAATTAACATCCTACAGGTCCTAGTTTAGAGATCACCTCATCAAGGCAGGTAGGTAAGAAGTGGGGAATGAGTGATTACGGAAGTTTGAGAGAGAAGGCCAACCACATGCAAGGAAACTGCATGAGTCTTACTGTTTTCCATAGAGGCTATGCCAATTTACATTCTCACCAACAGTGTCCAAGGGTTCCCTTTTTCCACATCCTCACCAGCATCTATTTTTTTTTAATTAAAGCCATCCTAACAGGTGTGAGGTGATATCTCATTGTGGTTTTTATTTGCATTTCCCTGATGATTAGTGACATTGAGCACCTTTCCATATATCTGTTGGTCCTTTGCATATCTATTCATGTCCTTTTACCATTTTCTTATCTGGTTATTTGGTTCTTGTGTGTTTGCTTATTTTTGCTATTGCATTGTTGGAGCTCCTTATATATTTTGAATATTAGCCCTTTATCCAATATTCAGATTGCAAACATTTTCTCTCATTCCAAGGTTGCCTTTTAATTTCATTGATTATTTTCTTTACTGTAGAGAAACTTTAAAGTTTGATGTAATCTGCTAAACTTAAAATCCAGGTGTTTTCCCCCTGTGTTTTCTTTTAGGAGTTCTACCGTTTCAGCTCTTACATTTTAAGTGTTTATCACTCCATGTTTAGTTGACATTTTGTATGGTGTAAGAAAAGAGTCCAATTTCATTCTTTTGCATATGGATTTCCAGTTTTCCCAACACCTTTTATTGAAGACTGTTCTATCCCCATTGTGTATTCCTAGCACCCCTGTCAATAATCAGTTGACCCTATATGCGTGGGTTTATTTCTGGGCTCTATATTCTGTTCCATTGTTTTAGATGTCTGTTTTAATGCCAGTGCCACACTGTTTTGGTTATTTAGCTCTGTAATACATTTTGAAATCAGGAAATGTGATGGCTCCTGCTTTGTGAATCTTGCTCAGAATTGGTCTGGCCTATCTGAGGTTGCTTTGTGCTTCCATAAAGATTTTAGGATTATTTTTCTACTTTTGTGAAAAATACCATGAGAATTTTGGTAGGAATTGCATTTAATCTGTAGATCACTTTGGGTGGTATAGATATTTTTACAATATTAATTCTTGCAATTCCTGAACATGGGGTATCTTTCTATTTATTTCTGTGTGCTTTAATTTATTTCATCAGTGTTCTATAATTTTCAATGTAAGGACTGTTGAATTAGAGGAGTAGACATGAAGTGGAGATATTGAGATATATATGTGAAGTACTAGATTTCACCTAATGTAAGGCACATGGAGTGGACCATAGGACACAATATGTCTTTTTGTGTTACAAATAGGTAATAAAATATCTGCTAATCAAACTGGAACAATACTTTGATTGTGGCTTGTTATGATACATCCTGATTTCAGAGTTGTTAAAACATGCAGAAATATGCATCTAAAACTGATGAAAAGAGTACTTAGAGGTATTGAGTGTAGAGAGGAAAAGAGACTAAAAGAGGTTAAGAATTAGTCTTTTAGTGATAGTGGTGAAATAGAAATTGATCTTGCCAAATCAGGCAGAGAATATAAAACATGAGCCCATTTAGGGTAAAGATAGTGTTTCATTTTGGACTTGTTGAGTTTCAGGCTCTTGTAGAACATTTGTCCAAGGTAATATATAGTCTAATTGTGGAAGAAAGTCTGAGCTTGAAGTAGAGACTTGGGAATCAGGTACACATAGTTTAGATATGCTTGAAATCATGACAATGGATGAAATCTCACAGAAAGCAATATAATGATAAATAGCGGTTACATAAGGGTCAAATTGTGTGAGAGACAGAAGAAGAAAGAAAAATGGGGACAAGAAGAAGTGAGTATCATGCCATGAAAGATAAAAGAACAGAAAATCTGCAAGAGACAACATAGTCATTAATATTCACTGCAGGAATGACTGGTAAGATAAGGACTAAACTGTTCATTGGGTTGAATCACTAATGAGCTCAGCAAGAATAGTCTCTGCAGAGAAATGGGAGCAGAAGCTAGGTTGCAGTGGATGGAAGAATGAACATGGGAACATAGACAGTTGGTATGAAACCAATTGCTCAGTAAGTGTCTTTGAGAGGAAGAGAGAAAGTGGACAAAATTTGTCAGAAGAATGAAAGGAAATAGTTTTAGAGCAAGAGAAAAGTTTAGTGAAGGAAAAATATTTTTAAACTGAGGGAAAGGAACCACTAGAGAAAGAATCTGAGAGAGTAGGAGAAAGGAAGGAGTTGTTCAAAGAATGGATGTGTGCTTGACATAATTCTGAATAGCCTTAACTTCCTCCCTAAAATAGAAACAAAGTTTTTTGCTGTATGATATTGCCATTGGTAAGGGTTCTAATTATTAGAAATTAAAAACATTTTCTAACTTAATAAACAACATTTCCTATGTTTTTATATATAGGATTAAAATAGCAAAGTCCAAATAGCAAAGTTATAGTAAAAAGAGAGGGACTACTCTGATAAAGGTAGTTCAGGCAGATATGCTTTATTGCTTTCTACATTTTATTATGTTCATTCAAGGCATGAGCTATGTACTGCAAAACCAAAATCTAGAACAATAACCAAGTATTGCAGCTGAAATGGTAGCAAAGCAAAATGGCAGCATGGTTAAGAGGTCATTGAAAATGACTCACAACATTTTATCCTTTTCGTACCACCTTTTACCACACAGAGTTTCAGATGAGATAACGCAATGAATAAAATTGTTTTACCCCCAGAGAGAGCATTAAAAAATGTTCAACTGTCTACTGGAGGAATAATGGAGACTTTTTAAATTATAAGAAGGCAGCTTGATCTTTTGACTCTCTGTCATGAAATGTGAGTAATGAGACTTATTCACAAATTCTAAGAATGAAATGATAAAATAAACTTCTTAAATATAGTTAAAAATACTCTAAGATTTAAATGCTTTAATCACCCTTGAAAATTTGACTGGAAATGCATCCTCTTAAATTCTTAAAGATAGATACCCACTCTAATGTTCTTTTCCCTCTTGACAAGTAAATTCTTATTTTACACCTACTGCCAGGTAGTGAATAAAGTTTACAATGTCTGAAGAAACAATTTTGTTTTAAATAAATCCCAACTGAATATTAATGAACACATTAAAAGTGATGATCTTCCTGCATTTTTAAAATTTTATTTTATGATTAATTTAATCATTAAATAGAATATTTTATATGCAATAAAAGAATATTTTGCAACAACAGTATTCAATACTGAAATGCTTTTACAAACAGTGGCTAAATATTAATTTTAGCACCTTTTGCAAAAGATTAATATTTATTCAAAATTAGATTTTCAAAAATCTATTTAAGCTGTTATAAATATTGGTTAAAAGACCATGGTTGAGAAGTCACATTATTTAATCCATTGAAGGTGACAGCTGTGAATTACATAAATGTGTAGTTATGGACTTTTGATCATTTATTACTTGTTTACCAGCCTGTAATGGCTTTGAATAGTCCACTGTGTAAGCACATATTTAATAATTTCAAGGACTGTATTTTATTATTTGGCATACTTTGTACCAAAGCATGATGAAAAAGGTGTTTTCTTAGTACTATTCTGGGGCCATTGCAGGTATTCACAAGTGATTCTAAAACATATTATTTACTAGTGTGAGGTTTGAGAATTTGTATGTTTCCAAAGTATGCATTGCTGCCCCTGTATAAACTCTATGGAGGTTTTTTCAGATGTACTTTTCTAGGGAAAAAAATCTTATTCCTATATTTTTCAACCTTACCTTTACCTTTGACCTTGCCCTAGACTGTCTTCTTGAAAAAAAATATAGTCTTGACAGCAGCAATTACTTAATTGCCACCTCATTTCCTGTTTTTCCTGTAACTCTGATCTCAGAAAGATGTCTCCACCTGTACCACTGGCATCCTATTTCTTAGTTCACGGATAGCTTCCACCTTCTAAAGTCTAGACTTTCAAGTACCTCATAGCACTGAACTAATTACCACTATGCTGTCTATCACCATATATCACTTCAATTTCTGAGTTTGTTTTAGAAGACTAAATATTCTTTTCTCACAATTTGCCATTCTTCCTGTCTCACTCTTTTATTGTTTTAACAGAGCCTGCATTCTCTAATTCATATTGTAAAAATTGTCCCAACTTACTATTAACTCATTTACCTTAGTAACTGGGATTTGTGCATAAATGAAAAAAAAATGGCTTTAGGAATTTATAAGTACACATAATACTACAGAAGTTTAGAGCTGTACATAATCTTGCAGGTCATCTATTGAGACTCTCATTATTATTATTGAGACATCTCTTAGTGGAACGCTAAGGCAAGAAAACTCAAGTGACCTTGATCCTACTGATGACAAATGACAACACTAGGACTAAAGTTTAGGTCTTCTTAGTACTTCATTGTGTCTGCTGTGGTTATTTATTATCACATAATAAATATGTGCAAGTGGCATAGGATGTCACTAGAGAAGGAGATTCAGACCAGACTAAAAAATGTCTTGCATATGCATTATTTTCATATACTACATGTTATGTGGCCTAAGATACATTTGATTGCTAAATACCCTGTATTTGTGTGTGCATATATATATATATATATATATACACACACATATATATAAATAGGGAGAGAGTGCGCAAAACTTAACACACATATAGCAGTAATAGTTCAAATTAGTATAGAATCTTGAAATAAATTGCATTGGCATTAGCAGTACCATCTAACTTACCTTCCATTAATTTTTCTGTTAATTTTAATAAGTAACCATACGTAATTAACTGATAATCAAATTTTACATTTACGTCTTGACAAAGTAATGTTACTAAGCTGAAAACATAAACACACTGGTTTAAATTTGTGTTGCTGCCTCGCATAAAATGATATAAAACAACATTTACTAAAGGCAATGGAAAATCATGATTGCTGTGCTCAAGTAAAAGTTTTGGAATTTAAGAAGCACTTAGTTGGTGCATTAGGCCATTTAGGATGTTTCAACGTCTCAATTGACTGTAATTCCTATCTGCTCAAGTGCCCTGTTAATGACCTTCCATCTCCAAGTAAGCAGAGGAATTCAATGTTTATACTTTAAAAAAAAAGAAATCTCTACCACAAACAGATTGAAGGACAGGTTCTTTTCATTCTATCTTCACTATGACAGGAGAGAGTAAATTGTTACCACTACATCAATTGAGAGAAGCTTACCTTTAGTGGCTCTTAATGAAAGCCCTCATTGACAAAACAAAATCAACACACCCAGGTATAAGGAAGCCACTTGAGTGTTTTCTATTTCTTATTGTCTAACAGTGAGTAATTATATTTATAAGGTCTAAACAAGCAATGAAATTTACCCACACTTACACTTTAACTTTGGTGACATGTAGCAAACAGTTAGGTCTCTAGGCTTCCTGTAGAGATGTCACTCCAACATATAAATATATTCAGATTTCCATGCAGAGACAAAAAGTCCTAGTACTGGGATGCTGCTACAAAGAAGTTTCTTCTTTGATCCCATGCCTAAAATAATTTTGGAACCTAAAATACACCAATATCTAGATGAATTGGTACCAAATTAAGAAAGCAGAAAAACTTGTTTTATCTTATCTTAAAGTAGAGAAAAGAGGCAGCAGCTAACCATTAAAACTTAAGGTAAAAGACCACTGTGTCTCAGAGGTACGTTGAGATGTTGAATTTAACATCAAATAAACGATTAACAACAAACACGAGGCACCTGATATCATCTTTCTTTGTAAGCATAAAAAAGGCATTTTGTGGCCAGGCATGGTGGCTCACACCTGTAATCCCAGCACTTAGGGAGGCCGAGGTGGGTGGATCATGTCAGGAGATTGAGACCAGCCTGGCCAACATGGTGAAACCCCATCTCTACTAAAAATACAAAGATTTGCAGGGTGTGGTGGTGGGTGCCTGTAATCCCAGCTACTTGGGAGGCTGAGACAGGAGAATCGCTTGAACTGGGGAGGTGGAAGTTTCAGTGAGCCGAGATTACGCCATTGCACTCCAGCCTGGGTGACAGGAGCAAAACTCCATCTCAAAAAAAAAAAAAAAAAAGGCATTTTGTATCTCCTATCTCCTAATATTTTTATTCTCAGATAATTTTTTGTTTCCAGCAGTGTGCAATATGATCCTTCTAACCTACAGAAAGAGTATTCCATCTTATTTTGTATGATGTAATTTTTATATTCAGAATATAAATATATTGAAGCAAAATATCAGAATAATGACATTAATGTCTTGAACTATTTTAAAAAATCAAACAAAATATATAAAATTATATATTATTTCAGTTACAGTATTTTCCATGGATTTAAACTGACATAATGCAATTTTGTTATAGTATCAATAAATATTCCTTTGAGCAGAACGCAGATTTATTTTGATAGCAGCCATTTTCCCTGTATTTTAAAATAAATAAATAAATAAACCTGAATGGCAAAAATACAAGGATTCCTTTAGGAATCATCTCAAATCAGAAGAGATTAAGTCAGACAGGTCTTTTCACTGACTGAATTGTGTGTTTTCCTCTACACTACAAATAAAAGTACATTTTTAAAAATGCAAGACAATGAAAAAGATTGTCACAAGAAAGTTTTACACAAATTAATGCTAGCCATATGGACAAAATAAAGTTTTTCAAGGCATCATGTCAAACAGCTGCCAAATTTTCACCTGATGGGGTAAGAGGAAGCTGATCTGTGTTGCTGGAGAGGGGGGATGAAGGATTGGGTAGGGAGGACATGCTGGGGAGAAGGAGAAAAAGGAGCAGGTGGCGTAGGATGTCACTAGGGAAGTAGGTTCGGACCAGACTAGAAAAAAATGTCTACATGATGTGAAGTTTCTGAGGCTTAGATTTTATCTTGTAAGTCACAGGGACCAGTGGTGGTTTTTCAAGCTGGAGAGTAATTCTTGGCTTTGATTCTTCACTGTCTCATATTCCACCAGTAAATAGGAAGTGTCATGAAGAGAATGTCTCTATAATTTACAGGGTTTAATGAATATTTTAGAAGTGGATATTCTCATGGTTGTTGGAAGGATTTAAGTAGAACTGGAAGTAATCAAGGAAAGCAAAGGAAGGATATCTTAGTAGGAAAAGTGACTTGTGCAAAATCTGATAAAAGTAGACACATACGCATTTCAGCAGTAAGAATCAGAGGTGGGCTTGAGCAGTCAGTGGTACTCTGAAACAGTGTTTAAGAGCACAAGCTTTGGAGTCATCTACTTGAGTTCAGATTTCAGCCCCAACACATGCTCTAGTTGAATAAACTTGAGCAAAGTGTCAGAATTACTCTGGCTGCTTTATGTGAATGAAAAAGAAAGAAAGACAATGAGGAAAAGGGCAAGAAGAGAGTGGAAAAGAAAGGAAGGGTAGGAAAGGAAGGAGAAGGGAGGGGAGGCAAAGGGACAAACTTATGCACAGATGTGGAGTAACTAAAGGACTCAAATGGTACGTCTTGCAACAATGGGCAGGAAGCTGGCAACGCTCACGGATTTGTAGTAAAAATAATATGTCGTTAGTTTTAACCAATTGCCTTCTGTTCTACAATTATATTATTTCTAATTTTCATTTTTATGGGTGTATATAAAATTGCATCTCTATATCACACATTTTACCCTAAAATACTAATAAATATGGAATTACTGCATTATAAATACTGTACCATTTAAAACTTTTGATACATATTACCAAATTTAAATTTCAGAAAATTGTTGTCAAGTTACTCTTCCATCAATATATGAGTGACCAATTTCTTTTTTTTTATTTTTTTTATTTTATTATTATTACACTTTTACAGTTTTGGGGTACATGTGCACAATGTGCAGGTTAGTTACATATGTATACATGTGCCATCCTGGTGTGCTGCACCCATTAACTCGTCATTTAGCATTAGGTATATCTCCTAATGCTATCCCTCCCCCCTCCCCCAACCCCACAACAGTCCCCAGAGTGTGATGTTCCCCTTCCTGTGTCCATGTGTTCTCATTGCTCAATTCCCACCTGTGAGTGAGAACATGTGGTGTTTGGTTTTTTGTCCTTGCAATAGTTTACTGACAATGATGATTTCCAATTTCATCCATGTCCCTACACAGGACATGAACTCATCATTTTTTATGGCTGCATAGTATTCCATGGTGTATATGTTCCACATATTCTTAATCCAGACTATCATTGTTGGACATTTGCGTTGGTTCCATGTCTTTGCTATTGTGAATAGTGCCGCAGTAAACATACGTGTGCATGTGTCTTTACAGTAGCATGATTTATAGTCCTTTGGGTATATACCCAGTAATGGGATGGCTGGGTCAAATGGTATTTCTAGTTCTAGATCCCTGAGGAATCGCCACACTGACTTCCACAATGGTTGAACTAGTTTACAGTCCCACCAACAGTGGAAAAGTGTTCCTATTTCTCCACATCCTCTCCAGCACCTGTTGTTTCCTAACTTTTTAATGATTGCCACTCTAACTGGTGTGAGATGGTGTCTCATTGTGGTTTTGATTTGCATTTCTCTGATAGCCAGTGATGGTGAGAATTTTTTCATCTGTTTTTTGGCTGCATAAATGTCTTCTTTTGAGAAGTGTCTGTTCATGTCCTTTGCCCAATTTTTGATGGGGTTGTTTGTTTTTTTCTTGTAAATTTGTTTGAGTTCATTGTAGATTCTGCATATTAGCCCTTTGTCAGATGAGTAGGTTGCAAAAATTTTCTCCCATATTGTAGGTTGCCTGTTCACTCTGATGGTAGTTTCTTTTGCTGTGCAGAAGTTCTTTAGTTTAATTAGGTCCCATTTGTCAATTTTGGCTTTTGTTGCCATTGCTTTTGGTGTTTTGGACATGAAGTCCTTGCCCATGGCTATGTCCTGAATGGTAATGCCTAGGTTTTCTTCTAGGGTTTTTATGGTTTTAGGTCTAACGTTTAAGTCTTTAATCCATCTTGAATTAATTTTTGTATAAGGTGTAAGGAAGGGGTCCAGTTTCAGCTTTCTACATATGGCTAGCCAGTTTTCCCAGCACCATTTAGTAAATAGGGAATCCTTTCCCCGTTGCTTGTTTTTCTCAGGTTTGTCAAAGATCAGATAGTTGTAGATATGTGGCGTTATTTCTGAGGGCTCTGTTCTGTTCCATTGATCTATATCTCTGTTTTGGTACCAGTACCATGCTGTTTTGGTTACTGTAGCCTTGTAGTATAGTTTGAAGTCAGGTAGCATGATGCCTCCAGCTTTGTTCTTTTGGCTTAAGATTGACCTGGTGATGCGGGCTCTTTTTTGGTTCCATATGAACTTTAAAGTAGTTTTTTCCAATTCTGTGAAGAAAGTCATTGGTAGCTTGATGGGGATGGCATTGAATCTATAAATTACCTTGGGCAGTATGGCCATTTTCATGATATTGATTCTTCCTACCAATGAGCATGGAATGTTCTTCCATTTGTTTGTATCCTCTTTTATTTCATTGAGCAGTGGTTTGTAGTTCTCCTTGAAGAGGTCCTTCACGTCCCTTGTAAGTTGGATTCCTAGGTATTTTATTCTCTTTGAAGCAATTGTGAATGGGCATTCACTCATGATTTGGCTCTCTGTTTGTCTGTTATTGGTGTATAATAATGCTTGTGATTTTTGTACATTGATTTTGTATACTGAGACTTTGCTGAAGTTGCTTATCAGCTTAAGGAGATTTTGGGCTGAGACAGTGGGGTTTTCTAGATATACAATCATGTCATCTGCAAACAGGGACAATTTGACTTCTTCTTTTCCTAATTGAATACACTTTATTTCCTTCTCCTGCCTAATTGCCCTGGCCAGAACTTCCAACACTATGTTGAACAGGAGTGGTGAGAGAGGGCATCCCTGTCTTGTGCCAGTTTTCAAAGGGGATGCTTCCAGTTTTTGCCATTCAGTATGATATTGGCTGTGGGTTTGTCATAGATGGCTCTTATTATTTTGAGATACGTCCCATCAATCACTGTCAACATTAGACAGATCAACGAGACAGAAAGTTAACAAGGATACCCAGGAATTGAACTCAGCTCTGCACCAAGCAGACCTAATAGACATCTACAGAACTCTCCACCACAAATCAACAGAATATAAATTTTTTCAGCACCGCACCACACCTATTCCAAAATTGACCACATAGTTGGAAGTAAAGCTCTCCTCAGCAAATGTAAAAGAACAGAAATTATAACAAACTGTCTCTCAGACCACAGTGCAATCAAACTAGAACTGAGGATTAAGAAACTCACTCAAAACCGCTCAACTACATGGAAACTGAACAACCTGCTCCTCAATGACTACTGTGTACATAACGAAATGAAGGCAGAAATAAAGATGTTCTTTGAAACCAATGAGAACAAAGACACAACATACCAGAATCTCTGGGACACATTCAAAGCAGTGTGTAGAGGGAAATTTATAGCACTAAATGCCCACAAGAGAAAGCAGGAAAGATCCAAAATTGACACCCTAACATCACAATTAAAAGAACTAGAAAAGCAAGAGCAAACACATTCAAAAGCTAGCAGAAGGCAAGAAATAACTAAAATCAGAGCAGAACTGAAGGAAACAGAGACACAAAAAACCCTTCAAAAAATTAATGAATCCAGGAGCTAGTTCTTTGAAAGGATCAACAAAATTGATAGACCGCTAGCAAGACTAATGAAGAAGAAAAGAGAGAAGAATCAAATAGATGCAATAAAAAATGATAAAGGGGATATCAACACTGATCCCACAGAAATACAAACTACCATCAGAGAATACTACAAACACCTCTATGCAAATAAACTAGAAAACCTAGAAAAAATGGATAAATTCCTCGACATATACACCCTCCCAAGACTAAACCAGGAAGAAGTTGAATCTCTGAATAGACCAATACCAGGCTCTGAAATTGTGGCAATAATCAATAGCTTACCAACCAAAAAGAGTCCAGGACCAGATGGATTCACAGCCGAATTCTACCAGAAGTACAAGGAGGAACTGGTACCATTCCTTCTGAAACTATTCCAATCAATAGAAAAAGAGAGAATCCTCCGTAACTCATTTTATGAGGCCAGCATCATCCTGATACCAAAGCCGGGCATAGACACAACCAAAAAAGAGAATTTTGGACCAATATCCTTGATGAACATTGATGCAAAAATCCTCAATAAAATACTGGCAAACCGAATCCAGCAGCACATCAAAAAGCTTATCCACCATGATCAAGTGGGCTTCATCCCTGGGATGCAAGGCTGGTTCAATATACGCAAATCAATAAATGTAATCCAGCATATAAACAGAACCAAAGACAAAAACCACATGTTTATCTCAATAGATGCAGAAAAGGCCTTTGACAAAATTCAACAACCCTTCATGCTAAAAACTCTCAATAAATGAGTGACCAATTTCTTACACTCTTCACAATACTCTGTATTACAACTTTGTTTCACATATTGTCTTTGACAACGTGATAGGTGTAAATGGTATGGCTTTTTTTTTTATTTACATTTTTTGGATAATTCGTGATTTGACTATTTTATGCTTATTAGTTATTTACCCTTTTTATTTTGTGCATCTCCTGTGTGCCTCATGACATTTTTATTGGAGTATATGTTAATTTTAGTAATATTTTATTAAGTATATAAAGGGAAAAGATCAAAGGGTGAGAGACTTATTTTTGGAAAACATCCACAGTCGTGAGTATACAATAAATCAGGACTCAAAAGAGGTAAATGAGGAATGAGGACAGCCTTGCATACGGAAACAACTGGCAATGTTTCTCCAGGAAGAGTATAGAAGGTTATGGGCAGGAATAACGGGGAGAAAGTCTGTTGATTTGGTAGTGGGAGAATCATAAATGATCCCTGAGCATAAGTAAAGCCTACTATTGATGTTTTCTTACATTCTGAGATTACTTTTGGCTCCACTGAGTTTGGCATTGTCCTCTGCAGCCCTATGCAGCTGGCACAACTAGGAAATTATGAACTTGACAGAAAGATGCCAGCAAATTTCTGCAGAGTAAGAGACGCAGTCTTGCACCCAGCCAGGAGAAGGATTTCCTGGCATTCAGAGACCCTCAGCATGAGTTTCATGAGGCCTTCAAGTTGTCCCTTCTACCTTCCTCATGTGACTTTATTACCTTCCTGACTTTCCCAGCTGGCTGGCTATAGCCTCTGCCAGTACATCAGGTGGAAGAAACTAGTAGCAATTACTGCTTTTCCTTAATTATTCCTGTAACACTAGGAAAGTTTGTTGTCTAATTCACAGCAATAGGCCCAGAACCTACATCTTCTCAGGCTTTCTTCAAATGTTATTTCACTGTAATTTATAACATTTACTGAACCATTTAAAAACATTTAAAAAATAATAATATTTTCCCTATGAATCATTTCCTTTTTTTTTTTTTGCTCTGTCACCCAGGATGGAGTGCAGTGGCGTGATCTTGGCTCACTGCAACCTCCACCTCCCAGGTTCAAGCAGTTCTCCTGCCTCAGCCTCCTGAGTAGCTGGGACTACAGGTGCATGCCACCACGCCTGGCTAATTTTTTTTGTATTTTTAGCAGAGACGGGATTTCACCGTGTTAGCCAGGATGGTCTCAATCTCCTGACGGCGTGATCCGTCTGCCTTGGCCTCCCAAAGTGCTGAGATTATAGGCGTGAGCCATCATGCCCGGCCCTATGCATCATTTCTATATTTATGTATTTTCTTGTCTTCTCTCTCTTTTCTTCTCCCTTTATCTTTTTCTCACATCTTTGTTTCACTTTTTAAAAAATTCCAACTTCCATTTTAGATTCAGTTGGTACATGTGCAGGTTTGTTACATGGGTATATTGCATGATGCTGAGGTTTGGGGTACAATTGATCCTGTCACCCAAGTAGTGAGCATAGTGCCCAATAGGTAGCTTTCAACCCTTGCCACCTCCCTCCCTGCCCTGGCAGTCCCCGGTGCCTGTTGTTTTTTATGTCCATGTGTACTCAAGCTTTAGCTTCCACTTATAAATCTCACATCTTCTTTTTTCATGCCCATACTAAAAGAGTTATAGGTATCTCATGTACACACAAGCACAAAAAAGTCATGCTTTTCACAATATACAGAAACGGCTTTAAAAGGTTTTAAATCTGTCAGTGGTAATTGTTTCTGACAATAAAACTGTGGACTTTTTCTAGCTATAGCTCCCATCCTGCAGGTCCACTGATCCTTAGAAAAGAGAATGCAAGAGAAAGGATTCTCTCATCCATGTATTCCCTTCTTGGTCACATATGTCAGAAATATTCATATCTCAAATGGCAAACATGCTGTTCTCACCACTTGAATATTTTCTTATTCCATATTTCCTCATTCCACTCCATTTCTGAAGTAGAGAATTGGCATTATACAGAAGAAAAAGTATGTGCTCAAGCTCCATCCAAATCCAGTTTTGCTGCTTAATAGTTCTGTGACCCTGGAGAAGTTAACTGAACTCTCTTGGCCTCAATTTCTTTATCTATAATGTGGATTTTTTAAAAAGCTGCCTTACATTTCATTTGGAGGAAATATGAATTGCTTAACAACTGTCAGCTCCCTACCGCCTACAAATCTAGGAATTATCTATTATAGCCGAAAATTCAAATAGCATGAGCCTAAATATGGAAGTATACCAAATTGTATCATAATGCAAAGATAATTTTGAATCAGTCTAATTGCTTAGGATTGTGATATATTCCTTCCATATTTTAATTTGTAATGTACGTTCCTCTTCGATTCTTAATAGTTTTATTTCTATTGCTTTAATTACAGGGTCTCACTCTGTCACCCAGGCTGGAGTGCAGTGGCGTGATCATGGCTCACTCCAGCCTTGACCGCCTGGGTTCAAGAGATCCTCCCACCTCAGCCTCCTGAATAGCTGGGGCTACAGGTACATGCCATCATGCCTGGCTATTTTTTTTTTAATTTTTTTTTAGAGATGGAGTCTCACTATGTTGCCTAGGCTGGTCTTGAATGCCTGGCCTCAAGTGATCTTCCCACCTCAGCTTTCCAAAGTGTTGAGATTACAGGTGTGAGGCACCACGCCTGGCCTCTTAATAGTTTTAAAATAATTTTCAAATGTCTCTTATTGTCATACTCTATAATACTTATGTATATGAAGTTTTTGAAGAGTATTTTGCTCTTCAAGCAGAAGTCTCTGATATTTGAGCTTGAAAAAGTTAGTAAAATCTGTCAACTATGCTGTCAGGCACAGTAGCAAGATTTATATCTACTTATACAATACTCCCATGCCATGAAAAAGAAGCTTTAGTCTTTCAAACTACACTACTATGTCAATTAAGAATAATATTGATAATGAATATGGATAAGTTAATTCACTCATAATTTACTTAGGTCATATAACTAATTACAGATTATAGATAACTACAGTTAAGCTGATCATGAAACCAAGTCAAATGGGTGGTCTACAGAGTAATCTCACAGTTCAAATCTGTATGCTGTCCTAAGAGCCTGAAGCTAAACAGAAGCAATATTGGTTCATTGTACATAGATATAGAGTCTCTTCTCTTGGCTTAATTTTGCTCTTTTCTACAATTACCTTTTATAAGGCAGATAGAGAGATTAGGGTGAGAAGGGATGGTGGGGGCTTGACTACATAGTAAAATTGAATTCAAATTTGTTCTTCAGAACATACTGTCACCTTAAGTTTGAAAGTAAGGCAGAGAGTTAGAAGTCCAAGGTAACCCCAAAGTTGTGTTCAGAAAGAACTACCTGGAAGAAAGTCTCCTTATACACTGAAGATGGATTAGAGTCTTACCCAAGCAAAAGTAACAAAGGAGGCATAATGACAATAAGTCTCAAAACTGTGAACTGCATTTTTCTGATCTTTGCCAGCATATCAAGAGACATTGTTTTGTGCTGTGTGAAATCAGCTCAAGGGCAGGGATGAATATAAGCTCATAGTTCACACTCATCTATCTCCTTCTCATGAATACATGTTATTTTATAAAAGGAAAATTGAATATATCTTTTTTGGTATATTTTATTAACATTGTATAAAGTGACAAAAGCTAGGTTTATTTTGTTTTAACTTTGATCATCTTTGAGGTAGGGTCTTAATTACTTTTCATTCACCAAAGTAACATTTTCTCTATTTTTTATTTTTATTTTAACTTTTATTTTAGGTTCAGGGGTACATGTGCAGGTTTATTACATAGGTGAACTCATGTAACAGGGGTTTGCTGTACAGATTATTTCATCACCCAGGTACTAAGCCCTAGTGCCCAATAGTTATTTCTGCTGCGTTCATCCTCCCACTCTCCACCCTCTGGTAGGACCCTATGTCTGCTGTTCCCTTCTTTCTGTCCATGAATTCTCATCATTTAGCTCCCACTTACAAGTGAGAACATGTAGTATTTGGTTTTTGGTTTTTGAGTTAGTTTGCTAAGGATAATGACCTCCAGCTCCATCCATGTCCCCACAAAAGACATAATCTCATTCTTTTTTATGGCTGAATAGTATTCCATGGTGTATTTATACTACATTATTTTAATCCAGTCTCTCATGGATGGGCATTTAGGTAGATTACATTTCTATTCTATTGTGAATATGGTCTTTTCTATTGTGAACTGTGCTACAATGAACATACATGTGCATATGTCTTTATGGTAGAAGGATTTACGTTCCTTTGGATATATACCCAGTAATGAGATTGGTGGATCGAATGGCAGTTCTGTTTTTAGCTCTTTGAGGAATCACCACACTGCTTTCCACAATGGTTGAACTAACCAAAAATGGTTGAACTGAGCCAAAAACGGTGAATAAGCATTCCCTTTTCTCTGCAACTTTGCCAGCATCTGTTATGGTTTGACTTTGTAATAGCCATTCTGACTGGTGTGAGATGGTATCTCATTGTGGTTTTGATTTGCATTTCTCTATGATCAGTGATGTTCAGCTCTTTTTAATATGATGGTTGGCTGCATGTATGTCTTCTTTTGAAAAGTATCTGTTTATGTTCTTTGCCTACTTTTTAATGGGGTCGTTTGCTTTTTTTCTTGTAAATTTTTTAAGTTCCTTATAGATGCTGGATAGTAGAACTTTGTCAGATGCATAGTTTGCAAATATAATATTTTCTCCCATTCTGTAGGTTGTCTGTTTACTCTGTTGATAGTTTATTTTGCAATGCAGAGCTCTTTAGATTAATTAGATCTCATTTGTCAATTTTTACTTTTGTTGCAATTGCTTTTGGCATCCTTATCATGAAATATTTGCCCATACTTATGTAAAGAATGGTATTGCCTAGGTTGTCTTCTAGGATTTTTATAGATTTTGGTTATATTTTCATTTTTTAATCCATCTTGAGTTTATTTTTATGTATTGTGTAAGGAAGTTTCAATCTTCTGCTTATGGTTAGCCCATTATCCCAGCAGCATTTATTGAATAGAAAGTCCTTTCTCCATTGCTTGTTTTTGTCAGCTATGTTGAAGATCAAATTGTTGTATATATGTGACCTCATTTCTGGGCTCTCTGTTCTGTTCCATTGGTATATGTGTCTGTTTTTGTACTAGCATCATGCTGTTTTGGTTATTGTAGCCCTACAGTATAGTTTGAAGTCAGATAGCATGATGCCTCCTGCTTTGCTCTTTTTGCTTAGGACTGTCTTCACTATTTGAGCTCTTTTTTGGTTCTATATGAATTTTGAAACATTATTTGCTATTTCTGTAATGAACATCTTTAGTAGTTTGATGACAACAGCATTGAATCTGTAAATTGCTTTGGGCAGTATCACCATTTTAGTGATATTGATTCATCTTATCCATGAACTTAGAATATTTTTCCATTTGTTTGTGTCATCTCTGATTTATTTTAGCAGTGTTTTGTAATTCTCTTTGTAGAGATCTTTTACTTCCCTGGTTAGCTATATGTCTAGGTAAAATTTCTTATTTTTTTAACATCTTATAGTAAGACCCTTTTATAATGAAAAATTAATATATGGTAAAGTTTAGTAAAGCCAATATTTCTCAGCAATTAATGAATTCATAAGAAAGGGAAAAACTGAGGAGGTGTGTCTGGAACTAATTACATGTGAAAAAAGGGTAGATTCTTTATGAGCGGAGGAAAGAATGAAAATCATTATTAGTAGATAAAAGAGATAGGAAAGATGAGGAGAAAGGGAGGGAAATAGGGAAGAAGGCAGAAAGCAGAAATGAAAGAAAATTTACATAGACATAAAGGCAGAGATATGTATGTAATGCAGGCATTTAGTAGATAGAGAAGCACCTATTTAGAGCAGACTTGTGTTTTAGAATTTTGTTTTTTACTTACTTTTTCTTCATGGAGTGAACTGGAGAAGGATAGAAGAGGTTTCTAGTTTCAGCCACTTCCAAAAGAGGCAGACTCGATCTTTCAGAAGTAACTCTGGCATCTGGGTTACAGTTTTAAGACGGACATTGAAAATTTGCAAGGTAAAAATAAGTTTCCCACTAAGGTATGTACTAGATATCAATAAGATTTTATAGTTTAAATAGATCATATTCAGTGGTATTTTTAATAAGATTTCTTTTGATTTGGTATACTGCTAATCGAGCTTTAACTTAGCTGATACAACAAATCAATAAACTCAGTTTCAAACTCAAAAACTATGACTTCTTAAATTTTTTTGCATTGCAAAAATAATACAGGTACTTTAGACTCTTTTCACTTGTGCAAAAATTTTTAATGACAATAGCTACTATCCACATGGGAGAATTTAGTGGATAATAATAACATCTGAAAAATATTCCAAATATACCAATAAGAGTAATTAAAAGGGATTTATCTTATTTATTCTTTCCATACAGCTATGTTGCTCACATTGGGAAGCAAAACTTCCCATATCAGACAATATTATCTGATAAACTCACCACTTCTAAAATTAATACCCATTCAAGCATCTCTCCCCATTTAAATCTTTATCTGCCCATTACATAAGGCTTTGATCAATGTTTACATGGTTGCCTGATCTTGCAAAAAAAATTGATGAAGTAATTTTAAAACAGCCAAAAATTGATTAAAAAGTAACAGTATAAATCTTTAGTGATAAATTGATTAAAAAGTAAAAGTATAAATCTTGCAATAGACATGGTATTATAGAGTGTTGATAAAGTGAGTTTAGGTAATTGCTTGACAAACCATATCCCAAAGCCTTTGACAAGGGAGAGAATTTCAGAGTTAGATAAGTTAGAACTTGAAGAAAAGCAAATAGCAAGGGTGATGAGTCAGTTGTTACTTCATAATAGAATTACTTAAGAACCAAAAAACTCTGTGAAGAAAGTCATTGGTAGCTTGATGGGGATGACATTGAATCTATAAATTACCTTGGGTAGTATTGCCATTTTCACGATATTGATTCTTCCTACCCATGAGCATGGAATGTTCTTCCATTTGTTTGTATCCTCTTTTATTTCATTGAGCAGTGGTTTGTAGTTCTCCTTGAAGAGGTCCTTCACGTCCCTTTTAAGTTGGATTCCTAGGTATTTTATTCTCTTTGAAGCAATTGTGAATGGGAGTTCACTCATGATTTGGCTCTCTGTCTGTTACTGGTGTATAAGAATGCTTGTGATTTTTGTACATTGATTTTGTATCTTGAGACTTTGTTGAAGTTGCCTATCAGCTTAAGGAGATTTTGGGCTGAGACGATGGGGTTTTCTAGATATACAATCATGTCGTCTGCAAACAGGGACAATTTGACTTCCTCTTTTCCTAATTGAATACCCTTTATTTCCTTCTCCTGCCTGATTGCCCTGGCCAGAACTTCCAGCAGTATGTTGAATAGGAGTGGTGAGAGAGGGCATCTGTGTCTTGTGCCAGTTTTCAAAGAGAATGCTTCCAGTTTTCACCCATTCAGTATGATATTGGCTGTGGGTTTGTCATAGATAGCTCTTATTATTTTGAGGTATGTCCCATCAATACCTAATTTATTGAGAGTTTTTAGCATGAAGTGTTGTTGAATTTTGTCAGAGGCCTTTTCTGCATCTATTGAGATAATCGTGTGGTTTTTGTCATTGGTTCTGTTTATATGCTGGATTATGTTTATTGATTTGCATATGTTGAACCAGCCTTGCATCCCAGGGATGAAGCCCACTTGATCATGGTGGATAAGCTTTTTGATGTGCTGCTGGATTCAGCTTGCCTGTGTTTTATTGAGGATTTTTGCATCAATGTTCATCAGGGATATTGGTCTAAAATTCTCTTTTTTTGTGTCTCTGCCAGGCTTTGGTATCAGGATGATGCTGGCCTCATAAAATGAGTTAGGGAGGATTCCCTCTTTGAGAAATGCAAATCAAAACCACAATGAGATACCATCTCACACTAGTTAGAATGGCGATCATTAAAAAGTCAGGAACAACAGGTGCTGGAGAGGATGTGGAGAAATAGGAACACTTTTACACTGTTGGTGGGACTGTAAACTAGTTCAACCATTGTGGAAGTCAGTGTGGCGATTCCTCAGGGTATTTCTAGAACTAGAAATACCATTTGACCCAGCCATCCCATTACTGGGTATATACCCAAAGGATTATAAAACATGCTGCTATAAAGACACATGCACATGTATGTTTATTGTGGCACTATTCACAATAGCAAAGACTTGGAACCAACCCAAATGTCCAACAGTGATAGACTGGATTAAGAAAATGTGGCACATATACACTATGGAATACTATGCAGCCATAAAAAGTGATGAGTTCATGTCCTTTGTAGGGACATGGATGAAGCTGGAAACCATCATTCTCAGCAAACTATCGCAAGGACAAAAACCCAAACAACGCATGTTCTCACTCATAGGTGGGAATTGAGCAATGAGAACACATGGACACAGGAAGGGGAACATCACACACCAGGGCGTGTTGTGGGGTTGGGGGAGGGGGGAGGGATAGCATTAGGAGATATACCTAAGGTTAAATGACAAGTTAATGGGTGCAGCACACCAACATGGCACATATATACATATGTAACTAACCTGCACGTTGTGCACATGTACCCTAAAACTTAAAGTATAATAAAAAATAAATAAATAAATAAATAAGAACAAAAAAACTAACTCTTTGGAAAGTTAATGAATTAATACATATGTGTGTAAAACTCAAGCTCATTAAGATCACGTTGGAAAAGTTTAAAGATAAGTAAAGGTTGCCACATGTGATTTTACAGAATGGTTGAAAAATTATGTGCTAACTCATCCCCCAAAATTCACAAATTCTTTTTTCATGTCTAAAAATTAGTATGCAGTGGCAATAGCTTTATTGTTTTGTGGTAAATATGCTTATTTTCATAAATTTTGATTTAATTTCTCATGACAGACACCAACCATTTTTTCATTTGGTAGCATGAAAACATAATTATTCAATTATAGCAGATTTATTTTTGTTTTTTCCTGTTACTAATTATTTCAGTTTATAAAGATGTATTGCACGTCAATATACATATTAGTTTCTAATTTCTGTTACAATATCTTATTCATAAAATAGAATTAGTTGTAAAAGTAGTACGGAATAGTGGTTTGGTATAGACAGCAAGTAGTACTGAATAGTGGTTTGGTATAGACAGCAGAAGCAGCCTGGTGGGTTTCAAATCCCATATCCACCATTACTTGTAGTCCAACATTAAGCAAGTAACTTCTTCTTGCTTCAGTTTTCTCATCTGTAAGATGGGGCTAATATTAGCAACTACTCAAAGGCTTGTTTTAAAGATTAAAGAGTCACTATCCAGTAAACGTATTTATAACAGTGTCTGAACTATAGTAACTGTTATAAGAGTAAAGTTGAAAATGAGCTTTAAGTCATATATATTAGCATATCTACTATTCCTTAAACTGATGGTTCCTGTTCCTCTCTTAGATCACGGCCTTCTCTATTTTACTAATTCTTCCCTCTCTCCTATTTCTGAATATCTTCTACCACTACTTTACTACTTTAGTGAACTAAATCCCAAAATAATTTTGTTAATTTGCCCTAGATGTTGGAATTCTAATCTAACATCAGATTTTTGGAAATCTTCATAACTCACTCCATTTTTTAAATGACTCAAAATAAAAAGTATCACTTTAGTCATTGTACAAATATCCTATTTAGAATGATTATAAAACATCTTTCTTCCTTGAATTTGTAAAAAAATCATTCTCTAAATAAAGGAATTATCCATTAGAGAGATACAGGTTTAGCAAATAAAAATATAAGACACTATTAAATTCCAATATGAGATAAACAATATTTTTTTCATATAAGTATAACCCATGCAATATACTTTGGCTGAAAAATAGCTGTTATTTATCTGAGATTCTAATTTAACTGTACATATGTCTTCAATCTCACAAACTTAAATAGAGCTGGAAAAAATCTGTTAAAAACTTTTAAAATCAATTATATTGTATAAGCACATACATTTCTAATGGAATTACATTAAGCAGATATAGTTTTTGTCTAATTTCAATTCTTGCATGAATAGCATCTGAATTTTGCTCTATCATTGATGCAAGAGTAATGAGCTTCACCTTTTGTTTATAAAAAGTTCATAATTTCAAAAAATATTTCCGTATTATGTATATAGTAGCTTGAAATTATACCATCTACTGACTTTTTTTAAATAATGGAAACTTAAAACCCAATAAAAAAAATCACACCTTGCAAAAATGAGTCTTGAGGCTAGAATTCTGCTTTTTCTGTGTTAAAATACTTTGGCGAAAATGAAAAGAGATATTATATAAATAGCACTTTGTCTCAGAGGTGAATTTTGCTAGAGCAGGTATATAATACCATTAATCACTTCAATGGTGTTATAACACAGGCTTTCCAAGTCAACTTCCTTGATTTAAGTAATATCATTTAAAAGGCTACTTGACTATCAACTAGCTCTTGCCAAACATTATTTTGATTAGCAAAATTGGAGAATAATTCGCAGGACTTTCACAGATGGCTATTCACATTCTAAGTGCGTATCGGTGCTTTCCATTTTCATCTAGTCTCTGACTTGGAGAAAATTTAATAGAAATTTTTCTAAATCTAAGCAAAAAGTTTGATATTTGCATGTCTCTGGTTACCCAATAGTAGAAAGATCATCTATATCATATTCTCCTAGAGAGAATCAGAGCAGCAATAGCCCTATAAATGATATGATTATGGGACACCAGCAAGTCCCCATCAGCTCTGATAGAGCTGTTCCATCTCCACCTCCATGTTAACACCTTTCTACCCTAACTTCAAATAGTGGCATCACTCCTGAAGACAGAGAGAAAAGGCATCTGTATTGTCTCTAAATTTCACTGTTAAGGCATAACCACATAACAGTAACGGGGAGCTATAGCCTTTAGCTTTCTTATCAATTCACACAGTAATTGATATTATATTATTATACTACTTATAAGGGTGAGCCAAAAATGTCTATGGATGAAAGAAAGAAAAGCATTCCAACAAAGAGTTTGGAGCTCCTGTGAGGAAAGGGGGAGGAAAAGAAAGGCCTCAATAGATCACTGAAGTGTGGTGTCATGATCTCGTGGGGTCAGCAGAAACCAGTGCAGAAGACAGGAATTAGCTGGACCCCCACACATCAGAACTCTTAGTTAATCTAAGGGCCTGTCTTACTCTTTTCAACTCCATCCTGTCATTTTTCCGTGGCCCTTCTGACCTTGATACTCACCTTACCACTACCTCAACTATATTTGCTATATAAAGAGAAAGTGAGAATAGAACCATGCTAAAATAATTCCTTACTGAGACCACTAAGATCACAGAACTAATAAGTCAGAGTTGAAATTTAAATTTAGGTCTGTATGATCCAAAGCAAGTACGCTTTCTATTACACCCCACTGCTGAGAGGGAAGACAAAGAATGTGAAACAGCATGGAAGGAATGAATTCTGATACACAGGATGTCTCTAGTATATTAATTGAAATGCATTCATTCCACTTACATTTATCAAGCTCTTAGCTGGCCTTGAATTAAATTAGTGTTAGCCTACATTCTTGAGAAAATCTATACACATTAATTATAGTGGGGCAATACTTCTGAAGTTGCATATTGATGTTCTTTTCTACATGGGTCCTTCTCTTTATACTACTTTATACTACATTTCACGGTCTTTTTACCTCTATTCGCTCTCCTCAATATAACCTTCACCAATTTTGTGAAAAAAATATATATATATATACACACACATATGTATATGTATAAAATAATATATAATGTATGTGTGTGTATATACACATATACATATGCACTAGTTCTATAATGAAAGCTATATGCTGTTCTTGTTTTCATCTTTCTTAGAATAATTCTAGATAAAACTATTTTCAACATGCATTTGAATTATTACCAAAAATATAATAATATTTCAATGTCCTCTGTTTTATTCATAAAGAGCTTTAAATTCTGCTTGTGAGAATCACACTCTTGCTGGGCACACTGGCTCACGCCTGTAATCCCAGCACTTTGGGTGGCCGAGGCAGGTGGATCACCTGAGGTTGGGAGTTCGAGACCAGCCTGACCAACATGGAGAAACCCCATCTCTACTAAAAATACAAAACTAGCCTGGCGTGGTGGCGCATGCCTGTAATCCCAGTTACTTGGGAGGCTGAGGCAGGAGAATCGCTTGAATCCAGGAGGTGGAGGTTGCAATGAGCCGAGATTGTGCCATTGCACTCCAGCCTGGGCAACAAGAGCGAAACTCCGTCTCAAAATAAATAAATAAGTAAATAAAAGAATAACAGTCTTAAATATAGGTCTACCTTATCCTCTGAACGAAACTAGACTCTCCCTAAAATACCAACAACCAGGCCGGGCGCGGTGGCTCACACCTGTAATCCCAGCACTTTGGGGAGGCCAAGGTTGGCGAATCATGAGGCCAAGAGATAGAGACCATCCTGGCCAACACGGTGAAACCCCGTCTGTACTAAAAATACAAAAAAAGTAGCCAGGCATGGTGGCAGGCGCCTGTAGTCCCAGCTACTCGGGAGGCTGAGCCAGGAGAATTGCTTGAACCTGGGAGGCAAAGGTTGCAGTGAGCCGAGATCATGCCACTGCACTCCAGCCCGGGTGACACAGTGAGACTCCATCTCAAAACAAACAAACAAACAAACAAACAAACAAACAAAAACCCAATATCCTAATTTGGAGTGCCTCAGTCATTCCAGGTGTTTCTTCAAATTTTTAGACAACAGGTAACTTTTACTGCTTTGCAATCTGATAATGTTAAATGTATCTCTTTCTTTTCATGCTTATATGTTGACTTGGAAACCCTTAATTTTCCATTTCTTTTTCTCAGTTACACTATATGTGCTTGATCTTCTAGTCTACTTTGTCTAGAAAAATCAATTATATACTCTTGAATGTGACTATCTCAGTGGCTACATAGTATGTAAACCTCAACCATGTTTTCTTTCATTTCTATCTTGAGTCTACTCTCTGATCTCTTTTTTCTCTTTAGTTCCCTCCTCTAGAGATTTTTTTTGGAAAGAAATGTTTCAAAGGCTACCGTTGATTGCTCTTTCGAATTTCATTGTAAGTTAATAAGGATTTATGATAGCCTCCAGCTTAAGACTATTTTTCTCAATAGAAATAGAATCCTTGGCCTGTTAGCATTCCTACCTCATTTAGTTAGCATTGGCAAATAATTTGCTTCAGTATAATAAAGCCGAATATTTTGTATTTTTATTCATCTATAAGAACTGAATATTCAGTTCCGAAGGATTTGACACATTACCATATGCCTTTTTTTCCAGAAGTCATATTATTCGTCTGTTGTGTAGTTGCTATCTAGCCTTAAATGTAGAGCATAAGTTAACAAACTCACCAAAGTTTCCTTTTTTCAAAAAATAGCTTTATTAACATAAAATTCACTGGCTAAAATTCACCCATTTGAAGTAATGCATATGTTAATTTACTCACTGTAGCCATTCCACAATGTATACATATTTCAAAACATCATGTACATAAAAAAAATATATAATTTTATGTGTCAATTTTTAAAAGTATTCATATATTCACAGATGTTGTAACCATTACCACAATCAATTTTAGAGCATTGTATCACCTCAAAAAGAAATTCTATACCCTTTAGCTATTATCTCCTCATCCCCTCATCATTCAACCCCCATTCTCAGCCCTAAGCAACCATTAATCTACACTCTGTCTCTATAGACTTCCTTTCTAGACTTTGATATGAATGGAATAATGTACTATGTGGACTTCAGTGACAGGCATCTTTCACTTAAGGTAGTATCTTCAGCGTTCATCCAAATTGGCAGATATATCAGTACTTCATTTCTTTCTATTCTCCCCTTCCAAAAATGCATTGTATTGACATGCCACTTTGTTTATCCATCTTTCTGTTGATGGATATTTAGATTGTTTTCACCTTTTGGCTATTATGAATTATTATTCAATGCTTACTATAAATATTCATGTATAAGTTTTAATATGGACATGTTTCCATTTCTCTTGCATATAAACCTAGGAGTGGAATTGTTGAGTCATGTGATAACTCTGTTTGTTTGAAGAATTGCCAAACTGTTTTCCAAAGAGATTGCACCATTTAACATTCTTACCAGCATCATATAAGGTTTCTGACTCACTGACACTAGTTATTATCCTACTTTTTGATTCTAGACATCCTAGTGTATCTGAAGTGGCATCTCACTGTGGTTGTGATTTGCTTTCCTTTGCTAACTAATGATGTGGAGCATTCCTCATGTGTTTCTTGGTAATTTGCATATCTTCCTTGGAAAAGTGTCTACTGAGATCTTTTGCCTATTTTTTATTTGGGTTTTTATCTTTTATTATTGAGCTAAAAGTTTTTATATATTCCAAATGTAAGTAATTTAGCAAAGATATGTTTTACAAATATTTCTCCCATTCTGTGGCCTTTTTTCATTTTCTTGATGTCCTTTGAAACACAGAAGTATTTAATTTTGATGACGTTTAATTTATCTTTTGTTTGTTTGCTCTAATTTTGATGAAGTTTAATTTATCTTTTGTTTATTTGTTTGTTTGCTCATGCTTTTCGGTGTCATATGTAAGGACCCTTGGCCAAATCCAAAGTATGGAAGATTTACTCTTGTGTTTCCTCCTAAAAATTTAATAGTTTTAACTCTTACATTCAAGTTTTTGGTCGATTTTTATTTCATTTTTGCTTCTGATCTTAAGAGTCTAATTTCATTCTTTTGTATATAGATATCCACCTATTCCTACATTATTTGTTGGAAAGACTATTCTTTCCCCAACGAATGGTTTAACACTTATATCAAAAATCAGTTGACCATAATTATGTGCATTTATTTCTGGACACTCAATTCTATTGCACTGATTTCCATACCTGTCCTTGTACCAGTATTATATTTTCTTGATTACTGTTATTTGTAGTAAGTTTTAAAGTTAGGAAGTGTGAGTCCCCATACATTTTTCTTCTTTTCTTGGACTGTTTGGCTATCCTACATCTTTTGCAATTTTGCATGAATTTTAGAATAAGCTTATCAATTTCTACAAAGAAGTCAGCTAGGATTCTGACAGAGATTGCCTTGAATCTGTAGATCACTTTGGGGTATACTGCCTTCCTAAACATTTAAGTCTTCTGATCTATGATCTGTGCCTTAATGTCTTTGTCAACTGCAATTCCTTAGGAGATGATTTTTTATTTGTAGTGCAAATATACCTGCCAGGCCACCTGTATAAGTTCGTTTTCATGCTGCTGATAAAGACATACCTGAGAAGAAAAAGAGGTTTAACTGGACTTGCAGTTCCACATGGCTGGGGAGGCCTCAGAAACATGGTGTGAGGTGAAAGGCACTTCTTACTTGGCAGCGGCAAGAGAAAACGAGGAAGATGCAAAAGCAGAATCCCCTGAAAAAATCATCAGATCTCATAAGACTTATTCACTATCACAAGAACAGTACGGGGAAAACCACCCCCGTGATTCAATTATCTCCCCCTCCCCCACAAGTTGGTCCCTCCCCCAACACATGGGAATTATGGGAGTACAAATCAAGATGAGATTTGGGTGGGGACACAGAGCCAAACCATATCACCATCTTATAAAAGTACAGAGTATTTCCTTCTAATGACATGCTTTTTATCTTGTCGACAAATAAGAGGATTGATTTACAAACTTCCCTAGTTCATGTTGTAAAGAAAACAACTTCTGCACAGGAGCTACTTATAAAAATGCACTATATCCCCCTCCCCAAACCTCATCCAGAACAATTCTATATGCTAAAGATGCTTTTAGTATTGGATTATTAGTTTTCCATATGCATCAGCAACCAAAGCTAACAAGCGTCTACCTGCTATCTCACATGGTTTCTGCATTTCCGTACTTTCTTACCCACTTATGTGATGGTTACACATATTAAAGTTACCATACAAATTAGGTGAGGGTCATATTTGACAACTATTGTTCAGTTCGTACTTCGTAAGACTATTATGAAAATATTCTATAGCTTTTGCACATTCCCAAACTCCATGAAGCTCTCTTATCCCTATGTAAATCTCTCATGTGTTCAATTTTGTATTGTGCAAAATTTAATAATTTGGTGTCATATGCCAATGCCTGCAGAAATAAAACTTGAAATTATGGTTTTCAAGTTCCCATTGTTTATCCATGAATTTAATACATAGTTGGGTTTCTCACTTGAATTGTAACTCTGAAAGGATTGTAGCATGCCCACTTTTTATATCAACTTGACACATAAGGGTGAAATTTTATGTACTACTTTTGAGCCTTCCTAGATGGTCTGAAACACACTGGAGAGATCAGAAGGAAAATCATGATGGTTTTGCACAGTGTCCAAGATTGTATTGCAGTTAATGGCACTTGCAAAGTTGGTGGTCTAGTAATTAAGTAAGAATCAATCCACAGCTCATGTGTTTGCATACAGTGGTTCTCAATGAGAAATCCTAAGTGGTCACTTGAACTTTTATGGCAAGGAGTCAAATTCTCTGTAAAATGTGCACAAGCAATTCTTGCTGCCTTCAGCAAGCATAAATCTTATACTGAGTGAAATATTCTCTCTTCCTCTCTGTGGAAATGCTACAAACAATAATTTTTCAACACACTATAATACATTTATAGAATAGAAAGGATAGATGTAAATAGTGTTGAAGGCCAATTCTCATGTCACATAAAATGAATGTGTAAAAGAAACCAGGTGAAATCACTGATTTATCTTTCTGTTTTTGCAAGCTTATGTTTAAATTATTACATCTCAATTGCCTCAAATGTTTTCTTCTACTCTGACTTAAAAAGCAGTTCCAAATTCTATTTAATTTTAGCATTAAACAACTGTGTTGTCGCTGATAAAACATCAATGTAAACTGTGATTTTCCTACTACATTATCCAAGTAAATACAAGTTACAAAATCCACTTATGTACAGAGAGTGGATAAACCCAGGCAAATTTTGATCTAATCTACATTTCTTTGCTCTTTTTAAATGTCTGTGACCAAGATTATTTTAACTTCTTAGATTACTTTTTTTTTACTCTTCTGGCTACCCATGAATAACTACTTCAATGTGATAAGTAATTTAAGCACAACTCTTTCAGACAGTGGTCCTGTACTTTTCATTACATATGTGGATCTTCCTATAGAAAGTAGTTCAGATTTCAATTCTAAATGGTGAATCAAAGTACAGAAATTTAACTTTATTATTGACAAAGAGAAATGTAAATTAATGATTGAAATATGTTCAGCACTGAATGAAAATAAAATCCTACCTCAAAAGTTGGAATGCATATTTTAGTAAATTTATGTAATATTGCATGAAATAAGTAATCGTACAAAATATTGAATGGTTTTATGATAATATAGACACTTAATCCATAGCATTAAAATCCACCCACTTCCCTGATTTGTGGAATGAGATAATGATAACCTCTAAATCACTGGATCATAGTGAGTAATAGAGAAGAATATTATACAAAAAGTATACTATATTTATTTGGAATATTATATCATGTGCTCTCATCTTTTTATTAGACAAAACAATTCTATAACTTTAAAATATGATAGTTAATAAATCCTTATAGTACTAAACAAGCTGAGAAAGTTTGTTACACACTTATAAAACAAGAGCAATATGAAAATGTGTTTAAAAAAGTAAATGTTGCACTAAAAAGTAATTTTTTAATTTTTATTTTATGTTCGGGGATACACGTGCAGGTTTGTTATATAGGTAAACTCATGTCATGGGGGTGTGTATACAGATTATTTTATCACCCATGGACTAAGCCTAGTACACAATAGTTATTTTTTCTGTTCCTCTCCCTTCTCCCATCCTCCACCCTCCAGCAGGCCCCAGTGTCTGTCGTTCCCCTTTTTGTGTCCATGTATACTCATTATTTAGTTCCCACTTATAAGTGAGAAAATGCGGTGGTTGGTTTCATATTCCTGTGTGAGTTTGCTAAGAATAATGGTCTCCAGCTCCATCCATGTCCCTGCAAAGGACATGATCTCATTCTTTTTATGTCTTCATAGTATTTCATGGTGTATACATAGTACATTTCGTTTATCCAGTCTACCATTGATGGGTATTTAGGTTGACTCCACGTCTTTGCTATTGTGAAGAGTGCTACAGTGAACTTACATGTGCATGTGTCTTTTTGACAGAATCATTTGTATTCCTTTGGGTATATATCCAGTAGTGAGATTGCTGGGTTGAATGGTAGTTTGGTTTTTAGCTCCTTGAAGAATCACCACACAGCTCTCCGCAGTGGTTGAACTACTTTCCACTCCCACCAGCAGTGTATAAGCGTTCTCTTTTCTCTGCATCTTCGTCAGCCTCAGCATTTGCTATTTTTTGACTTTGTAATAATAGCCATTCTGACTGGTGTGAGATGGTATCTCATTGTGGTTTTGATTTGCATTTCTCTAATGGTCAGTGATGTTAAGCTTTTTTTTTTCACATGCTTTTTGGCCGCCTGTATGTATGCCTTGTCTTGAAAAATGTCTTAATGGGATTGTTTGTATATTTTAGATAAATTTGTTTAAGTTCCTTATAGATGCTGGATAGTAGACCTTTGTCAGATCCATAGTTTGTAAATACTTTCTCCCATTCTATAGGTTTACTATTTACTCTGATGATAGTTTATTTTGCTGTGCAGAAGCTCTTTTGTTTAATTAGATCCCATTTGTCAATTTTTGTTTTTGTTGTCATTGCTTTTGGCGTCTTCATCATGAAATCTTTGTCCATTCCTATGTCCAGAATGGTATTGCCTAGCTGGTCTTCTGGGGTTTTTATAGTTTTTGGTTGTAACTTAAATCTTTAATCCATCTTGAGTTGACTTTTGTGTATGGTGTAAGGAAGGGGTCTAGTTTCCATCTTCTGCATATGGCTAGCCTGTTATCCCAGCACCATTTATCGAATAGAGAGTCCTTTCTCCATTGCTTGTTTTTGTCAGCTACATTGAACACCAAATTGTTGTAGATGTGTGACCTTATTTCTGGGCTCTCTACTCTGGACCATTGGTCTATGTGTCTGTATTTGTACCAGTACCATCCAGTACCATGCTGTTTTGGTTATTATAGCCCTACAATATAGTTTGAGTCAGGTAGTGTGATGCCTCCTGCTTTGTTCTTCATGCTTAGGATTGCCTTAAATATTTGGACTCTTTTGGTTCCGTATGAATTTTAAAGCAAAACTTTCTATTTCTGTAATGAATGTCTTTAGTAGTTTGGTAGGAATAGCATTGAATCTGTAAATTGCTTTGGGCAGTATCACCATTTTAATGATATTGATTCTTCTTATCCATGATCATGGAATTTTTTTCATTTGTTGATGTTATCTGTGATTTGTTTGAGCAGTGCTTTATAATTCTCATTGTAGAGATCTTTCTGTGCTCGCTTCACTAGCACATACACAAACATTGGAACAGTATGGAGAAGATTAGCATGGCTCCTGCACAAGGATGAGATCTTTCTCTTCCCTAGTTAACTGTATTCCTAGGTATTTTATTATTTTTGTGGCAATTGTAAATGGGATTGCATCCCTGATTTGGCTCTTGGCTTGGCTGATGTTGGTGTATAGAAATGCTAGTGTGGATTTTGTATCCTGAGATATTGCTGAAGTTGTTTATCAGCTGGAGGGGCTTTTGGGTCAAGACTATGGGGTTTTCTAGATATAGAATGATGTCACTTGCAAACAGGGATCATTTGACTTCTTCTCTTTCTATTTGGATGTGCTTTGTTTCTTTTTCTTGCCTGGTTGCCCTGGCCAGGACTTCCAATACTACACTGAATAGGAGTGGCGAGAGAAGACATCCTTGTCTTGTGCCAGTTTTCAAGGGGGATGCTCCTAGCTTTTGCCCATTCAGTATAATGCTGGCTATGGGTTTGTCATAGACAGTTCCTACTATTTTGATGTATGTTCCTTCAATACTTAGTTTGTTGAGAGTTTTTAACATGAAGCGATGTTGAATTTTATTGAAAGCCTTTTCTGCATCTGAGATGATCATGTTTTTTTTTCTTTAGTTCTGTTTATGTGATGAATCATGTTTACTGATTTGCATATGTTGAACCAACCTTGCATCCCAGAGATAAAGCTTACTTGATCGTGGTGGATTAGCTTTTTGATGTGCTGCTGGATTCAGTTTGACAGTGTTTTGTTTCGTTTGTTTGTTTTTTGATATGAAGTTCTATCACCCAGGATGGAGTGCAGTGGTGTGATTTCGGCTCACTGCAACCTCCACCTCCCAGGTTCAACTAATTCTCCTGCCTCAGCCTCCCGAGTAGCTGGGATTACAGGTGCGTGCCACCACACCCAGCTGATTTTTGTATTTTTAGTAGGGATGGGGTTTCACCACGTTGCCCAGGCTGGACTCAAACTCATGATCTCAGGTGAGTCTCCTGCCTAGGCCTCCCAAAGTGCTGGGATTACAGGCATGAGCCACCGTGCCTTGTCCTATAGTTTGCCAGTGTTTTGTTGAAGATTTTTGCATCAATGTTCATCAAAGATATTGGCCTGACGTTTTCTTTTTTTGTTGTGTATCTGCCAGGTTTTGATAACAGAATGCTATTTTCATAGAATGAGTTGAGGAGTCTCACCTACTCAATCTTGTGGAATGGTTTCAGTAGGAATGGTACCAGCTCTTCTTTGCACATCTGGTAGAATTTGGCTATGAATCTGTCTGGTCCTGGGCTTTTTTTTTTTTTTGGTTGATAGGCTATTTATTACTGATTCAATTTCAGAGCTCATTATGGGTCTGTTCCGGGATACAGTTTCTTCCTGTTTCAATCCTGGGAGGGTGTATGTGTCCAGAAATTTATCCATTTATTCTAAATTTTATAGTTTATGTGCATATAGATGTTCATAATAGTCTTCTAGGGTTATTTGTATTTCTGTGGAATCAGGAGCAATATCCTATTTGTCTTTCCTAATTATATTTATTTGGATCTTCTCTTTATTAGTCTAGCTAGTGGTCTATTATCTTATTAATTTTTCAAAAAACAGCTCTTGGATTCACTTATCTTTTGAATTATTTTTCACATTTCAATCTCTTTGGTTTGGCTCTGATTTTGGTTATTTCTTGTCTCTGCTAGCTTTAGAATTCGTTTGCTCTTACTTCTCTAGTTATTTTAATTATGATGTTAGGTTGTTAGTTTGAGGTCTTTCTAACTTTTTGATGTGGACATTTAGTGCTATAAATTTTCTGCTTAACACTGCCTTTGCTGTGCCTCAGAGACTCTGGTATATTGTATCTTTGTTCTCACTAGTTTCAAAGAATTTCCTGATTCCTACCTTAATTTCATTATTTACCCATAAGTCATTCAGGGTCAGGTTGATTAATTTCCATGTAATTATATAGTTTGGAGGAATTTTCTGATTCTTGAATTCTAGTTTTATTGCACTGTGATCTGAGAGAGTGGTTGGTATGATTTCAGCTTTCTGCATTTGCTGAGGATTGTTTTATGTACAAATATGTGGTTGATTTTAGAGTATGTGCCATGTGGCAATGAGAAAAATGTATATGCCATTACTTTTAGGTGGAGAGTGCTATAGAAATCTATCAGGTTCATCTGTTCCAGTGTTGAGTTCAGGTCCCGATATCTTTGTTAATTTTCTGCCTTGATGATCTGTCTAATACTGTCGGTGGGATGTTGAAGTATCCCACTATTATTGTGTGGGAGTTTAAGTCTCTTTGAAGGTCTCTAAGAACTTGCTTTATGAATCTAGGTGCTCCTGTGTTGGGTGTGTATATATACATATATGCATGTATACGACAGTTAAGTCTTCTTGTTGAATTGAACCCTTAATCATTATGTAATGCCTTTCGTTGTCTTTTTTGATCTTTGTTGGTTTAAAGTTTGTTTTGTCATTAATTAGGATTGCAACTTCTACTTTTTTCTGTTTTCCATTTCATTGGTAGATTTTTCTCCATTCCTTTGAGTCTATAGATGTCATTGAATGTGAAATGGGTGTCATTCCATGTGTATCTTTAAGACACATACCATTGTTTTGCTTCCTTATACAGATTGCCACTCTGTCCTTATTTTATCCAATAAGAAATGGTAGAAAACATAAAATTGTCTGAAAGTTTTCAAAAATACATGCAGAAGCCATAAAATGACAGTTATTTTCTAGCCAAATATCAGCATCTAATGTATTATACCCAGCCATACCCTTATTGCAGAAAATTCTTCTGTTTTCAGTCTGTCTCATTTTTCCTGATACCTCCCTGCTTCTTGCTACTTATTTTAGCTCTAGATATAATTTAAACAATCACCCTTTTATTGAGCTCTACTGTACACTAGAATCCATTGAGAAAGTCATTGACTTTCCCAGGAAATCAGAAGTACACAGATCAAAAAGTATACTGTGACTTGCAAAAGTCTATACATATACAAAGAACAGATAGGAAGGAGCAATCAAATCTGCCTGGAAGAGTCAAAGAAAGTGACTTCACCCTATTGTGATAACAACCTCAAAACCTTAATCCCATATTCCACAAATAAGGTTTCTCTCACACAATATATATATTCAGCTCAAGTTGGGTCGTCACTCAAGAATCCAGAATAAAAAAGGTTCCACCCTTTCATAGTTTCCTCATTTAGAACAGAAGATTCCATATTCATCATGGCAGTAGAAGAGTCTACATCACTTCATCTCAGAGGCCACTGGCCAGAAACGTAGTTGTCACCCTCCTCGAGCCCCTACCACCCACTGCAAGATGGTTGACAAATATGGACAAATAGGTATAATATTTGATCAATGTTATTATCTCTACCACAGAAAGTTTCAGAAAGGTGATGAAATTTAAGCTGGGCTTTAAAGGCTACATCAAATTTGACAAATGGAATTGTGAGGAAAGCACATTAGAAGTAAAGAGTGAACCCACAAAAACAAGAGAACATCATGGTATGTAATGAAGAAATGTCCATTATTTGCTCTGTGGCTAAGACTAATAGTTATTATTCAAACATCTGTTCTCTTCTTTTCCTGTAGCAATAGAAGCTGTAGCTGGGCATAGGTTAACCTATCCGCAAACTTCATTGTGTTACCTCTTTTGCGTTTAAGCGTCACAACAGGAGTAAATTCTTATCTATGAAATGAGAGGAAAGATATGTACAATTTGTGGCATATACTTCTAAAGGAATAAATACGCCTTCCTCTTCTCTTTTCTTTCCATCACACTGGCCTACAGACACTTTGGGAAGGCATTTCTGTAGCATGTATGATAACAAACTATAGCAATGGCAGAGCAACAAGATGGAAAGGTACTACTTGATGGAAAGATACTACTTGATACTACCCAAGTGTCATAGGGTTCCTGAGTGGTGACCAAGAGAGATAAGTTTATTTCTATTGTGATTAAATCATACTCTTTTTGGAATCACTTTTTAAAGCAGGCAAATCTGTAACCTAATATGGCCTCTACTAGGTAATATTAGTTTTCTTTCTCTCTTTGTGTTATCTCTTGTACCTATAAAGATTTTTGCAATTAACATACAATTATAAATTCGAAGCTATAATTGAAAAAATAAATCTGCTTTGAGGTTATTTTCTAGTACCCAGGTTTTGTATACATAGGTGAAGCAGTACATTTGATTTCAGAGATACTTCAGAGGCTTTTAAATTCGTTTGCTGTAGGACTAGTGTGCATATAGTACAATGATATAGGTTAAACAGAATAACCATCATATTTCAGTGGCACTGTGAGATATATTTGAAAATATATCTGCCTATCACTGGAAGATGACTACACTGTATGATAGAAAATGGCATTGGTGGTGACAAGAGGGGAAGGGGGGCTGATAACTGAAGAAAATGATAAAGGGATAAGGAACCTCTTCCCAGCAAACTTGTAGTGAATTCTTCAATATATGAGTCACAGATTTTAGAGTAGGTATCTACACTGCAGGGATTGAGAAAACCTACTGTGCCCCAGATATTGGAAGAGCAGAGCAGGAAGTGTAGAAATATCAGGGAACCCAAGGATACACTTGAGAAACACCATGCTGGATTATAAATTTTGTGAAGGCGTGGATATCTTGACTTTTGCATCCCTGGAACAATGGCTAGAATTTAGTAGGTAATCAAAAATATTTGTTCTTGACATCCCTAGTCATTGGCATTTCAGCAAATGGAAATGTCAATTTACCAGTTGTTCAGGCCCAAATCTTTAAAGTCAGCCCTGATTCCTGTCTTTCTTGTACACTCTGTATCCAGGTCATCAACAAATCCTATTAGCATACCAGTCGTAATAATTTCTGAATATTATGACTCCTAAGCAGGCCCACCATTATCACTCTAGTGCAAGCTATCACCACTTCCAGGCTCCAGGCTCTTAGCTGGACTTCCAGTTTATACCCTTGCTCCCTGTATTAGTTTCCTGTGGCTGTTGTAGTAAATTACCATAAAATTGGTGGCTTAGAGCAACATAAACATATTCCTTTATAATTCTGAAAATCAGAAATCCAAACTTATTCTCCTGGGCGAAAGTTAGGTACTGGCAGGGCTGGTTCCTTCAGTAAGCACAGAAGAGAATTAATTTCTTTTCCTTTTACAGTTTCTAGAGGCTGCCTGCATTCCTTGGCTAATGACTTTGCATCACTCTGACGTCTTGCTCCCATGGTCGTATCACCTACTACTGGCCCTGATCTCACTACTTGTTGTAAGGATTGGTGTGATTACATCAGCGCTTTTGCACTTGCTCTCACCTCTGCCTGGAATATTCTACCTCCAGATATTCACATGCTTGGATTTCCAAGTGCATTCCAGTTTACGATTATGTATTATCTGACCGCAGGTCTTCTCTGAGCACCCCGTGAGATACGGCAACCTCTCCTGTCAATCACCCACCCCTTATCTTGCTTTGCTATTTTTCATAGCACATTATGTCCATCTGAAATAGTATGTATTTGTTTGCTTGACGTCTTTCCCCCACTTTGAGAACAGTGTTTTGTTCACTGTTATGTCCCTAGCACTAGAATAGTTTCTGACACAGAGGTAAACTCAAGTATTAATTTTTAAATAATAAATGAAAGAATGCATGTTGAATTAGTGATTTCTAAACCAGTTTCATTAGATACCTTCTTGAAATAGTCATGGTTCTTTTGCTATTTTCCCATTCTTCTTTTCTTAAACATGAACATCAAGATAATTTATTATCTTCTCTTCACAATAAAAACAATATAATTTTCCAATACTTTCATTGCAAGTGCTTATCACAAGATGAACATAACATCATAGGCTTGCCTAGATGACTACTGATACTGTTTATACATGGAAATATGTTCCAAATTAGAAATAAGTAAATTCCCATTAATTTTTTGAAATACAGTCTCTTTATAAGTTTGTAAGACTATTGGCATATACCTGATTGCAGAAAATACATACCATGTGCACTTACATTTATAGTTTAATTAACTAGCAGGTTTGAACTCATGGGAGGTTGCTCCAATTAGCTGATTGTGTTGAAGTAATGACAATAATATTTAGAGTTACTGTAACACTTCACCAACACTAATTACTACCCAAATTACTGTTGCATTGTCATCTCTCTTTTACAGATATGGAACAAAGGGATAAGGAAGTGACTTGCCTAAGTCACTGAGGAACCTAATATTGAGATTAGCACTCAATGATTCCTGGCTCTCAGAATGTGTGCTGCTACCACCAGGCCACACTCTTCCCTCCAGAGAGAAGATGTGTCAGCACGGAATTGTGCTGAAGCAAAGATGTGAAATAGAATGATTACATATCTACCTAGTGGGAAGATCTGGGGAAGAATCTATCAGTGCTGGCAGAGAAGCAAACCATACGACATCACTCATCCCCAGAAAGTGAAGTTAAGGGAAATAAAAAACAATCTACACCATTTAGAAAACACAGCCACCCCATACCCTTGGAAAAAATACACTAAAATATCTTCATCTGATTTGACCTCTAATAACATGAATAATTGTCTTATAACTCACTTTCTTACCTCTTGATTATTCTACAGATCCGGCACATATGAGCAAAATCTGATGAAATTCACTCATTTAATTTGAAGATTTTAATTATGTAGAAAAAGTAGGTTCGCATTCTTTCTTATTAATAGAGTTCAAAAGACTTAAGGCCTAGAGTCTAGCTTCAGCTATTAAAATTATACATCAGCATGTGTTTCTCCTTTATTAAGCAATGATTCGTTATACCTTTCCCCTTAGAGGACACCCACACTTCTTTAAAAATAAGTTGGGCGAACATCGACTGTGAATGTGTTTTTGTTTTCCTAATATAATATCAGTGGGAGTTGTACACACAGATCAGGAGCTGTACACACATTATTATCTCCAAATAATTAGTATTTGTGTATTATTTCCCTTCATCTGGCTATACATGAATACAGAGGCACTGGTACTACTCATCACAAAATACAGTGGTAGCTGGTTCCAGGGCTGCCTTTGTGAATACTCCCTGCCAGTGGCTGAAGAGACTAAGGAAGCACCCCTGCTGAGTCCCCTCTCGTCCTCCTCAGGGAGTATGCACTAATTCTATCTTCTCCTATTGGGAAGGCAGCCAAAGGCAGAAGCAAAGAAGGACAGCACTGTAGTTCCTAGAGAGAGGAAGGTGCCAATAGTCAGGAATGGAGAAGAAAAATGTAAGTTTTATAAAATAAGGATAACAGAAACAATGATTATTAGCACCTCAATCTTTCCATTATAGCCAAAGAGGAAAGTTCCATGACTGGCAGATGGAGTAACAGCATCCAATTGCAGTCTTATGTTTGCACCACATACATAGAATAGAATAGAGAAAGGAAACTACTTTAAGGATGTAAGCTGTGGAGTAGAGTCAAATGCAGACTGCGATGGTATTTTTGCCTAGTAGATTATGTGTGTCACACTTCGGCAAGCCCTTACCAGCTAGCTTGGCTCTCTGCTTGCTTTTGACCTTGGAAGTTTGACCAATAATTTAGTTTCAATTATTTATAGGAAAAACACTTAGCTATTTGAAAAAAAAGTAATAGGAGTTATTTCAAAGAATTTTTTATATACATAGGGCTACTAATAAAATGAGTTCAAGATATTTTGTTTCTATGGAGTGGGAAATGCACAGGATGAATGGGAGAGACACATTCAAATGAGCTTTTTAGAAATGAGAGAGTAAGAAATACGTCTGTTGGCAAATCATCCTTCATAAATAATAACATGTTGAAAAATATAACTAATTATGTTATATATAAACTTGAGCAGGAGCACATTTCTGAACACTAGACCTTTTTATTACAGTATAGAAAGGAAAAATATGATTTTGTAGAGCCATTTTCTCAATGTTTACAATTAGAAACGAAAGATGAATATTAAGTCTAGTTTAAAAATTACAATTCTTTAAATAGTTGAAAATCTCTTTATGATCATAAAAACATTAAATAGGATTTAAATGATCATTATGTTTATAAATATATTAATGGCACAATAAAGGTAGCATTTTTTCCCCTTAAATGCGTTACTTAAAAAATCTGTAAAATGAAGGGAAATTAATATCAAAAATTTTTTTTAATTAAAATTTCTCAGTTCCATGGTAACAATGTATTATAAGTAGCAAATGTGTAATTAAAGCAGTCACTATATGTATATTTAGATCATCAATATGCAGTCTTCAATTTATTTAACAGAAAGTAGAAAACATTACAAAATGAGAAGCTTTGTGATGTTTTTCTTCATTTAATTCTGAGCTTTAATCCCTCCTCCCCAATTGTAATGTATAAATTCTATAATTTAGCCCCAATCTAAAATCCAGGAAAGAAAATATTTAGGAGGGAGATAATTAATTCAAAGAAGGTAAAAATATTAACTGTGTTGTATTACCAAGGCAATCAGAGAATGAAGGCACTGCTGTTTGAAAGTGGAAATTACCTGTAATTTTAGGATTTTAAATGAAGAACTCTATAACAGAGAGTGCAAATTTGGAAAACTATCCACATAAACTGAAATGTCTTTTCTTTATTTTAACCTATTCTGCATGAGAGAGCACCAAAGTCAGATTATGCATCTACAAATTTGGAGGCCTTCCACTTCTGAGATCTGAGAAGGAATTGCTTCTCTATGACTTGGCCTCTGGATTTAAAAGTATAAAGAGTATTTAAATGCCATGAAGCTAAACAAGGGTTGCTAGAGTAGTCCATCTCTATGGAAAAAAATGGCTCCACCAACCTTGATAATGATGATAGCCTGGTTCGTGGACCTAGAAACACGGGCTCCAGAAATAAACTATCTTGAACAATATCTTGTGGTCCAAGAAATAGGCAGTGTAGACTTTGAAGTCTGAGACCAGATATCAAATAATGGCTTTGAGAATAAGTATTGGGAGAGTTACCCAACCTTTCAGTGCTTCAGTTTCCTTATCTATAAATATTTGGATAATAGCAGAATGTATTTCATTAGTGTTTTTGAGGGGTTCAGATCAGATGAACATGGAAAGATCTTGGCAATGTAGATTATTTAAATATTATTAAATTCACATTTGCTATTGATGCTTTTACATGAAATTGTAAGATTTGCTTAAGTATAATCATACTTTACAATTCAGGAAAACCCCATTATTTTCTGAATTAGTAGATTATCAAGATGGTATTATATGATATGACATTATATAATAGGTAAAAATAACATATAATATATAATATACAATATAACAAATAATTTTAGATCCAAAAGGAACCTTAGAGATTTTACTGCATAATCAATCACGACTCAGCTTAGAAATGTGAAGTGTATTCCCAAAATCAGTGTTGGGGTTTTTTTTAAGTGTAAAACATAGGTTCCAAAACTAAAACTTAGAAAACATTTTTTTCCTCTCAAAGACATTAAGAGATTGGAAAGTGTGCTGTTCCATCGGACTCTCTATTAACTCTTTCTACTAATTCTATTTTTATTAGTTGAAGTAATCAACCTCTGTATAAATTGGCTGGTCTACCAAACCATTTAAGAATAACAGAAGGCCCTTGTGAAAGATTTGTACTTGTGTTAATGATGTCAGATGACAGGGTCAGGAACACACAGCAGAGATGCCTACTGGCAGCAGAGATATTTTTATATTATTAATCACATCCAAAAATTATCTTAGGAAAGTAGAATTAATATTCCCACATGCCATGGAAAAGCTGAATTGTTAATAGCCTCCCTAGGGCTTTGATTATTTCTGCGGCATCTTCAACGACTTTGTCAATGTTTAAACATTATAAACTATCACAATTTTTCCTCATAAAATGAAATCCAGTGCTTTGGAGGCCTTGCTTTCCTTAAAATAAAGTATGCTAAACTGCTTAAAAATTAATAGATGAGGCCGGGCGCAGTGGCTCACGCCTGTAATCCCAGCACTTTGGGAGGCCGAGGCGGGTGGATCACGAGGCCATGAGATCCAGACCATCCTGGCTAACAAGGTGAAATCCCATCTTTACTAAAAAAATACAAAAAAAATTTACCTGGGCGTGGTGGCGGGCGCCTGTAGTCCCAGCTGCTCGGTGGGCTGAGGCAGGAGAATGGCGTGAACCCGGGAGGCGGAGCTTGCAGTGAGCCCAGATCGCGCCACTGCACTCCAGCCTGGGGGACAGAGCGAGACTCCGTCTCAGAAAAAAAAAAAGAGAGAGAGATCCAGTTCGTACTTAACTGATAGAGATTTTAAAGATTTTATGAGCCAAAATTGCCTATCTCCTAATTTCACCCTGCTCAGGAAAAATGTCAAGGATAGGGAAAGTGGTGAGGAGATTTTAGATAACTTTACAAGTAATTACATAACAAGACAACTTACAACTAGTACCTAGAATGGCCTGGCACACAGTAGGTGTTAAGCAAATATTTATCAATAAGTAAATGAGTGCTTTTCTCCACAAAAAAAAAAAAAAAAAAATGGAAGTTTCTTGTGCTATCTTGTCTCTTGACATTAATTTTACATCAGCTCTGTGGCATTAAATGGAGTAGGGAGTAAGCTAGCAAGCTTTTGGACTGAAAAACAAAGGTTCTTATATTCTTTGTTGGGACATTATTCTCAACCAGGAGGCACTCAGGATAATTAAATTATAAAGGATGGGTAATGAGAAACTTTGGGAGAAAACATATGCGTATATGGAGAGAGTGAGAGAAAAAAGAGAGACTCCAAAAGATATATTTTAAAGTATATCAAATCTACAAAAGTTAGTATGCTTTTAATTTTATTATATATACAAGGGAATTTTGGTAATCTTACACTAGTTGTCAGAATAATCTCAAACTATTTAACTTCTTAAACTTTAATAATTTTAGGAACTATTTTAACTAAACTAAATTGCCTTCATGAACAAAATTTAAATATACTTATAGATACATTGTTTTCAGACATACTGATACAAGGTATTGTAAAAGAGATTTTAGCATTGATACAAGTTGAGTGATATTATAACATCAAACAAATTAAAGTCTTCTTAAATTTATTAAATACCTTCATGTAGAGAACTGATGTCTTGGGATAGAAGGTGCATTTGTTCTAGTATTTTTCTTCATTGTGGCAGGTTGAGATGAGTGACTTTGGAGCAAATTTTATAAAGAAAACAAAGCCTTGATTCCTAGCAAATATATATTTTATTTACATTAAATTATTATTCCATGTATTCATTTAGCAAACAGTTTTTGAGCCTCCACAATATGCTAGTCATCACCCCTGAGCCCCATAAATAAAATGAAAATGAAAATTCAGGAACATGAATGGAGCTGGAGGCCATTATCTTTACCAAACTAATGCAAGAACAGAAAACCAAATACTGCATGTTCTCACTTATAAGTGGGAGCTAAATGGTGAGAACACGTGAACACATAATGGGGAATCACACACACTAGGGCCTTTTGGAGATTGGAGGGTAGGAGGAGGGAGTGGATCAGGCAAAATAACTAGTGGGCACTAGGAATAATACCACAGTGATGAAATAATCTGTAAAACGAATCCCCATGATACAAGTTTACCTATATTACAAACCTGCACATGCACCCCTGAACTTAAAAGTTAAAAAGTCAAATAATAAAGTACTTAAAAATTTGAAATTAAGAAAACTCAGGGAGTTTACTGTTTATTCGGTCAACCCTTCTCAGAGGACAGTCATGTAGCTAAGAAGACTGCCTAGGACTAGAGTGGAGTATCATTTTGGAGATGCAAAGAGGTCTCTGAAGAGAAAGCAGCATATAGAAAGGATCGTGGCTAACCACTGGGTAACTCTTTCTTGGTTGATCTGCCTTGTGTTGATTCAATAATAATAATAATAATAACACATTGCAGTGATAATATAGAATATTCATAAATGATAAACATTTTCAGAGAAGACTAGGAAATCAATGTCAATTAAGATTCAGGCTAAAATTTGAAGTTATGAAATTTGCTGGTGCCTTGAAGCTATTTGCTCACAGGAGGGTGACTTTCTGGAAGAACTCTTTGAACAGGTTTTTTTCAACCAACAAAACTTCATAATAGTGTAAAATGAATGATCCAGATTTATAGCTTCAGGCAGCATCTTTTGATTACCATTTTGTGTATTATACCTGAGAAAAAGGAGGTGTAAACAATCAATTATATAAGATTCAAATATTTTGAAATCTCTCTCTCTCTGTCACATACACACACACACACACACACACATATGAAACAAACAAAACACAGAAAAATAAATAGAAAGTGACCCAGAATTCTTGTTCTCTAATTGAAATATGTAGACTTCGGAGGTTAAGTAATCAAGATAGAAATCCTGCCCGTCCCATTTATTATTGTGTGATAATTTTTTATGATCCTCAGTTTCCTTGTTTGTCAAAATGGGGCTAATGATATTTTTGGCATTGTTTGCAAGAATTAGAAGCAATGTATGTCAAGAGCTACACACAATTCAAGTATTACTTGACCAGAGGTTTTATCTAAAAGAAAAGATGTCCATCCAGCTAATAGCAATATTTTTTTCAGAGTCAACAGTGTCTACACATTTAAAAAGTGAAAACTCCATTTACTTGATTTCAAATCTTACTCCTGTATTGTTTTAAATTCATACTAATATGCTATATTAATCACTTGGGCTTTTGAACACTTTTGTAGAAAAGACTTACAGAAGATTTGCACTTCATCCTTAGATACTTTGTTAATTTCAATTCATTTCAGAAAATGTCTAAAGTCTTTAATGAAGTGCTATCTTCATTTATTAGTTGTACTATAATTCGGTGAACTTCAGCAGCTCAAAGTAAAAGGATGACATAATCAATTATAATTGTTTTAGAAATGTTTTTGCCTTAATTTTTTTAAAAGCTCTAAGGTAATAATAGCACTTTTCATCTGCAAAGTACTTTATAAAGGTGAAGAGGAAAAAGTGTTCTCTGGTGGTTCAATAAGACATTGAGAGTTCAGAAAATCGAGGCTGTTTCTTTCTCCTTTATTGACGTCAATGATTTTTGGATAACTTACCTAACACAGGTGGTGCTCTTCATATATAATGTTTCTTGCTTTACAATAGGTCAAAGAACTATTATCTGGCTACTTCTCTTGTATAGGATAATTAGATAATTCCCCCCACCATCTATGTCACCCTATTTCTTACTTGTCTTTTCTGGCTTTATTTCCTAGCTTGTATATCTTTTAGTATTTTATATATTGGGAGATAATGATGAATATTAATCTAAAATAAAGGCTTCAATTTGGAGACAGAAGACGATCAATTTAAATTTCGATTATCTCTTAAATTGGCTGCATGGCCTTGGGCAAGTAACTTTACTACTCTGAATTGTTTTCTAACATGTAGAGTTAGTGTTAATTGTTTCTTACAGCTGATCTAAGGAGTAAATTAAATATATTTGATATGTATTATTATCACCTAACTAGGCCTCTGATTGGCTTCGTCATTTGGTGTAGTACTTGAAATCATAAAAAGGTTTCTCATCTTGCTTTTATAAAAAAATACAAAATATTTACAATGAACCACTGTCACTGAAATTTCTACCTACTTTTTCTGCTTTCCCCAAAACACACACACACACACACACACACACACACACACACACACACAGCTTCTCATTAGGTCTATTATCTCATTTCCTGCTAATTCTCTTTCTCTCTTATGAATTCCTTTTTAGCCATGCTAGCATCCTTGCCTTCGCTAAACATATAGAATTACTCCTACCTCAGTGCCTTTGCACCTATTCTTCCTTTTTCTGGAAACTTCCTCCCATGGATAGCTCACTCTCTCAGTTCCTCCAAAGTTTTGCTTAAATGTTAAAATCTGATTGAGACCTTCTCTGATGATGCTGTATAAATTACCATGTTTCTCACTTCATTCTTCCAGCACTAGCTATCTCCTTTCCCTGCTTAATTTTTCTCTATGTGTATTAATTATCTATTGTTTTATATCAAATTACTTCAAAACTTCGTGGCTTAAAACAATAAAAATTTATTTTTTTTACATTTTCTGTGGGGCAGGCAGGATTCCTGGCATAGCTTTACTACATGCCTGTGGCTCAAGGTCCCTCATGAGATTGTTTTCAAGCTTATGGCTGGGGCTGTGGTCTCATCTGAAGGTTTGTCTGGGAAAGAGTATACTTCTAAGTTTGTTCCTGTGATTGTTGGTCAGATTCAGTTCTTGTGGGTTGTTGGACTGACAGCCTCAGTTTCTTGAAGTCTGTTGCCTGGATGCCACCCTCAGTTCCTTGCCACATATGGCTCTCCATAAACTCAAAACACAGCCATTGGCTTTCCTTAGAGAAAGTGAGACAAAGTGAGAATTTCCAAGACAGAAGTTGCATTATGTTTGTAACCTATGCTCTGAACTGACACTTATACGATATTCTATTTATTAGAAATAAGTTACTAGGTTTAGCCTACACCCAAGGGAAAGACATTATACAAGGGGGTGAATACTAGGGAGTGAAGATCATTACGGGCTATTTTAGAAGCTAACTAAAACACCATGCTTGTATGGAATTTTGCCTGTTTTGTTCACTGTTATATCCCAAGAGTTTAGAACAATGCTTGACACATAGTGTATTTTCTATACATATTTGTTGAATGCATGAATCTAATACAGAATCTGCATGTAGTTGGTGTATAATAAATGATGGTTACATTATACATTCTTAAATAAGAATTTTCCTAATCATTCTTGTTATTCCTTAAATTATTTATATTGGATTTGATTTTCTATGATGCTACTAAATTAGATAATAAGAAAGAGCATCATAGGGTGCTTCCTCTAAAATTTTCATGCTTTAGAGAAAATATACTTCCTTTGGCTATCAAAGCTGCAAATTATAGGAAGATCAGGATGGCTACATCAAAGACTATAACAGACTAGTAGCAAAGAAAATTAAAGGTTGATAATACTCATCAGATTAGACTGTGTGTGTAGCTCAAGGCTTTGATGGAAAAACGAGGTTTATGGGGGAAAAAATCTGAAGATTTCTGATTCATAACAGCTGTAAAATTTTATGCTTCTATTTTTATTTTCTTTTTTGAAGAAGTCTGGATTGCTGTTAAGGAATCAGTATTCATTTCTAAAAGCCCTTCTCCTTCATTAAATAAAGATCTTACCCTCACTTAGACATAGTTTACCAGGGATTTTATAACTTTTAATGTCATTGAATTAGGGAAATCCTAGAATTAGAAATCAGCAGTACAAGAACATCCAAAGCATAAAGAACATCTTGTTCCCATTTGAAGCTAGGTGAGATTCAACTGAAAAAAAGTATACAGTTTGATGAGCTCAACAACATCTGTTTCTCTTGTTTTTAACTGTTCTTGTGAGTTAATGAATAAATGACAGGTGCTGAAGGAGAGGAATGCCAATAGAGGTTGACTAGGAATGGGCTGCTTTCCTTAATGGCAACTGTGCAATGCCAGAAGGCCTAGATGTTCATCAAGCTGGTGGAAGATACTAAGCACCTATCCTGTGTGTGATCCAGGACAGCAGCCCCTGAAGAGGAGCTGAGAACCACATCTAATGTGATACCTGTGTGATATGTCTGATGAAACAGGAAAACAATCACTCTTTGCATTTTCACTTTGATTCATCTTTGCTCTTTATACTGTTACTTCAGTTAATCAGTAACTTCTTACTTAAGTTATTCCTGAAAATAATCGGTAACTTCTTACTTAGGTTATTCCTGAAAATGTCAGTTAATAATTGGTAACTTTTTACTTACGTTACTCCTGAAAATGAGGTAGTTGTATGTTCAGGAACTGACACATCTACCTTTCAGTTATACTGGACCTGACTGCTTAAAGACCTTGTCATCATATTGAGGAGATGAAGATCCTTTTCACCTCTTGTGGCCATTGACCCCAAGAAATGGACATTAAAGTTTGTGCCCAAAACAGAAGGGTGCAACAATTGCATGTCTCAGTTGTACACTTACTTCTTCAGGACCACCGAGTAAGGGAAATCAACTGCACAAACACCTACACTCTGATGCTAATTTGGTCTATGTGAAAGTTTTAACTGAAGAAGGATGGAGACTCACACTCTGTATATTGGAGATGGAGGGAGTTGGTGAGGCTGAAGCCCCCTTCACTTCCTCCATGAACCCTATACCACAAGGAAGGCAAGGAGTGGTTGTCTAATAGCCTTCCTTTGAGAAAACAAAAGCCTTGAGGGTATTAAGTGACTTTTCTTAGAACTATACAGCTTATTAACACCAGAATTGTAATTTTAAACAAGCAATCAGGAAGTACTGGAGAAAAAAATATTTAAATGATTACACCAAGAATAAAAATAAACTTCTCTTTATCAGCAGTGAGATTAGAAAGATGACATTTTTTCTTTGATATTATCTGGAAGTTAAACTGATGAGTGTCTGAGAGAATACACTTAGTTTCTCTGCAAACAATTGAAATATTAGATCATTTTAATTATATTAAAATTACTCCCGTGTAAGCTGCAATCGCATTTGTGCAGCAGCAATGGAATATGAGAAAGTGTAAGTGCAGGGGAGTTGAAGGCTTTAATTAGAATTGAAAAACAAGAACACTGATGTACTATTCCTTTTAGAATAGATCTAGCTTCATTTAATTTAGAATTCAAAGATTTGCAAAAGAATGGGACAAATATTGTTAGGCGAGAGGTAGCAAAAAAGTGTAAAAACAGTCAGCAAAAATATGCTAAATAAAAGCTGTTATTTACATTAGCACTTAACAGAGTAAACAAGAAAAAAGATTGTTGTACTAATAAAGACAAAGGTAACAATACAGTTGTAACAATTCAGGTTTAAAACTGTATTTCAATCATTTAGAAGGCATTAATAAAAACCGCTGTTAAACCAAATATAAACAACTGTGAAAGGAAAGATGTAGCGTTGTCTTGTGGATAGAGCATTGAACTAGAAATATCTTTCCTTGAAAATTCTTTGCAGCTGGGCCTCTGATTCCTCATGAGGCATAGGGAAAGGCACTTTATTCCTCAATGCCACTGTTTTCTCATCTGCAAATCAGAACCCATAAAAAATCTCAACCCTATATAACTCCTGGACATACCATGTGATGTATTGGTTCTATTTCAGATATGCAGAAACTTGCAAAAACATATCTAAACATTTCTTCTGTATCAATTTATTTGGCCTTGCTGCTTTTTCTCTATAAGATAAGACCAGGGAAGCTTTAGCATATTAAGCAAATCAAAGTAAAGTTGCTCTTTTGGAACTGAGGAATGCAAGGAACATCACCCTCCCACCTACTCAGCTACCCTCATTTGCTCCACTCTGTCTGCTTCTAAAAGGGGCTTCACAAAATCCCACAACTCTGTTGATTACAGTTCTAAAATTCTCATCTTCACGATGCTCGCAGCTGAATATTTTGGATGAATCAAATAAATATTTTTCTCCACTTTTCATTCAGCTTTTTTCATGTATAGAGTTTTAATAGAATGATAATTTTAAACCACATTAAACCATAAAAGGTATTATTAAGATCCAAGCTTTAGAAATCATTTTTTCTTCTCAATCAAAAAGTAAGTAAAAAACAAAATTACTGAATCCTGAAGTTATGTTTCGATTTGTTGGATAAGACCAAAAATAAACATCTCCTGCAAGAATTCCTGTTTTTAAAGAATTCAATTCAAAGGAAATCCAAGTGTCAGTAAAAAACTCTTCGCACTAAAAATTAAGACTTGATACCCGAGTTCTAGCCCTGGTTTCTTCTTTAATTGACCACATGGTTTTGAAAACTTCCCAAAATACATTTCCTCCATATTCCATATTTACATAATATGTAAAACGGGAATCATACATAAGCGATAAGCTGTATAGAGATAATGTTTATAGTGAACAGTGGGGTCAGGGCTCATAGCCTCTTTGGTTATTTTAGTAAAGGCATAGCTTTTTTTTGGCTACATATTTTATGTATGAGAGAAAGAAGAGAATATACGTGTATATACACATATATACACATATACACATGTACACATATATACACATATACACATATATATACACATATATACACATATACACATACATATATACACATATACACACATATATACATATACACAATACATATATACACATACATATATACACATATACACATATATGTGTATATACACATATATATGTATAAAATTATCTACCAATAGATTTCTAATATGAAGTCTCGCTGTGTCTCTCTGAACTAAAACTGATTCTTGCATTTGTAATTTCAAATCACAATATCTGAGAAGAAACATGACCAGTGACTATCAAATGAGTCAGAAAACAAAAACAGTTATACCTCAGGACATTAAGTTACTATGAATATAGACCCAGAACCCACGTACATTGGAAGGAAAGACATGTTAAATTATAAGACTTTTCTGTTATTTCAAAATTTTAATATGTTATTCTTTAATGGTTCCTTTATACCTTCTACTGCCCCTCCTTTCACTCACACCTGCTCAAAGTCACTCCTCCTCCTCTCCGCTCCTCCCTCCTCCTCATTTTCTTCAGTTCCACCACTGAATTTTCCAGCTCACTCATGTATCAAAGTTCTAATTGGTTTCTGGATTTTCTACAAAAACCTACAGTGACTTTTTCTTAACTTTGCCCACATAGTTACAGGACATATAATTATACTAAGATGTGGATAATGTTTAAATCAGTTAAAAGAATTAATGCATATCCCATTAGATAAGCAGCTATTAGATGAATAGCAGCAAAGTGGGTGTTGGCATTCTTACACTTCTCTACTTAAATCTCAGAAAATTGAAATCATCAAAAGATAGAGCAGTTTGGCTGTCAATACTACATTATTACTCATGTCCTGACCAACTCTTCTTTGTGCAACGTTCATTTTATTATAATGACAACTAAAGAAAGGTATTGCATTAGCACTTTCTTGATCAGACCCTATTAAGGGTATTTTGAAGTAAATCCCTTCAAATTGTTTGAATGTAAAAAGGAGTCATTTTGATTATGTAGATGACATCTTCGTCATTTGAAAAGTATCAAAACAAAAATTTCTAGACTTTAAACTAAAATACACCCTTTTCCTCATTTCCAATAAAGATGCAACACAATATGACATTAATTTTTAATGTACACAAAATTTTCACCATGTTTTATATAAAAACACATCACAGTCTGATATATTGGCTATTTTACTTGTAAATAATTCATTTATGGATAAAAGCTCTTAGGTTAGAATTTTAAAGTACTTTAACAGTAAAGTGTTTTATGTATACAGGCACACCTAGTTTTATTGTGCTTCACTTTACTGCATTTCACAGATTTCACACTTTTTAAAAATGAAGGTTTGCAGTAACCTTGCATGGAACAAGTCTGTTGGGACTATTTTTCCAATGTCGTGTACTCACTTCATGTCTCTATGTCACATTTTGGTAGGTCTAGAAATATTTTAAATGTTTCACTATTATTACATCTGTTATAAAGATCTGTACTCAATGATCTTTAATGTTACTATCATAATGTTACCCCCAGCCACATTCATGTAAGTTGACAAACTTAATCAATAAATATTGTGTGTCTGACTGCTCCACTCACTGCCCATTCCCATTCCCCCATCTCTCTCCCTCTGCTCAAACCTATCTACTCCCAGAAAAACAACAATATTGAAATTAGGGCAGTTAGTAACCCGACAATGGCCTTTAAGTGTTCAAATGAAAGGAAGAGTCTCACATCTTTCACTTTAAATAAAAAACTAGAAACTATTGAGCTTACAGAGGCAGGCATGTCAAAATCCAAAACAGGCCAAAAGCTAGACTTATTGTGCCAAACAGTTAGCCAAGCTGAGAATGCAAAGGAAAAGTTCTTGAAGGAAATAAAAAGCACTACTGCAGTGAACACACCAATGATAAGAAAGCGAAACAGCCTTATTGCTGATACGGAGAAAGTTGTAGTGCTCTGTATAGAAAATCAGACAAGTCACAACATTCCTTAAGCCAAAGCCTAATCCAGAGCAAGGCTCTACCTTTCTTCAATTCTATGAAGGCTAAGAGAGGTGGGAAATCTGCAGAAGAAAAGTTGGAAACTAGCAGAGGTTGGTTAATTAGGTTAAGGAAAGAAACTGCCTCCATAACGTAAAAGTAGAAGGTGAAGCAGCAAATGCTGATATAGAAGCTGCTGCAAGTTCTTCAGAAGATCTAATTAAGATCATTGATGGAGTTGGCTACATTAAACAACAGATTTTCAATGCAGATGAAACAGTCCTATATTGGAAGAAAATGTCATCTGGGATGTTCTTAGCTAGAGAAGTCAGTGCCTGGCTCCAAAGCTTCAAAGAATAGGTTGACCCTCTTTTTAGAGGCTAATGCAGCTGGTGACTTTAAGTTGAAGCCAATGCTTATTTATCATTTCACAAATTCTAGAACCATTAGGAATTATGCTAAATCTACTCTGCTTGTGCTTTATAAATGGACCAACAAGGCCTGGTTAACAGTACATGTGTTTACAGCAGGGTTTACTGAATATCTTAACCCTACTGAGAACTATTGCTCAGAAAAAAACAATTCCTTTTAAAATATTACTGCTCATTGACAATGAACCTAGTTACCTAAGAACTATGACTGAAATGTATAAAGAGATTAATATTGTTTTAGTACCTGTTCACACAATAAGAATTATGCAGCCCATGGATTAAAGAGTAATTTTGACTTTCATGTCTGATTATTTAAGAAAGACAATATATAAGGCTATAGCTGCCACACATGGTGTTACCTCTGATGGATCTGGACAAAGTAAATTGAAAATCTTCTGTGGTCCTTAGACACAGGAAGGGGAACATCACACACCGGGGCCTGTCGTGGGGTGCAGGGAGGGGGGCATAGCATTAGGAGATATACCTAATGTAAATGACGAGTTAATGGGTGCAGCACACCAACATGGCACATGTATACATATGTAACAAACCTGCACATTGTGCACATGTACCCTAGAACTTAAAGTATAATAATAATAATAATAATAAAAGAAAACCTGAAAAGGACTCACTATTCTAGATGCCAATCAGAACATTCGTGACTCATGGAAGGAGAGGTCAAAAGAAGTAAACTGAAAATCTTCTGGAAAGGATTTGCTATTTTAGATGCCAATCAGAACATCTGTGACTCATGGGAGGAGGTCAAAATATCAACATTAATAGGAATTTGGAAGAAGTTGGTTCCAACCATCATGGATGACTTGGAGGGATTCAACACTTCTGTGGAGGAAGTAACTGCAGATGTGGCAGAAATACAAGAGAACTAGAATTAGAAGTAGAGCCTAAAGATGTGACTGAATTGTTGCAACCTCATGATCAAACTTGGAGAGATGAGGAGTTGCTTATAGATGAGGAAAATGGCTCATTAAGATGAACTCTACTCCTAGTGAAGATGCTGTGAACACTACTGAAGTAACTACAAAGTATTTAGAATCTTATATAAACTGAGCTGATGCAGACTCAGACCTTAAGAGGATTGACTTCAATATTAAAAGAAGTTCTACTGTAGGTAAAATGCTATCAAACAGCATTGCATGCTACAGAGAAATCTTTTGTGAAAGGAAGAGTCAATCAATGGGGCAAACTTCATTGTTTCTTGTTTCAAGAAATTGTCAACCTTCAGCAACCATCATTCTGGCAAATCAGCAGTCATCAACAGAAAGGCAAATCCCTCTAATAAAAAAAAAGATTATGACTAGCTAAAGGCTCAGATGATCATTACCATTTTTTATTTATCAAGAAAGTATTTTTAAATGAAGGTGTATACATTGTTTTTTTTAGACAAAATTCTATTGCTCGCTTAGACTAAAATATAATGTAAATAAAACTTTTATATGCACTGGGAGACCAAAAAATTTGTGTGACTCACTTTACTGTAATATTTGCTATATTGCAGAGGTCTGGAAACAAACACATAAAACCTCCATTGTACGTCTATATATATGAAAATTTAAAAGACAAATTATAGAGCTTACAGTTTTCAACAATGAATAACATGCTTGGGTTAACAATGACTATAATTTGCACTGTATTAGACTTTAACCAATTTTTTTCAAATCTCAAGTCTTTCCATCAGTTTCTTAATTTCAATTTTTTATTTTTATTTTTTAAATTATACTTGAAGTTCTGGGATACATGTGCAGAACTCGCAGGTTTGTTACATAGGAATACACTTGCCATGGTGGTTTGCTGCACCCATCAACCCGTCATCTACATTAGGTATTTCTCCTAATGCAATCCCTCCCCCAGCACCCACCCCCAGACAGGGCTCGGTGTGTGATGTTCCCCTGCCTGTGTCCATATGTTCTCATTGTTCATCTCCCACTATGAGAACACGCAGTGCTTGGTTTTCTGATCCTGTGTTAGACTGCTGAGAATGATGGTTTCCTGCTTCATCCATGTCCCTGCAAAGCACATGAACTCATCCTTTTTTATGGCTGCATAGTATTCCATGGTGTATATGTGTCCCATTTTCTTTATCCAGTCTATCATTGATGGGCATTTCAGTTGGTTCCAAGTCTTTGCTATTGTGAATAGTGCTGCAATAAACATACATGTGCATGGGTCTTATAGTAAAATGATTTATAATCCTTTGGGTATATACCCAGTAATGGGATTGCTGTGTCAAATGGTATTTCTGGTTTTAGATCCTTGAGGAGTCACCACATTGTCTTCCACAATGGTTGAACTAATTTACACTACCACCAACAGTGTAAAAGCATTCCTATATCTCTGCATCCCCTCCAGGATCTGTTGTTTCCAGACTTTTTAATGTTTGCCATTCCAAATGGCGTGAGATGGTATCTCATTGTGATTTCGATTTGCATTTCTCTGATGACCAGTAGATGATGAGCTTTTTTTCATATATTTGTTGGCCGCATAAATGTCTTCTTTTGAGAAGAGTCTGTTCATATCCTTTGCCCACTTTTTGATGGAGTTGTTTGTTTTCTTCTTGTAAATTTGTTTGTGTTCCTTGTAAATTCTAGATTTTAGCCCTTTGTCACATGAATAGATTACAAAAATTTTCTCCCATTCTGTAGGTTGCCTATTCACTCTGATGACAGTTTCTTTTGCTGGGCAGAAGCTATTAATTTAATTAGATCACGTGTCAATTTTGGCTTTTGTTGCCATTGCTTTTGATGTTTCATTTGTGAAGTGTTTGCCCATACCTATGTCCTGAATTGTATTGCCTAGGTTTTCTTCTAGGGTTTTTATGGTTTCAGGTCTTACATTTAAGTCTTTAATCCATCTTGACTTAATTTTTGTATAAGTTGTAAGGAAGGAGTCCAGTTTCAGTTTTCTGCATATGGCTAGCCAGTTTTCCCAACAACATTTATTAAGTAGGGAATCCTTTCCCCATTGCTTGTTTTTCTTGGGTTTGTGAAAGATCAGATAGATGCAAATATGTGGTATTATTTCTGAGGCCTCTGTTCTGTTCCATTGGTCTATATATCTGTTTTGGTACCAGTACCATGCTGTTTTGGTTACTGTATCCTTGTAGCATAGTTTGAAGTCAGGTAGCATGATGCCTCCAGCTTTGTTCTTTTTGCTTAGGATTGTCTTGGCTATACGAACTCTTTTTTGGCTCCATATGAAATTTAAAGTAGTTTTATTCTAATTCTGTGAAGAAAGTCAACGGTAGCTTGATGGGGATAGCATTGAATCTTTAAATTACTCTGGGCAGTATGGCCATTTTTGTGATATTGATTCTTCCAATCCATGAGGATGGAATGTTTTTTCATTTGTTTGTGTCCTTTCTTATTGCCTTGAGCAGTGGTTTGTAGTTCTCCTTGAAAAGGTCCTTCACATCCCTTGTAAGTTGTATTTCTAGGTATTTTATAATCTTTGTAGCAATTGTGAATGGGAGTTCACTCATGATTTGGCTCTCTGATTGTCTATTATTGGTGTAGGAGTGCTTGTGATTTTTGCACATTGATTTTGTATCCTGAGACTTTGCTGAAGTTGCTTATCAGCTTAAGGAGATTTTGCACTGAGACAACAAGGTTTTCTAAATATACAATCATGTCATCTGTGAACAGGGACTATTTGACTTCCTCTCTTCCTATTTGAAAACGCTTTATTTCTTTCTCTTGCCTGACTACCTGGCCAGATCGTCCAATACTATATTGAATAGGAGTGGTGAGAGAGGGCATCCTTGTCTTATGCTGGTTTTCAAAGAAAAAGCTTCCAGCTTTTGCCCATTCAGTATGATATTGTCTGTGAGTTTGTCATAAATAGCTCTTATTATTTTAAGATACATTCCATCAATACCTAGTTTACTGAGAGTTTTCATCATGAAGGGGTGTTGACTTTTATTGAAGACCCTTTTGCATCTCTTGAGATGATCATGTGGTTTTTGTCATTGGTTCTGTTTATGTGATGAATTACGTTTATTGATTTGCATATGTTGAACCAGCCTTGCATCCCAGGGATGAAGCCAACTTGATTGTGTTGGATAGGCTTTTTGATAGGCTGCTAGATTTGTTTTTCCATTATCTTATTGAAGATGATCACATCAATGTTCCCCTGGGATATTGGCCTAAAATTTTCTTTTTTTGTTGTGTCTCTGCCAGGTTTTGGTATCAGGATGATCCTGGCCTCATAAAATAAGTTAGGGAGGATTTCCTCTTTTTCTATTGTTTGGAATAGTTTCAGAAGGAATGGTACCAGCTCCTCTTTGTACCTCTGGTAGAATTTGGCTGTGAATCCATCTGGTCCTGGGCTTTTTTTCTTTGGTGGGCTGTTAATTACTGCCTCAATTTCAGAACTTGTTATTAGCCTATTCAGGGATTTGACTTCTTCCTGGTTAATCCTGGGAGGGCATAAGTTTCTGAGAATTTATCCATTTCTTCTATATTTGCTAGTTTATTTGTGTAGAGGTGTTTACAGTATTTTCTGATGGTAGTTTGTATTTCTTTGGGATCAGCAGTGTTCTCTCCTTTACCATTTTTTATTGTGTCTATTTGATTCTTCTCTCTTTTCTTATTAGTCTGGCTAGCTGTCTATTTTGTTAATCTTTTCAAAACATCAGCTCCTGGATTCATTGATTTTTTGAAGGGGTTTTCGTGTCTCTATCTCCTTCAGTTCTACTCTGATCTTAGTTATTTCTTGTCTTCTGCTAGCTTTTGAATTTGTTTGCTCTTGTTTCTCTAGTTATTTTAATTGTGATGTTAGGGTGTCAATTTTAGATCTTTCCTGCTTTCTCCTGTGGGCAGTTAGTGCTATAAATTTCCCTCTAAACACTGCTTTAGCTGTGTCCCAGAGATTCTGGTACATTGTGTTTTTGTTCTCAACAGTTTCAAAGAACTTATTTATTTCTGCCTTAATTACATTATTTATCCAGTAGTCATTCAGGAGCAGGTTGTTCAGTTTCCATGTAGTTGTGCGATTTTGAGTGAGTTTCTTAATCCTGAATTCTAATTTGATTGCACTGTGGTCTGAGAGACTGTTGGTTATGATTTCTGTTCTTTTGCATTTGCTGAGGAGTGTTTTGCTTCCAATTATATGGTCAATTTTAAAATAAGTGTGATATGGTGCTGAGAAGAATGTATTTTCTGTTGATTTGTGGTGGAGAGTCCTGTAGATGTCTCTTACGTCCGCTTGGTCCTTAGCTGAGTTCAAGTCCTGAATATCCTTGTTAATTTTCTGTCCTTGTTAAATTTCTGTCTAATATTGACAGTGGGGTGTTAAAGTCTCCCACTATTATTGTGTGGGAGTTTAAGTCTCTTTGTATGTCTCTAAGTACTTTTTACCACTATGTAATATCCTTGTCTTTCTTGACCTTTGCTGGTTTAAAGTCTGTTTTATCAGAGACTTGGATTGCAACCCCTGCTTTTTTTTTCTTCCCATTTCTTGGTAAATATCCCTCCATCCGTTTATTTTGAGCCTATGTGTGTTTGCACATAAGATGGGTCTCCTGAATACAGCACACCAATAGGTCTTGATTGTTTATCCAATTTGCCAGTCTGTGTCCTTTAATTGGGGCATGTAGCCCATTTACATTTAAGATTAATATTGTTACGTGTGAATTTGATCCTATCATTAATGGTGCTAGCTGGTTATTTTGCCTGTTAGATGATGCAGTTTTTCATAGTGTCTATGGTCTTTACAATTTGGTACATTTTTGCAGTGGCTGGTACCGGTTTTTCCTTTTCATATTTAGTGCTTCCTCCAGGAGCTCTTGTAAGGCAGGCCTGGTGGTGACAAAAATCTCTCAGCATTTGCTTGTTTATAGGGATTTTATTTCTCCTTTGCTTATGAAGCTTAGTTTGGCTGGATATGAAATTCTGGGTTGAAAATTCTTTTCTTTAAGAATGTTGAATATTGGCCCTTACTCTCTAATGGCTCATAGGGTTTCTGCAGAGATCCACTGTTAGTCTGATGGGCTTCCCCTTCTGGGTAACCCGGCCTTTCTCTCTGGCTGCCCTTAACATTTTTGCCTTCATTTCAACCTTGGTGAATCTGATGATTACGTGTCTTGGGGTTGTTCTTTTCGAGGAGTATCTTTGTGGCATTCTCCTGAAGTCTCCTGAAGCTGCTCCCACAGCCACCACTTCCCCTAGCTGCTCTGTCCCAGGGAGACACCTGACTGGTGCTGCTCCCTTTCTTTCAGAGATGGCTGCCCAGAGAGGAGGAATCTAGAGAGGCAGTCTGCCTATAGCAGCTTTGTGGAGATGTGGTGGGCTCCACCGAGTTCAAACTTCCCTGCAGCTTTGTTTACACTGTAAGGGGAAAATTGCCTGGTCAAGCCTCAGTAATGGCAGATGCCCCTCCCCCTACCAAGCTCAAGAGTTCTAGGTTTACTTCAGACTGCTGTGCTGGCAGCAAGAATTTCAAGCCAGTTGGTCTTAGTTTTCTGGGCTCTGTAGGGGTGGGATCCACTGAGCTAGACCACTTGGCTCCCTGGCTTCAGCCCCCTTTCCAGGGCAGTGAACGATTCTGTCTCACTGGCATTCCAGGTGCCACTGGGGTATGAAAAAAAAAACTCCTGCAGCTAGCTCGGTGTCTGCCCAAATGGCCATCTAGTTTTGTGCTTGAAATCCAGGGCCCTGGTGCTATAGGCACCCGAGGGAATCTCCTTGTCTGTGGATTGCAAAGACCATGGGAAAAGCGTAGTATCTGGGCTGGAATGTGCCATTCCTCACGGCACAGTCACTCATGGCTTCCCTTGGCTAGGGGAGGGAGTTCCTCAGCCCCTTGCACTTCCTGGGGGAGGTGATGCCCTACCCTGCTTTGGCTCACCCTCCATGGGCTGCACCCACTGTCTAACCAGTCCCAGTGAGATGAGCTGGGTACCTCAGTTGGAAATGCAGAAATCACCTGCCTTCTGAGTTGATCTTGCTGGGAGCTGCAGACTGGAGCTTTTCCTGTTTGGCCATCTTGGTCCACATCTGTATATCACTCCAATTATTTTTAAAACCTATTGTTACTAAAAGGAAACTCTGTGCTTGGTGTCAAAGACATTAAGAAATACAACAGGGTATAGCCAAACCTTAAAAACAGTTATTTTCATATGAGTTTACTGATTTTCATTGTTTTACAATGCCATTATCATTATAAGTATTATGATTAAAGTATGAAGAAAGTGTATCCGATTTCAATTTGAATGATGGTCAAAGATGTAGTTGCTCAATTTGACCTAAAAGTCTTACTATGATGAAACTTTGAGATGATTACTAGATTCTTTTCTCTATCCTTAGGTAAAAACTAAAATTCTCCTAACCCTGAGTTGTTTTCTCATTTCATTCTCCCTTAATAATATCACATTTTCACATCATCCTTTTCTGACCTTCACATTTATTAGGCCGTTGTAATGGGGTTATTCAAATATGGCCTTGTAATGTGAACACTTCCAGAAAGTAGCCACCTACCTTACATATTACTGAAGAACAACAACTGGTAACTGGTGTTCTGTTTTCTAATTCCACAGTTTAAGTCAACTCACATAAAAGATGAAAAGCATATGCTTTCCACTAGTCACCTTGGAATAGAATATTTAGAGAGCAGCAGCAGTCTTTCACTTGTACTGTTCAGTGCAGCACCTAGCACTTCTTGGGTGCTTAATAAATATTGAACAATCTAGCAATCAAGCCCTCCAGGCAATGGCTGCAGTTGTTATTCGACACATATGCAGACTGTACACAGTAGGAATTGCCAATCAAACAGCCAGATCTGAACACACAGAAAATAGCAGAGACAACAACAGCAGCATCACCTTCAAATACAAAGGACAATCTATATGTATATATTGTGCTATGTATGAATTTAATAGTATTCATGGTTGCCTTTGCATTCTACTCTGCATTTACATAACTCACCGCATGTGAAATTAGCCAAATGCTAAAAACTCTTCAATGAATATGCTTAACAAAAGGTCAACAGTCTCAAATCATTTTTTTAAATAAATGATGCATTTGCCTGAACTAAGTTCAAAATTGCCCTGGATGTGGGATATCTAACACTTTTATGCTATCAAACATGGAATTTCCTTGGTCCTACAAGCTAAAAATTGCTCACTCATGAATTCCACAAGTCTGAGAGTCCACTGAGAAATATGTCCCCTCATTAATATGTCTGATTAATAATTAATGTAAACTTTGCCTTTAGCACAAGATAGTACTTTGAATTATAAACCTTTATAATTAAGAACTATCATTTTGCTTTCAGACAATAAAGATGCCATTTAGTAGACTGCATTGTTGCCCTTTTTGCAACATTGTTTTCCTGGGAGCCTTGAAGAGTTAATGAATCTCCAAATATACCTAATTTCTGTGCAAAAATTTAGCTTTACCTAAGGGATCTGACCCAGTTCTTTAAAATAAAAATTAAACCTCATATAAAAAGCAAGATAAATGAAGGTATGACTGTACTGAGGTGATAGGAAAAGCCTTAACATACTTATCATTTCCCTTCTCACCTACATTTTCCTGTGATACTTGCTCTTGTGTCAACCCTTTAGTGAATATTGCTTGAGCTGCTTAAAATTATATATTCAATGTCAGCTTTATGCTCTAAGGAATATTTAATGTGAGACATCATTCACTTTTGCATAGCAATTAGCTCTGTAGTGTGAAAACTGGCTTCAGGTGAATTCTACTTTAAAAAAAATGCAAGCGAGAACAGGAAGAACCTCCAAGCATGCACCACTAGCAGCTGGAGGGTCCAGTATATACAGAAGATTGTCTTATACACAGATCAATGGAGTCTATTTACTGTACAAAAAAATACATCCAAATTAGGAAAAATAAGAGTCCTGGGATATGTAAGACATGGACAGAACATGTTTATTCCTTTAAATCTCAAGAACATTGTGAACTTGACTCACACTTTGACATTTAAGAAGGCACTGAAAACACACTCAGCACAGTGAAGACCTTGTCTTTATTTGCTCTTTGAAATGCATCTTGATACACTCTTATTCCTCCTGACCAGCAGGTTATATTGAGTTACCTAATCCAAACACAGCACTTGGCTGATTTGAATCATTTATTCAATATTTACTGAGTGCTTATGATGTGCCAGGCCTAGTAACAGCTGCAAACTGTAAATAAGTAAGACATGCCCCCTCCTGCTCTTAGGAAACACACACTCCAGAAGAGAAGATAGATATCCCCAGATCATTACAATGCAGTGTGGTAAAGGCCTAAATAGAAGCATGAACAAAATAGATACTTGGGGAGCAAAAGCCAGGGAGAAGCTAATCAGAGCTGGAAAATAATAAGACAGAATATGTAGGTTTTAAATACAGTTAAAAGCGTGATCAAAGTAGATCGCACATTCCAGGAAAAAAGAGCAGTTGCCCATATCCTCTAATAATTTTTCCACTAGCTCCTTCACAATATCCAATTCTAGGGACACAGAGATTTCCCATTCAAGAGGATGGTGATGCAGAGTTATTCTTCACTCTAAAAGGTAGAAACACTTAGGATATCTCTGAATAACTTAATATTAATCTGTTTGTCACTTAATAGGAGGTGGATTTCTACTAATTTCCCTAATGTCAGCAAAAGTCATAGAGATCACTCTAAGCTTGGCACTAGATATATAAAGATGAATATAATTTGCTGCATGATCATCAGGAGTTTGCATTCCAAGGAGAGAGACAGCTATATAATGATGGCATACTAACACAATCTGCTAAGTGCAATTAGGAAAAGATGCCTTCCATGCAATGCGAACATGAAAGAATGGACAATTAGCCCATCTAGGAAGGCATCAGAGAAGGAAGGATTCTTTAATCATTGAGTACTAAAGAAGAAATAAGAGATAGATAAAGAAAATTAGAAAGAGAAACCAGACAGAAGAACTGGATGAACTAACTCATAGAAGCACTAAAGAGCACTATACCAGCATCTTAAAAATCTTTTTTTTATTATTATACTTTAAGTTTTAGGGTACATGTGCACAACGTGCAGGTTAGTTATATATGTATACATGTGCCATATTGGTGTGCTGCACCCATTAACTCATCATTTAACATTAGGTATATCTCCTAATGCTGTCCCTCCCCACTCCCCCCACCTTACGTATCATGGAGCATAAGGAAGAAGGCAAAGGAGAAATGTGAACCTAGCAGGTAAACAGTTACCAGATGCTTGCACAATATTACATGTTTTTAGAAGGAGCTCTGTATTATTATGGTCTAGTCAGTGGGCAGACATTTTATAAAAGAGAAAACAGAGATGCTAAAAATTTAGTCACTGGCCAAGGTTGCAAAAAACGTAAGTAGCAGAACCAGAGGTCAGAGTCAGGTCGGTCCTCTTCCAGAGCCCACCCTTGACTACTATGACTCCGTAAGTGAGTTGTGGGGCTATTTTCACATCTTCCATCAAGTTACTTTGCCTTCTTGTTCCTCTCATTATCGATTGATGATATAGTCAGATGAGCTATAGCAAGAATGTGTTTGGGATTCACAAAGATGGAAAACATGAGATTGTTTGGAAGAAGAATGCCACACAAGTACTAATATGATGTCAGAAGCCAGTGTGATTTTTTTCCTGCTAAAGCAACAGAGTGTTTTGAAATTAAAGTCATAATTGGACCTAGAATGCTAATAGGTGCAGCTGTACAACCTGATCAGTAAACAAAGAAGATGACAAACAGAGAGAAAGAAAATAGAATGTAAGAATGCAGGGCAACTGAACATGTAGCCTAAATAATTTGAAGAAGAAGAGGCATGGGTGTAATATTAGCATAAAATATATAAAATAATGATTCTTAGGTGAAGGGAAATTAATTATATTATCTGGCAATGATATAATCAGAAACATTGGACTTCATTGATGAGAGAATAGTAGCCTATATAGTAGAAAACATTTTAGAAGTAAGATCAACTGCAGAGTAGCAAGATTTTTGATATGTGGAAGAAAAAAGTACTTACAATTTTCAATTTGCAGTTTTCCAGAGTAATTGAGTCTATTTTCTTTATACCAGAATCCTTCAACACTGGACAGGGGCTGATGAACATAGGTGACTTAACAGGGGTCCTTTCCTTTCTGCCATAAGTTTTCAATGATGCTCTGATATCATATCAAGTTTCAAGAAAACACTCTCTTTGTAGCAACTGTAAATGGGAGTTCATTCATGATTTGGCTCTCTGCTTGTCTATTGATGAATAGCAATGCTTGTGATTTTTACACATTGAATTTCTATCCCAAGACTTTACTGAAGTTACTTATCAGCTTAAGAAGCTTTTGGGCTGAGACAATGGGGTTTTCTAGATATAGGATCATTTAATTTCCAAAGAGGAATACAGCTAACAAGGGAAGTGAAGGACCTCTTCAAGGAGAACTACAAACCACTGTTCAAGGAAATCAGAGAGGACACAAACAAATGGAAAAACATTCCATGCTCATGGATAGGAAGAATAAATATTGTAAAAATGGCCATACTGCCCAAAGTAATTTATAGATTCAATGCTATTTCCATTAAACTACTATTGACACATCACATAATTAGAAAAAAAACTACTTTAAAATTCACATGGAACCAAAAAAAGAGTCTGTACAGCTAAGACAAACCTAAGCAATAAGAACAAAGCTGAAGGCATCACGCTACCCAACTTCAAACTATACTACAAGTCTACTGTAACCAAAACAACATGGTACTGGTAGAAAAACAGATATATAAACAAATGGAACAGAATAGAGATCTCAGAAATAAGACCACATATCTACAGCCATCTGATCTTTGACAAACGTGACAAGAACAAGCAATGGAGAAAGGACTCCCTATTTAATAAATGGTGCTGGGAAACCTGGCTAGCCATATGCAGAAAATTGAAACTGAACTCCTACTTTACACCATATACAAAAATTAACTCAAGCTGGATTAAATACTTAAATGTAAAATCCAAAACTATAAAAACCCTAGAAGAAAATCAAGGTAATACCATTCAGGGCATAGGCACAGGGAAAATTTTCACGATGAAAACACCAAAAGCAAAAATTGACAAATGGGATCTAATTAAATAAAGAGCTTCTGCATAGCAAAAGAAACTATCATCAAAATGAACAGACATCCTACAGAATGGAAGAAGACTTTTGTAATCTATCCATCTGACAAAGGTCTAATATCTAGAATCTACATGGAACTTAAACAAACTTACAAGAACAAAACAACCCCATTAAAAGGTAGGCAGAGGACATGAACAGACAATTCTCAAAGAGAAGTCATTTATGCTGCCAACAAACATGAAAAAAAAGCTCAACATCACTGATCATTAGAGAAATGCAAATCAAAACCACAACAAGATATCATCTCACGCCAACCTCATGCCAGTCAAAATGGCAATTACTAAAAAGTCAAGGAACAACAGATGCTGGTGAGGCTGTGGAGAAGTAGAAATGCTTTTTTTTTTGAGGCGGAGTCTCGCTCTGTCGCCCAGGCTGGAGTGCAGTGGCGTGATCTCAGCTGACTGCAAGCTCTGCCTCCCGGGTTCACGCCATTCTCCTGCCTCAACCTCCTGAGTAGCTGGGACTACAGGTGCCCACCACCTCACCCGGCTAATGTTTTGTATTTTTAGTAGAGATGGGGTTTCACCGTGTTAGCCAGGATGGTCTTGATCTCCTGACCTCGTAATCCGCCCGCCTCTGCCTCCCAAAGTGCTGGGATTACAGGTGTGAGCCACTCTACCTGGCCCCGAAATGCTTTTACACAGTTGGTGGGAGTGTAAATTAGTTCTACCACTGTGGAAGACTGTGTGGCAATTCCTCAAAGACACAGAGGCAGAAATACCATTTGACCCAGCAATCCCATTACTGGTACATAACCAAATAAATACAAATCATTCTATTATAAAGAAACATGCATGCAATTGTTCATTGCAGTGCTATTCACAATAGCAAAGGCATGGAATCAACCTAAATGCCCATCAATGATACGCTGGATAAAGAAGATGTGGGGCTGGGGGTGGTGGCTTATGCCTGTAATCCCAGCACTTTGGGAGGCCAAGGTGGGTGGATCACCTGAGGTCAGGAGTTTAAGACCAGACTGGCCAACATGGTGAAACCCTGTCTCTACTGAAAATACAAAAATTAGCCAGGCATGGTGGTGCGTACCCATTAGTAATCCCAGCTACTCAGGAAGCTGAGGCAAGAGAATCGCTTGAACTTGGGAGGCAGAAGTGGCAGTGAGCTGAGATCATGCCACTACACTTGAGCCTGGGTTACAGAGCAAGACTTTGTCTCAAAAAAAAAAAAAAAAATAGGAAGGAAGGAAAGAAGGAAGGAAGGAAGGAAGGAAGGAAAGAAGGAAATATGGTATATATACACCATGGAATACCCTGCAACCATAAAGTGGAATGAGATCGTGTCCTTTGCAGGGACATGGATAGAACTGGAAGCCATTATCCTCAGCAAATTAATGCAGGAACAGAAAACCAAACACCACATATTCTCACTTATAAGTGGGAGCTTAACAAGGAGAACACATGGACACAGGGAGGGGAACAACACACACTGATGCCTGTTGTAGGGTGCAAGGGGGAAGGGAGAGCATCAGGATAAATAGCTAATGCATGAGGGGCTTAATACCTAGGTGATTAGTTGACAGGTGCAGCAAACCACCATGGCACACATTTACCTATGTAACAAATATTCACCTTCTGTGCATGTATTCTGAAACTTAAATTAAATTTTTAAAAAGTTTCAAGAAAATACTGTCCAGGAAAATGGGTTGATGTACTCTTTGAAAGAACAACACTGTGTTAATAGAGACTGACAATGGAAGGAAACCATGATTACTCTCAAACACAACGACAACCTGACCCTCTCATTTTCTCCATTTCTAAGTGAAATGCTGGAGGCAGGGGAAGGTGTTGAAGTTAAAATAAGAATTAAAGAATTGGCACTGCCATGCATGCTCTTTGAGCTAATGTTATTACCATATCCTCTGTCCAGCAATTTGTTCAGGTTAAACATCAGAAAGGGGTAAGGTAAGTGTCTATTTTTACAATACAGCTGGGGTTTGAAAACTTATGGTTTGAACACAAAACATGTTATTAAGCTGAGGTTTTTCAAAGCAGGAACATCTCATGAAATGGATTTGCTAGGGTTTCATTTGAAAATGTAATGACAAGTATTCAGTTGAAGACCAGGACCCCGATCTGTGCATGCATATTTATCAATTTCTTTTGGGGGAAAAATCCAGGTGACTCCAAATTTAGATTTTGGCCCTGATCTTGTTTATTTTGTACCTGAAACATGTTACATACAGCCTAGGTCAATGGGACAATAAGTCATTCTTTAAGGTAATTACTGAGTGCCTGCTGTTTCAACGGAATTTTAGGGGCAGCAAGATGTATGATGAAGTACATCATATAAGGGTCTTCAAGGAACTTGTAAAATTTTGAGAAAATAGGTGACTACATTAAAAGATTTTAATGTGAAGTAGTACAAGTGATTGATACAGAATATAAGAGTCTGCGGAGTGATAGAGAACATTATTCTTTACAATCTGAATCATGTTACATGAAATGACAGTAATTCGATCCTCAACTAGAAATCTCAACTAGATGTCAGTATTGCCTGAGTATGTTCACTCTCCACAGTTCAAAACAGCCGTTTGGTATCCTTTTCTCTCTTCTCAAACCATTAACATTCCTCCCCAACTCTAGGCTCATGACCCAGCTCCGTAATTCATTAAAGAAATAAAAACAGTCATAATTCAGATTACCTCACTCTCCAGCTAAAAGCTATATAAAAGCTTCCCACTGCCTTAAAATAGAATCCAAACTTTTACCTACAAGTCTGCAAGGCTGCAGATGATGTCTTCTCTGCTTCCCTCTCCCTCCCCATTTTTATACTTCTCTCCACTCTGTACTCTTGGTTCTGACATTTTACTTCCTTGAATAGACCCAACTTATTGCTGTCTAATGACTTTGCACCCACAGTTACCTTTGCCACAAATATCCTTCCTTTCCTTTGGCTTTCTCATGGTCAGCTTCCACTTATCATTCATTTCTCGGCTCAAATTCCACCTCTTAAGAAATGCTTTCCTAAACCTGGGTGTCCATCAACAGATGAATAGATAAAGAAAATGGGGTACATATACACAATGGATTACTATTCAACCATAAAAAAGAATGAGATCCTCTCATTTGCAACAACATAGATGGAATTGGAGGACATTAAATTAAGTGAAATAAGCCAGGCACAGAAAGAAAAACTTAGCATATTCCCACTAATTTGTGGTAGCTGAAAATTAAAACAATTGAACTCATGGAGATAGAGAGTAGAAGGATGGTTACTAGAGGCTGGGAAGGGTATTTGGGAGTGGGAAGGAAGTAGGGATGGTTAATGGGTACAAAAGTGTAATTAGATGGAATGAATCAGATCTAGTATTTGACAGCACAACAGGGTGATTACAGTCAACAATAATTTATTGTATATTTTATAATAACTACAGAAGTATAATTTGAATGTTTGTAACACAAATTATAAATGTTTGAGGTGATAGATACTCCATTTACCCTGATATGATTATTATGCATTGTTTGTCTGTATCAAAATATCTCGTGTATCCCATAAATATAGACAACTACTATGTACCCATAAACTTTTTAGTGCCTTTCCTTACTATCTTATCTAAAGAAGCTCTATTGTATCCCTTCCCCTAAATTAAGCATTTTCTTTTGTATAGCTTTTGTTTTTACTTTAGGACTGTGGCTTTCTAAAATTATCTTGTTTATTTATCTACTTTGGTTTTGACCGTCTTGTACCACTGGAATGGAAGTTCTATTGGGAAAGGAACCTGTCTGACATCTCCAGTGGCTTACCCTATGCCTGATTTATGAAACTCAAAAAATATCTGCTGAGTGAATTAATGAATGCATAACTAAAAGAATGGCTAAGCCTGAAAGTAAATGTGCAAAGGAGAGCTATACAATGTGTGATATTTGTAGGTTAATCCTTAGACTTGATGGAGCAGTATTGGCTTCCAAACCTGATATTCAAGTATAGAGACACTCTTTCTCCCTTTGTTGTCAGTAAGTGTATGGTTACCTTATAGCATCAGAAAAATCCAATTTATCTGTGGTTTGAGCTGATAGTCAAAGGTGTAACAAATATTTATTAAATGATATTGACTTTATATTATTTTCACCCACTAATTTTGCACTTATGTATTTTTATAATATTTCCTGTTGTCCAGCTAGTTGGACAGTTCTTCTATCAATAACAAATTTGTTAGTGTAATACGGCACAATTACATATTCATAAGTACGCCAAAGAATGCAAATACCCTTGAGTAATTAACATTCTCTAGTTATATTACCCAGAAACCTACGGTATGACACCCTCCTCTAAACCCCTAAAGAATAAGAAGATTCTAGTTTACATGAGCTGTACTATCAAAAAGCTGAAAGAATATTTACTGCTGCATAGGACGTTATGCTTTCTTAATGAAGTGAAGAACACATTCAGTGAAATATGTATTTCTCTTAATGTTTCTTAATTTAATATTGAACATTTCTTTCTTTAAGTGGACTTTGGGAGAGTAAAAAGAAATCCAACAAATTCAAATTGGAGGAAGCAGTCAAGAGTGTTAAAATAATTCTCTACACATTTTTCTTTGCACACATTTAATTTACATGAATCTCAGCAATAGCTTTGAAAAGCAAGTACCTCTTAAGAGACTTTTAGTTACTTTTAGTACCACTCTCTGGGTTCTTATAGCCACTTTAAAATTAAGGTGGCTTGGGGAAAAACTCATACCATTCCTGAAAAGAAGCTCTTCAAGTAAAAAGAAAAAAAAACCTTTTTTCTTCTCTTAATTTTATTCTTCCCACTATTTCCTTTAATGTACTTACTAATATAACGCAAGATAATGTTGCACGTAAGTTCTGAACATGTAGTTTTGGACTGATAATTTCATAGGTTAGAACATTCAGTCAGAACACTCATTAGATTACTATGTCTTCTATCCTATTCTATAATTTTTCTTATATCCATATGTCTATCCAAACACAAAAGACAGTGGCTGCTCTCTGCTGAGAAATGAAACGGAAATCTCCATTACAATACATTGCCTCCTGTATGAATGCTCTGCATTTCCAGCTGTCTTCACTGTATTAACTGATGTCATCTTGTAGATTTGTAGCCTTGTCTAAACTGCTCTTGCAATGACACTAATAATAAAAAGATACATCATGAGCAGCAGTTATTAATATATAACACTAATTACATAAAACATTGTTTTGTCTAGCACTACGATATTACATTAAAAACTGCCCTATCATCTTCATTTAACATCAACATAGTCTATACATGGAGAACTATATTTTGAAAGGGAACTTGGTTAACTCTTTTTAAAGTCTTATGAAAAGTGGCTTTGAAATTATGCTATATCACCAACCAAGCCATTATATAAATTTGCTTTTGTGAATGAAGATCAATCTGAGTAGCAAAAGTTTAATAATACAAAACGAATATGAATTATTCAAAAAGGAGCAAGCATTTAATGTTTTTTAATGAAAATGCAGATAATAAAAGTGGAAATGTCTTACCAATTTGGGGCTTTTTTGCAATTTTGTACTTCCCACTCATGTAACTATAAAAAATGCTTTGCAATATGGAAAGAGCATGGAAATCACCATTTTGAAACATACTGAATCAATGTATGCCTTTATTGGCTAGAACTTTTCTTGCTAATTGCATGCTTCAATACCTTGCAGTCGAGAGATAGATTGGAAAGGGAGAGAATGTAACCAAATTTTATTAATCAATAATTTACAGTAGAGCATGAAATGTTTAAAATTGTATCTGGGATCACAATAAAACGTGTCAAATGGTCATGGTCCTTAGGACATTAGTCTTTCAGTAAGCCTGGCTAACTCTAGCAGTGCCCCAGAAATGGATATATGAGAAGAAACTCTAGATGTTGGCATCAGAATTACAATTGTGTTTCTCATTTTTCTGTCCTGTCATTCCCACATTTGGCTTTCCTGTTTTTTCCACCCTCCAGTTCTTTTAAAGTTACAAGTTAGATCTCAGTCCCCGCCCACCTCCTTGGTTTGTCAATTGGTTTCAATTATCCCAACATATGTCAGTATCCAAGATGCTATTTCTATTGTCTACCTGGTGGCTTTATGAACTTTGATCATAAGTAAGAGAAGAGGTACTATTCCTCCTCATCTTTTCACCGGCTCTTCATTGGACCTTCCCACTTCAAACCAGTCACTTATACCTCAACTTTGTCCTTGCTAGGTCCTTCCTTGTGTAATAGAGGAACGAACAGGTGCCAGTACCTCTCAGGTGGTTTAGCCTCTGGAAAATGGTGGGGGGATGGTGTCTAAAACAGAGGACTATCTCAAGGGCATCATCAGAGTATGCAGTGGATACTTGATTAGAGCCTGAGGAATTTTCAGTGATTCAATCACATACATTGCTGAATGAGAGGGAATGTGTCACAGCTATCTGCAAATGTCATACGAGGCAAATGTGCACATGTTCTACAGAAAAAAAAGGGGCAACCAACAGGACTTCCATTTCCATAAAAATGTTACTTATGTGTTAGATTGAATGCTACATTTTTTAGTCCAAGGCAAAAGATTAATATCTATCTTAGGTTGTATCTGAGTGGAGAGAAGAATCCAACAAACATTGTTTAAGGAACTATGAGTCTAGACAACTTGGAATGTCTAGTTCTTAGACCTGGTATGTGTAGGGTACCTACTAAATTAATGAATGCTACACGGAAAAATAAATTAATAAAATAAGCTGGCATTCTAAAAAGAAAAATACAATTTCAACAAATAGGATCTTTGAAGAAAATGCTTTTCAAATAAAATAATGAAGAAATTGCACAAACAATGTGAATTTAGATAGGTAAACAAAGCAAGAAGAAAATAATATAATCTGTGTATGGGTAGAAATATAAAGACTACAATAGTTTTAAAATCAAGGAGGCAAAATATAGAGCTGACTAGGAAAATGGATATGGCATAATGTTCTTTTTGGTCCTGTGAGCAGATCAACGATAACTTCTACTTATTCTGTACACTCTGAAAGACTGATAATTGAGGAGGTAAACTCAGTAGAGGCAAAGAATCTGTGAGTCACCAAAATAAAAAAATAAATAAAATAGTCTGATTCTGATGGATTTTGGTTGGACTTAGAATGTGTTTTAGAGATACACTACAAAATATAGGCCCTTCAAAAGAAACAAGAATTGTATGGCGCATCTACCTCCAACTCTGTAGACTACTATAAAATTTTCAAATTTGAGGAATACTTCAAAGTAACCAAAAATATTATAACTTTATCAATCTGGTAAGTTCTCTGTCAGGACCAATTCATTTGCTATTTATTGTATTACCTCATTTGCTATTCATTGTCATTTGTACTTTTATCATCATAACTTAGCATTAATTACCACAGCATTAAAATAAAATTCCATTGTAATTCTATATTAATGGCATAAATGTCTCAAAGTGACACCTATGTTTAGCAATTTATTTTATCAAAGAGATGTCCATTTATTTTTAAAGACCTTTTCCACATAATTATAGGTAATGTCTAATTATCAAGTCAATATATTGATTATTTTTCATTAGAGTTATCTAATGGAGACTTGCCATTCTATTATTTGAGAACGAGAATTTCATCATTAATTGAATCTTGATTTTATAAATAAGAAAATAATAATTTACTTTTAGAAAGGGGTATTTTTTTCTCATTAGAATACACTTAGTTAATTCTATTCATTATCTAACCAACTATAAATTATCTTCCCAGTAATGTTTAATATGGTTTGGTATGTTCTTAAAAAGAAATCCTAATTATAACGCATCTCTATGTCAGTCATCTGTCAAAAGTGGTTTTAGTTCCTAACTTTGACATGCAGAATATTCAATATTCTCCTTAATTCATTGTATATTTTGGCCTCTATTTTCTTTGCAAATATAATTAGTCAGCATATTGTATCTCTTTTGTCAGGAAAAGACAAACCTGACTCTAATCTTAATTAAATAATCCAGCCCAAAAATCAGATATCAGATCTGTATCATACAATAAGATTCACTTATTGAAGGACCCATTTTGGGAGTGATCCTTAGACTGCTCCATAATCCCTGGACTAGGGAGACCAAAAAGCACTACTGTCACTGAAAAATATCAGTTGGGCCAGGAGACTAGATCCAAGAAAATTTGACTAACAAACTCTGCAGCTTCAAACTATAGCTACACTTACTATTTAAAAAAACCCATTGTGTAAAAATTAAACACCTCTCATTTTTCTGTTAGCAATTATCAAACTTTGGAGTATGAAAGAATCACTAATTTCCAATCCCAGAAATTCTGATACTCATGGATCTGTGGGTACAGCCCAGCCACTGCATTTTTACCAATAGGTCATGGAATGCCAGTGCAAATGAATAATGTTCAACACATAGACAAATATCCTGAAACTCCAGAACATAAAATATTTTTAATAGAATAAATACATCTTATGAGGATATGCAAATTAATCATAATTTTTTCATCTCTTTCTGAGTTTAAGCTACACACTGATCACATTGCTCAAGAATCAGACCAGACTATTAGAAAGAGCTACAGAGGCCGGACGCAGTGGCTTATGCCTGTAATCCCAGCACTTTGGGAGGCCGAGGCGGGCAGATGACGAGGTCAGGAGATTGAGACCATCCTGGCTAACACGGTGAAGCCCCGTCTCTACTAAAAATACAAAAATTAGCCAGGTGTGGTGGCACACACCTGTAATCCCAGCTACTCGGGAGGCTGAGGGAGGAGAATCACTTGAACCTGGGAGGTGGAGGTTGTAGTGAGCAGAGATTACGCCACTGCAATCAAGTCTGGTGACAGAGCGAGACTCCATCTCAAGAAATAAAAATAAATAAATAAATAAAAATTAAAAAAAGAAAAGAAAGAGTTACAGAAAGACATTTGATCCCAAGGTGACACTGGACTCTCTGAACTTGAGGGAAAGTGTAGAATTCAAAAGGGTTCCAAAAAGAGCTGTCTCTTCTCCATCTACTAGGTTACTTGAGCCTATCTGAAAGGAATTTTAAAATCCATGGATAGATAAAATCTCTAAAAAATTAACTCTTGCCAGGTGCAGCGGCTCACGCCTGTAATCCCAGCACTTTGGGAAGCTGAGGCGGGAGGATCACGAGGTCAGGAGATCAAGACCATCCTGGCTAACACGGTGAAACCCCGTCTCCACCAAAAATACAAAAAAATTAGCCTGGCGTGGTGGCGGGTGCCTGTAGTCCCAGCTACTCAGGAGGCTGAGGCAGGAGAATGGCGTGAAGCCGGGAGGCAGAGCTTGCAGTGAGCCGAGATCATGCCACTGCACTCCAGCCTGGGCGACAGAGCGAGACTCCGTCTCAAAAAAAAAAAAAAATTAACTCTTGCCTGTGACTCTAAAAATTTTACAAGCAGCTTTGAGGAAACAAAGAATGTTTAAAGCTTTTCAGTCCCAGTAATATTAATTGACGAATATTATAGCACTCTATAGAACACAGTGTGAATACTGAAACCAAGTGTTTGTGAATGTGTGTGTCAGTCCCATCACCTCAATTTAAAGATGTGTTACCTGCTATGATTTACAGGTACAAGGACCTAAAAAAAAGACATTACCACTTCACACCATGAAGTGATCCAATCATACCGTGTGACGTGTGTTAATAATTAACAGTTACAGAAATATAAAGATATAGGTCTATAATTCTATGTTAATTATGTTATGTGTGAATATGCTAATACAACCCTGATTTTGTATTAAGACTTCTAATGAAATTGAACTCAAATACTTATTATTTATAACCGAAAATATTTTAAAGTAAGTTTGAAAATCTAGAGTTCCTCTATTTATGACAAACCAACAGCCAATATCATACTGAATGGGCAAAAACTGGAAGCATTCCCTTTGAAAACTGGCACAAGATAGGAATGCCCTCTCCCACCACTCCGATTCAACACAGTATTAGAAGTTCTGGCTAGGGCAATCAGGCAAGAGAGAGAGATAAAGCGTATTCAATTAGGAAAAGAGGAAATCAAATTGTCCTTGTTTGCAGATGACCTGATTTTATATTTAGAAAACCCCATCATCTCAGCCCAAAATCTCCTTAAGCTGATAAGCAACTTCAGCAAAGTCTCAGGATACAAAATCAATGTGCAAAAATCACAAGCATTCCTACACATCAATAACAGACAAACAGAGAGCCAAATCATGAGTGAACTCCCATTCACAATTGCTACAAAGAGAATAAAATACCTAGGATTCTAACTTACAAGGGATGTGAAGGACCTCTTCAAGGAGAACTACAAACCACTACTCAATGAAATGAAAGAGGACACAAACAAATGGAAGAACATTCCATGCTCATGGATAGGAAGAATCAATATCGTGAAAATGGCCATACTGCCCAAGGTAATTTATAGATTCAATGCCATTCCCATCAAGCTACCAATGACTTTCTTCACAGTATTGGAAAAAACTACTTTAAATTTCATATGGAACCAAAACAGAGCCTGTATTGCCAAGACAATCCTAAGCAAAAAGAACAAAGTTGGAGGCATCACGCTACCTGACTTCAAACTATACTGCAAGGCTACAGTAACCAAAACAGCATGGTATTGGTACCAAAACAGAGATATAGACCAATGGAACAGAACAGAGGTCTCAGAAATAACGCCACACATCTAGAACCATCTGATCTTTGGCAAACCTGACAAAAACAGGAAATGGGGAAAGGATTCCCTATTTAATAAATGGTGCTGGGAATACTGGCTAGCCATATGTAGAAAGCTGAAACTGGATCCCTTCCTTACACCTTATACAAAAATTAATTCAAGATGGATTAAAGACTTAAACGTTAGACCTAAAACCATAAAAACCCTAGAAGAAAACCTAGGCAATACTATTCAGGACATAGGCGTGGGCAAGAACTTCCTGTCTAAAACACCAAAAGCAATGGCAACAAAAGCCAAAATTGACAAATGGGATCTAATTAAACTCAAGAGCTTCTGCACAGCAAAGGAACTATCAGAGTGAACAGGCAACCTACAGAATGGGAGAACATTTTTGCAATCTACCCATCTGACACAGGACTCATATCCAGAATCTACAAAGAACTTAAACAAATTTACAAGAAAAAAAAAACCACATCAAAAAATGGACAAAGGATATGAACAGACACTTCTCAAGACATTTATGCCGCCAACAGACACATGAAAAAATGCCCATCATCACTGGTCATCAGAGAAATGCAAATCAAAACCACAATGAGATACCATCTCACACTAGTTAGAATGGTGATCATTAAAAAGTCAGGAAACAACAAATGCTGGAGCAGATGTGGAGAAATAGGAACGCTTTTACACTGTTGATGGGAGTGGAAACTATTTCAACCATTGTGGAAGTCAGTGTGGCGATTCCTCAAGGATCTAGAACTAGAAATACCATTTGACCCAGCCATCCCATTACTGGGTATATACCCAAAGGATTATAAATCATGCTACTATAAAGACACATGCACACGTATGTTTATTGTGGCACTATTCACAATAGGAAAAACTTGGAACCAACCCAAATGTCCATCAATGATAGATTGGATTAAGAAAATGTGGCACATATACACCATGCAATACTATGCAGCCACAAAAAAGGATGAGTTCATGTCCTTTGCAGGGACATGGATGAAGCTGGAAACCATCATTCTGAGCAAACTATCACAAGGACAGAAAACCAAACACTGTATGTTCTCACTCATAGGTCAGAATTGAACAATGAGAACACTTGGACACAGGGCCGGGAACATCACACATGGGGGTCTGTAGTGGGGTGGGGGGCAGGGGGATGGATAGCATTAGGAGAAATACCTAATGTAAATGACAAGTTAATGGGTGCAGCAAACCAACATGGCACATGTATACCTATGTAACAAACCTGCACGTTGTGCCCATGTACCCTAGAACTTAAAGTATAATAATAAAAAAAGAAAATCTAGAGCTCCTATTTTATCATATGTCTGATATTACTTTTTCTAAAACATACATAGTATTTAGCTATAGGCTGTGTGTCTCCTTGCCAAAGTTAAAATAATTTTTTTTACAATCTAGATAAATTAGATGAATAATAAATATGACTGATAGATCAGAAAAATCAGTTCAATAGACATACAATTATTCACTTAATTTGGGCAAGAAGGGAAGTTACTAAAGATTGCTCCCATTAAGGACTAGATAGATGCAGGCAGCAACTGATGAATCAACTAGTACATCCTAAAGCATTGTCTTCAAATAAACTACACATTTTTACTGATTATATCTGCATATGTGTGAGTGGTTATACACCCCCACACACACACATTCACATACATATATACATACACACATATACAACACACATATATAAAGAGAGAAATACTATTTTTTTTAGATTATATGAACCCCCAACAGTTTCTTTCTTAAAGTCTTGTACCAAATTGCCACAAACACCAACCATGATGTAAATAAAGTAGTATTTGTGAAAATAACTTTCACTCAAATTATTTTGGAGTAAAAATTACTAAATATTTTAGAAGCAATATTAAGAAAATGGTAATATTATGATATATTATGTTATTTTCTCCCATTTTTGAAGGAATTTGACTTCCTGAAGCCCACTAAGCAAGAAGAAAAAATAAAAGAATAAATTACTGCCTAAATGTCTTTTTAAACAATCTTTTAAAAACTATTTTTTGTTTTGTGGAATAATCCTTCAATTCAAATGAACTAAACAATGAAACTGGCAACATAAAATATAAAAATTTTTTAGCAGCTGAAATGTTTTTTAAAATACCTACCTCTTTAATATTTACTTTCATTTAAAAGGTTCAATGCTTTATGGAAAGTAAAAGAAAATATTGAACTCACCAAGCTCCAGTTTATTTCTTTAAATTTAGATTTCAGTCTGCAGTGTGATGTATAGCCTTGTAAATGTATGAGTTACATTTATATGATTAGTGTATCTGTGACAAACCTTCAACTGTCTTTTTTGTATACAGTAAATCATAATCAGCCTGTGAACTTTTATGTGGAAAGTGCTGTTCTACATTTATCAGGCTTTACATTTTCTAACTCTGTGGATCCAAGTAATTTACTAGGCACAAGATAGCACTGAGTAAACATTTGTTGAATTTTTTAAAACAGTAATTATACTTATAAAAACAGACTGAGTTAATATAAATAAAAATATTGAAGAGTAAAAATTTTAGAAATATTTAATAATATATATTAGTTAGAACAAATTCTATCTATGTAAAGTTTGGCTAACAATAATTAGCAATATAAATCCCTTGAATTAGTAGCCAGACTCTCAGAGAGTGAGCATATAAAAACTTTATTTGAAAACCTATTAAAATATAGATAAACAGTTTTTGGCATAGAACAGTGAGGAGATGCAAGTAAGGACCACGGAAGCAAGATAAATTGAGATCACTCATTCCTGACATCATGATGATATTGCAATCTTGGATATCAAACACAGAAATTAAATCTAAGAAAAAACTTGTCTGCCTGGAAGATGCAAAATTAAGATCTAGAGTACATCAAGAAAAAAAACAATTTAATAATTGGGGAACTGTTGGGGGAAAACATGGATTTTATGCTATTTTTAATATTAAGCAGGAATGCAGTTTATAATTTTTGGCATTCAGAAGTGGACCACCCATGAACCCCAACAATAGAAATTCCTGCTCATGGACTCCAACTCCAATTTCCTCTTCTTGTCGACCCCACCAACCTGCCCATCCAGAATCTATGGCCAGACTGACTGGTGAAGGGTTTTCCCTTCCAAAGCCGGTCTACAATGACTGGTAGAAGCGACTACTTCTTCAAGTGCACAGACACCAAGGCAAGGCAGCAAGGATAATAAAGAATCAGGGAAACAAAAGATCACCAAAGGGACAAAATAAAACCCCAATAATAAACCCTAAACACTAGAGATCTGTCAACTAACTGACAAAGAATTCAAAGTAATAATATTAAAGAAGCTCGGTAAGCTACAACAAATACAGATAAAGAACAATAAAAATCAGGAAAACAATACAAGATTTTGGCAAAGATATAGAAAGCATGCAAAAGAACCAAACAGAAGTTCTGGAGCTAAAAAATACAGTGACTGAACTGAATACTTCAATAAATAACTTGAAGAGCAGCTCAATCAATAATCAATAAACTCCAAGACAGGTCATTTGAAATTATCCAGTCACAGGAGAAAAGAGAATAAAGAAGAAATAAACTCTATAGAACTTACTGGACACTGTCAAGTGAACTAAAATACACATTATGAGAATTTCAAAAAGAGAAGAGACAGAGAAAGGAATAGAAAGCTAATTTAGAGAATTAATGACTGAAAACTTGCTAAAAGTAGGAAGGGAAATGGACATTCAGATATTGAAGTCCCAAAGTCCTCAAATAAGTTAAACTTAAAAAAGTCTACAGTAAGACACATTAATGAAATTATCGAAGATGAAGAGACAGTTTTGAAAGCAGCAAGAGAAAACAACTCATCACATTCAAGAAAGCTTACATAAGACTATCAGTGATTCCTCAAAAGAGACACGCAGGCCTGAAGATAGTAGAGTGATATAGTCAGTGAAAGAAAGCAAAACACTATCAACTAAGAATACTATACCTAGCAAAACTGTCCTTTAAAAATGAAGGAGCAATAAAGACTTCCCAGACAAACAAAAATAGAGAGTTCATCACCACTAGATGCCTTAGAGAAATGTTAAAGTGGATTTTTCAAGTTGAAATGAAAGAACACTAAACAGCAACATGAAAACCCATGAGAGTATAAATCTCAATGGTAATCGTAAATATATAGACGAATACAGAATAATGCAACCACTTTACCCTAGCATAAAAATTAAAAGACAAAAGTATTAAGCATGACTATAACCACAAAAACTTTTAATGAATAATAATATAAAAACAAAGAAATTCTGGCATCAATAATATCAACTGTATGTGAGGGATGTGGAAGTATAGAGTTTTGTATGTAATTGAAGTTAAGTTGTTTTCAGCTTGAAATATACAATTATAATTATAAGAAGTTTTATGCAAGCCTCATGGTAACTACAAAGAAAAACTTCTAGCATATCCCAACGAGTAATAATAATACATAGAAAGGAATAGAAGTATGTAACCTTAAAAAATTATCAAATAACAAAGACAACAAGAGAGGATAAGGGAAACAAGAGAACTACAAAATAGAAAACAATTAACAACATGGCAATAATAATTCCTTAGCTATCAATAATTACTTTAAATGTTAATGAATTAAACTCACCAATTAGAAATAGAATAGATAAATGGGTTAAAAAATTAGATCCAACTGTATAATCCATACAAGAGATGCACTTTTCATTTAGGTACACAAATAGGCTGAGAGTAAAGGAATTTCACTGGAAAAAGATACTCCATGCAAATGGTAACCAAAGGAGATCAGGAGTGGCTCTTTTTATATAAGACAAAATAGAGATATTAGTCCAAAACTGTCACAAAAGGCAAAGAAGGTCATTATATAATAAAATTGTCAATTTGACCAGAACTTATAATAAATATATATGCACCAAAATCAGAGCATCTAACTATATAAAATAAATATTGACAGCTCTGAAGGAGAAATAGATAGCAATACCATAATAGTTGAAGACTTCATATCCCACTTTTAATCACGGAAAAAATGGGCAAAGAACTGAATAGACATTTTCTCAAAGAATATGTACAAATGGCCAACAAGTATATGAAAAAATGCTCAATATCATTAGTCATCAGGGAAATGCAAATTAATATCACAATAAAATAAAATTCAAACCTCATACCTGTTATAATGACTAATATTTAAAAAATAACAATTGGTAGTGAGGATGTGAAGAGAAAGAAACTCTTGTACTAATGGTGGCACTATTAATTGCTATAGCCGCTATGGAAAAGGGTGTAGAGATTCCTCAAAAGAACAAAAATAAAACTTCCGTACAATCCAGCAATTTGATGTCTGGTTGTATATCCAAAGGAATAGAAATCAGGATTTCGAAGACATATCTCCACTCTTACATTCATTTCAGCATATTCACAACAGTCAAGATATGAAAGCAACATAAAAGTTCATAAATGGATAAAATGATAATGAAAATGTGGTACATAAAGGCAAGAAATATGACTAAGTCTTAAAAAGAAAGGCAATCCTGCCATTTGCAACAACATGAATGAACCTGAAGGACATTATGGTAAGTGAAGTAAGTCAGACACAGAAGGACAAATACTGCATGACACCACTTATATGAGGTATCTAAAATAGTGAAACTCACAGAAACAGAGTAGAAAGGTGGCTACCAGGGGTTAGGGAATGGCGAAATAGAGAGATATTAGGAAAGGGGTACAAAGTTTCAGTTGCACAAGATAAATAAGTTCTACAGATGTACTTTACAATGTAGTGCCTATAGTTAATAATATTGTATTACATACTTAAATATTTACTCAGAGAGTAGATCTTAAGTGTTATTATCACAAATAACAACAATAACAAATTAACTAATAAATAAGGCAAGGAGAAGGAAGAAGTGGATGACCCATGAACTGAGTTAAAAAGAATGCTGTATCAGTAAAGTTAGATGGCATATGGGATTGGAGAGAGTGGCACGCAATATCCATTCCATCTTCCTTTCAACGTGTTATATTTCCAAGATTCCTTTACAGATGGGTTGAGATGTTATCCATGCTCAAGCAATATGAGAAACTAACATGAGATTTGGAAGCAGGAGCATGGTAGGTCTGTGCTCCCACTGATTCTGCTGTTTCTGCTTATTGGCATGTTCATGGTAACACTGGACTTTTCTGTGGCAGCATCAGCAGAAGTCCCAGTGATGAGTGACCAACTTAATAGGTGTTGAAAGCCAAAATGGAGCACATTCATTTTAGTACATTTTCTCCTGTAATGAGAATATATGATCTGGAAATTGAGGGTGTGTTCTTTTGCAAAAATTTCCTTCTTCATCCCACAACATTGACCTCTTTTGATTTAGAGGCTATAATTTCCAAGAAAGTAATATTTCCACAAGATAGCACACTGGTTCCTACAACTGGAAGTTAAAACTACTAACAGGCTATTTGGGTGTCCTTATGACCATAAACTTTTTTTAAAAAAGAGGAGAAAAAAAGAGGTTACTCTGTTGGATAGAAGATTGATCTTGGTTTTAAGGGGATTCAGGGTTGGTATTAAAGTGTGTGTCAGGCAGCTTGTAAGAATCTGTGTTTTACAGGACTTGTTGGGATGTGTCATCAAATTACCATGTCCAGAGTTAAAAATTCATGTACAATTTCAGCAGTTCAAGATAGCCAAGGCCACCAGTGGCTCAGACCCATAAAGAATGAAGATTGGCTTTAACCCACTCACCATCTAATGCCATAGAGCTAAGAATATAACAGGAGCATGAAATTCAGAGTAGAAAAAGGATGCTGTGAATACCAATCATCATCTTATGACCATTCAGATAAACAAATGCCATATTTACTTCCTTTTTCTTTATGTATTTTATTCTATGTAGACATATTTCCTTTTTTATATTCCATTCTCCCACTTCATAGTATGTGTTGTTTTTTGATAACTTTATTAAATATGTAGACGGGAAGATAAGTGCACTGGAAGAGGAACTGACGTCATCCAGAGGAGTCTATGACTAATAGAAGCTTGGCTTCTTTTGGGAACAGTATAAGTAGGTTTTATTTGTATGGGAGAATCATTGCATTGGATTGGGTGAAAATTGATTGTTGTAGATAATATTGTTTGGAAATGTATGTACAGGAAGAGAAGCATGAATGGTCAGGAAATGGACAAACAGAAGAATAGTGGGAGTTCTGGTGGATTTGTGCTCACTGTCCACACCACCATCAATACTAAGCTTTCCTACACTTTTGATGCTAATAAGCTAAAATCCACATTTCTGAGTCTCTTTTGCAGATGAACACAGAATGTGGTTTAGGTTTGGACAATAAAATATAGTAACGTGATATTTGAAAGGAGGGTAGTTTGAAAGCCACAGGTCTACCGTTTCTGTTGGTCAGCATAATCACAGGGGCCCTGGATTTTTCTACAACAGCATTTTCACAGATCCCAGTGCCCAATAATTAATTTCTGAATATTGAAAGGCCTCCAGGCATCCATTTTTGCTTGTGCCAATATAACAGATGTAATGTGGCTCTGGAGTCAACAGTACATAGTTTTCTAATCTATGGGTTGCATACCTAAAGCAATATATTTCTAGAGCGTATGGTTGCAGTGACAGTACTACAGATTCTTAATTACAACAGAAGTAGAAATTCTCCGGGTGGGTTACTTCTGAGGTACTGGATCCTGTTATCCCGGCCTTCCAATAAATTTGTATGAACTTAATTCCTGTATTAAATCCTTTTCTGCTTTAAATAGCCAGAGTAGTTTCAGATATCTTCAACTTAAGCCTGATTCAAACAGATGGTATACTGAGAAAGAAACACAATTAACCAAATTAAACCATTCTATGTGATGAAAATCCATCCTTCCTGAGCATAATGTGAACTGGAAACAATAATGTGTTGGGAATAGAGATAATTTCAGTAGAAACGATGTTGACTGATTTATCAAGAAATTAAACAGAGTTATAATTTTCAATAAGTTCTTGCTTTTTATTGTTTTATAGCTAAGTTAAATGACTTCATTAATATAACTAGTTCTTTCTTACTTTGAACCCTGAGCTATCAGCTTTATTTATTAGTCACACATGTATTTTTATTTGAATTTGAATTTCATATTACTTTAATAGTCACAGTTTGTTATTTGCCACTTATTTGCTTCTTATAAACTATATATTTATCCACAAATTTTGACACCTGAAAAGCAATGATGCATATCCATATGGATGTTTTCATACTATAGAGATGAAAAAATGTATGTTATACAGATGATAAAATCTAACAGTTTTAGGAGAAAATGTCCTTATCTGTAAACAGAAAGAAAACTCATAATTAGGTTCAGTTAAGATCAAGTATTCAAATATAAATTAAATACTTTTATATTGATTTAATTTTTGTTGTAATCTCCAATTCTTTTTCAAGTCAAACTGAGGTATTTAAAGAAAGACACTCAGAGACACAGTAATTGGGTCATGTAAGTTTCTGAAATGGTGGCTGATTACAAAGGTCCGATCTGGGGTTAAAGAGGGCAATTTACCCACAGTTTACTCAAAACACCAAATGTCTGATCAATTTAGTAGTTATCTAGCATGGATTTTGTTTGGATCTCCTGCTTCCACTTCTTTTCTTCTCAAGATGTCAAAAATGTGGAGTTGTGCAACCTTCTTATACTACCAAGGTACATAGAATCACAGGTAATTAAGAAATATAGGTGGGCAGGGAAACATTATTAACTTTATTTAGCTTTGCCTGCCTGAACTAAAGCAGAAAGGACTTTCAGCTCTAAATAGGAAAAGAAGTAAACATCTACCTTAAGTAGCAATGCAGAATCTATTTTCCACAGATACTGAGGATTCACATTATCAGTAATTTTAGCATAAAAACAATTCTAGTAGCCATAAATTGTACATTCAAAGACAGTTCACCATCATAACTACAGGATTAAAAAAATTCTCATGTAATACCTAATATACTGTTTCTACATTCTGTGTTCTAATTCTCTGGATTTATAAATAATGATTGATATGTTCACTCTAGTTTTAATTTGTGTGAGTCTGATTTTGTTTTCCTACCATTGGAGAGAATAGACACATACATGTGTTTGGAAGACAGGAGTTTCTTTAAGATTTAATTATAGGTATAAATGTCCTATTTGAACTAGGCAAAATGCGTATTAAAAATGAAAGTTGTAATACATTACTTACCAAGTTGATTTCCTATTTTGTTAGGTATTGCTAGATGTACAACCTTTTTAAAATGCTGTAATTTCAAAAAAGTGAAAAACAATCATTAGAATATTTCTTGGAAATAATATAATAAAATATCAAATGATAGTCAGTTTTTCCCCAAAATACCAGCCCACATATATGGAATAATTTGATGTTGAAATAATAAAAATTGTATAATTAGGAAAATAATTTACACATGATGGATCCAGTGACGGTTCCTTTGCCAAAGGCTTTCTTTCCTTTCAAATGTTTCTGGAAGCTTATAGGATAGAAGTAAATTGTATGATAAAATGACTTCTAAATATCTTGGAGCCAACAGTACTTTATGTTGTCTCATCCCTACAGACAGTAGGAAACCCTCTTGTTGTCTAAGACAGTGTTTGATAATAACCATTTGCTCCTTGTTATATTACTTGAAGTGCTCATCATTTGAGATACGTAATGTGTTGGGAATCTCCTACTGTCCTCTTCAATTGCCACACACCATACCTTCCATATTCTCTCTGCAAGCCATTTTTTAAAATCCTACTTTCCAGCTGAGTAGATGGAGGCACACAATATTTTCTGAGTATCCCATGAATTTCACATATGGAATTGGCAAGAAATATGTGCTGACCTGTCCACCCTACCCCCACCCCCATGTATAGTCATAACAGACAGCAAAAACAAAGTTATAGTTGATATTTCCCCCTTTATCCATAATGTATCCAACACTTCAAATGTTGAATAGCATCTTAGAAAAGAAAAATAAAATTTGAACTAGATAAGAAATTAAGTTGCATAACTCCCAAGAAGAGCAATATCTTTTAATACAAGATTTTAAATGAAATTAAAAGCAAAAAAAAAAAAAAAGGAAAAATGTCTTGGTGGCATGGATGCTTAAATTTTGGCACTAAATGCAGTGTAATTACCTGAGTAGTTATGTGGCAATTCAGTTTCTGGTTAGCTGGTAAAAGGAACAGTGTTACTGAAAGAGACATATCTCGACTCTTTTGTAATTGAGTAACAAAGTATAATTTTGAACTAGATCTTGAAGCCAAGATACAGCTAAAATTGGCATCTCTACATTATCAACAGTCAAATATCTATATATATGCATCTTACAAGAAAAAATACATGATTTAATCCTGAGTCTTTAATCACACATAAACACAGAAATATGCACAAAAACATATATACACTCATATATATGCACATATTAATACACACATGTAGGCACAAATACATACAATTTCATTCACTTAAATATGTACACACATACTCATCCATATATATGTGTACATATACACATATACACGCAGACTTGCTCTTTCTCAGAACATATGGCAGGACACTGGCCTAGCCCTAGTTTGATGTCTTTTTATAAAAGATTTATGCCCCCTCTCCACCTTCTCTAGATTTTTTACAGCGCTAAAGCAGGGGTCAGCAAACTACAGTCCATGAGCCAAATCCTCTCTACTACTTGTTTTTCCAGGGTCTGCAAGCTAAGAACAGTGTTTACATTGTTAAATGGTTTGAAAAAAATAAAAGAGGCCTAATACTTCATGACATATGAGAATTATATGAAATTCATATTTCAGTGTCCACAAATAAAGTTTTCTTGAAACATAGCAATGGTCATTCACATATATACTTACCTAAGGCTGTTTTGAGCTACAAAAGTAGAGATATTGCTCCAGAGACTGCATGTGTCTCTCTCAGTGTTTCACAGTGATGCCCAGGACACTACAAATCCCAGTGTTACAGTTAACAATCGACAGCATTTCAGGCATCACATGTGTCTGCATACTGTGACATTTTACTATTATTCTTATTATCCATGCATATCCATTATGTCAAAACAAAAAAAAGGAAAAGCTTTTAAGATATAGTGGAGTGTGGATTTGTTATTGAATTTGGTAAAATAAAATTTATTTACACTATAACTATGCTAAAAGTACAAAATATAAGTTGACATTACCAGAGCGAGTATTCATCATAGCAGCCCCAATTCACCATGATGGTTAGAAAAATTAGTAAATGCAAAATGGAATTTATTATCACGGCAGCATTTTTATACACACACACACACACACACACACACACACTCACATTGAAATGAGCATAAAACTACAGTTTCTGAGAGGTTCATTTGTTAGCCAAGCAAGGAATGTGATTCACCAATGGCGAGTTAATTAAATCATATTTGATTGCAACAGACAAATACAAATGTTTATAGAAAATAAATTTAAGACTATTAGCCTTTTAGCGAGAACAGTTGTTCAACAAACTAAGGACATAAGGAGAAAAAAATAGTAAGTTAAAAAACAAGGTATGAATATTATACTGAAATTCCTAGCAAGAATAACATGCAAGATAAAGAAGTAAAAGGCATAAAATTGGAGGAAAAGAAGTGAATCAGCCTTTATTTGCAAATGATATAATTAGATATGTAGAAAATCTTACAGACACTACAAAAATCTCCTGGAACGAATAAGTGAAAATTGCAAGGTCACAGGATAGAGATAAACATAAAAGATCAATTTTATTCTTATATACTAGCAATGAACAATTAGAGTATGAAATTCAAAGTCATCAACCATCTACAACAGCACAAATAAAAAAGGAAGTACTTAAGTAATAAATCTACTATACAGAAAACTACAGGACACTGATGAAAGAAACACACAATATCTAAATAAGTGGAGATATATACAATGTTCATAAATTGGAAGGCTTTATATTGTTAAGATGTCAGTTCTCTCCAATTTGGTCTATAGATTCAATGCAATCTCAATCAAAATCTAAACAAGCTTTTTTGTTGGTATAAGCAAGCTCATTCTAAACTCCATATGGAAAGGCAAAGATCTAAAATAGCCAAGATGATTCTGAAAAAGAAGAAAGTTGGAATACTCACATTACCAGATTTCCAGACTTATTATAAAGCTACAGTAATGAAAACAGTGTGTTATTTAAAAAAGTATAGATGTATGTTAACAATAAAACAGAATAAAGAGTCCACACAAATATAATCAATTGATTGCTGGCAAATAGCGGGAGGTAACTCAGGGGAGAAAGGATAGTTTTTCAACAAATGTTGCTAGGAAAATGGGATATGAATATGCAAAAAAGAATAGTATAGACACATACTTAACATCTTAAACAAAAGTTAACTAAAAATAGATCATAGACCTAACTTAAAATGTAAAACTAAAATTTCTAGAAAAATAATCTGCATGACCTTGGGTTTGGTGATGGTTTTTTAGATAAAATACCCAAAGCACAATTCATAAAAAAAAATGTGATTGAATTTAAAAAAAGAAGTAGTACCTTGGCAAACTTAAATAGTTTTGCTCTGTAAAAGACTGAGAAGAGAATAAAAACACAAATCATGGGCCAGGATAAAATATTTGCAAATGACATACCTGATAAATTACTTGCACTCAGCATATGTAAGTATAATTTAAAACTCAACAATAAAAATCAAGTTAAAATAGCAAAATATCTGAGCAGACACTTTACTCAAAAATGATATATGAGATGGCAAATAAACACATGAAAAGGGGATCAACATAATTTCATTAAAGAAATGCAAATCAAAACCACAATGAGATACCACTATACATCTATTAGAATGCCTAAAATTCCAAAAGTGAACAGTAAGAAATGCTAACTAGGATGTGGAGCAATCGTGACTTTCATTCACTACTTGGAGAATGCAAAATAATACAGCCACTTTACAAGGCAGTTTGGCAGTTTCTTTTAAATTAAACATAGACCTCCCATATAATCCAGCAATTGCACTCCTAGGTATTCACCCAAATGTTTTTAAAAACCCATGTCCACACAAATACTTGAATGTCAATGTTTACAACAATTCCATGGCTTAGTAGTGGTAAAGTTTTATTGTGGTTTTGTTTAACCTCAGGGTCAAGATTGAATTTTTTTAATAAGAAGAAGCATACTCAACCAATATTATCAAATATGGCATGGCTTTGGAAATAAGCTTTTGCTGCAGAATTGGTAGTGTTTATTAATAAATTCAAGCTAAAATTACAAGGAAAACAGTGGTTAGTTAATGAGAAATATACTATGGTAAAGTTAAGACAACTAATACTGTTTGGATAACAAGTAAATGAAGCTGCTTTATACATTTCCCACAAGGACACAAGTTAAAACAAGATGTAAGATATCCATTCTCAGAAAAAAATAAATTAGTGGTTGTATTTTATGAACTCAGACTATATTTCCAGCAGTGTTTTTCAGGCTTCAATGCAAGTGCAAAGGAAATTTATATATTTCAAATGCCTTTTACCTGTGCAGCTAAAGAGTTTCCACCTAACTTCTAACTGGAAGTGACTAATCTGCAATGTAATGAAATGCTGAAGGGCAAATATCAACAGAAAAATCTAACAATTCTATAAATGCCTTATAAGTGAAAAATGTTTAATTTGGGCCATAACTAGTGGACTGCTATCAGTATTTGGCAATACTTATCTGGGCAAAAAGATATTTTAAAAGATAAAATATGTAACACTTTCTTACAGATCAACTTTAACAGACAAATATGTGAAATTGATTTGATGAGGAATACTGATTTTGAACCAAAATTCAGCAAAATACTATCCACAGATCCAATTTATTAGAAAGTACATAATTATTATTACATTTTGAAATTATCAGTAAAAATTGGGGAAATTTTTTCTCTTTTGTTTATAAGTACCTATATATCTTCATTTTTGCCTGTTGAACCACAAAGCAAGATATTTACTATCTTGCCTTTTGCGTAAGTTTGCCAAACTCTGCCATAGAGTGTTTAACATCAGTGCCTTCCTAATTAGTGTATGTATGTACTTGTGAGTGTATGTACATGTATCTTTTATGAGTATGTGTGTCTTAGTCCATTTTGCTGCTATAACAGAACAACTGAGACTGGGTAATTTATAATGAACAGAAATTTATTGGCTTATAGTTCCAGAGGCTGGGAAGTCAAAGATTGAGGGGCCAGCATCTGGTGAGCACATTCTTGCTGCACCATCCTATCACAGAAGGCAGAAGGGCAAGAGAGGGCAAGAGAAGTCCAAACTTATCCAAACTTACCCTTACCCATGAGGCTGGAGTTCTCATTGCCTAGTCACCTCTCAAAGTTCTCACCTCTTAATACTGTTACAAGGGCAATTAAATTTTAACATGAGTTTTAGAAGGGAAACATTCCAAGCATTGTATGTAATTGAGTAAACACTCAGGGACAGATCTTGCCCCTCTTCCACAAGGCATATGGACAGATGATTAATTTTGTGTTGATAATTTGGAGATGCCTATGCATTAGCTACATCTTTGCTTCATGATCTAGTTCAAAGTACATCAAACAAACACACCACAAATTGGAAATGGGTGGGCAGAAAAAAGTGGAACTACCAACTTCTAGTACTTCTGTTTCCAGGCACTGTTCACTTCCATTCATACCATAATACTGAGCTGTTTATGGAGGTTTTAATTATCATTGTATTGCCTTGGAAATTTTTGAAATGATTTTTTTCATGTTTAAGTATGTAATAATTTTATTTGTAGAAAGTTTTCTGTATTTTTTACTTCCCTATATTTGTTTCTTAATTATCTTCCTTTTTGAATAGTTTATGTCGCAGTATGCTCTGGTATATTATGAAATAAGAGTGAGTAGAAAACATATTCTTAACTTATTCTTATTTTTAAAGAGAATAACCATATTGTGTCTCAATTAAGTATAATGTTATCTACAGGTTTTAAATATACACTCTGTCATGCTGAGAATGAAATACACCAAACATAATTTTTAGTGTTTTAATTAAGAACAGGTAAAAATCATCTTCTCATCATTTATTGAAATAATTATACATTTTTTGAATTATCTTTCCTACTAATGTGAACTATATTAATAATTGCTCCTACTTTATACTAGCATTTCTTGGCTGTGCTAAATTCTATTCAGTCATAATGGAAATATACATAATTTAATTTTTTTTACTCTGTGATATGAGCTAAAATGTTACTTAAAGTTTTAATATCTCAATTTACGAATGAAGTTACTTGTCACTTTCTTTGGTTTGATCTTCTAACGTAGTTTATTCATTTTATTCCTAACTGTAACAAAGATAAGTTATATATTCTTTCTTTGAATTAGGATCATTTTCTATATAAAGAAATAATGTTCTTAATAATTTTTTCTTTAGAAAATTAAGTAACAATTTTTAAATAAATCTATCTGAGTCAAAAGTAAGACAAATAAAAAAGAGTGCAATTTCTCAAATGTGGCCTGGGGTCCACCTTCTTCAAAAATCATTTGAGAAGATTCTTAAAAATACCCCATTTAGACTTACTAACAGGGATACTTTATGATTTTTGTGAGCCATAGGCACTTCTGGAGTTCTTGATATATTCTGGATATTAACTCCTTTTCAGTCATATAATTTTCAAATATTTTCTCTGATTCTGTGGGTTGCCTTTTCACTCTGTTGATTGTGTCCTTTGGTACCCAAGTTTCTAATTTTGGTGTAGATCAATTTATCTGTTAATTGTTTTGTTGCCTGTGAGTTTGGTGCAATATCTAACAAATAATTGCTAAATTCAGCATCATGAAGCTTTTTCTTTATGTTTTCTCCTAACAGTTTTATAGTTTTAGCTTTTATATGTAGAGCTTTTATCCATTTTAATTTTCGTATGTGGTACAAAGTAAGAGCCAAATTTCATTCTTTTGCCTGTCCTTTTCCCAATGAATGATTTTGACATCCTTGTCAAAAATCATTTGTTCGTATATGTGAGTGTTTTATCTCTGGGCTCTCTCATCTATTTTACTGGTCTATGTGTCTGTCTCTTGCAAGTACCTCACTGGTTTGATTACTGTAGCTTTGTATAAGTTTTGAGATCAGGAGGTGTGAGACCACTCTGATTTTCTTTTTCAAGATTGTTTTGGCTGCTCAGAGTCCTTGAGGTTTCACATAAATTTTAGGATTTTTTTTTTCACTTTTGCAATAACATGTTGGAATTTTGATAGGGATCATATTATTATTATCATACTTGTTGCAAGATTCATAAAACATAAGCTTGGAGAAGAAAAGTTGCCTAATAAGAATCAACTCTTAGGCCGGGCCTGGTGGCTCACACCTGTAATCCCAGCAGTTTGGGAGGCTAAGGACAGTGGATCACCTGAGGTCAAGAGTTTGAAACCAGCCTGGCCAACATGGTGAAACACCGTCTCTACTAAAAATACAAAAATTAGCCAGGCATGGTGGCCGGTGCCTGTAATCCCAGCTACCCGGGAGGCTGAGGCAGGAGAATCACTTGAACTGGGGAGGCAGAGGTTGCAGTGAGCCGAGATCGCGCCACTGTAATCTAGTATGGGAGACAAGAGCGAAACTCTGTCTCAAAAAACAAAACAAAAAAAAACAAAAAGAGAGAGAGAATCTACTATTAATCATTACACTTTATTTCATTTTTATTTTCACTAAACAAGCCAGTTCATCAATTTTGTCATCCACAAGGTACTTATTGGTGTTAAAAAGTTTATATTTCTTCCAACTTTTCCTATCTCCTCTTTCTCTCCTTCCTCCTCCTTCTCCTTTTCTTACCTTCTTGTATTTTGTCTCATTTAATTATTTCTATTTCCATTTTCTCTTTAATGTTCAAGTCCAAAGGCTTTAGATATAAAAATTAGCATTTTTATTGCCATATTCCATTATTTACTTTTGTGGATTCTTTTTTTTTTTTTGGTTTGCTGCCTTCTGTAATACTTTTACTAATGCTTATATCTGCACAAACTACAATTGTGATTTTGGATTAAATGTATCAACATTATATTTCTGTTCTTTCTCGTTTTTTTTTTAACTTTCATGTCTTATGTTGCTACTATCTGGAACATATAGTTCAATATTATTAGGTTTTCCTTATTTGATGATCTATTAATATATTGTCAAATTATTTATTTCTTTTAATATTTATTTTAATATTTAAAACAGTGAAAGTTACTGTACCAAAAAGGATTATAGTAACCTCTTTTTCTTTATTTCCATAGGCTAAAGTACCTTAGATGATTCAAAAATATTTGTCCATTTGGTTTTAATAGTATCACTTAAAGGCAAAAGACTGCTAGAGCTTGTTTGCTATTCAGTCAATCATTTTTCTCTTCCAAGAGAACTATTTATATTTAGTGGGATAATTGATAGGTTTATGTCACTCTTCTCTCATAGTTATTGTTTTGTGTTGTTTTGTTTTTGCTTTGCTCTTTGCTTGTACAATTTCTGTGGTTTCTGCAGTGTAAAAGTTCATTTTAAAATAATCTAGTATTTTTCAAATATTTCTACCATTAATGTATTTTACATCAGTCCCAAATAGTTTACATTCATTTCCACTATCTTAAAAAACATTAAATTCTGTCCCCAGAGAGATAAGAAATCCAGATACTTGAATGTGTCATATTCACCTGAAAATTTCTTTTTGAGGTTTTTATATTCATATAAGTACCTAATCTTTAGTTTAAGTTAAAATTAATTCTATTTTATTATATTAACCATACTTTTTATCAATGTTATCATTTCCTTATCTCTTGTAGATGTTTTTCATTTATTTTTAGGTTTCCATTGTCTCTTCTAGTGATCTTTAAGCTGTGAAACTTTAATGTCAAATTGTCAAGTTAATTTTTATTCTAAATTTAGTACTTAGAAATACTACTGATATTTCTAATACTGGTAATACTACTGGTATTTTTTTTCCAAAATTGTCAAGTAAGGTTTAAAGACACAATTTATCTCTTACATCTGTAAAATAACTAGTTTTACTTTTTGTAACTTGTAAGGATTATCACTGCTGTTTTCAAACCTATAAAACTTGAGAAATAGTTGTGTAATGCAGAGTCCACAAAATATAGACTGAGCCCAAATCTAGCTTGTGCTTCTTGTTATAATAAAGTTTTATTGGAACACAGCTATGGTCAATCATTTTTAAATATGTCGTCTATGGCTGCTTTCATGCTATATTGGCAGAGTTAAGAAGTTAGAAGTTATGACAGAGACTACCTGACAAGTCCTAACATATTTACTATCTGGCTCTTTAAAGAAAAAGTTCTCTGTCCCTTGGTCTAAAGGGTCTTTCATTTCAAGAAAACTTTCATTTTTCTTCTTATTATTATTTTCAAATTACTAACTGCTACATTTCCTAAGAAATTTCTTGTTGTTTTTCTATTTCCATCATTTTCTCTAATATTGCAATCATCTCTTATTTTACTATAATTCAAGATCTTCTTGGTAGTAAGATTATAGCACCACTAATTTTTCACTCTACAGAATTAGTTTTGTTCTACACTTTAACATTTCTTTAAGCTACTTATGGGGTATGAAAGTTTAACACACGTTTTCCAAATGCAACTTTTTTTTTTTTTCTTTTTTGAGACGGAGTTTTGCTCTTGTTGCCCAGGCTGGAGTGCAATGGCAGGATCTCTGCGCACCACAAGCTCCACCTCCTGGGTTCAAGCGATTCTCCTGCCTCAGCCTCCCGAGTAACTGGGATTACAGGCACCTGCCACCATGCCCAGCTAACTTCTGTATTTTTAGTAGAGAAGAGGTTTCTCTGTGTTGGTCAGGCTAGTCTCGAACTCCCGACCTTAGGTGATACGCCCGCCTCGGCCTTCCAAAGTGCTGGGATTACAGGCGTGAGCCACTGCGCCCAGCCTTAAATGCCACTTTTATTTGAGGACAGTAATTTTGTTTTCCTGTCTTCAGATGATATCGTAGATGCCACCTTTGGAAGGAACTTCTACAGGGTACCAGAATCTTCCCCTTATGATGAAATAATATTGTAGTTGGACTTGAGATTTGTCAGGCTTTTCAATTATTAAGGTTAATTTCCTGGCGCTGGGTTATAGTTTTTGTTTTTTGTTTGTTTGTTTTAGTCATTTTAAGTATTGTTGTATTTCGGAGGTAAGATTAGTCAAGAGGCAGAAACCTGCATCTTTCTGAAATTCATTTCTTGCTTCTTGCACTTAGATAATGTAAAGTAATAACTTATTTTCACATGATTTGTAGTAGGCAAATGGCTAATTTTGATATTTCATTCCTAAATCCCCTTACATATTTAATTAAATGATCCAGTCAAAGCTGGAAAAGACTGACATTATTCATTTAAAGCTTTAATGTGTAATTTTTAATTGGATTTTACCCCAACTTAAAAAGTAAGTAAAATGAATTCCATTTACTTAGCTCTTGGTAAAACAAAATAAAATGAAACAACAACAACAACAACAACAAAAAATCCACAACCATTATAACTGAAAGAGTAGTTTCATCAACCCACAAAAACTTCTGTAAACTAAATACAGGAACTAAATCAAACATCTTGCTTTTCATTTAAAATTAACGAGAAGTCTTCTTTTTAGATTTGATTGACTATCTCAGTTTCTCATTGTTAATAGCTAATTTTTAAACCCTGCTATAATTTTACTACCTCTGTCTTCAAGATATGATTGAGGAAGTAAGTGCTCACCACTAAGAGACTTTTTGTTACAGATATCACATTGTTAATTGTTGGCTAGATCATCATCTTGCTATTTTTTAATTTTTTTCCAGATATCATAAAAATATGTCATTTTTACATTATTATCCCATGAAACATACAGCATGTGCCTTTTCTTCTAAAACCATCTCCAAAGATAGGAGAATAGGTAAGTTTATTATGTGTACAATAAGGAAACTAACATAATTAGAACAAGTTTCTTCAGCTAGTAGAACCTAGTAATACTGTAGTAAAATTGTAACTACAGTCCAGGGATCTCACTTCCAATGCAATGTTGATTTTGTTTTTTATTGAAGAAATCTGTCTCCCATCTTAGCAAAGTATAATAACTGCTCTCATTCCTAAAAGATTTTCCTATGCCAGGTCAACTATATATTCATAGTTATAATATAAACAATGTAAATTGGTTTTATGTTCTCACTGTAAGTGCCAAAAATGCAATGTTTACAAAACAAAATTAAACAAACAAATATCCAAAAAATCAAGTATATCATGGATGGAATTCTAGAACATGTTAGACAGTGAGTTTTCTTCTTAAAAGTTCAACTTATACATATCTTAGATTCTATTTTTGGCCATACAAAGTGTTGCGATAAAAAATCAGAGTTAAGTTTCTTAAGTACTCAGAGGTTTAATTTTTGTAAAATGTCATGACATCTATCTCCTGAGCCTTTTGAGAGGATTCTTCTCAAAAAATTAATTCTATTTAAAAATTTTGTGTGTGTTGAAATAAATCTGAAGTCAAACTTATGTTTAAAAAACTAAATCATATAGCTAATAACCAGTGGGATCTTAAAGGAAAGCTTGTTTTCTTGGGCAAAGTTTGGAATCATTTTTCACAATAATAAACCCGAAAATAAAAATTATATATCCATCTTGGACTGAGATATTATTAGGCTGCATTCCTAATCAAATGTAGTGTTTGAAGGAAACAAAACTTTCAACTAGATAAGCTCCTAACATAGGTTTAATAAAAACATTGCAAATATCCATGCACACCATTTGAACTTTTGGACGATTTTAGCATGTGTATGTACCATCCATGGAACAGTAGTCATCTTGGCTTTTTTTTTTTTTTTTTGGTGGGGGGAGGGGCAGCTACTGAAATTCTGGCTTCTAAAAAAATTTTTTTATATATATACTTTAAGTTCTAGGGTACATGTGCACAACATGCAGGTTTGATTCACAGGTATACCTGTGCCATGTTGGTTTGCTTCACCCATCAACTCATCATTTACATTAGGTATTTCTCCTAATGCTATCCCTCCCCCAGTCCCCCACTCCTTGACAGGCCCCCGTGTGTGAGGTTCCCCGCCCTGTGTCAAGTGATCTCATTGTTCAATAACCACTTATGTGTGAGAATATGCGGTGTTTGGTTTTCTGTCCTTGTGATAGTTTGCTGAGAATGATGGTTTCCAGCTTCATCCATGACCCTGCAAAGGACATAAACTCATCCTGTCTTATGCCTGCATAGTATTCCATGGTGTATATGTGCCATCTTGGTTTTTAAGAAACAACAGGCAGCCGGGCACGGTGGCTCACGCCTGTAATCCCAGCACTTTGGGAGTCCTAGGCAGGTGGATCACGAGTTCAGGAGCTCAAGACCAGCCTGGCCAATATGTTGAAACCCCATCTCTACTAAAGATACAAAAATTAGCCAGGCATAGTAGTGTGTGGCTGCAATCCCAGCTACTCAGGAGTTAGAAAAATTGCTTGAACTTGGGTGGTGGAGGTTGCAGTGAGCTGAGATCACACCACTGCACTACAGCCTGGGCAACAGAGTGAAACTTGGTCAAGAAAGAAAAGAAAGAAGAAAGAAAGAAAGGGCAACAGAGTGAAACTTGGTCAAGAAAGAAAAGAAAGAAAAAAGAAAGAAAGAAAGAAAGAGAGAGAGAGAGAGAGAAAGAAAGAAAAGAAAGAAAGAAACAAACAAACAAACAAACAAACAAACAAACAACAGGCACATTATTTTCCCAAGAAAGGAGAAACAAATATGAATTATTAAAAATATAAAACACTTAATCACCCTGATATTTATGTCTGTTGTTGCCACTTCTTTAAATAAACAATGTGAGAGGTGGTGATGAAGCAAGTACAATAATGACCACTGAAAACTTATTTCTGTCCTGCGGGATTTGATGGTATTTGTAAAAAGTGAAAGCAAATCTTCATCATAATGCCAGGTATCGGTACGTAGGAACTCGGCAGAATAATTGTTATCCACCTGCCATAGTATGGAATATTATATGTGTAGGAGATGAAATTAGTGTATGATTTGAATCTAAAATGCATGCTTACTATTTCTAAAAATTTTAAAGCCTTTTTCCTTTAATGTAAGGATTACATAAATCAATAATGAGGGCCATTATTACTTAAGTAGTAGAATTGTAGCCTTTTATTCTATTTTCTCAGAAAAAAATGCATAAATTGTCAGATACACTCTTCTTAAAAATGTTTGGTTCTTTTTGTTAAAATTTATTGATGTCAGTTGTGTCAAATTCTGATCTTGCAGTCCAATTCTTGTTACTATTAATGTATATACTTTTGTAGTCAAAATTCCTTTGTTCTGCTATACTACCCTAAGTGCAGCTTTTATTTAGCACTTTATTACTCTTTTTTATAATTGTTTATCTTGGCCATTTTTTGTGAACTGTTGACATCTTGAGGGCAGTGACAGTGTCTAGAACAGTACCTATATTAACAAGAATACAAATATTTCTTGAATTAGTGAATTAATAAAATATTTTATACATTTCTCACTTGATAATGGTAAACATAGTTAATACATATTAAGTGGCTAGACTGGGCCAGACACATTCAATAACTCATTCAGTCCTCACCACAACACTGTGAGACAGGTACCATTACCACAAATATAAAGACTTAAAAAGTGAAACATAAAGAAGCTAAAGAGTGTTCTCAAAACCAAACAACTAGTAAATGGCAGAGCTGCGAATTGAAGCCACACAGCCTTACCCCAGAGAACATCATTTAATTACTGCCCTGGGCTAACATATTAGAATACCTATCTCACATAAATCTTATTACACATATAGGGTGAGATGGTGAGTGGAGGTAGCCTTCTGAATCATTGCATTTAAAAGAAAACCCTTTTATCCATGGGAAAAGGGACTTTTAAAGCCACTTGACATACGCCTGTTTAAATGAGTGTATGGGATCCATGTTAATGTCTACAAAATAGCAATAGGTAGAGTGTCCTTAAATGTTAAAAAGGAATGGTTAATGAAAGAAATTGGCCCTACAAATATATTTTAGTTAAGAAATATAATTCCTGAAATCAAAGTTCCTAAAAATAGCACCACTATGTCATGAATTCATCGTACTATTGTGTTGTTTAACACAACAGCCCAAAGGAAACTACGTTTTATAATGTATATGTACCTTACTTTTAAAGATAACCAGAAAAATATAAATATTTTTGTTATAATATTATTGTAAAAATTATCCTAATCTCAGAAACAATTGAACCGCAAAAATAAAAAATGGTTTACTTTGTTCACAGCAAGGGTACACCGACTTTTTGAAAAGCTTCTCAATCAATGTATAAGTAACTTCAGGAATTATACCAAATAAAGTTTGTAATAATTGCAATGCTCCTATTCACTGCTAAGTACAAGAGTAAGTTCGTAGAAATCAGTTCTTCTTTATGACTTATGGTTTTAAGATTAAAATGGTTTTATTTTTCATCCTTAATGTACACCACTTGGCATTTTCTCTCATGTAATCCACAGCAACTTATAAAGTATTGTGATGGTTAATATTGAGTGTCAACTTGATTGTATTGAAGGATGCAAAGTATTAATCTTGGGTGTGTCTGTGAAGGTGTTGCCAAAGGAGATTAACATTTCAGTCAGTGGACTGGGAAAGGCAGACCCACCCTCAATCTTGGTGGGCACCATCTAATCAGTTGCCAGCGGGTCTAGAATAAAGCAGGCAGAAGAGCACGAAAGGACTTGACTTGCTGAGCCTTCCAGACTTCATCTTTCTCTTGTGCTGGATGCTCCCTGCCCTCAAACATCAGACTCCAAGTTCTTCAGCTTTTGGACTTTTAGATTTACACTAGTGGTTTGCCAGGGCCTCTCGGGCGTTTGGCCACAGACTAAAGGCTGCACTGTCGGCCTCCTTGCCTTTCAGATTTTGGGACTTGGACTGAATTCCCATCTCCTCAGCTTGCAGACAGCCTTGTGGGACTTCGCCTTGTGATCATGTGAGTCAATTTGCCCTGATAAACTCCCTATCATCTAACCTATTAGTTCTGTCCCTTTAGAGAACCCTAATTCAGGTACCATCTACAGAATAAGTTACAATTATTAAAGCATCCTCTACACAATTTCTTTGAAGACGTGTATTCCTGTCAGTATAAGACCTCAATAGTCATGCTCTAAGCTTTATTACTAGGTCTGTGTCAATGAAAATTTTAATATCTTTTCATTTTGGAGAGTCTTTTCTTATTTCATCACTTTGTTTTGGGTATATAATAAACTTTATGATTATTGCTCTGTTACAGTCATTTTCCCATTACATTTTTTATTCTGTAGCCAAACTAGCAGCTCCACAATTTGCAAGCATTTATTGATTTTAAGACATCCTGCACCAAAACTCTTTAAATTAAAACTTGTGAAGCTGTACTCACCTAAAAATAACATGTCTCCCGCAATACGGTGTTCTATTAGACATAGTGTGGATGAGGCCCATACCTTTCCAGGACTCAGCCATAGATAATCAACTAGTTAAACACTCTGTTTGGATTATTTTCCATTTGAAAAGCCAGATAACACAATTAACTGCATACTTACATTCAGGATGTTTTATGGGAAAGGGTAATAGGTGTTGATGTATTTTTAATAGCATTTCCATTGGTAGGAGGGAAAAGAATAGTCACAATATCAAATTTGGAGAGTTATGTACAAAACAAGCATCAAGTAGGGATGAGGAAAGAAAAAACAATTTTAGTTTTTCTAAACTAAATGCTAAGAATTTCATGCGTAGCAAACAATATTTATGTACTCTGAGTATTTATATTAAATGTCTCTTTGGGAAAGAAAAAGGTGCTATGTTAGATGCTTTGGAAGGATATAAACTTGGGTAAGAAAACTTTTTCTAAACTCTAGGAATCACTGTTCCAGAGGCTGAGTTCCAAACACAAACAACACAATAGCAATAGAATTCAGCAGGTGAAACTGATACTCTTCACTTAAACCTTGAGATCTGACCAGTCTGCACAGATCAGAAGCATGAAAAGGCTAAGAAAACATTTGAGAGTTTAGAGGAAAGGAATATCCCATCCTGTTAAGGAAGAATTCAAGGTAAGAAACATATGATGTGCACTCACCTATGAAAAGCTAGGAATACTAAAGTGTATCACAGAGGGAAGAAAATACAGGAGCAAACAGAAAGTAAAGACAAGACATACTTAGAGAGAGGCAAAATTATTCAATTTAAGAGTGTCAACTGCATAAAGGGGTTACTTACTACAAAATGTACATAGCATTCACATTATAGGCAGATAATAAAAAACCTTAAATGTTTTAATAGGTTAGAAGTTTTGAAACCTATGTGTAATGCATTCAGCAAGTAGTTGAAGAGTCACGCCTGGCATTTAGACCTGGACCTAGTGATCTGGACATTACTTATGAAGAAATGATTGACACATATACATAACGGTCATGTATCAAGAAAGACAAAAATGATGAAAAAAAGTAGAGATGGGCTGAGAACAGATTCATGGTTTTTCTCTTTTAAGGTTTGCCTGTTTTATTTAGTTTATCTATGTTTATTTGCATGGTTTGCCTCTTTTAAAGGACAATAGTAGTGAAGAATAAAAAAAGAAGATGGAAAAAAATAATTATCAGAGAGGTGGAAGAAGGTGATATTAGAGAGCCAAGGAAAGGCATGGCATGGAGAAGACTCAGTTGGAAAAGGGTCAAACACTCCAGAGAGTCATTAGTCATTTTCAAGAAAGCAGTATCTGAAGAGTGATGGGAAAAGAAAGGCAATTGAGTGTGGAAAAGAGAAATCTACAAATGGAAAGTTGTCTCCTTGATATTTGTATAGTAAATAAAAAGAGAAGGAAATTGAAGAAATAGAAGTATTTTTAGGCTAGAAGATACTTAAGTATCTTTGTAGACAAGTGGAGATAATCTAACGGAGTGAGATTGATGATGCAAGGAAAGGTAATAATTCACAAGGAAAAGAAGAGGGAACATAATAGGAGCATGGGGACATGATCTAGCTCACAGGGTAGGAGGAAGACCCTTTCCTCTGAGAAAGAATCTAAGTATGAAATAATAGTGAAATACACAGATATATTTTAACAAATGGAGAATAGCACATGGCAGAATATAATTTAAATGCTTTTGATTTTAAACACAGGAAATGGATACTTTGTTATCTATGCATGATGAGAACAAACATAAGTTTGGGTTTTTCAGGCTGTAAACATTTTTGAACTCATTGTGATGGAAAATTTAATGGGAAATTGAACATTTTCTGAGACATACAAATAATTGTTCCGATGTGGATCTAGTCAAAATTAGTTAACATGCATTTATAGTGGGCTTTATGTGCATAGTTAACAATACTCATACACACAGCTATCCAGCTTGGGCACAAAGTATAGGACATAAAAAGTGGAGAATTTTCCAGGTAATGATAATAATAATAGGTCTGGAGAGGTTCATGAAATTAAAGAGATCATAGATTCTATAATGTTAAGGTTTCATTACATGGTTGACTATAATAAAGATTCCAGGTATGCAAACATAGACCAGTGTATTCAACGAATGGGAAGACGAAAGTACATTGTGAGGATGTGAAGCAGATTTCAAAAAAGTGAAAAGAAATTAAGGAAGCCTGGGTGCGGTGGCTCATGCCTGTAATCCCAGCACTTTGGGAGGCTGAGGTGCATGGATCACTTGAGGTCAGGAGTTCAAGACAGCCTGGACAACACAGTGAAAGCCCATCTCTACTAAAAAAATACAAAAATTAGCTGGGCATGGTAGCAAGCACCTGTAATCCCAGCTACTCAGGAGGGTGGCTGAGGTAGCAGAATCGCTTGAATCTGGGAGGCAGAGGTTGCAGTGAGCCAAGATTGCACCACTGCACTCCAGCCTGGGCGACAGAGCGAGACTCTGTCTCAAAAACAAACAAACAAACAAAATGAAGGAAGAGGATAACAAGTAATAATTAGATATTGTAAATACATTTGTTCCTTTGTGTGCCCGGTAAGAGAGCTAGTTTAAAGGTAAGCAAAGGGTCAAAAGGGTGAAATAAAAAAAATTAATCCTGTCAAAACACAAAATATAAAATCAATAAATGACTTGCTGTATTCCAGATGATAGAACTATCTGGGGTATAGATATTTAGAGCATACATAAAATGAGGAGCAACTCCCCTCTTGCCAGATACAAAGTATCCTTAGAAAATGGTTAAGTTATGATGCAGGTATCAATTCATTTCTTTGGGTAAAAAAAATGTGGAAATTTGACTGGTATCAAATGACGTACTTGGTAAAATGAGATTGCTCAATTTAAAATTTATTTCCACATCAAAGCCCACTTGAAGTAATACAAAATTGCCTTCCATGACTTATCCCTGTACCCCAAAATCTCCTGCTAAGTGGGAATCCCAGCTTAGATCTTAGTATCCCTGGGGTGTGAAACTGTCCTTCAAATAACATAGAAAAAGCTGCTACTTTGTAAGTTTGAAATAATTGATACATTCCTTGTGATTGTGTAATATTACATTACATGGAAATATTTTGTTTTGAAATGTTTTGATTTAATTTATAGAGGAAAACACTTAGCATGCATTTTGGAAAGTGTGTCAAGGCAATGAAAGCTTCTTAATAACAGAAATAGTCTCATTGGAAATTGCCTGACAAAGTAAAACATTTTAATGATGTCAACCTTTCTGAAGCCGAACCCAGTCATTGTTAAAATAGATACAATTTGTCTTTTAATTCAGTAATAATTCTAGTCCACTTTAAACTAGTCTTTCATAATTTTAACAATAAAAGGTAGTTTGCTGAATTAATATTATTTTAAAAGAATATTTATCCTTTTTATTGAATTTTTACAGCAAAGAACATTTAACACAGTTATCTTTCATAAATTATACAAAATTAGTATTTTACCATTCCAGAATTCACACACATTTTGGTCTCCATTCAAGATACTTGAGAGCAGCATGAAATTAAATTCTTAGTAACAGAAGACTACTTCAAAATGGTGGGGAAGCCAGAAAAAAAAAAAAGATAGGCCTGAACAAATTGCATGAAACAACAACTGAGAACAAATTACAGAAAATAATTTAATAAACAACCAGCAGGATATTTTAGCGATGTATCTTGGAAAAAGTAATTTCAGTATACAGAAGATGCACAAAAGATAGCTCAGGTCTAATAAACTTACTGAAAACTTATATCCCAAATTCCATTTACCAAATTTGGATTCCACATCTAACATTGAGCAAGTGAGTATATAGATATGCAAATAAGAGATTAAGCAGAAGAACTTAAAATTTTATAAGAATTCACTCTTAAAATTGAGAATCTATATTTATTTAATCATACAGCAAATATTAATTTAGTGTCATCATGCTGGTATGGAACCTACAAAACTTAATAAGCCATGAATTGCTCACTGTTTAGTAAAGGAAAAAGACAAAGAAAAAAACAAATAAGTATAATTTAAATTTCTGTTTAGATTCCTGTTTTTTATTTGTCATGTTTATACTTACTTATGTAAAGAAATATGGTACAGTGTGAAAGTAAAATACTAGGTTTGTATAAAACAATGTAGTTATTACATAAATAGACTTCCACTGCTAACAACCTGAACTCAACTCCCAGCTCCATCAGTAACTAGTTGTTAAGTTACTTTAGGTTTCTCATCTGTAAATAGTATAATTCTTCCCTCAAAGAGTTGTTGTAATGAAGGTTGAGATAATGCATCAACCACCTATTAATGTGCATTTGTTATTTAATAATCATGTGATAAATGTTGCTTAAATAATTGTCATTATTTGTAGTATAGGTAACAGCTTTACATATGAGAAAACCATTAATTCTCTGATAGAGGCAGAGAAGGTATGACAGTGGAGATAATATGTGAATTATACTACAAAGGAGGAATAAGAGTTTGCCAAACAAATTATGGAGGTGTTAGCGTACAAAATGTAGATGTAGAAAAATAAGACGTCATGTGTGGTGACATTTTTCTTAGCCTCTTTCTTCCTATCTACTTTTAAAAACTGGAGTTTTTCAAAATCAAATCCTGGATCCTCCTCTGTTATTTTTCTACATTCTTTCTAGGACACGTCAATTATTCCCTTGGTCATAAATGCCATCTAAATGCTGATTATTGCCAAATCGTGGTTTTGTTTGTTTGTTTGTTGGAGTGCAGTGGCGCGATCTCGGCTCACTCCAACCTCCGCCTCCCAGGTTCAAGCGACTCTCCTGCCTCAGCCTCCTGAGTAACGGATTACAGGCACGTGCCATCACACCCAGCTAATTTTTTTTTTTTTTTTTTTGTATTTTTAGTAGACATGGGGTTTCACCGTGTTAGGCAGGATGGTCTCAATCTCCTGACCTCGTGATCCACCTGCCTAAGCCTCCCAAACTGCTGGGATTACAGGCGTGAGCCACCACGCCTGGCCTCAAATTGGTATTTCTAATTCAAATGTCTTTTTTGTATTCTAGTATCAAGAAATATATAACTTCCAACCATTCATTTCATTAACTGGCATCAATGTCCACACAGTGGCTCAAATCAGGGACTTGGTAATCATCATTTACCTATTCTCTGAGGCCATATATCAGCAAATCATTTTGATAACTCATTTTATCTCCAAAATATGTCTCCACTTGCTACTACCTCTTCCAATCTACTTCTATAGTTTACTTGTTTCCACTCTTGTTTTCTTCCAGTCCTTCCACAAAGAAGCAGTTATCTTTTTTTTTTTAATACCTTAAGTTCTGGGATACATGTGCAGAATGTGCAGGTTTGTTACATAGGTATACATGTGCCGTGGTGGATTGCTGCCCCCATCAACCCGTCATGTAGTATTTTTCCTAATGCTATCCCTCCCCTAGCACCCCACCCATCTACAGGCCCTAGAGTGTGATGTTCCCCTCCCTGTGTCCATGTGTTCTCATTGTTAAACTCCCACTTATGAGTGAGAACATGCGGTGTTTGGTTTTCTGTTCCTGTGTCAGTTTGCTGAGAATGATGGTTCCCAGCTTCATCCATGTCCCTGCAAAGGACATGAACTCATCCTTTTTTATGGCTGCATAGTATTCCATGGTGAATATGTGCCACATTTTCTTTATCCAGTCTATCATTGATGGGCATTTAGGTTGGTTCCAAGTCTTTGCTATTGTGAATGGTGCTGCAATAAATGTATGTGTGCATATGTCTTTATAGTAGAATGATTTATAATCCTTTGGGTATATGCCCAGTAATGGGACTGCTGGGTCAAATGGTATTTCTAGTTCTAGATCCTTGAGGAATTGCCACACTGTCTTCCACAATGGTCGAACATATTTACACTCCCACCAACTGTATAAAAAGTTCGTATTTCTCTGCATCCTCTCCAGCATCTGTTGTTTCCCAGCTTTTTTTCCTTTTTTTTTTTTTTTTTTTTTTTTTGTGGAACGGGGGATGGAGTCTCACTCTGTTGCCCAGGCTAGAGTGTGCAGTGGTGTGATCCCGGCTCACTGCAAGCTCTACCTCCCAGGTTCATGCCGTTCTCCTGCCTCAGCCTCCCAAGTAGCTAGGACTACCGGTGCCCACCACCACGCCCGGCTAATTTTTTGCATTTTTAGTAGAGACAGAGTTTCACTGTGTTAGCCAGGATGGTCTCGATTTCATGACCTCGTGATCCGTCCACCCCAGCCTCCCAAAGTGCTGGGATTACAGGCATAAGCCACCGCACCTGGCCTGTTTCCTGACTTTTTAATGATCACCATTCAAACTGGCATGAGATGGGATCTCATTGTGGTTTTGATTTGCATTTCTCTAATGACCAGTGATGATGAGCCTTTTTTCATATTTTTTTGGCCACATAAATGTCTTCTTTTGAGAAATGTCTGTTCATAGCCACTTTTTTATGGGGTTGTTTGTTTTTTTCTTGTTAATTTGTTTAAGTTCCTTGTAGATTATGGATATTAGCTCTTTGTCAGATGGATAGATTGCAAAAATTTTCTTCCATTCTGTAGGTTGCTGTTCACTCTGATGATAGTTTCTTTTGCTGTGCAGAAGCCCTCTCTCACCACTCGTATTCAGCATAGTATTGGAAGTTATGGCCAGGACAATCAGGCAAGAGAAAGAAATATAGGGGTATTCAAATAGGAAAAGAAGAAATCAAATTGTCACTGTTCACAGATGACATGATTGTATATTTACAAAACCTTGTTGTCTCAGCGCAAAATCTCCTTAAGCTGATAAGTAACTTCAGCAAAGTCTCAGGATACGAAATCATGGTGCAAAAATCACAAGCACTCCTCTACACCAATAATAGACAATCAGAGAACCAAATCATGAGTGAACTCCCATTCACAATTTCTACAAAGAGAATAAAATACCTAGGATTCCAACTTACAAGGGATGTGAAGGACCTCTTCAAGGAGAACTACAAACCACTGCTCAATGAAATAAAAGAGGACACAAACAAATGGAAAAACATTCCATGCTCATGGATAGGAAGAATCAATATCGTGAAAATGGCCATACTACCCAAAGTAATTTACAGATTCAATGCTATCCCCATCAAGCTACCATTGACTTTCTTGACAGAATTAGAGAAAACTATTTTAAATTTGATATGGAACCAAATAAAAGCCCGCATAGCCAAGACAATCCTAAGCGAAAAGAATAAAGCTGGAGACATCACTCTACGTGACTTCAAACTATACTACAAGGCTGCAGTAATCAAAACAGCACAGTACTGGTACTAAAACAGAGAGATAGACAAATGGAACAGAACAGAGGCCTCAGAAATAACACCACACATCTACAACGATCTGTCTTTGACAAACCTGACAAAAGCAAGCAATGAGGAAAGGATTCTCTATTTAACAAATGATGTTGGGACAACTGGGTGGCCATATGTAGAAAGCTGAAACTGGATCCCTTCATTACACCTTATACAAAAATTAACTCAAGATGGATGAAAGACTTAATCATAAGACCTAAAACCATAAAAACCCTAGAAGAAAACCTAGGCAATACCATTCAGGACATAGGCATGGGCAAAGACTTCATGACGAAAACACCAAAAGCAATGGCAACAAAAGCCAAAATAGACAAATGAGATCTAATTAAACTAAAGAAATAGTTATCGTCTATAAACACAAATTGTTTTGTGTCATATCTGTTCTTAAAAATTGTAGCTGGTAAAATAATCAGTACTAGTTACCGGACTAAGATCCACAAAGATCTATTTCCTGCCTAATTTTCCAAACATAGTTATTTCTCATAAAAGTTCAATGCACATTGGCTGTCTTTAAGTTTTGTGAAACAGGCAAGAGCTTTCCCATCCCAGTGATGTTCTCCTGGAATTCCTTGTACACAGTCTTCACCAGAGTAGGGCCTTCTCAGTCTACAAGGTTCTATTTAAAATATACCAATTCAAAGGAGACCAGAAATGAATCCATGCATTTACACTCAACTGATTTCAACAAAGGTGCCAAAAACATACAATGAGGAAAGGACAATCTCTTCAATGAATAGTGAATATCTACATGCAGAAAAATGAAATTATACCCTTATCTCTTACCATACAGAAAAATCAATTCAAAATAGAATAAAGGCTGGAATTTAAGACACAAAACTATTAAACTTCTAGAAGAAAACTTAGGGGAAAACGTCAATGACATTGGTCTGGGCGGTTTTTGAATATGACCCCAAAAGCACAGACAACAAAAGAAAAAATAGAGAAATGGAATTACATCCAATTAAAAATCTGCAAAACAAAGGAAATGATCAACAGAATGAAGAGACAACTCATACAATATAACAAAATATTTGCAAACTATACATCTTAAAAGGAGTTAATATCCAAAACATACAAGGAATTCTACTCAATAACAAGAAAAGACATAAGCTTATTTTAAATGGGAAAATGACCTGAATAGACATTTCTCAATAGAAGACATAAAAATGGCCAAAAAGTATATGAAAAAATGGTCAACATCACTAATCAGAGAAATAAAAATTTAAACCACAATGAGATATTACTTCACACGTTAGAATGTCTATCATATAAAATACAAAATATAACAAGTGTTGGTGAAAAGGTGGAGAAAAGGATATTCCCATTGGATGGAAATGTAAATTAGAGTAGCCATTATGAAAAACAGTATGGAGGTTCCCCAAACAATTAAAAATATGGCTACAATATGACATAGGTATCCCACTACTGGGTATATAGCCAAAGAAAATGAAATCTTATCAGAGATATCTGCATTTCCATGTTTATTATAGAATTATTTACAGTAGCCAAAATATGGAATCAGCTTGTCCCCATCAACCAATGAATAGATACAGAAAAGTTATATATACATATATACACAATGGAATACTATTCAGCCATAAACAAGAAGGAAATGTTGTCATTTGTGAACACCTGGATGAGTCTAGAGGACACTGTGTTAAGCAAAATAGGCACAGAAAGACAAATACCACATGATTTCACTAATATGTGGAATCTAAACAAGTTGACCTTATAGAAGTAGAGAGTAGAATACTGGCTACCAGAAGCTAGGGCAGTGGCAGAGGAGAGAGCTGAGAAGATGTTTGTCAAAGGAATCAAAATTTCAGTTAGACAAGAGAAATAAGTCCAAGAAATCTGTTGTACTAAGTGACTATAATTAATAATGATATATTGTATTATTGAAAAATGCTGAGAGCGGGTATTAAGTGATCAGACCACAAAGAAATAGTATCTATGTGAAGTAATTCATATGTTAAATTAGCTATATTTAGTCATTCTACAATATATATACTTCAAAACAATCTTGTTGTACATAATAAATACACACAATTTTATCTGTCAATTTAAAATAAAAGAAAATATACCTATTCAGAGTAGACTTATTCAGCCACTTTAAGTATCTACCACTTCCAATTTTTTTCTTTTATTACAGCTGATTTACAGAGATAGACTGCAGAAGGGCAAGAGTGAAAGCAGAAAATATTGCTAGTATATAACTCCAGGTAAGAAGTATCTTCTGTGTGTCCATATGTCTATATGCGTTATATGTATGTGACAATAGTTGGTAAAAAAAAAAAAAAAAAAAAAAAAGTTCTTAATTGTTGGTAAAATTTTAAAAAAGAAGGAATAGTCACTTTCACTAGGCTGATAGCAATGTGTATTCAGAGAAATGGATGGGTTTGAGCTATTTGCTGGGGAATAGAACAAATAGGAATCGCTGATGGATAGAATGTGAAATTAAGAGAAAATAAAGAATGAAGAATAGCTCCAAAGATTTTTTTACTGGAGCTACCAAATTGAAGGTAGTGTCAAAACAGGGAGTGACATTAATTTGAAGGGAAGATATAAAGATTTTCATTTTGTACATGTAAAGTTTGATATGCATTTTACATATACATATGGATATATCAAATTTATGATTAAAATATTTGTTTGAAATCTATGTGCGATATTTGAAATAAATATAAATTTGATTCTTATAAGCATAGAGATACAGGATTGAAGCCATTCCATTAGAGAAAATACTCTGGGGGAAAATTTTATCATAAGCATAATTAACACTTATAAAACACATGTTAAGTCACAGGCACTATTCTCAGCATTTTGTTCATATTTTCTCATTTAATACAATAACTCCATAAAGTATGTGGTATTATTACCCTTATTTTACAGATGATAAAACCAAAACACAAAAGTGTTAAGAGACTTGCCCACAGTCACACAGCTAGTAAGTGGTAAGGCTGGAATTTGAATGCCAGATATCTTCTCCAAAGTGCAAGGATAGAGAAGTCCCAGGATGAAACTAACAAACAGTTGAGAAATCAAAGTCACCAAACACTTAAAAAGTGGTGGAGGAGCTAGCAAAAAATAATGATAAAGGGTGAAAAAAAGGAAAATCAGAACAAAGTAGTGTCACAGAGGGATGACTTTTTTTGTTTCAAAGTATAGGTTATCCACATTAAATTCTGCTGAAAGATAAAGTACAGACTATGAAGTGACCCCTGAATCTAACAACACAGAGAACATTGGGCTGCAATTTCAGTGGAGAAGTGGCAACAGAGAGTTCCTAAAAGTCGAGTATTTGAAGACAAGGCTATTGCATAGACAGTTACTTTGTGATGCTAATGCATTTGACACATGTAGAAGAAATAAAAGAATAAATAAATGTAAGAATGTAGTTTGATAATATGGAAGCACAGAAAGAGGGAACATTTAAAAAATGAAATTAGAGAGATACTAGGTACCATATCACAAAGGTCTCTTTGTGATTCTCTTTCATGATCTCTTCATGAAAATAATTGCAGTAATTTCTATTTTGTGAGCAAATGTCTCAATTTATTATTTCAGAATGGCATACCAACCCTGCAAGGAAATCAGATCTTCATTTCTAAAGTATTTTATGGGAATATGTAATAGATAATATTTATAAATTTTAATCTCTCATCCTTGCAAATCAGAAGTTTAGTAAGAACAGATAATTAGTAAATCTTCATGTGTAGATTTTTAAAAATTAAATTTACATATAGTAAAATGCACAGATATTAAATATATCTTCTGTAGCTTTTGATTTATTATATTATTGTGTCAGAGATATTAAGTAATTCAAACTGGGATCAACCTACTATCTATTCAAAATTACTTCTCAACTATGAATCTTCCTCTCTGACCTCCTCACAAAATGAGAAAGAAAAAAAGTTATCAAATTTGGGAATAGAATGATTAGCTTTTGAAATCTGCAAGTGCTATATAAATGTAAGGTACTAAGATAAAATATATCTTAACCAGTTTTATAGTAAAATTCTTTCCAGGGAAATTATGCAAAAACCACATGAATAAACTGGATGTATATATGTAAAACTTTTATGAAAGCATCTGAAAGTGACAAATATCTCAGCAGGAAATAAAATAGTTAGAAATTCCAAGAAAGATAGAAAAATTTACAGTATTTATTGATGCATTCTAATGAAAATTTAATGTCTTCTTACTATTGAACCATTTTTAAAGGTCTTCTTGCCTGACCATTACTTTGCTATTTCTCCTCTCTTTGAACTTAAATGGTGGACTATGAGACTGACATGTTTCCAATGACTTCACCCCTGTTGTGCAATGATTAATCATCATGAATACAAGTTAAGATCAAGCCATGGGAAACTTGTCTTCTTCCATCTAATTTGATTAATGAGTTTTATGGCTGAGATGCATTGTGAAGAAAAAGGTAAAAGTACTCGAGGCAAAGAACGATTGTGGCACATCTCACATAAATTGTTAGGGAAATAAAAGCCATCTTGAACATAAAAATTATATAGTTACAAAGTGACAAAATCACCTTTCCAAGGTAGTTATATACAATTACAAAAGATTGCAATAACCTCTATACCTGGAAAATAAAAGCTAATTAATCCTCTACTATGTATTATCTCGTTGATAGCTACTACCATACTCTAGTAGTCAGTGAGAGACTCATGCTTCCTTAAATTAATTCCTTTAAAAGCCCAATAGCATCAGTCTTTCAGAAGTAATTAAGGTTGTTTGAATATTGACATTGTCAGTCATAAAGCAATGCAGTTCCTTACTTAAGTAACAGAATTGCATTTATAACATTTAATTAGAGAATGGCCCATGACAGCTTTTTGGACTTCAATGATTCAGTGAAAAATGTAATAATCTCTTAACAAGTCAATTGAAAGTAAAGAGCAGCTTTGTCAATTTTTAAAATATCAATGCAGAGCTACAAATAAGGTAAATTATTTTTGTTATGTTATGGACAAAATCCTTATTAGCACTAGGACTTACTCACTGTTTAAAATTAGCCCTGTTTTAAAACTGTTTTAAAATTAAAACAACAATTAGCCCCAATTTTTAGGGATCAGATATGTTTCTGACCTAATGTTTGCATATTTGCAAACCTATGTTTGCATATTTCTTTTAATCTATTGCTTATTGAAGCTCTTTTGGCACTTAATTCTGCTATAAGTATTCTTCCTCAAGTTTCTTTATTTTTAAATTTTTAATTGATGTTTATAGATTTCAAAATTCAACATTTTACTGTCATCATTCACAAACAAGCATCTTTTCTGATCTAACTTACATAGGAACAAAATGGAGAAGACAAGATATTACTGGTCCCTGATACAGTCTCTCTTAGTTATTAGATTCTAATATAATTGTCCAGATATAATGACCACTGTATTACTTTTCTAGTACTGCTACAACAAATTACTACAAACCTGGATCACTCATAGTAACAGAAATTTATTGTCTACCAATTCTGGAGGCTAGAAGTCCCAAATCAAGGTGTTGACCCATGCCCTCTTCAAAGGCTTTAGGGCACAATCCTGCCTTGCCTCTTTCTAGCCTCTGGTGCAACCCGTAGCATTCCTTAGATTACAGAAGCATCACTCTTGTCTTTCCCTCTGTAGTCATGTGGTGTTCTCCTTGTGTCTGTGACAAATTTCCTCTTCTTATAAGGAGACTAGTCATTGGATTAGGGCTCATTCCAATCCAGTATGACCTCAACTTGATTACATCTGCAAAGACCTTATACTCAATTAAGGTCACATTTATAAGTGCTGGGGTTCAGGATTTGAATGTATCTTTTTGTGGGACACAATTCAATGCATAACTACCTACAGTAACCAGTTTTAAAATCTATTTCTCATCACTGCAAATCATTACCTTAAACATTATTTATTAATAAGTTGATTTATATACTTTTACTAAAATATTAATTTAAAAAATGGTAACTGGTCCAGTGTATTTTGTGGAAGAAAGCTCCATAACAAAATTTTTAGTCAGTTTTATAGCTTCAATGAACACAAACCTTGGACATTTTATAAACTCTTATTAACATGGCATTGAAAAGTAACTATAGGCTGGTCCAAAGCTGGTGATTTATCTCAGTTGATTGTTCACAGTTAGTTACAGATTAAATTCTTTGTTCTACTCTTTCTTTCTTCTCACTACTACACTTGAGAAGTCTTAATGTTTTATAAATAAGTATACTAGGAAAATGAACAAGCGAACTACCGTTTGTTTTATAGGTTTTATATTTAGCAGTTAAAGGTATTTTCTATTTTTATATACTTTATCTCAGATAAAATTTAGACATGAGCTCAAAGCTTTAAATCTTTAGCACAATAGAAAATTTCACTATAACATCTGTTTAAAAGCAGATTATATCTATGTATATGTAAAATTAATTAGTAAAAACCTTATATAATTTATAATTACATATAACTATATATATAATTATATATTATACATAATTTTAAAAGCAAAGAAAAAGATTAGATCATAGGGGAAATAAATGTACAAAAAATAAAGTTTATGAAACTTGACATACATTTGGGATGTTAATCATTTCTTTGAACCAATTTTCTGATGTGCTATTAATTTTGGTCTGAGCTTTGTGACAGCCAATGCAAAGAAAGAAACTATACAGTGGATACTTTTTAACAAGCAATTATTTAGAAAATGTATATTTATTTCTGGTAGCAAGATTTGGGAACCAGTTCCCATGCTGGTGATCATAAACTTTAAAATTATGATAGAATAAACATAACTATAACTTTTCTACAGGTGTTACAATTATAATATCAAAGTAAGACCTTTTGCAGGACTTTTAAAAAATAATTGAGCTCAATTCAGATGACTGTGACCAAAAGATTTCAATCCACACAGAAATCTCTCTAAAAGACTGGCATAATTAAAAGACAAAATTTAAAGTATTTGTAAATGGTTGGAGGGTGTAAATATTAAACATTTAAATGTTCAAATATATTTTTCATGGAAATACGCTTTAGATAAGTTTTGAAAGGCATAGAATTCAATTCTATCTTGCAAATGAAATCCTGTCTATATGATTTAATAGGACCTATTTTTACCAAAGTTGAAAGGACATTTCATCAAATAATAAAGATCTACAATTGAATACAGGTTAAATATCCTTTATCTGAAATGTTTGGGCCCAGAAGTGGTTCTGATTTTTATTTGTTTCAGATTTTGGAATATTTACATATGCATAATTAGATATTTTAGGAATGGAATTCAAGGTGAACACAAAATTCATCTATGTTTCATATACACCTCATATTCTTAGCATGAAGGTAAATTTATACAATATTCTTCTTAATAATTTTGTGTATGAAAAATGTGTTGACTGAGTTTTCAGTGTGACCTGTCACATAAAGTCAGGTGTGGAATCTTCCACTTGCAGCATCATGTCAGCACTCAAAAATTTTTAACAGGCCACCCTATAAATAGTAAGGAAAAAGATAATAATAAATACAGAACATATACAAATTTTGTGAACAGGAAATTAGCAAAAGAGTCAACATAAATGACAAATAAATATATGAAAGATGATCAAACCCACAGTAAACAGGAAAATATGAAATAAAACCATAAAGAGGACCTCTCTTAACCTAAAATCAGGGTGGCAGGAATTAAAACATTGATTTCGTTCAGTTTGGCTAAAAGATGGGGAAATGAGTACAGTATTACACTAAGTGTGAGAGCATAAATTGAAAGTTCCATTTGGGAGACTCTGTATCACCCAGCAAACTTTTTTATTCTCCCTAAAGAAAAGACCATACTTATATACAAGAGGATGTATATGAGGATGTTCACTGTAGCATTGAAATGGTTCGGCTGTGTCCCCACCAAAATCTCATCTTGAATTGTAGTTCCCATAATCCCCACATGTCATGGGAAGGACCCGGTGAGAGGTAATTGTATCATGGGGGTGGTTACCTCCATGCTGTTCCTGTAATAGTGAGCGAGTTCTCATAAGATCTGATGGTTTTATAAAGGGGTTTTCCCCCTTTTACTTGTCACTTCTCTCTCCTGCCACCATGTGAAGGACATATTTACTTCCCCTTCCACCATGATTGTAAGTTTCCTGAGGCCTCCCCAGCCATGTGGAACAGTGAGTCAATTAAACCTCTTTTTTTAAATAAATTTCTCTGTCTCAGGTATTTCTTCATAGCAGGATGAGAATGAACGAATACAAGCATTGTAGCACAAAATTGCAAAAAACCTAACTATTCATCAACATGGGTATGGCAAATAAATGATCACCTATCCATATTATGAAACCCCGTGCACCAGTCAAAAAGAATGAAGTAGAACCATGTCATGTGCATTAATAAGAAACATTTCCAAGATATATTTTTGAGTAAAATTACCAGGTTGGTTACAAATTATTTAATGTTGGAGGTTATTTTTGTTTGTGGCACTGTATTTCCTAAAATTTTTTTTTTAATTTCTGGAAGTAAATACAGAGCAGTTTGCAAGTTAAGGCTTCTACAAATATGTTATAATTAAGATCTTATAGACAGCATATAGAAAAATGTTTATCTTCCTGTTGTTCATAGAAGAGAGTTATTTATCCAACTGATACAAAAGAAACATTAATTTGTATGGCATGACTTAAAGAGAAGGGATGGAAGAATGTGAAATTAGTTTATCCCACTACGACATCTGCCATTAAGCTTCTTACCAACACCCGCTCACACCATGGTGAAAGGTTGTATATAAGCATGGGCTAAAGGTTTATATCGTGTCCTTGCAGTTTATTCCAAAGGCACTTCCAGTCTGTGGACTCAAAGTTAAAAAAAAAAGGTGTGAACAAATTTATCTTGTTCTAGTAGATTTGTTCAGAAAATGATAGAGGATAAAAAGTATCAATAATAGGATAAGTGTGCCAAAAGCCTGCCTATGGTTGGTTACAGTATATAAATACCCAAGGAGTTTGGCCTGTAAGTAGCAGGCTTTAGAGATGAAAAGTCTAAAAAGCTACTGTGAGAGAAATGTAATCTTTCACTATTGGGGAAATTTCCTCAAGAGAAAAAAAGATGAGCAGCAGAAAAGCACATTATTCCTGAGTAAATCCATACATACCGATGACAGAAAAAATAGGATGTGGCCCCGTCTCCAAGACCGTAATCAGATATGTCACTAATGCCTTTGATACTTTATGAGGAGCTTTAGGTTTATAGTAATGAAATTTATATGATCCCCATTTGCTATGAAGTTAGTCAGAAAAATGCCTTTGTCACAGAGGATTTCTCACAGGGGATTTGAAAGAAAACTATTCTAATTAACACTAGTGGTATCATAAACACCAAGTAGAACAGCTTTAACTAAAACTATATGTATAATCACAGACCCTCCCACCAACAGTGAAAAGTATAGCCAAGTAAAATGAGAAATTGTACAAATAAAATAAAACATAAAGTTTTTAAGCATTAAATAATGTAGCTATTTCAAAATCATACAAGTATACTTACTTTACTTCTAATATGCTTTACTTAAGTTTGAAGGCATGATTTTCTCTTTCTACTCAATTCCCATTACTGAGTGAAGTTTGTCTAAGTGATTCACACAGAAAGTGTCAAAATCAAGAAGAATCTGAGGATATCTTCAATAATAGAGATAACTCTATATTGATACAGCAAACAGGAACTGAAGACTGGCCTAAGTTTACACAGCTAAGACATGTTTATATCAGGATTCAAACCTGATCAACCTGGGTCTAAAGCCTGTGTTCTTCAACAAGTACAGAGGTGCTAAGAGTGTTTTTTGTTGCTGATTTTTGTGTTTTTCTGACACAGAATCTCGCTCTGTCGCCCAGGCTGGAGTGCAGTGGCACAACTTGGCTCACTGCAACCTCTGCCTCCCAGGTTCAAGCAATTCTCCTGCCTCAGCCTCCCGAGTAGCTGAGATTACAGGCATTCACCACCATGCTCAGCTAATTTTGTATTTTTAGTAGAGATGGGGTTTCACCATATTGGCCAGGCTGGTCTCAACCTCCTGACCTCGTGATCTGCCCGCCTCAGCCTCCTAAAGTGCTGGGGTTACAGGCGTGAGCCACCACGCCTGGCCCAGGAGTGGTTTTAAAATAAAGTGTCTCTGAAAAACATTCAATTCAAACTTGGTCTTTCTTGCAAATGCTTTGAGAAATTTATAATACAAATATTTATTGGTCACACCCTCAGCCAATTGTTCCTAGATACTGAAGATACATCAGCAACTATATTTTTTAAAAGAATTGAAACATCCAATTTAGGTTACAGAACAATTTTGAGTGGATACAAACCAGTCCTATGCACTTTTTATGTAGGAAAGATGCTGTTGACTTTTATTTAAAAAAAAAAAAAGAAAAAGAAAGAAAACTGTTAGCCATACTAAGCAGGTACGCACAACAACGTGATTGCTTTGTAAGCTTGCATTGGCAACATAATTAATATTTAGTGCTTTAAGGAAAATATATCCAATTAAAATGAGATTCACAGTATTCCAATCAAGAAGCAAAATTAAATTAAAAGACAGAAAGCATAATATATGTTGTCATTTCCTGAAGTTTAGTAGAACTTTCCCATTTTTTTTCAGTTTCACTTTTTAATCCTGAAGGCATTACTTCAGTGTGTATACATTTATGCTAATCATATACCACAGCCATGGGTTCTTCTATCAATATGAAATGTTTTGTACTTGCTGTTTTTGTGCATCTTGTATTGTTATGTGCAATATACAAAATAATGTGTCTAACTATGCCATTTATGCTTTTGAAAGAAAAAGCAAATTACTTACTGAAGAGAATGGCATTTGCATGCATGTGTGTCAGCTTTCAAGCCATTTCCTTCTACAAAATATTGCTTTCTACACTTAGAAAATGCATCCATCCATCAGTTACAAACCATTTCAAAGCACTTTATGAATCTACAGAGCAAAATGTACTTATCTTACATTGGCAGTGTCCCCAGCTGTTACAAAATTGCTATTGTCCTAATACTTACAAGGCAATTTTAGCATCAGTTAATAATTTTACAGGATAGATAACTTCTAAAGCATTATAAAATGACAGACATTAAACAATAGCAACTTAGCATTTTTTGAAACAGTTCATGACAGCTTAAAAACTAAAGTGATTTTAATGTATAGTCTATGCAGTTTTAGTTTCTCATTGACAATTCCTTTAGAAGATAAAAATGTGAAAACCCTTTTAAATAGTGGGTAAAAGAATAAAACAAATTTATCTTTAAAAGATATTCAGTAAAAATCTCAATCAGGAATAATGTTTCAAATCTTCCTGTACAGCTAGCAGGTGACAAGAATTTGAATTTATTTAGGCAGAAAAAAAAAGTGATGGTATCATTTAATGGTGGGGTACCACAAAATAAAAAGGCATATCTATTCATTAAAGCTAATACAAAAAGAAAAATACAGTGAATAGCATTTTATATAAATCAGTATGCATTATTTCTTCCTAAACACTGTTTTCTATCAATCTTAGTTTAAAAGCTTCAGTTAAAGGAAATATCTGGGTAAATGTAACACATATGTTCTCTCTTACTCCCTTTGTTTAAGTTGTTGGGATAGCCACACAACAAATTTTTGGCTTGATACTTTACCACTCACCTTTGATAGCGAATGCCTTGATGGTAAACAAAGAAAAACAGCTCTAAACAAATTACATTAATTGGTAGTTTGATACATAACGTGTAATCTCTCAAAGAAAAAATTCTTCTGATAAGAACCAATGTGCAGCAGTGGCAATTTTCACAAATGGACTTATTAAATAAAACCAATTATTCCATGAATATTCATAAAGGTCAAGTAATTGACCACATCATCAAAATACACCACAATTTCTCTTAGTACGCACTTATCATCTTCTTATCTATCACTGAGCACACTGATGTCACCTGGGATCATTGTACACCATGCTACTTCAGAAAATCAAGAAAACATTGAATTTTCCAAGGCTGTAAATTATGTTCACACATTTAATCCTTACAGAATGCTATTTGTACATTTTAATACTGCCATTGTCTCAAAATTGTAAAAAGTTCTGTAATAGGCTTAGGTAATTTCAATCTTCCATGGCACCAATATGCCTTAAGAAAAGGGTAATTTGAAATGTCTCAACTACTTTTACATTATGCAATGCAGGACATTTATTGAACAGTTGTATATTATAAGACATACAAATCCTTGTTTTATTACTACTGGAAGAAATACCTGTGACAAATAGATATTCTACAAGGCCAGCTCCATGAAGGCAGGGACACGTCTCTAACACATTACTTCATTTCTGAAACATAGTGTGTGCACCACAGACATCTGTTGACTAATTGAGTCTCTCTGAATTGATTAAAATTAACTATTTTCAATCCTGCATTAACTATTTTTTATTTAGATTTTAAATTTCAAACTTTTTTTTATCAGTGTATGTACAGAGAATACTCCAGAAGAAACCACTAGATTCTGATTTAGAAAATCAAACAGCCACTTCTTGACAAAAATTGTTAACGAAGAAACACATTTTCTATTAAGAAAAACTATTCTATCATAAACTTACATGTCACAAATGTCAAGATATCTTTATTAAAATATAAAACTGACTCACATCTATAATGAAAATATAGAAAATGAAGGTAATATTAGGCATTTCTTTCCTTCTGCCTTTATATAGTATCAAATTAATAACAGTCCTACTTAAATAATTAAATATTGATTTACTGTTGCCTTTTCTAAGATGTTTATTAGTAATTGGTATAAAATATTGCAGGTTTGTAAAACATAACTGAATTTTTAAAACACAAAGAAATAAATCGACACTGACAGGTTTAAAAATAAATAAAACTGTAACTTTTAAGTGTCATTAAATGCAAACACTTTAAAATCTCAATCTCAAAATATGTGTCTGTCTCCCTAATTTTTAGTAGGAATGCATTTAATGGTAGTGGTAATGAATTCCTACTAAAGAAACAAAGAAAAACTTACTGGGGGACAGTGTGGATATTGGTAAGCCCCAATTTTCACAAAGAAGTAGCCAGACGTATCATTACCTTTGTCGCTAGGCTTTAAGGTATTTCAGACCCTTCAGCATTTAGTCCTTGAAGCATGTTTGTATTATCTCTTTCTCAGATAGGCCTTAGGTAGGTTGCCACTTCCCTCCTCTCACTGTTAATATGTGCATGCTTCATTACTAATAAATTTACTACCTTCTAAATTTAAGCAAATAAGAAGCCTCTTTCTAGTCCTGCTCTCAAAAGGGAAGTAGACCAGACATTTGTGCTGCAAGGCAATAAACTCGAATTTATATCCTAATTAAACCCAAAGCCAATACCTGGAGATTAGACTACCCTACTGGAGGACTCTACTGTAATTTTTAAGTGCATATAACTAGGAACTTTCCATGGATATTTACCATGTTCTTGAATCCCTAATCCTTAAAACACATTGCTAACTTAGTTTTCTTTGGTAACTTTTTATACACACCTGCATTGCATGAAATATTAATGTAAACAAATTACATTTTGAAGTGTTTGTATTATTCAGATGCACATCAACTGGTATTAGGCAAGAAACCTTGAAGAGCAAAATATGGCAATTTGAGCAGGAAAATTACATGAGGCAACTACTAGCATGGTGTTATACATTTTTAATACAACTCTAGACACTATACTATTTTCAAGAAATTTCTCCAAAATTAATTTATTGAAAATGTCCTCCAAAGATTCCCCACTGGTTTGATTGGTCTAGTCTAAAATCAGGCTGACCCAAATCTGAGGAATAATGCAGATTTTGATTTCTGAACTATCCTATACACTAAATAAACATGACCCTGCATCTCTGGAGTTTGCTAAGTCACTCCTCCCAGCCTATCCAAGACCCATTTCACTGAAACTGTCATTTTGAACAGCCGCTTCAATGCTATTGTCTACTGAAGGGAAAGATGAATACACCTCGTTAGAAATAAATATTCAACCCTGTTAGAATCTACCCACAGCTTTAAGTTGCCCCTCACATCACAGTTAACACAAGCTAAGACTTTCTATAGGTAGTAACTTGACTAGCATATCTTATCTGAGCCCTAGAAGACTTTTATCTTGACTATATTCAGCACATGTTAATATTTCAGCATGTACTCTAAAGCCAGAATACCCAGTTTTGAAGGCTGCTTTAATATTTTCGGTATGTGTGACCTTGGGAAATAACTTGACCTTTCTAAATACTTTTCCTTATTTACAAGATGGGGATGATGACATTAACTACCACAGAAGATTAAGTTTAACCAATATAATCAATCTTAAGTGCTTTGACCAGGGCCTGGCACATATTAAGTATTCCACACAAGCTGGTTATAATTTATAACATCATTTGCGTTATCTCCTATTAAGTCTATTCTTTATCAAAGTAACTCAGAAATCTACTTAACTCAGTACACTTTTGGGTATCTAGAAACTAGGAAATAATTTACTGAGTTTAGGAGATAGTACAGGGAAATAATCTTATTTGAAAGACAAGTTTTGACATTTATAATATCACAAAACTAATTTTAAATTATAAATTGTACAATTGTGTATCTTACCTCAGAAGAAAGCTTTAAAGTTAAAACCAATAATTGTTGCTTACAACTGCATATACATTTATAAAGTATATAAGATACATAATAACAATGAAACAAAGTTTATATAAACATCGTAAGCGAAGTGTGACCAAAAGTTCTCTGAACAAGAATTTGGAGGAAAGAGTTTTCCCAGTGAACAATTTGCAAACCAGGAGACACAACTTTCTATGTAAAACAAAAATGCATTTTAGAGAACTAAGAGAGCCATAGGATGTTAGAGCAAAACCTCCCACCCAGGTTCCTAATCAGGTCCCTTTATGCACATGAAGGATTGAAGCTTGCTTAGTTCTGACTGGTTGGCACAGCTGACTTCTGATTAGGCAGTACAGCTGAGCTCTGATTAGTTGATAAAACTGAGCCCCAAATAGCTGGAGCAGGTGAACCCTGGTTGGTTGGTTTCCAGGCCCAAAACCAGAAGTCTCTGTCCTACTTATCTTTCAAATGAGGGGAAGGAGTTTCCAGCAGCACCAATAGAAACTAGTTTAGATTGACTGTAGAAGGGAGATTCTGTGATACTTTTACATCTTCCTGAACACACAGATTATGTGACTGCTGGCTTACCCGGATATGGCCATATGGTTCTGTTTTAACTTTGAGCACCTCAGTTAGCCACAGGGAGTCCATTTTGTCTGTGGACCAGGGGCATACTTTAACAGAAGAAAAAACATAAACTCTTAAAGTTTGAGGCAGGATGACTAAACCTTGTAAAAGTTAAAGGAGTTTCTGGAATATAAAGCACATTTCTACTATTCTTGCAATTATTGCAAATGAAGGTGTCGATGTTGTTTTTTATCCATTAAGCTTTCATATATTTTTTTACTATGCTAGGTAAAGTTTATTTTGGGGACTTATTTACCTTGAACATGCAAACTCATGTGCTTTTCAAATAAAAATTTTAGGAATATAAGGATGAATTCAATCTTAAGCAGATTCATGGAATATCAGCATCTGATTCTCAATAAAGAGTGTATAACTTTAAAAACATCCATCATATAAAAGAATTACATTGAAAAGATAAATATATGGCTACTTATATTAACAGTTAGAAAAATTATGAAACGAATGGGTTCCAGAGAACTCTTTGAAAGCAGCTTCATGTTATGTTAGTCCTATATGAAAAATAGGTAAGATAATGTATGAAAAGGGCTTAACAGGCTGTCACAGAGTAAGATCTTAGTACATGTTAGCTGTTACCATTATGTTATATAAGCCATATTTTTAATATTTGTTTCCATTTTTAGTATAAATTATTTGATCAAGAGACACACAGGTACACTTGTTGTGTATGCTAGCGATATGCCAAATCATTGTTTTTTTCCAACTCTGCGTTCACCCAAACGTGTCCCCTTTCAGTTTAATCATAACTCCACTTTAGATTGTTATTTCAAAACTGTAACAACACATCTTTTCCTAAGTTGAAGTTTATAAACATAGTAATAGTAAAATTTATATTTCAATACTTAAGAAGAAGATACTATTCAGTGAGCATTCAGTTGGCTACCAGATAAAAGATAGAGGGGTTGTGTCTTTCAGTTAACGGAGCAGATAATAATGGTTCTGGGTTTGGCATTATTATTACTGTACATGGGGAATACCCAGTAATGCCAACAGAAGATTTTTTGTTTTTCTTTTCTCTAGAATGACCACACATAATTTGGCAAAAGAATTTTACAAGAAATTAACAACTGTTTTGCCTTTTAAAATAGAATAACTATCCCAATTGCAACTATTTATCCCAAATTAAATGGGCCAAAAGTGGTATTTTTACAGTAATCTGCAACTCTAAAATAATGAAAAGTGAAAAAAATGCAATTGCTCATCCACAGATAGTGAATAAAAGAAAATTTAAAAATAGCAACTACTCAAGGCTGTTTGTAAAAGCAGCTGACACCTTCAAGATGAAGTGTCCTCCTTTTTCTAATGAATTAAATCAGTTTACCATTTTTGTTCAGTATGAATATAGAATTTTCAATAAGATTGAAACATAATCCTGTAAAAAATACAAGTTCATTCGTAGCATGTCAGCACATAAACAGAAGTCATAGCTTAAAAAATGTAATTAAATGCACATAAAAATTAGAAAATTAAATCATTATATTTTCTAGGTAAACAACATTTTCAGAATTTACTTTCCTATACCAGCCAAAATGCCTATACCTTTGACTCTAAGGCTTTGATTTTTCAACTAGCTCTAATATTGTATGAGCTATTTTCTACTATTAAATCTTCACATATATTACACCATTTGTTACTCATCTTTTGATCCCACATGTTTTTTTAATGTCTTTAAATTGCTCACATTTCATGTGAGGGAGATAGGATTTTCATGATAGAAATAGTGAATTTTTTGTTTGTCTGTTTGTTTTTGTTTTTGACAGAGTCGCACTCTGTCGCCCAGGCTGGAGTACAGTGGCACAATCTCAGCTCACTGCAACCTCTGCCTCTGGGGTTCAAGCGATTCTCCTGCCTCAGCCTCCCAAGTAGCTGGGATTACAGGTGTGCTCCACCATGCCTGGCTAATTTTTGTATTTTTAGTAGAGACAGGGTTTCACCATGTTGGCCAGGCTGTTCGCGAATTTCTGGTCTCAAGTGACCTGCCCACTTTGGTCTCCCAAAGTGCTGGGATTACAGGCATGAGCCACCGTGCACCACTGGAAATTGGGTTTTCTTCAAGAATTTTTTGAAGCATGAAAGTTTAGGTCATGAATAGCATTTTCAATCAGATGCCCTCGAATTCCAACACAGGTTTTCATCTCCCACAGATCCTGTAGTTATTTATAATATGTATGAGCTTTAAGTAGATGGTATTTGTGATGATTTTCTAGAGCTGAAAACATTTTTGCTACTGAAAGGAAAAGTGGCAAACTTAAAGTTACCTATAGACAAACTTTTTCATATGATTGACAAACCCTTTTGGCAGGAAGGAGAATCATAGGCTTTGCTATTCATAGATCACTCCTCCACATCTTTTTCCAACTTTTATTTTAGATTCAGAGGGTACATGTGCAGATTTTTTTCAAAGGTATATTGTGTGATGCTGAGGTTTGGAGTACAATTGAACCCATCACCCAGGTAGGGAGCATAATACGCAATATGTGGTTTTTCAACCCTTGCCCCACATCATTCCCTCCCGTGTCTTGTATTCCCCAGTTTCTATTGTTTCCATCTTTACGTCCATGTGTACCCAATGTTAAGCTCCCACTTATAAGTGAGAAGAGACGGTATTTGATTTTCTGTTTTTGCATTAGTTCGCTTAGGATAATGGTCTCTAGCTGCATCCATGTTGCTTCAAAGGACGTGATTTTATTCTTTTTTCTGACTGCATAGTATTCCAGGGTGTATATGTACCACAATTTCTTAATTCACTCCACTACTGATGCACACCTGGATTGATTCCATGTCTTTGCTATTGCCCTACATTTCTTTAATACTATACTCAATGATTTGTGGTGAATGTACTTCAAATCATCAAGATAATATGCATTGACTAGTTGGTGTTTGTTAATATGTTATGGGGATACAAATGATGTATAAGATATCAAACTTGCCTTCAATGTAAGCAGAAAAAAAGTTAAACTTCTGGGAACAAAGTTGAGAGGATAGTCAGGTATTAAAATATATTAAGCTGTCTATAAGTGTTCCAGGAATAATATTTTTAAGTGCCTCTGCATCTTGAGTTAGTAATCATCTGAATTTTTTGCCCTTCCACACTTCTGCTATTTTATTCCCAGTAAAGGTTGAGGTTATGCTGCTTGAGGAGGGAGAAGGGAATGAACAGTATCAGTTCCTTCCAGGTGGGGAAATAGAAATCTCTTTCACCCATAGGGGAAGAAGCTACGAAGGACAGACAGAATTAAGGGACTGGCATGAGGTCAATCATCAGCGTCCTTTCTTAACATTCTCCCTTCTCCAAAGAATGGAGAGCTGGGAATGATACATAATGCAGTGTGTGTGTGTGTGTGTGTGTGTGTGTGTGTGTGTGTGTATGTGTGTGTAATTTATTTGATTACATTCAGAACACTAGTTTGAAATCATTAATGACTTCAATTGATACAATATATCTTTTCAAACCGCTGAAACTAACTAACCTTGATACAAATTGAAATTGTATTCTTAGAACACTTGAGTTATTTTAGAAGGGGCAAATTCATTAGAGTTCCACTTTTGCCAAGTTTTTTTTTCAAATTTTTAAGAACAATTTTCGACTTACAGAAGAGTTGCAAAATACAACAGATAATTCTTGTACCTCCTTCACCTGCTTCCCATAATGCTAACATCTTTTATAACTGTAGTGCAATTATTAAAACCAGGAGATTAGGCTAGGTGTGGTGGCTCAGACCTATACTCCTAGCACTTTGGGAGGCTGAGGCGGGCAGATCACTTAAGTCCAGGATTTTGAGACAAGCCTGGGCAACATGGCGAAACCCTGTCTCTACTAAAAATACAAAAATTAGCCAGGCATGGGGGCATGTGCCTGTGGTCCCAGCTACTTAGGAGACTAAGATGGGAGGATCACTCAAACCTGGAAGGTCAAGGCTACAGTGAGCCATGATTGTGCCACTGCACTCTAGCCTGGGCTATAGAGTGAGACCCTCTCTGAAAATTGAATAAATAAAACTAGGAGATTAACAATGATACCATATCATCAACTAATATACAGACCATATTAGAATTTTGCCAGTTTTCCACTAACATCCTTTTTTATGATCTAAGATCTGATCCAAGATTTCATATTGCATTTAGTTATCATGTCTCTTTAGGGCCCTTGATCTGTGACAGTTCCTTAATATTGTTTTGTCTTTCATGCTCCTGACACTTTTGAAGAGTTCATACAAGATATTTTTTAGAATATCTCTCGATTTGTGTCAATCTGGTGTTTTCTCATAATTAGATTGTGGTTATTCCTTTTTGGCAAAAATAAAACTGAAGTGATGTAATGCCATTCTCAGTACATCATATCATGAAACATATGATGGCATAATATCTCATTACTAGTAATGTTAATGCTAATCACTAAACATTGTCTACCAGGTTTCTCTATTGTAATGCTAATATTTTCCCTTCATAATTAATAAATATCTTGTGAGAAAATACTTTGAAACTGTGTAAATATCCTGTTTGTCATCACTCATTAATTTTAGCATCTGCTGATGGTTTGAACAATATATATACAGACAGATAGATATGACATGTATTTCTGCGGTATTTGCTTAACAGTTATTTTCTATTTTCGGTATTCCTTCTACATTATTAATTTATATTCTACCAGAAAAGGGACCTGTGTCTTCTCTCCCACTAACTTACTTTTTCATTTATATATTTATATCCATATGAAACCATGATCTTTATTTTATTCTATGAGTCATAATCCAAATCTAGCATTATTTAAGTTGTTCCAAATTAGTCCAGCTATTACCATTGTGAGCTCTTTAAATTTTGTTCTTGTGGGCTCTTGAGATTCCTCTATCACTCGAACAAGTAAGTAAATATAATGTAAATAACAAGACCCCTGTTTCTGACTGTCAGAGAATGAGGTTACAAATGAGAATGGGAAAAGACTACAATGAACCCTGTAATGTTAAATTGGGGGAGAGTACAAGGGGGAGGAGTATGTGAAGTAATACCGTGGTTTTAAAATAGGAGCTATAGAGACATACATTCACGAAGTGTTGTTTCTCCTCCAACCCTATACCATGTTTCCATTTCCCCTTACGTTCACCTCTTTCCCACCCACCCCTGATACGTAACTAATCTCATTGGTTTCTCTTTTATCCTTCTTATAGTTCTTTTCCACAAATGAGCAATACATATTTTCTTATACCTCTTTCTTTCTTAGATGAACAGTCACATAGTATAGATGTTTTTGGATTTTGTTTTTCTCATATAACAATATATTCTGAAAATATACGTGACACTCAATTGTGTGCCATAGTTTATTTAATGACTTTCTATATATGGATATTTAGGCTGCTTCCAATATTTTGTGATTATAATAAGGAAAATTTTGAGAGATTCCCAGTGAACAGATTTGTTCTTTGGTCCTCAAGTAGCCAAGAAAAACTGTAAAGACCTTAGAGAAACTCCACATAAAACATAGCATCGAAGAGTATGGTGCCTCAAGAGCAACAAATTAATAATAATCTGTGCTGGTGGTGGAGCATCAGATTCCTTGAGGCCCATACCTCTTATGAAGGACATGCAAAGTTCCACATGCACAACTGCTGGAAATACAAGTCAATAAAAGGAGAACTGGGGCCACAGCAAAGACTATAGGTTGCAAGTATTTTATGACCGGAAGCAATGGCCAAGTTAACAATCAACAGGTGTAGATTCCAGGATGATGTTCAAATGAGAGCAATCCCTCAGTGGACTTCAGTGAAAAAAGAAAGAGTCCAAGTGGAATGAGGGTCCTCTCATGCCAAGGAGAATGACCAGAAGACAGTTCAAAACACCTCCATCATGAGCTTTCCTCTGTAGCCATATACCAACTTGAAAAGGAGGTGAGAAAAAACAGACCCTCCGAGGAATATTGGAAGAACTAACCCTGTTAGGGATTTTGAATTTGGAATTGACTGGATATTAGCTGACAAAGACGATTGTATTAATTACGTATTCCTATGCAACAAATTACCTCCAAACTCAGTGGCTTATAACAACAACATTTGTTTTCTCAAATATCTATAGGTCAGGAATTCAGGAATGGCTTAGCTTAGTGGTTCTGCCTCTGGGTTTTACACGGAAGGGCAAGTAAGATTTTAGCCAGGGCTTCTATCATCTGAAGGCTTAATTGAGGCTTCAACATCTGCTTTCAAACTCATTCACATGGCTGTTGGCAGGAGGCCTCACTTCCTCACTAGTTACTGGGTAGAGGCCTCAGTTCCTTGCCACATGGGCATCTCTATAGGGCTTTTTGAGTGTGATCACGACATGGCACTTGGCTTTCTTCAAAGTGAATGATACAGAGAAAGCACAAAGACGAAACTACAATGCTTTTCTGTTTTAATTTCAGAAGTTACACGTTGTCAGTTTCACCACATTCCTTTTGTTGGAAGCAAGTCACTAAGTAAGCCTACACTCAAGGGAAGGGAATCAGGCTCCATCTTCTGAAGAAATAAGTACCAAAGAATATAGGAAATACTTTACACTCACCACAACTGTTTTACACTGGAAGAGATGAACTATCTATAGCTAAAAAACTAAAACTTCTTTTGTTCATTAATAGTAGTTGGACTCCAAAGCAAGATCAGTCCATAGTAAAAGAAATTGCTTTTTAAAAAATGTGTTATGTATAAATTGTCACCCTTAATACGAGGTAGATATGGAGCACTATGAGTTGAAGTGCTGAAAAAGACCACATACATTCTCAAATAACTTCTTCAAAGACTGAATTTATGCAACCTCCATAAAACCACGAATAACATAACTTATTCCATTTTCTTTCCCACAAATAATATTGTAGAAAGATTTAAATTTTTATTTTCACAATTCTTGATTTCTACAGTAGAAAATAACTTAGGTTTCGAAATAAACCTTAAGAGAAAGATGTGGATTTAGGTATACTTTGGTTGGAATCTCATTTCTAGTTACTTACTACTTTTTGTGGAAGTTTCTCTACACCTCAGTCTCCTTATTTGCAAATAGAGATGCAATTCTCTTGCCTCAGCCTCCCGAGTAGCTGGGATTACAGGCATGTGCCACCATGCCCAGCTAATTTTTTTGTATCTTTAGTAGAGACGGGGTTTCACCATGTTGGCCAGGCTGGTCTTGAACTCCTGACCTCAGGTGATCCACCCACCTCAACCTCCTGAAGTGCTGGGATTACAGGCGTGAGCCACTGCACCCGGCCAAAGAGTTTTTATTTGAAAGCAAGATATCCTGGGTTAAACTACTGGTTCTAAACTTCTTAGAAGTGTAAAATCAAGCAAATCAATAACTTTTCTGTGCCTCAGTTTTACCATCTGTATAATAAAAATAGTAGTACCTATCTTTTAGGGCTGTTGAGAAGATTAAATAAATTAAAATAGCAAAACAAATGCGAACCTAGAATATAGTATTAAACAGACATTTGCTTTTTTCATTAACATGATTATTACTATTACTATTATTGTTACATTCTTTTTGCTTTTGTTCTTTGGAGCAAAAACAGTTTTGAAAGTTAAAAGAAAATACCATTATTAAAATTATACATGATATTTTAAAATAATTTCCTGTGATTTTTATGTGTTATTCTTTCTGAGTTATTTTAGTGTATTAGACACGAGGTCTTGCCCTGTCACTCGGGCTGGAGTGCAGTGGCATGATCATTGCTCACTGCAGCCTCAAACTCCTGGGCTCAGGAGATCCTCCCCTCATCCTCCCAAGCAGCTAGAACAATGGGGCCATGCCACAATCCCTGGCTGTAAGAAAAGATTTTATTTTCTTTTTTTTTTTACAGTTAAAATAATATTTTATATTATATATATTTTGTCACGATTAAAGAAAATTCATAAAAGGAAAAGAACATTTGGGTTGTGGGAAAGGAAGCTGGTGTCCGGAGGGGATCTAGATGCTCTGGTGCTTGCATGATACTTGGCCCTGGGTTCTTTACATCCTCCCTTCCAGGTCCTGAAAGTCTTTAGTCATTCATTCATTCATTTATTCATTCATTCATTCAACTAATGTTTATTAAGCATGTGTTATGTGTTTAAGCTAAAACTATGGAATAGCTTGGGAACTACCAATTGTTGGTTAAATGCAGAATAGATTAGACTGAAATCATTAATACATGGAAATTATCAAATATTTTTTCTTTTTTTTAAATTAACTAGCATACTTTTATTATTTAAAAGTATTTAAAATTTAATTTAAAATTTAAAAAGTATTATTTAAAATTATGTAAAAGCCATATGTTAAAGATAAAATTACAGGAATAATTAATATGTATTTTGAACTGAAAGATAGTAAAATAAAACATTTTATAATATGTGAAATACAGCTCCTGCCTTGCTTAATGGGAAATCTTTAGCTGTAGATGCATAACATCAAAGAAGTAGGGTTTACAAACAATAATTTTTTTTTTACCTACTAGGGTTTCTACTGGGAATGCAAAGATATTTTAAAATAAAAAAGTAAATCAATGTATAGAGAGTAAGTTGGCCAGGTGCAGTGGCTCATGCCCGCAATCCCAGCACCCTGGGAGGCCAGGGCGAGCAGATCATGAGGTCAGGAGTTTGAGACCAGCCCGGCCATTGTGCACATGTACCCTAAAACTTAAAGTATAATTAAAATTTAAAAAAATAATAAAAGAAAGACACAAATTACCAGCATGCAGAATAAAATAAAGATTTTATTTTCAACCCCTAGACACTTAAAAAGAAGAATCTCAGGAAGAAGCCCAGTGTTGTGGGTAGGTAAATTTCAGAGCTAGATGTCAAAAACTCAGCATCTCTGAACCGGTATGTGAATGTGAAATTGTTACTCTGTTATTTATGCTGCAGCCAATCCGAATAGAATAGAAAGACTTCAGGGAAGAAGAAAGGCTTATAGTGACTACTGTGGTCTTGCCCAGAGGGATCACACACCCTGTCTCTCTAGTTTTCTCCCCTCAATGTTCCCTATCCTCCTGCCATCTCTGGCAGGATCACTCCAAATGTGCTATGCCTTGCCTGGATTTTCGATTCGTTGTCCCATCACTTAGTTCCAGTGCTCTGTGCAACCTTCCACAGGGGTTGAAGTTTCTGTACTTAAGAGAACCTGCCAAGAGGCTGAGGAGCACTGTGTAGCCATGAAAACTTGGAGACACCCTAGGAGCAATTACTCTAAACTCCGGGAAAATAACACTTTTTTTCATACATTTTTTTTTTAGAAAGCTTGGTTCAACTGAGAACTTTACACAAAAACAAAATCAGCTTAAAATATGCATTGTCACTGAGAAAATATGGAACTTAAGCAGGGAAATTTTAAAAGTCACAACTTTTGGCAATGTAGTAGTAGTCTCTTCTGGCTGATGGAGGTCCAGCAATCTAAGTATCAGCCCAGTCCGACTACAGCTTATGGAAAAATCAGTCAAACTCTAAACAACACCTTTTCAACTGCCTGTGACCATAAGAATGGTCACACATACACAAATACTCAAATTGTTGCAAGGGCTTATTTAATTTTACACTTCATCTTTTCCTCAAAGCTCACCTTCTGGCATTCTCAAGGAAGGGCTTCAGTTGTTTCCAGGAAGGGGTGTCACTTTATCTCTGCTCACCTCACAGAAGTCAGAGACTCGTAAGCCATTTGAGGAAGATGGCACACCACCATTATTGATGCCATTCTCTTCTTTCTCAGGAAGATTCCCCCAGATCCCTCATGATATGAATTTTGTGCAGAAGTCTATGGCCAAGTGGGGATTCAGACATAGCCCTCTGTCCAACTCCAAGTAGAACTTTGGTAATATTATCAAGATGATAATACTAGAAACTAACTTGTACTAAAATGTTAATGACTTCCATATAATAGTTCCATTGTAAATGAAGTAATTTAGTACTTTAATTCCATTTCAATATGGGTATGATGAGATTTTTTCACTGAAAAGTCACTGCAGGAGATGCTATGGATGGTGTAGCTTTATGGGGCCTTTCAAAATGGAGAATTGACTTTAACGTGACAAAAATAATAAAGTATTATATGTCTTGGCAAAAAGAAAAATTAAAAATATGGGAAGTATTTTAAAAAGAAAAGGTTAAAACTCATCTTTGCCTCTTTTAATAATTTGACAACTTCTTGAGTAAGCCCATAAACTCAAGGTTTCTCTTTTATTCTAAGCTGTAACGTGGGGTTGTCAGTATTTGACTATTTTAGATGATAAATAATAACTTTAAATAATGGGCGTAAAGCAAAATGTTTCACAAATGCATGGCGGCTTCCCATTTTTGCTGAAATTTTCTTTAGTAACTGAATAAATACCCTTTCTTATTTGCTTTCAGTTCTTAAGAAGAAAAATACTTGCACCTTCAACTATAATTTTCTTATACTCTGGAAAATCATCATTGAACTAATATAAAGTACCCTGACTTTCACCTCTGTTCTATGGTGACTTAAAGTATTCCTTTGCTTTCAGGTATAGCTCTTTAAACTCCAAAGTAGGTACTATTTGTCACATTCTAAGCTTGAGTCCATTGAATAAAAAAGAGTTTCAGTGAATTCAAAGGCAGAATCCCTCATCTCTGTTATCCTAATCTGTAGTCTTGGTACTCAGAAGAAAACTGACACTCCACATTATCATTGAAAATATATGCTTTTCCTTAACTTCAAATGATATTAACATAGCCTATGACTCAGTTAAGCTCCCTGAAGGGTAGGGAAAAAGTTATATTCTTCAAGGAGATAGAAGGAACAAAGGTTTCTCTGTTGTAACACTAGCTAACAACAGGAAAGTGACAGGCATAAAGGTACCCAATAAAGAAGGCTAATTTCAAAACTAAAATAAAATTAGAAGAGAAGACCTGGTAGCCCAGTGACTAAAACTATTTTGTGAAAAAATATTAATGTTAATATCGAATAAAGTTTTCTTGGCAGTGATTCCTAGGTTATTAATTTTGGTACACTATAACTCTGCAATAGGTTTTTTACAACCTAGTCTAGAAGATGTTCTTTATATAGTGAGCACTATGTTCCCAATTCATTTCTTACCCTTGTTGTGTTTGCCACTCATCATAGAAGACATTGTTCTCACTCTGAGACCTGTTTAAGAAAATAAATAGATCTCTCAAACTAGAAATGGGTCTGCTTTAGAAATCGCACCATCTAGACATAAATCATTGTATATGATTTTGAAGATTTTTTTTAAAAGGCAACGTGGACGATGGTCTATTCTACTGTCTCAAATCAAGGACACCAATTTGAAGTATTTCAAAATTTAAATAAGTATTTCAAAACAAAAAATAAAAAAACAGCAGAACTCTGTGGTTGGTGACATGTGGCCCAGATGAGTGTGCTAATGGAATCATTTGTACCCTTTCTATGAGGCCAAGCACTAGCTAAAATCTTACCATCAACTTAACAACCTTCCACTAGTTCTGAGCCTTCTAAAAATATCAAGTTTTATCTTCAAGACATAACATAGATGTTTTTGAAAGTACAAAACAATATGTTTCACGACAACCTATAAAATCTATATTCTATAATTAGTGAGGTTGTCTTGCAAAATAGTTCATTTTTTAAATGTCTGCCTGTAAAATGGAACCCAGATTTTTAAAAATAATAATTCGCTTTTCATTTGAATTTTTTTATTATTTTAATTTTTTAAAAGACATATCCCTTCTAAGCAAAAACTAGAAGTTTGGTATAAAATGATCTTGAAAACACAATGCCTTTGACTGCTTAAAGAGTCCTAAATTTTATTAGTAGGCTTTTAATCATTTAAAATGATAAAGAGAGTGTCTTCTATTCATTTTCAATAGGACAAGGCAATATTAAAACGAGACCATTCCATCAGAGAAGCTTGATTATTTTCTCAGTGTTTTAAATTATGCATATGATTGGTGACACAAATGCATGTTTAAGTGGTTGCAAATTTAAAAAATCAATATTCCCAAAGAACTAAAATTATGCCCAATCATAAATAACAAATTAATTCACCTGCATATTTTGATTTACAACTTACCCTATGAACATGAACATTTTATGAAAGAGAAATATCTTTTCACATCAACTTGTATTCATTATATTTCATATAAATATAGCTCAAATCAAACACAAGACTTTTCAAAGAGAAAAAAATTAGAACTGTTCCTTGTTCTTTTCTTTCCCATATGATCTGGTGTGCAATGTGGACTGCCATGTTGCACCAAACCCACAGCAACCAGGACCCATTGTTCCCAAGGGAAGCATAGCCTATGCGGGAATGCAATGGTGTGCTCTGCAAGGAACGTGGAAAATAGCATGTCACTACTGTACGGTACACAACAGACAATTATGATTCAACTGTCCAAATTATAATCAGTTTGACAAATGTCCACAAGCGTCTTCATTCTATTTTATATTTTCCCTAAGACAAGGCAATCACACAACCAGACAATTCCATCAGGGAAGCTTGTTAGCTGCTTAGTCTGTTAAACCCTGGTTGCCATAGCATCTAGAGTTGAAAAAGCTGCAGATTGGCATGAAAAAGCATGTCGACAATTGCCCTGTCACAGCATGCAAGCCAGGTCTGCTCAAAGGCAGCACACTACAAGTTTTCTTTCCCAGTTTGCACTACCCCATGCTGTTTAATAATATCCATTTACTGGTATTGGGATTGATCTAGCACAGTGTAAAATTCACGTCTAGTGAGACTTTGCTTTTCCCATGGAGTGAAATTCTTTAACAAATGGGAGTATGGCAATTAATTTAAAAATGTAATACTGTATGTAATATAAGAAGTATATTTAGATTTAATTGAGAAACTGTCCAAAATTTTAATGCACAGTTCTTTAAAGAGCCAGTCTTACTTGGCAATTTTTCAGTTGACTTTGTAGTCATTTCTGAAGCCTAGTTAGTCATACTTTGGAGATGACAGACAGCATTCAAAATTCAGTAGTATATTTTTAAACATGTTTTAATCGTGCCATAGTCATTTCTTCTTTATATGCGTGGTATAATTTAATTAAGGATATACATTTCTAAAATAACTATAATTTAATTAAAGATTAATATCATGAACATTGAAATTATAGTCTAGAGAGCAATGTGCATCAGCTTTTTTTTCCAGAGGGATCTTATACTTAATGGTGATAAATTACCACGTATTAATACGAAAAAGTGGGTTTCTACCAAAGAGTATTCAAACCCCTGCCAACTATCAGAATTACAGAGAGTACAGATTTTCATCTAAAGTAAAGTATGCTTACAAACAAGCAATGTTATTAGACTATAAAAATATAAAAATATGTACATCTATTGTAAGACTTAAAAAATAATTTTTGCTTAGAAGTTTATATTCACATTATTCAGCCCTTCCTTCTTCCATTATCTCCTTTTATTCCAATATGTCACTTCAATTTAGGTTTTCTTTGATGCCACAAAGAAAAAAAATCTGAAAGTACATCCACAAGAACACAACCTAGCAAACCAATAAGGATTTAAAATATAAATATTTGTCTACATTTTCTAAACCATATTTTATTTCCATTGATATCCATTGCTTTACTCTTCTAGTGTTACAAAACACTGTTTTGTTGAGTATGAGTGATCTCTTTTTTTAATCTTACATGTGAAAAAACTTGATAGTTTATCATAATATAAGAAAGTGATGATATTTTTTTAGAAATGCTGAAATAATTATTATTTTTCAGGTTCCTGAACTATTGAAGACCTAGTCCCGTTTTTTTTTTCCCGAAACAAGATTAACAAGTATTTTATATAAAATAATCAAAGCATAACACCTTGAGATTTAGATACACATATACAGTACCTATATTCATATATATATACATACAGATAGATACATATGAAAATAGTGTTACTGACTGGACCTCTTAAGACTATAAAATTTAAATCCCTCATTTTCTAGGAATTCTCAAAAATCTCAAAATCTTGGGATGAAACTTGGTTCACATATGGTGTCCATGAATGTGTTTTCTTATACCACATCTTCCAGTTTTTTTTTAAAAAAAGGAGAAAAGCTGTTTACTTGTTAAAGGTCTTTTTATAAGCTTTGATGACTCAAAAACACCTTCATTTTAACACATGAAATTTGGCAAAGAACTTAACCATGTTACCATTTGAAAGACTTTGATATTTGGAAAAAGAGAGAATTAAAAACAACAGAGATTGAGACTTAAGTTGGCTCTTGTGTATAGAACATAATTTTCTCAAGTATTTTTTTAGTAGAAGAATTTACTATGAAAACTTATCTGCCAGAATACCATAACATATCAAAGTCATAGTTATCTTGAATGAACAATGATAAATATAGCTGAAAACTTTCCTTCAGTGTATTAAGTTAAAAAACAAAACAAAACATAAAACTCTTGGTAAAGAGATAACACGTAAATGGATAAATATTTTTGTCAAGTAAAAAGCTTAACGAGATGTTGAGATAAAAATTACTCTTATTGTATTTTTCAAAAAAATTGTGTTTAAACTTTTTTGTTGTTTTTCCTCATTTCCTTATTTCACACTCAGTACAATGCAATGTAGTCCTTCAAGTTGGACTGAAGGAGGTACCACCTCTTAACCAGCCTCAGGACATGTTCATTTTCCTACCGTTCTCAAAGCATTAAGTTTGAAGAAGCTAAGAACTGGGTAGCATGGAAATGAGAGTTTATGCTTTAACTCAGAGTACCTTTGCTTTAGCCAGGATACCTCAAATCATCCCTGTAACCCAAATGCTTTTCTTTGTCTGTGATTCAAAAAACAAATGTTTGTCTTTATAACTGTGCTGTGTTAATATTATGCATTCCCAGTACATTTTTTTAAAAAAATTAATTATGCATGAACTACGTTTTCTTTTTATACCTGATTTATTTTGTGTTCATTTTTCTACTCTAAAATGGGAAATAAAATGATTCTTTCCGAGTTGCTTAGATTATTTTCATTGGCTATCATGATTACTTTTGGATATCCTCTACAAATACTCTATCTTTCAGTCATTTTGACTATTCCCAAATTGTCAAATAGAAATTATACAAGAAAATGTCGATAAACCTAAGATTCCATAAAAAGATAAAACAACTTGACTTGTGGTACCAAATAATAGAAATGATTTTGCAATGTTATTAGTTTCTTTCACAATACTCAGTGTAAATGTCATAATAAAGATATAACACCATTTAATTTCTTAAAATAAATGCATCCCATTAATTCCCCATGTGGAATACTACCTTATACAAAATGTAGGTTTCATACAAACACATGCATTCTTGTGTAAGGTAGTTCTTGTTTTTCTGGGTGATCTTGCCTTATTCTGAAATTTTCTTCACCTGACTGAAAGCACATTAACTGCTAGATAGGCATCACACTGATGTCTCCATACTGTAGCATACAGCCGTGAATTTGCTACGATCTGTTTAATCAGCAGTGTATTGATTTTCCGCAGCTTTCCTTCATTTTAGCCCCATAGCAGGCTTCTGTAATTTCCTTTGGACAAAGTGTAACCAAACTGTGCTAAGTGATGTTGATTTGCAGGCAAAAGTAAAGGGGTAAATATAAATTAACAAGCTATAAACATTTTACAAGTGGGGAGTCAATAAAAACAGTGTCTGCGGTTTCTTTTAAAAAAAATGATTTGAAGCAGATTGTTAACAAAGGTGTCCAAAGAAACTGACATGAGTCTGAGAATAATTTTTGTGCTTTGTGATTAAGAATTGATCAGTCTAAAAGCCTCGGATGCAACTGAATCACCCATAAGCTGCTGGCCTGAAAAGGCTCAGCAGGGGCTGGTATTTGTTTGTTAAACTCCCATGATTCCAAGTAGATAATTGGTCTGTGAAGTTCATGGCAGAATCTGAATTTGCTTTCTTGCTTCCCAGCTGGCTGAGCACTGGTTTATAGACTTCTGTGTACAAATTTAGCCAGCAGCAAACCTCACATCTTTAATATAAAAGGTGTTTTGTTGTGTTTTTCAGGTGCTGAGTGGAAAGCCCACACTCCAGAAGCTCATTAAAAGGGCCAAGTTACAGTACAGGTTTATTTCTGTCACAGCGTTTCTGAAAACAGTGACAAGGATTAATATGTTTCTTTAGTACTGGAAAAAACCTGACACAATCCCTTGTGAATTTGATCATCTGTTTCATTGCCTGTATAAGATTCAATCTCCTATTATATCCTAAAGTTACAGCTGTAAACTAAGGCTGGTAAGAATTCATAAGCTATTGCAGAAGCCTGCGGCAAAACTAATTGTTTTATTCAACAGTCACTTGTTTATTTATTATTTATTTCATACTCCCCTCCTATAATCCTTTTCCACTCTCCTTCCTCAAAGTCAAGATTATCTTGGTTCGTTGCCTGAATGCACAGAGCAAATACAGAAACGGGGAGCCCTATTCCAGGAGTTCTCAAAAAAGTTCCTACGGATCAGTGTTTTGTGGAAATACCCATTCTAAATGTTTTATAAAAATATTCTTACTCTCCTTTGATTGGCATAAAAATTCCTTGCTAAAAAGCAATATTTGCACAAATATTATAACCTTTGTTTTCTGTGTCATCATGTGACATTAAGCTTTATTTGCTAGTGGTTGCTATGTGTCTGACACATGATTTGCCATGTGGTACATGTAAATCACAGCAAAGTGCAAAGTATATTATAAAACAATTCTGTTTTACATCAAATTAGATAGGCAAATATCTATTCGCTATTTTCAAAAATTAAAATGCAATATGCTATATAGATACTGTAAAACAAATAATATTTAACATTGAGAAAGCTCTCTCTCTCTTTCCTTCTCCTCTCCCTCTTCCTTCTTCTCCCAAGTTAATTGTGGAGGAATGTTTATTCATTATCTTCCAGTTTTTGTTATTATGGGAAATTATATGCTGTATTAGAATTTTAGATAAAAATATGCATATAAATATGTATATTCAAAATTTCAAACTTTACGTAAGTACAAAATAAGACATAAACAGAAAAATCCCTAATGATCCATTGTATACACCTTATAAATATTGGAAATTATTGCAAGAGTAGGCTGAAGAAGTACACTTTTGCCCCGTTGGAAATTAGGCATTAAGCTTCCTTTACTCTTAACAGAAGTTGTGTGCCTAATTCCCTATGCATCACAGACATTTTAACCCATAATAACTGATTGTAAATACAGTATGAAACAAGCTAGAGCCTTATTTGCACCTGCCAATTTGCTGCCCTCAAGCAGTAAAAACAAAAACAAAATGGTAGCAAAAGAACTGCCAAGCAAAACACACCCTGCCCCTCATGTACACTACTTTCTATTTCCACAAACAAGACCTTTTGCCTCATGTTTTCCATCAACAAACTTAACTATGGGATTTCAAATAAACTTAAGGAAAAAGACATTTGCATGATAGAACTATAACAAAATAATTGTTAACATGGCCATCTCCTTCAAATGTGTCCCCTTAAAATAATGTTAGTACTGTAAGTGCTTTATGGCATTTTTAATTATGAAGTAACACATACTCCAGGAAATGCATATGTTGCAATGGCAGCCACTTATTTTTACTGAATAGCCACAACATTTGCGCTCAATTTTGATCATACAATAAAAGCCATGTGAGTCATTAAAAACAATATATCATAGATATTTTAAGGTTGGTTAAGTTGCATTCCCTGCTGTTTTTTCATTCCCTGAGCTTTCCTATCATACCACATTTACATAAATCATGGTAGCCTAATTATTTATGTTTCTATTTTTTTTTAGAGCTTAAAGTATCTGTTAACTTTTTAGTGAGGATTTCCCTACTACTTTGATTTAATAAAAATAATTTTTGCCAAATGTTAGACAGTCTTTCAGTATTCTACTGCGGGTAGTAGTGATTTGCATTATTATTGCATATATTACTTAACTTGCATTTTAAAAATGGTAACATAAGGCATATAATAGTGACTTGTAAACGTAATGATATGCATAATTTGTGAATCAAAGCATTTTTTTTTCCAGTGAGCTCAATATATGTTATTTGATGTTGACCCCTATTCTTTTTTTTTTTTCTTTTGAAACGGAGTGTCGCTCTGTTGCCCAGGCTGGAGTGGAACGGCATGATCTCGGCTCATTGCTACCTCCGCCTCCCAGGTTCAAGCGATTGTCCTGCCACAGCCTCATTAGTAGCTGGGATTAAAGGCACGCACCACCACGCCCAGCCAATTTTTTTGTATTTTTAGTAGAGACGGGGTGTCACCATGTTGGTCAGACTGGTCTCAAAATCCTGACCTCGTGATCCGCCCGCCTCGGCCTCCCAAAGTGCTGGGATTAAGGCGTGAGCCACCGCGCCCGGCCTGATGTTGACCCCTATTCTTAAAATATTCAGTGTATTGTGTACAAGAACCTTATACATCTTGATTAGTATTTTAAGGTTTTTGAGAACAAATATTATTTTCTCACATAGAATAAAATTGAGGAAAACTTCATGGACAAATTATAATTGATGGCTAAGTCAAAATAAGAATTCGATACTCTTTAGACTTTAGATTACACCTTGATATTTCTTGCCAAAGTCTTGTGATTTCCAGAGCTGGTAAACATGTGGAGATTTATGTTTTACTAGCTAGATCGTAGCATCCTAAGGACAGGGTGTCTTGTTTAACTTTTAACCCACATTAAACACATATTGAGTGTTCAGTAAATATGCACTAAATTAAATTAACTGAAACTTTCAGGACATACATAGCCAATATATGGCATCTTAGCAGATTACACTAATTCTTGGCACTTATGACAATGATGTTGACAGCTTTTCAGATTAGTATCATATTGCAGTTACAAATTCTTGCACATACTACATTGTGCTTTTAATGAAATATAAGATGAATAAGAATAAAAAACAGAATAGTAAGCAATGTCACATTACTCCTATATACATAAGGTTAGATATTTTAGGGAGGAAAGGGTAAAATTCTAAGCCTTTTTTGTGGTAAAAATGTAAAGTTTAGAACCCTATGAAACATTAGTGAACATGAATATAGATATAAAAAGAATGCTATAAAATATATGCTTGCTATAGGTTTATGAGACAGTATTAATTCATATCCTTCATTAAAAATTACATATGACAATATAAAATTTCAATCATGTAACTATTTGATTTGAGTAAGTATGCAGCATGGCCTTATATTTACCATGGAAATGTATACTGAGAAAGAGACCAAGGCAGATACAATTTGTTTAAACTAAGTTTGAAGCTATCTCTATGTAGCTTTAGTCAGTTAAAAATAGTCAAATGTTTCAAATTGCTAAGAACCTCTTAAAGGACAAAATAACAATTTTATTCACATTCAAACTAGAAGAACATCCACAAAACATCCTCATGGTTACTTTGGACTCTTCTTAGGGTTAGACAATTTTTCCTATCAATGTCTGCTCTCAGATGTTAAATTCTAGAGTGGTAGGTATTATATTATGTAGGTGTATGATAAAAATCTGAGGCGTATTTTAAAAAGAAGGACACAATTTATGCTAACAGTGTCAATCAAACACTTAAAAGTACTGTTTATTTAGGATGATTAATGACTATCAAACATCTTTGTTGACTTCACTTTGCAGTTAAGTAGTGGTCTCAAGTTTATTTTGGTAATAAAGCACTGTTCTGGGAAATGAATTCAAGTCTTTAGTTCTCATCTATTTAACCTTTAGATTTGTGTTAAGTGGAAATGATGCTTTGTTCCCTCAATTTCCTTTATTCTGCATTGTACTACACCTTTTCACTGAAACACATTCAAACCAGTGAATTGGATACGTACTGTAATGTACTAACAGCTGTAGCTGCCCTTAGTTCAAGTAACTTCAGAAAGTTAAAATAAGTTAATGATCAATTGTCTGTGAATAAAGACTATTGCCGATCATAGTGTATTTGCACATACCCTGAACAAAATGAACTATTTTTGCTTTTTCAGCTTGTTCTTATTCTTCCACTGTTTTTAAAGTTCTTTTATTCAATGCCAAACACATGATGCTATACAATTATTTCAGTCTTCATCCAAAGAATATACATTCCAATTAATATAAATGTCATCAGTGTAGGTGATGTGCTTTGGGAATTTTTTTTTTCTTTTTTGAGGTGGGAGTTTAGTTCTTGTCACCAGCTGGAGTGCAATGGCACAATCTCGGCTCATTGCAACCTTCGCCTCCCGGGTTCAAGTGATTCTCCTGCCTCAGCTTCCCAAGCTGATTACAGGCGCCGGCCACCATGCCCGGCTAATTTTGTGTTTTTAGTAGAGACAGGGTTTCACCATGTTGGTCAGGCTGGTCTCGAACTGCTGACCTCAGGTGATCCACCCGCTTCAGCAATATTTACATGAGGTATACTTATACATTTTTTTTTTTTTTTTGAGATGGAATATCGCACCATCGCCTGGGCTGGAGTACAATGGCGCGATCTCGGCTCACTGCAACCTCCACCTCCTGGGTTCAAGTGATTCTCCTGCCTCAGCCTCCCAAGTAGCTGGGATGACAGGCGCCCACGACCACGCCTGGCTAATTTCTTGTATTTTTAGTAGAGACGGGGTTTCACTATGTTGGCCAGGCTGATCTCGAACTCCTGACCTCATAACCCGTCCACCTTGGTCTCCCAAAGTGCTGGAATTACAAGTGTGAGTCACCGTGCCTGGCCTACGTATACATTTATCTCATAATTACAAATAATAATACCATGGATATGGTACTTACTTAGAACGATTTGTGTCCAAATCACAGATTGTTATTTTTGTTGAACTATTTGTTTATAAATTAAAAATGTGGTTATCTAATTAATTGAGTCTTCTTACAGGAAGCTATTCCTTTGGGGAGAAAATTATAACATCAGGTAGGAGATTTGCCCAAGTAACTTTCTCCCAGTTTTACGTAGTCAACAATATTTATTATGCTCCTACTTCATAATAGGATACTATGTAGATATTGTATAGGAATTGTCCATAAAAGGGGGGGGTGCAGTGCCAGATACCTGCCCACAAAGCATTTTAGTATGTATTGGAGAACGAGGATATACATCAAGACTTAGCTGAACACTTTTATTAACCAGAGTTATATAAGTACCAATAAAATGCCAAGTGGAAGCACAATTAGAATCAGGTGGGATTAATCATGGAAAACTTTCCAGAAAAAAAAATAGTTTTAAGCCAGATTTTCAAGTAATTACTATTTGATGGGAAGGATAGGGACTAAATAAGCTCACCAGAAGGGAATTAAATGTCATTCAAGAAATTTTGAATGTCTCCAATGTGCAAGCCACTATCCTCAGAGGCTCAGAGCTTCTTTGATACACACAAGATTCACACACTATGCCTGCCCTCCTGATTTCTCCAACCAGTGATGGAAATGCACAGGCAAATGACAATGGCATATGTCAAGACTCACAAGCAGAAACACAGGTGATATTTCAGAGAACAAAAAAAAAACTTGTTTGCCTACACTAATGATTCCATATAGAAGAATAAGAATCCATTTATGAAATGAGCAGGAGAGGATCACCAGTTGGCAGATGATGTTTAAAGCACACACATCAGCTAGAAACAGTTTCAGCCCTGAGAGCTATGAATCAAGAATTCCAAAATATCATCAATGTCCCAGGTTCCTTCCCTCTTTCTGCTCCATGATTCATAATATAAAGCTCTAGAACTCATAATCACAATATGTCTTCAACCCATAATACAGTGCTGGGACTGAATTCTAGGCAAAAGAAAAGGAAAGAGCAAGATATGACTGTGTTATTTTCGCATTCCCTTTTGAGGAGCTTTTATGAAAGACTCACCCTGTGACTTCCTTTTATACCTCTTTGAACCATACTGTGCCACCGAACTGCAGGAAATGCTGCCCTTGTTGTTTTTCACTGGTCATATTGCCACACCTAGCAAATTAGACTTACCTAGTAAGGAAGATGAGAATGAAAATGAGATTGTGTTTACCAGGGTAGGATTGAGAAGTTCTTATTTAGAAAGCACTGAAAGTAAGCAAGAAAGTGCTGAAGAAGCATTATGAACAGAATAATGGGCAGAAGTTATGTTAATAATTGTATATAAGCTTTGGAAAAAATATGATTGGGCACAAGATTGGTTTTAGACTATTGAATTAAACAACAGAGGTATTTTTTATTCAAATAGTTGTGTATTGATTCTGAAAATGGTAAACCTGAGAGATGACCCGAGGAAATAATCCTCAATACTTGTCAATGAAAACATATAGAAGAAGCAAAGGATATGTCTCTCTCTCTCTCTCTCTCTCTGTGTGTGTGTGTGTGTGTGTGTGTGTGTGTGTGTGTGTGTATGAGAGAGAGAAAGAAACAGAGACAGAGACAGATTATTTAAATTTATGTTTAGTTAACAATCAGCCAGTTTGAATCACAAAGACTGTGGTACAATTGTACAGATAAAGAAATCAGATATCTTTGAAACAGAAAAAAGGTAAAAATGCTTGAGTGGGAAAAAACACATGGGTAGTAGATTCCCTTTTTTTTTTTGAGCTGGAGTCTCACTTTGTTGCCCAGGCTGGAGTGCAGTGGCGAGATCTTGGCTCACTGCAACCTCTGCCTCCCAAGCTCAAGTGATTCTCCTGCCTCAGCCTCCCAAGTAGCTGGTACTACAGGCCCACACCACTATGCCCGGCTAATATTTGTATTTTTAGTAGAGACGGTGTTTCACTATGTTGGCTAGGCTGGTCTCAAACTCCTGACTTAATGATCCGCCTGCCTCAGCCTCCCAAAGCGCTGGGATTACAGGCGTGAGCCACCCTGGCCAGCCCATTCCCCTCTTCTATATTAAGTTTTGTAAGAGACTAGGATGGGAACATCTCCTCTGAGACTACAGAGATGGGTGCAGAAGTGGAAATATATTCTAATAGGCCTGAACTTCCCTCTGGCAGACACGCATGCGCATGCACAGACATACCACCTTCCCCATCTCAGCTGTCACTGCAGTCACTCGAATTAAAAATTTGAGTCCTCATTTTTTCCTTTCCTCAATACTCACATCCAATCAGCGGCAATTCCTATAAGCATTACTTGCAAAATATGTCTTGAATTTGACCACTTGTTATCCTCTCCACTGCTACCAACCTAGTTCAAGCCTTTTGCTAGGGTTACTACAACAGTATCTCACCTGATCACCCTATACTCTTATCCCTCACAATGTATTCTCCCCCTGACAACTAGAGTGATTTTCTTAGAGACTGTAAATCAGATTCTGATACTCAACATGCTTAAAACTGTTAAGATAGATTTCTACTGCAATTAGAGTTAAAACCTTCAGATTCCATATCATGGCCTACATAGTCATACAAGATCTGACCCCTCAGCACGGTTCCACTCATTCTCTCTGTATTGGTACACTTTCTATTTCTTTAGTACATTCAGATCACTCCCACTGAGTACCTTTGCACTTAACTGTTTGCCCTTCCTACAACACTCTTCTCCAAGAAGATTATACCCATATATCTGGTTCCTTCTCTCTCAGGCCTTCAGAGACCAGCCCATCTCAAGTGGTTTCCTTCCACCAAGTCATCATCCCTGTGTTATTGTCTACATTATAACTTTCACTATCCAAAATATGTGCTTTATTCTATATTGTATATTGTGTCTACCCACTAGAATGTAAGCTCCACAGAGCGAGCACATTATCAGTCATTTGCATTATTGTTTCCCTGCACGTAAAGCAGCACTTGCCTCATAATAAGCACTCAGTAAATACTTGTGGAATAAATAAATGATTAGGATTGCTACTGGAAGATGTTCATAGCACTGTTTTTAAAATGAGGGAACTCTTTTGACTAGCTGATGAGAACCATGAACTATTAATACTCTTTTGCAATAGCAAAACTAAGGCCGTAGCAGGAAAGCAATAACTAACTATAGGCTATTGGGACATTCATTCTTGCACAGAAAATAGAAGGTAGAGGAACAGGGCTATTCAAGTTTGAAACTGAAGGTATATATAAAGGAATAACCGGATCAGGAACTGTAGTCTAGTAGAGTGACTATGTAATCTGATTGTCTCAAGACAGTCTCGGTTTAAATCTATTGTCCCAACTTAATTATCAACCATGGCCCCTTGCATTCTCAACAGTGCTCCTGAGATGAAAAACTATATAGTCAATTTTAGTCTAGGATGCTACAGAGCTATCCATGGAGTTCCTACAAGCCAGTGAAAACGAAAGAAGATTCCCTGGTAGTTTTCTACCATGTTACTTTCTCCTCTGAAATACAGAAAAACTCAGAATGTTTTGCAAAGGCACAGGTCTCAAAGGGCTCAGCGTGGACATTTTCACCAGCTGCCTCGATGACTTTGCAATAAGCTATCATCCAGGGAACTCAGCCTGAGCTCCTGCTAAAGTATTTGGCATAAAAAAAAATTAACACTGCTACTTCTGATGAAAGAACAGCATGTACTTCACTGAATCATCAAGTCAAACCAAAGATGGAAGGAGTCCCAGAATGCCAGCTGGGCTAAGCTCCTGCTTTAGGAAGCTAAATACTAAAAGTTGATCTGGTCTCTAAGGGCATTTCCTTAACACACAGGTAAAATAGGCCATGTGAAGACTACATTATGGAAACAAACTATATAACTGTATGGCAGCTCTTTTACTGAATTTGTAAATATGGATGTAACAATTTTCCATTCAATTTCTGTAGCTTTCTTCAAACTCTGACTTTGGAGAGCAATATTTTGAAAACTAACATTTGACAGGTTGTCTCTGATAAACTCTTCCAATTTCTGCTATTAGCAGAATTAGTGTCGTAGATAAAATGAACATGTACTTCCTTGGAGCTTTATGAATGTTAAATCACTTAATCCTTAAAAAGGCTCTAGGAAGTAGATTCTTTTGCTATTCCAATTTTATAGATGAGAAATGTGGGCCTCAGTGAGATTAAACACCTTTTCAAAGATTAGGTAAATAGTAGAGTTAAAGTAGAATTCACATCTAGGATTGCAAACTAGAAGGCCTGTGCGGAGTTGTTGTGCTCTATTCTTTAAATTATGCTATCATTCAGTACTCAGTGCTGTAAATAGGATGCCTTAAGTAAGAAAATATGAGCACTGTACCCAAAGGGATTCTAGTCTGAATTCTTCCTACTAGTTAAAAAAAACCAAATTTATACAACAAATGATTAAAGAGATGTCTCACAATCTTTAATAGCATCATTTAAAAAAATCCCTTTAGCTTGTTTTAGCATACCGTCACAATTAGTAATCCCTCAAATGCCTTGTTACATTATGACAGCAATAGTAATAATCGTCGTAAACATGGATACACACACACACACACACACACACACACACACACACACACAGAGAGAGAGAGAGAGAGAGAGAGAGATGTTCCTCAACTTATGATGGAGTTGTATCCCAATAAACCCAATCATAAGTTGAAAATACTTAAGGCAAAAATGCATTTAATACACCTGACCTACAGAACCTCAAAGGTTGGCCTAGCCTACCTTAAACATGCTCAGAAAACTTACAATAGCCAACAGTTGGGCAAAATAATCTAACACAAAGCCTTTTATATTACAGGAGATATTCAGCATTTATTTTATAAGAAATATTTATTATTATAAAATGTTTATTTTATAGTAAAATGCTGAATATCTCATGTAATTTATTGACTACTGTACTGAAAGTGAAAAACAAAATGGTTATGTGGGTGCTCAAAGAAAAGTTTCTACTGAATGAATATTGGTTTTGTACCATCGTAACTTTGGAAAAATAAGTCAAACCACTGTAAAGTTGAAGATGCTCTGTCTATGTATATGAGTGTGTGTGTGTGTGTGTGTGTGCGCATACACTGAGTCAGGCTGTGTTCTAAGTGTGTCACATAAATTAAGCTCATTTAATTTTCTTAAACTATTTCAATTTTTCAGATGAGAAAACTGAAGTAGAAACAGAGAAAATAACTTGTCTAAGGTGACATATTTTGCGAGTGGCAAAGGTAGGATTCAAACCCAGCTCTTCTGTCTCCATAATGTGTTTGTAACCACTATTTCTGCCCCCCTATTCTACATAAATTGATTGACAAATGGCTTTCTTTCCCTTTCTGAGTCTTTTTGTTTGTTTCTGTTTTTGAAAAGAAATCAATTAGAGACAGTGTTTAATAAATGGTGTTAGCAAAACTGACTAGCCATATGCAGAAAACTGAAACTGGACTCCTTCCTTACACCTTATACAAAAATTAACTCAAGATGGATTAAAGACTTAAACGTAAGACCAACAACCATAAAAAATCCCAGAAGAAAACCTAGGCAATACCATTCAGGACATAGGCATGGGCAAAGACTTCATGTCTAAAACACCAAAAGCAATGGCAACAAAAGCCAAAATTGACAAATGGGATGTAATTAAACTAAAGAGCTTCTGCACAGTGAAAAAAAAACTATCATCAGAGTGAACAGGCATCTCCCATCCTACAGAATGGGAGAAAAATTGGGGGCTAATATCCAGAATCTACAAAGAACTTAAACAAATCTACAAGAAAAAAAAAAAAAAAAACACAACCCCATCAAGAAAGTGGGCAAAGGATATGAACAGACACTTCTGAAAAGAAGACATTTATGCAGCCAACAAATATGAAAAACAGCTCATCACCACTAGTCATTGGAGAAGTACAAATCAAAACCACAATGAGATACCATCTCAAGCCAGTTAGAATGGCGATCATTAAAAAGTCAGGAAACAACAGATGCTGGAGAGCATGTGGAGAAATACGAACGCTTTACACTGTTGGTGGGAGTGTAAATTAGTTCAAGCATTGTGGAAGACAATGTGGCAATTCCTCAAGAATCTAGAACTAAAAATACCATTTGACCCAGCAATCCCATTATGGGTCCACCAGGTATATACCCAAAGGATATTATAAATCCACAGGGTATATACCCAATGGATTATAAATTGTTCTACTATAAAGACACATGCACATATATGTTCATTGCGTCACTATTCGCAATAGCAAAGACTTGGAACCAACTTAAATGCCCATCAATGATAGACTGGGTAAGGAAAATGTGGCACATACACAGCATGGAATACTATGCAGCCATAAAAAAGGATGCGTTCATGTCCTTTGAAGGGACATGGATGAAGCTGGAAACCATCATTCTCAGCAAACTAACACAAATACAGAAAACCAAACACCACATGTCCTCACTCATAAGTGGGAGTTGAACAGTGAGAACACATGGACACAGGGAGGGTAACATCACACAAAGGGGCCTGTTTTGGTTTGGGGGTCTTGGGGAGTGATAACATTAGGAGAAATACCTAATGTAGATGACGGGTTGATGGGTGCAGCAAACCACCATGGCACATGCATACCTATGTAACAAAACTGCACATTCTGCACATGTACCCCAGAACTTAAAACATAATAAAAAAAGAAGGAAAAACCTGATGCTGCTCTTAATCTTGCAGCCCATCTCTTCTATGTCACTATTTCCTTTGTTTTCTAGCACAAAGCATGGTGGGTCACAGTGAGATCATCTAAGTCTATGCTACAGAATAAAAATCATTAGTTCACCACATAAAAATACGTAATGACATGTCCAAAACTTCTCTTTTCCTCTCACTCTCTGTATAATGTCTAGGGGGCTAATGACATCCATAGAACATAAATTTTAGTATTTTGCCTGCTTAAACTATGGGGTTGTTTTTTTAAAAAATATTTTAATATGCTCTTCTCTTTTGTACTTTTCTGCAGATGATCTCTTTCCAGTAGAATCAAGGCAGCCATCTGCAGGAAGGAGAAAAGAGAGATAAACAGAAAAAGAGCAATGAGAAATAAAAGCTTTAATAACAGAAACGCACAGAGAAAGAGCTTCAGCTGATGATATCTAAAATAAAATTTTAATTTCAAAATGTGTTTAAAAGCTATTTTCAAGTTTTAAAGTAGGTTTGAAATGAATACACTAAGAGAAAGAGAAGGTTTTATTAATTTTTCAATTTTCTCTCTTGGCTTTTTAAAAGACAGGCCTGCCCGCTTGGCCATATAACTTAATATAAGGGAGATCTTCATAGGAGGATTACGAATAAATCATCCCCTTCTCACACAAATGAATTGTGAGATGAAGGAGAAAGTGCAAGAGAAAGCAGGTATTCAGATGTGTCCTCTTCTTTCCTCTTTGGGCAAGATTAGAAATATTATATAAACTTCTCAGTTTATATACAGTAAGACATTTAAAAAATATTACACTCTGTAGGATCATTATACAAAACACTGAAATATAGGTTACATAGATGTTATTAGCCACCTAAACTATCTGGAGTTTCTATCCAGTGTCTTGCATACAAAGAAATGGAAGTATGCCAGTATTAAGATGGCCCCAACAAAGAAATCTTGGTAGGACTACATAGAAGTAAAGACCTGAGCTAATACCTCGGAGTTATTCTGAACTATTGCATAACATAGAAAGTACTCAGGGTTTCCTTTAACTTTTGGATAGGGACAGAAAACAGCTAAATTGATACTTAGACACCTACAAGTGGGCCTAAGTGGTGAGAATCAAAGTAACTCCACAACACAGATTATGGTGCAGCTATCATAGGCCAGGAGCAGAATGGAGACTTTGACATAGAAATGGAAAGGTCCACAGGACTAGCAAAAACTAAAATGAAACTTAGTTCAGCCAAGGAGAAACACTAAGTCCTGATCAAGCTAAGAGACCAGGTTATAAGTTATACTAGTGGCAGGATTCAATAACATAGGCTGAAGGAATGCCCAAGAATGACACCACTTGAGACTCAGCAGGACCTAGTCCACAAAGATTAGACCGGTGAATCCCGGCCAAATCTAAGGAAGATGCAAAGAATTTCAAAACAGAAGGGCCTGGCTACACTTGTACTAATAATCCTAGACTCCATCATGAAGGGGAAGGTCTGTCTCCAAGATCCCCGTCCCCCCGCCAAAAAAATAGTATTTACCAGATTCCACCAACCAGAAACAAAGTATACACCTATAAAAATGAATTAAATTATTGGAGTAGACAAAGCTTATATATTTGAATAAAATATAAGAGTTTTTAAAAAATTCAACACCCAGTAAAGGCAGGACCACATAATAAAATCATATCAGATCTAGAAATACAATTTTTAAATGACTCTGAATTTTGCTAGCATATGTGAATATAGTAAAATTAAATAAAATATGAAAATAAAAATACAATCAACAGAAACTTTTGGATTTCAGCAAAAGCAATGTTTGGAAGAAAATTTATGGCACTGAATGCATGCATTGGAAGAGAAGAAATATCTAAAATCAATAACCTAAGCTTCCACATAAGAAAACTAGAAAAAGAGGAGCAAATTAAATCCAAAGCAAGTAGAAGGAAATAACAGAAATTAGAGCATAAACCAATAAAAATTAAAAACAAAAATTAATACAGAAAATCAGCAAAACAACATTTTTTGTTTGGTTCTTTGAAAAATATAAACAAAATTGATAAATTTCTAGCCAGGCTAAGCAAGGAAAAAGAAGACACCAATTACTAATTTCTGAAATAAGGAATGGACCATCATTACTTATAGCATGCATATAGCAAGGATATAAAGAAATATTATGAGCATCTCTGAGCCCACAAATTTGATAACTTAGATAAAATGGACCAATTCCTGGACAGACAAAATCTATCAAAACTTACAGAAAGAAACAAAAATAAATTGAATGTTCTATATCTGTTAAAGAAATTGAATCAACAATCAGTAACCTTCCTAAACAAAAATCACCAGGTTCAGAAGGTTTCACCAGTGAATTCTACCAAATACTTAAGGAAGAAATAATACCAGTTCTCTAAAATCTCTTCCAAAAAAATACAAGTAAAGGAAACTTCCTAACTCATTCTATGAGACCAGCATTATTCTAACACTACAAGAAGACAAAGATATTGCAAGAAAGGAAAATTGCAGAGCATTAACTCTCATGAACACAAATACAAAAACTGTCAAATATTAACAAATCAAATCCAACGATATGTAAAGAGAATCATATACTACAAGTAAGTGGGATTTATTTCATGTATGCGAGGCTGGTTCAACATTTGAAAATCAATTACTGTAATCTACCTTAACAGGCTAGAGAAGAAAAATCCTATTATAATCTTATTAATACATGCAGAACATGTTCCCATATATAAGGAAACTCAATAATGTGTACATACAGACATGAAAAGTGGAATTATAGGCACTGGAGACTCAGAAAGGTGGGAGGAGGATGAAGGATGAGAAATTGCCTAACGGGTACAATTTACACTATCCAGGTGAGGGTTACACTAATAGCCTAGAGTGTAGCACTACACAGTATATTCATGTTAGAAAAAACTACACTTATAACCCATAAATCTATTTCAAAAATTTTAAATACTTGCAGAAAAAGCATTTTTTGATGGCCAACACCCATTCATGATTTTTTAAAGTCTTAGCAAAATAGAAATAGAGGGTAACTTCCTCAACTTGATAAGGAACATAGACAGATGCACACAAAAAAACTATGGCTAACAGCACAGTGGTAAGAAATTAGTTGTCTTCTTCCAAAGATAGGAACAAAACGAGTATGTCTTCTCTCACTAGTCTTACTAAACATCAGACTGGAAGTGCTAGTTAAACTCATGCTAAGGAAAAACAGATAAACTGAGTAGGACTATATTTATTGAGAGAAAAGGGGAATTACAAAGTTCTCCCCAAGATAATCAAGTCATGATTGAAGTGTTAAACATAGTCCAGGCATAAGAAAATCTTTTTATCTTTTTTTAAATTTTTTAATTTTTTTTTTTTTTTTTTTGAGACGGAGTCTCACTCTGTCACCCAGGCTGGAGGGCAGTGGGCAATCTCGGCTCACTGCAACCTCCGTCTCCCGGGTTCATACGATTCTCCTGCCTCAGCCTCCCAAGTAGCTAGGATTACAGGCGTGTGCCACCATGCCCGGCTAATTTTTTGTATTTTTAGGAGAGATGAGGTTTCACCACGTTAGCCAGAATGGTCTCCATTTCCTGACCTCGTGATCCAGTAATCCACCCGTGTCGGCCTCCAAAAGTGCTGGGATTACAAGCGTGAGCCACCGCGCCTTGCTTGATAACAGCTTTAGTGTATGGGCTTGGAGTCATCTTTAATTTCTCCTGCCCTCTCATGTGTAATCAGTCACAAAGTCCTGTCCATGCTTCCTCAGTGTGCCTCACTTCTCAGTTCTCACTGCGATGTTCCTCATCAAATCTCATGCAGACTTTTAGCTCAGTGGTTCACAACCATTGTTGCACAATACAATCATTGATTTAGTTCTGTGCCCTGAAATCAGTATTTTTTAAAGTTTGCAAGGTAATTTTAACATGAAGCCAAAGTTAAGAAACACTGTTCAAACTGACTTCTGTGCCTTTAGTCTCTATTTTCTTTAAGCCAACTTATCTTTCTAGAACACAAATTTTAAATATAATTATTCTGTTTACAACACTTCAGTTACTTTCCATAGCCAGAAAAAATTCAAATTCCTTAGGATTACATTTAAAGACCATCAAGCCTCTGAATCTAATCAACATTTTCAATTTAATGTACACAGGCTGGGGCTCTGTCAGACTGGAACATTCACCATTGCTGGAAGAGGCCATTCATTTTCATGCCTAGTCTATACCACTGATTCTCATATTTTGGTATGCATGTGTAAAATATGGAGAAGAACTTACTTAAAATGCAAAATCCAAGTCCATGTACAGTATCATGCCCAAAAATAGCCCAAAGAACCTTCCTCCTACAAAGCAACCAGATCCATGATAAAACCTAGTTTTCTATATATTGCAAGGTCACAGTATACATAAGGGAAATTACCAAGGCCATCCTTCTATGGGAGAAAAATCTGTTTGCTAAACTTGGATTGGGTTCAAATGAGAACTGAGGAGCTTTCTGAAGGTAAATGCCAATATTAGCATTTTTATCAGGAAAGTCTTGAGCAAGCCTTAAGGAAGCAGTACTGAACCCGGGGCTCTTGTATTAGCCAGAGGTTCTAGAGAAAAGTTTAAGTAGTTTCAGGCTGATACTTTCTTTGCATCAGGAAACAATCTTGATCTAACTTCAAGGAAGGGGACCTGAAACTTAAACTCTCATATTATAAAAGGACTCTAGGAAAAACCTGGAGTGGTCTCAGGTCAGTAATCTTCTCCTAAATAATGAAATGCTTATTTAATGAAGGAAAGAAGAGGTTGGTACAGTGGAGCCTTAGGTTTCAACAGTAGAGAGACATGAATACAATCTGCCCTAATAGAAGCTGAACACTCACGACATGTTGTGGTTTCATAGAGGTATCCAAGATTCTCACAAATTAAGATCAAACAAACATGAGCTCTCAATCAAAGATCCCCAGACATAAAACAAAAAACAAAACAAAAAAAAACACCACCAACAATAAAAAACAAGCCATCACGAGTGAGTCTGTAGAAAAAACAAATAACTGGTTTATTTCAAAATATTTCAGATATTGACATTATGAAAATCAAAATCTGAAATTTCTACAAATAAAATGTTTAAGAAAATAGAAGATGTAATTATAAAATTGCAGGGGAGTAATAAAAAATGAGCATAGATTTGAAAGGGGGCAAATTGAAATTTTAGAAATAAAAAAATATAATTTTGTAGTTAAAAACCCAAATATCATGTTTTATAGCATATTAGATAAAGCTAAAGTGACAATTAGTGAGTGCAAGGATAGATCACAAGAAATTATCTAAAATGCAGAAGAGAAAAATATGAATGAAAGATTTTAAATATGGATAGAATGAGACTACATCACATATCTAATTGGAATCCTAGAAAAAGAGAGAATGGATGAGAGGCAATTTGCAGAGATAACAGCTGAGACTTCTCAAAAATTTACAAAAAATATGAATCCACCATAAGTTCATCAACAGGTGTATGGATAAAAAAAATTTGTTACATTCACACAACTTATTTGTAGTGAAAATAAATGAACTACACAAATCAACATAAACAACTCCGAGTAACATAATGTTGAATTTTTATAAACAAATAGCAGATGATATACATAATTATTTCATTGTTATAAAGCTCAAGGCAGGAAAAACCAAATAGGGATATACACATTCTGATAAAACAACTTTTTTAACAAAAGGAAGAGGGGGGCTAGGTGCGGTGGCTCACACCTGTAATCCCAGCACTTTAGGAGGCTGAGGCAGGTGGATCACGAGGTCAAGAGATCGAGACCATCCTGGCCAACGTGGTGAAACCCCATCTCTACTAAAAATACAAAAATTAGCTGGGCATGATGGTGCACGCCTGTAGTCCCATCTACTCAGGAGGCTGAGGCAGGACAATCGCTTGTCTCAGGAGGCAGAGGTCGCAGTGAGCCAAGATCATGCCACTGCACTCCAGCCTGGCGACAGAGCGAGACTTCGTCTGAGAGAAAAAAAAAAAAGGAAGAGAGACTGGGGGCTCACAGAGGAAGATGGAAGCTGCTGCTGAGAGGGCTTGCAGGTGTGCCGTGAGCTGACACCATGAACTCAGAAAAAGACTTCACACTAATCACGCCCAACATCATCTGAGTCCTCATTGACAAGCTGTACGAAAGGAAGAAGGGAGCAGAACTGGACATCTAAAAGGTCGTCTGGGAGTTCCTAGCCCAGAACACAGGGCAGATCACCTCTGCCCCAGGAGTTTGCCCTGTCTTAGCATCCCCATAGCTAGAAGGGGCCCATTGGTTTGATCACCAGCTCTATGCCACTGAACAGAAACTCAGGGTTCTACATGAAGAAGTCGATTGATCTGATGCTGACCTGCTTCAATGACGTAGACAGTGGAATGCACTACTAAACTGGAGCTTAGTACATATATAACTCCATCAAGGTCGTCCCAGGCACCGTGCTGCCACACTCAGCATTCTCTCTGATGGGCTAAATTGGCTGCTAATCACACACAATATGAAAAGCAAATCCGAGCTCCTACACTTCCGTTTTTAAAGCACGTTGTGATTGAGAAAAACAAGTTTGACATAGTAGGCTCCAATCTTCTGTTGCCGGAGAGGATTTGGTCCAACAACCAGTAGGCCTGTCAGTTCATCATCACTTGGATGCTGGTTCTGGAGCCTGTACCAGATTTTAACCTGCTGGATTACCTACCAGAGATACTAGATGAACTCTTCCAAATTCTGGGAAATGAAGACAAAGAGATTCCAAAACTGTGTGAGGTGGTGTTTGGAGAATTCTTGAAAGAAATCAGAAAGAACCTCGTGTTAAGATGAGATGATCAGCATCCTGGTGATGCACTGCCAGATCGCAGGCAATCTGATCCAGCTGACAGCCATTGCTAAATGCAAGAGTTCATTTGACATTGGCAGTACCATGCTGCCCCACTCTTCTGGCATCCTGACTGCAATCTTGCCTGTTTGTCCTGCAATGAGCTCAAGAAAATCATCAAGGAGTGGCTAATGTGTGCCACCAGAACTTGATGAAGCTAGTCACTGCCAAACAGGATGGAGCTGGACAAGTCAAAGCGTTGCAGAGGCAGGCAGAACCCAACCCTGCTAATTCCCTAGCAAAACAGGAAGACACAGACAGTGGTGGTCCACACGATTCTTACGACCCTAGTTTCAGTAAAGGCATCTGTGTCTTCACTCCAGCCAGCACTGAAAGGGTCCCAGTGACACAGTGACTTCATCCCTTCACCACCACAGGGTTGGGCAAGTTCTGAATATCGCCTCTGTGACATGGCCATTGAGATAATGATCAAGATTGCCATTCTGAACTAGCTCTATTATTTCTACATCAAGACTTCCTGGAATATGCTCCAGTACATCGCAGCCTCTTCTCCACTCTGAGGTAGTAGGGGTTAGGACTTCAACATATGAAATTTTTGAGGGTACACAACTCAGCCCACAGTAAGTGACTGTGAACATGTTTGAAGGTGTGAATACATTTAATCAAATAGCCCCCATAAATTGTAAATAATAGTTCTATCCAGATCTGGAACAGGAATACAATTCTGAAATGTGGGGAGGCCTGAAATAAAGCAAAGTTACTCCTATAGTATTTTCATTTAAAGGAATGTGTAGAAGGTAATTCCAAGAAATGTCTCTACTTTGAAACTGGAGATAAGGTCTATACTGGGAACTTGTTATGGTCTATATTTGCATAGAGTGTATTTGAGGGCAAAATTTATTATACGTGTAATTTAGAAGGAAATCTTGCAGAAACACTGCCTAGTTTACACCTCTATTCTGAGGAACATAGAGGATAATCATATTATCCTAATGTTTATATTAATTTATCTTATATACATAACATACTTTATTAACATGTTATTGTTTTAACAGATGAAACACTTTGGATCAACTTCTCAAATGGTTTCTTCTGTCATATTTTGAAATGCTGCTTGCAATCAGGCAATAAATTGAAATACAACTTAAGAAAGGAAACACAGCTGAAAGCTACAGTAGCTTTAAGCTTCTGTTTGTTTCTAATATGAACTTCTAAATATTTGCTACATGTAGGTTTGGAAAATTCAAACCCACCTGCAAAGATTATTGTTTCCTTTGCCTGATGGTTCACAATCAAATTCCTACTGTTGACTTTTGGTTCAACTATTGCTACCAACCAAAACCTCTTTCCCATAAGCTAAACATTTTCTGTTCACCAAAATTCATTTATAAAACTTGCCCATAACACAATTCCTTTTTTTTAAACAAAAAAAAACAAAATGAAACAAACCAAAACAATGAAAAAACAAATTTGTTTCATCAAATATAATCCAACAAATCCCACCATTTAGGTACGTTTTAAGACCTGCAAGTAGAAATGTTTGCCCAGGTCTCATCTGCCTTTTCAAAAATGTAATACTTGTTAAAGTGAAGTAGCTGCCTGGCTTGCTTTTGTAAATTGAAACGTTTTCTTCTATTCAAAATATTTTATCTTAATGGAAATTATTATGATGCACCCACCATATGTAGTTCAATATTTTTGAAATGATGGAATACTGCATATTCTTCACAAATATTGTTAAACATTTGTACAACATCTTTGAGAGAAAAATCTGCCATATCTCTAAAGAAATATATAATATTTCTACTGTAATTCAAGAGGGGTTTGAATTGGATACAATAGATATATGCATACAGATATATGTTTAATATATTAGTAGCAGCTTTGTTTAATGCAAAAAGTTATTTGACACAAAATTGATGAACACTATTCAGCTATTTTAAAATTATAAATGACATAGCTGTATTTATTGTGACAAACATAAGTGTACAAGATATTGTGAAACAAGCAAAGCTTGTTGCAGAACTGTGTATAGAGAATGACACCATTTGTTCAAAATAGTATTAGGAGTGCTTGTTTCTGGGAAGCATGGTACTTTTAATTTATCTTTTGGAAATAGATTTGAGCACCTACTATTCTTACAGTATAAAATATATGTATTAGTCAATTCTCCCACTGCTATAAAGAAATACCTGGGACTGGGTAATTTACAAAGAAAAGAGGTTTAATTGGCTCATGGTTCTGCAGGCTATACAGGAAGCATAGCTGGAGAGGCCTCGGGAAACTTTCAATCATGGCAGAAGGCAAAGGGAAAACAGGTACATCTTACATGCCTGGAGCGGGAGGAAGAGAGAATGAAGGCGGCGGGTGCTACACACTTTTAAACAACCAGATCTCGTGAGAACTCACTATCACAAGAACATCAAGGGGAAAATCTGGCCCCATGATCCAGTCACCCCTCACTAGGCCCCTCCTCCAACACTGGAGATTAAAATTTGACATGAAAATTGGGCAGGGACACAAATCCAAACTATGTCAATATAGAAAGAGGTTTGGTTTGTTGTTCTGGAGATAGCCAGGCTGAAGGTGTAATGAATGGATGGTGGACAGACAAAAGGCCAGAATGGAAGGTGGGCAGAGAAGATAGAGAAAGAAAAAGTGGAATAAGAAGAAGAGGAGAGAAGAAGAGGAACAAAAAGCAGTGGAAGAGAAGAGTGAGAAAGTGAAGAACAACAACAACAAGAACAAGAATGAGAACAAGAAGAAAGGGCAAAAGAGAAGATAAAGAGTCCAAGTTAAGTAAAGGAAGATTCTGTTGGCATAGTGAGGTCTGCTAAATCTACCTATGTCCATCAGAATTGCACCATTTGATCTATTAAGATTTTCTTGGATAATGTAGACTTACACGAGAAATTACAAAAGTTGATTATTCAGTCTCTGAAAAGTTAAAGAACAAAAAATTAGATTCAAAAATGGCATGAGAAAATGTTTAGATTGATGTTTCCTCCCTCACGTCATGCTGGATTATGTTCATTATTCTGACTGTGGTGATAGTTTGTTGGATGCAGACCTATGTTAAAACTTCTTAAATCTGCCAGGAGTGGTGGCTCATGCCTGTAATCCCAGCACTTTGGGAAGCCAAGGCCGGCAGATCACGAGGTCAAGAGATCGAGACCATCCTGGCCAACATGGTCAAACTCCATCTCTACTAAAAACACAAAAATTAGCTGGTCATGGTGGTGGGCGTCTGTAGTCCCAGCTACTTGGGAGGCTGAGGCAGGAGAATCGCTTGAACTCAGGAGGCGGAGGTTGCAGTGAGCCGAGATTGTTCCACTGCACTCCACTCCAGCCTGACAGCGAGAGAGTGAGACTCCATCTAAAAAAAAAAATTAAAAAAATAAAATAAAATAAAAAACAAAAAAAAACAACTTTAAATCAAACACGGTAAATATGTGTCAATTGTTTATCAATTATAACTCAATAATGCTGGGAGGTTTTTGTTTTGTTTTGTTTTGTTTTGTTTTTTAATGTTATAAAAGCCAGCACGGAACTCCTGGGTTCAAGGAATCCTTCCACCTCCAGCTCCTGAGTAGCTGGAAATACAGTCAGTCACCAGCAAGCCTGGCTACTGAAGTTGTCTTTAAAATCCTCAAGGTCAGGCGGGGTGACTCACGCCTATGGTCTCAGCACTTTGGGAGTCCGAGGCAGGCAGATCATGAGGTCAGGAGATCGAGACCATCCTGGCTAACACAGTGAAAACCCGTTTCTACTAAAAATACAAAAAATTAGCCAGGCATGGTGGCACGTGCCTGTAGTCCCAGCTACTCGGGAGGCTGAGGCAGGAGAATCGCTTGAACCCAGGAGGCGGGGGTTGCAATGAGCCGAGATCATGCCATTGCACTCCAGCCTGGGGGACAGAGTGAGACTCTGTCTCAAAACAAAACAAAAACAAACAAACAAAAAACTAAAAAAAAAAAACTTTCTTTACCTGAATTGGGATATGTTGCATGGACTCTTGCAATGGCTTTCAATGGAATAAACAATGTCGATCAAATCTGTACCAGTATATATAGAAATGGTCACTGGTATTATAATATATGCAACAGATAAAAAAGAAAAAAATATACCTTGAGAAGCTAAGATTTTATTAGTTTTGGAACTACTCTGTCAAGATTTCTTATATCCTTTCTAGTATGAAGACAACACCTGAAGCAAGATCATATTCCTGGGGAACTTTATTCCAAACAGATTTCTTTGCCCAGTAGATCAGTGGTCCCCAAACTTTTCAGCACAGGGTGTAGGGGATGCTTTCATCCTCAGATCATCAGGCATTAGTTAGATTCTCATAAGGAGCACACATCCTAGATCCCTCGCATGCGCAGTTCACAATAGAGTTTGCACTCCTGTGAGAGTCTAATGTTGTCACTGATTTGACAGGAGGTAAAGCTCAGGTGGTAATGCCCACTTGCCCACCACTCACCTCCTGCTCTGTGGACTGGTTCCTAACAGACCACAGACCAGCACTACCAGTCCATGCCCAGGGGTTGGGGACCCCTTCTGTAGATCATAGACCCCACAGAGTGGTTGTTGCAATCATTAGAAAGCAAGACTTGATGAAAAAGATTAGTATTAAACAAACCTGTCCTGGATTAGCATCTGTAGAAATGAGAATTCTGAAATTTAGGAAAACCTGTCTCTATCCATGGTTATGGTGGAACTATCACCTCAGGTGGAACCTCTGATGCATGCCTTACAATTCTTGAAATCATGCAGAAAGGGGGTGATGAGACTAAACCAACTGCAAAAATTCCTCTGAAAATATCACCCTACAGTTGCTTGTCTGAAGATATATCAAGAAAAGAGAAGGATGCTTGAAGAAAATTGAACATGATGCTGGGACAAGATAAAAACCACACTGCTTCAGGATTCGAACATTTTAAACCCTGAAAAAATCCTTGAGTTCCACACCAATGATGAGGCATACAGTATTAAGAAGCTGCATAAAACCTTTGAAAGCTATCTGCTACTTGTTATCAACAGGCCAATCTGATCCCAGGGTTGAATCTCATGACTTTGGTATTCAAAATCTGTGACTGGAGTAACCTCATATGCTACACTATGTGTGTGTATGTGTGTGTGTGTGTGTACACACATACATATATATATATACACACACATACATATATATACACACACATACATATATATACATACATATATATATACACACACATACATATATATATACACACACATACATATATATATATATATACTAAAACTTCTACATTCCATTTTCCCCTCACCACATCAGCCCATTTCCTCATCATCACTACTATCCAGAATGGGATATTGGAATCTCTCCATCTCATCTGGGCTGTGGGGAACATCATGGGAAAAATGGGTCAACACATTAAAATATTTAAAGAAATTTGTTGGGCTTCTATCAACATTGTCACAGCAGAAGTTCCGGATGTCAGAGAGAAAATGGTCACCATCACAGTTTCACCTGTTTGAGGGTCAGAGGCATTATCTTTACAAAACTAAAACAACAGAATTTATTTAACCCTCCCTCCAATACTTCTGCTGAAGCAGAAATATTCTCAGGAACTCTCCTCATACCACAGCAATTGAGATTCCCAGAAGTACCAGCAAAACCAAATAGAAATGTAGTGTTTCTATGCTGACAGAATAAGATAAACTACTAGAACAGGGAATAAACCAAAGACCTTCCTAAGCAACAATCAGTTGGCCATGGGCATACAGGAACTTTAAAGAAGCCCTGAGAACACCACAGTAAGTTAAGAAGAGCAGAAAGAGAATCCAGCTAGTTTCACCAGATCAACACAGCATGAGGCAGAGGTCTGCCCAGCCACATGCCTCTCACCAGAGATTCTGAATGCTTCCAGCCATATGCACTACCATCCACAGAGTATACTACATAACTCTCATGACACTACCGTATTTAGTTGGACTGATATAAATGACCATGTTCAAAGCAAAGAAAAATTTACACTATTTTTGTTCTTATGTAAAACAGTCTCTGTGCATGTAAGTATTAAAGGAAGAAATATGTTTCAATGTGTGGTCTTAAGAATACATAAAGTATCCAAAGCATTAATACATTTCTAAATAGTAATTCCTATAATCTGAGTAACTTCAATTTTTAATCATTATTTTTTTCCTTTTAACATTTTAAATGATAAACATTTTATTTTGTTGTTTGTTCTCAAAATAGGTATTCTTTTTTTTTTCCAAGTTTTTTTTTTTTTTGAGACAGAGTCTTGAGCTATTGCCCAGGCTGTGGTACAGTGGCGCAATCTCGGCTCACTGCAAGCTCTGCCTCCTGGGTAAACGCCATTCTCTTGCCTCAGCCTCCCGAGTAGCTGGTACTACAGGTGCGCACCACCACGCCCGGCTAATTTTTTCTATTTTTAGTAGAGATGGGGTTTCACCATGTTAGCCAGGATGGTCTCAATCTCCTGACCTTGTGATCCGCCTGCCTCGGCCTCCCAAAGTGCTGGGATTACAGGCGTGAGCCACAGTGCCTGGCCGTTTTTTTTTTCTTTTTTTTTTTTTAATTATACTTTAAGTTCAAGGGTACAGGTACACAACATGCAGGTTTGTTACATAGGTATACATGTGCCATGTTGGTTTGCCGCACCGATCAACTCATCATTTACATTAGGTATTTCTCCTAATGCTACCACTCCCCCAGCCCCCCACCCCCCAACAGGCCCCAGTGTGTGATGTTCCACGCCCTGTGTTCAAGTGTTCTCTTTGTTCAATTCCCACCTATGAGTGAGAACATGCGATGTCTAGTTTTCTGTCCTTGTGGTAGTTTGCTCAGAATGATGGTTTCCAGCATCATCCATGTCCCTGCAAAGGGCATGAAATCATCCTTTTTTATGGCTGCATAGTATTCCATGGTGTATATGTGCCTCATTTTCTTAATCCAGTCTTCCATTGATGGACATTTGGGTTGGCTCCAAGTCTTTGCTCTTGTGAATAGTGATGCAATAAACATACAGGTGCATGTGTCTTTATAGTAGCATGATTTATAATCCTTTGGGTATATACCCAGTAATGGAATCACTGGATCAAATGGTATTTCTAGTTCTAGATCCTTGGGAAATCACCACACTGTCTTCCACAATGGTTGAACTAATTTACACTCCCATCAACAGTGTAAAAGTTTTCCTATTTCTCCACATCCTCTCCAGCATCTGTTTTTTCCTGACTTTGTAATGATTGCCATTCTAACTGGCATGAGATGGTATCTCATTGTGGTTTTGATTTGCATTTCTCTGATGACCAGTGATGATGAGCATTCTTCACGTGTCTGTTGGCTGCATAAATGTCTTCTTTCGAGAAGTGTCTGTTCATCTCCTTTGCCCACTTTTTGATGGGGTTGTTTTTTTTCTTGTAAATTTGCTTAAGATCTTTGTAGATTCCGGATATTAGCGCTTTGTCAGACGGGTAGATTGCAAAAAGTTTCTCCCATTCTGTAGGCTGCCTGTTCATACGGATGGTAGTTTCTTTTGCTATGCAGAAGCTCTTTGGTTTAATTAGATCCCTTTTGTCTATTTTGGCTTTTGTTGCCATTGCTTTTGGTGTTTTAGTCATGAAGTTTTTGCCCATGCCTATGTCCTGAATGGTATTGCCTAGGTTTTCTTCTAGGGTTTTTATGGTTTTAGGTCTAACATTTAAGTCTTTAATCCATCTTGAATTAATTTTTATATAAGGTGTAAAGAAGGGATCCAGTTTCAGGTTTCTACATATGGCTAGCTAGTTTTCCCAGCACCATTTATTAAATAGGGAATCCTTTCCCCATTTCCTGTTTTTGTCAGGTTTGTCAAAGATCAGGTGGTTGTAGACGTGTGGTGTTATTTCTGACGCCTCTGTTCTGTTCCATTGGTCTATACCTCTGTTTTGGTACCAGTACCATGCTGTTTTGACTAGTGTAGGCTTGTAGTACAGTTTGAAGTCAGCTAGTGTGATGCCTCCAGCTTTGTTCTTTGTGCTTAGGATTGTTTTGGCTATGCGGGCTCGTTTTTGGTTCCATATGAAATTTAAAGTAGTTTTTTCCAATTCTGTGAAGAAAGTCATTGGTATCTTGATGGGGAGAGCATTGAATCTATAAATTACCTTGGGCAGAATGGCCATTTTCATGATATTGATTCCTCCTATCCATGAGCATGGAATGTTCTTCCATTTGTTTGTGTCCTCTTTTATTTCATTGAGCAGTGGTTTGTAGTTCTCCTTGAAGAGGTCCTTCACATCCGTTGTAAGTTGTATTCCTAGGTATTTTATTTTCTTTGTAGCAATTGTGAATGGGAGTTCACTCATGATTTGGCTCTCTGTCTCTTCTTGGTTTATAGGAATGCTTGTGATTTTTGCACATTGATTTTGTATCCTGAGACTCTGCTCAAGTTGCTTATCAGCTTAAGGAGATTACAGGCTGAGACAATGAGATTTTCTAAATATACAATCATGTCATCTGCAAACAGGAACAATTTGACTTCCTCTTTTCCTAATTGAATACCGTTTATTTCTTTCTTTTGCCTGATTTCCTTGCCAGAACTTCCAACACTAAGTTGAATAGGAGTGGTGAGAGAGGGTGTCCTTGTCTTGTGCTGATTTTCAAAGGGAATGTTTCCAGTTTTTACCCATTCAGTATGATACTGGTTGTGGGTTTGTCATAAATAGCTCTTAATATTTTGAGATATGTTCCATTAATATCTAGTTTATTGAGAGTTTTTAGCATGAAGGGCTGTTGAATTTTGTCGAAGGCCTCTTCTGCATCTATTGAGATAATCATATGGTTTTTGTCATTGGTTCTGTTTGTGTGATGGATTACGTCTTTGATTTGCATAGGTTGAACCAGCCTTGCATCCCAGGGATGAGGATGACTTGATTGTGGTGGATAAGCTTTTTGATGTGCTGCTGGATTCGCTTTGCCAGTATTTTATTGAGCATTTTTGCATCAATGTTCTTCAGGGATATTGGTCTAGAATTATCTTTTTTTGTTGTGTCTCTGCCAGGCTTAGGTATCAGGATGATGCTGGCCTCATAAAATGAGTTAGGGAGGATTCCCTCTTTTTCTATTGATTGGAATAGTTTCAGAAGGAATGGTACCAGCTCCTCTTTGTACCTCTGGTAGAATTCGGCTGTGAATCTATCTGGTCCTGGACTTTCTTTTGGTTGGTAGGCTATCAATTATTGCCTCAATTTCAGAGTGTGTTATTGGTCTATTCAGAGATTCAACTTCTTCCTGGTTTAGTCTTGGGAGGGTGTATGTGTCGAGGAATTTATCCATGTCTTCTAGATTTTCTAGTTTATTTGTGTAGAGGTGTTTATAGTATTCTCTGATGGTAGTTTGTATTTATGTGGGGATCAGTGGTGATATCCCCTTTATCATTTTTTATTGAGTCTATTTGATTCTCTTTTCTTCTTTATTAGTCTTGCTAGCTGTCTATCACTTTTGTTGATCTTTTCAAAAAACTAGCTCCTGGATTAACTGAGTTTTTGAAGGGTTTTTTGTGTCCTCTATGCCCTTCAGTTCTGCTCTGATCTTAGTTATTTCTTGCCTTCTGCTAGCTTTTGAATTTGTTTACTCTTGCTTCTCTAGTTCTTTTAATTGTGATGTTAGGGTGTCGATTTTAGATCTTTCCTGCTTTCTCTTGTGGGCATTTAGTGCTATAAATTTCCCTCTACACACTGCTTTAAATGTGTCCCAGAGATTCTGGTACATTGTGTCTTTGTTCTCATTGGTTTCAAAGAACACCTTTATTTCTGCCTTCATTTCATTATTTACCCAGTAATCATTCAGGAGCAGGTTGTTCAGTTTCCATGTAGTTGTGCAGTTTTGAGTGAGTTTCTTAATCCTGGATTCTAACTTGATTGCACTGTGGTCCAGGAGAGAGTTTGTTGTGATTTCTGATCTTTTATATTTGCTGAGGAGTGCTTTACTTCCAACTATGTGGTCAATTTTAGAATAAGTGTGATGTGGTGCTGAGAAGAAAGTATATTCTGTTGATTTGGGGTGGAGAGTTCTGTAGATGTCTATTAGGTCCACTTGGTGCCAGGATGAGTTCAAGTCCTGCATATCCTTGTTAATCTTCTGTCTCATTGATCTGTCTAATATTGATAGTGGGGTGTGTTAAAGTCTCCCATTGTTATTGTGTGGGACTCTAAGTCTCTTTGTAGGTCTCTAAGGACTTGCTTTATGAATCTGGGTGCTCCTGTATTGGGTGCATATATATTTAGGATAGTTATCTCTTTTTGTTAAATTGATGCCTTTACCATTATGTAATGGCCTTGTCTCTTTTGATCTTTGTTGGTTTAAAGTCTGTTTTATCAGAGACTAGGATTGTAACCCTTGCTTTTTTTTTTGCTTTCCATTTCCTCGGTAGATCTTCCTCCATCCCTTTATTTTGAGCCTATGTGTGTCTCCGCACATGAGATGGGTCTCCTGAATACAGCACACTGATGGGTCTTGACTGTATCAAATTTGCCCGTCTGTGTCTTTTAATTGGGGCACTTAGCCCATTTACATTTAAGGTTAATACTGTTATGTGTGAATTTGATCCTGTCATTATGATGTTAGCTGGTTATTTTGCCCGTTAATTGATGCAGTTTCTTCCTAGCATCGATGGTCTTTACAATTCGGCATACTTTTGCAGTGGCTGGTACCGGTTGTTCCTTTCCACATTTAGCACTGCCTTCAGGAGCTCTTGTAAGGCAGGCCTAGTGGTGACAAAATCTCTCAGCATTTGCTTGTCTGTAAAGGATTTTATTTCTCCTTCACTTATGAAGCTTAGTGTGAATCGATATGAAATTCTGGTTTGAAAATTCTTTTCTTTAAGAATGTTGAATATTGGCTCCTACTCTCTTCTGGTTTATGGGGTTTCTGCCAAGAGATCCGCTGTTAGTCTGATGGGCTTCCCTTTGTGTTCAACCCGACCTTTCTCTCTGGCTGCCCTTAACATTTTTTCCTTCACTTCAACCTTGGTGAATATGACAATTATGTGTCTTGGGGTTGCTCTTCTCAAGGAGTATATTTGTGGTGTTCTCTGTATTTTCTGAATTTGAATGTTGGCCTGCCTTGCTAGGTTGGGGAAGTCCTCCTGGATAATATCCTGAAGAGTGTTTTCCAACTTGGTTCCATTCTCCCCATCACTTTCAGGTACGCCAATCAAACATAGATTTGGTCTTTTCACATAGTCTCATATTTCTTGGAGACTTTGTTCGTTTATTTTTACTCTTTTTTCTCTAAATGTCTCTTCTTGCTTTATTTCATTAATTTGATCTTAAATCACTGATATCCTTTCTTCCACTTGATCAAATCGGCTATTGAAGCCTGTGTATGCGTCATGAAGTTCTCCTGCCATGTCAGCTCCATCAGGTCATTTAAGGTCTTCTCTACACTGTTTATTCTAGTTAGCCATTCGTCTAACCTTTTTTCAAGGTTTTTAGCTTCCTTGTGATGGGTTAGAACACGCTCCTTTAGCTCAGAGAAGTTTCTTATTACCAACCTTCTGAAGTCTACTTCTGTCAACTCGTCAAAGTCATTCTCCGTCCAGCTTTGTTCTGTTGCTGGTAAGGAGCTGGGATCCTTTGGAGGAGAAGAGGCGCTCTGGTTTTTAGAACTGTCAGCTTTTCTTCTCTGGTTTCTCCCCACGTTTGTGGTTTTACCCACCTTCGGTCTTTGATGTTGGTGACCTACAGATGGGGTTTTGATGTTGATGTCCTTTTTGTTGATATTGATGCTATTCCTTTCTGTTTGTTAGTTTTCCTTCTAACAGTGAGGCCCCTCAGCTGCAGGTCTGTTAGAGTTTGCTGGAGGTCCACTCCAGACTCGGTTAGCGTGGGTGTCACCAGGGGAGGCTCAGTTGGAAATGCAGAAATCACCCGTCTTCTGTGTCGATCATGCTAGAAGCTGCAGATGGGAGCTCTTCCTATTCAGCCATCTTGGAACAGACCTCGATAAACACTTTAAATGTCAAGTTATTTGGGGGCAATCTAATGGTATGCAAAGAAACCTCAAAGAATTTACACATCATAAAATTTGACTAAATTAAAATTTTAATCATTATTATTTTCTTTAAACACTGAAGGATAAACGCTTTAATGGATAAAGTCATTTTGAGGTGGTTACATAGTATAGGAAAAAACTTCAAAGGCACCTATGAAAAAGTCTATGGTAGTGGGAAGGGGGTCTGGGATGGGGCTTTATTCAAGTGGATACTCATGGCAGTTCTGGATAGCCTGCACATGTCTACCAAAGGGATACCATCTCTTAGAAAAATAAACTCTCTCTCTTCATCTCTAACTCACATACCCTTTTTTTGCTTCATAGATTTCAAACTTGTTTTTGTTTATAATTGCCTGCTTCTCTATCTCTTCCTAACTCTTCTCTCTTCCTTTCTTCTCTGCCCATATTCTTCATATTCCCTCATCCTCCTGTCTACATGCACCCCAGGCAAAGCAGTATCTCATCACACAAATAAAAACACAAAAATTTGTTTTAGTCTGTTTTGAATTCAGGTAATTCAAAATCATGAATGAGTCCATGGCATTTGTCCTAAAATTTTGAAGAAGGAAACAAAAATGTATGAGGTAGGAAGTAAAAGGAGGCACATACTTAGAATATATTTTGTCTATATAAATTATTATATATAAGCTATCAATATCCACTAAAATGATTTCTTTCTGTAGAAAAAAGGGTAATAGAAAATTAATAAGACCTTGTGGTCTCAGAGTGCTAAATAAAAACAAACTAAAACAGAAGGAAGTTAGAAAGGGAAGAAGGAAAGAAGGGATGAAGGGAGGAAGGGAGGAAAGGAGGAAGGGAGGAAAGGAGGAAGGAAGGAAGGAAGGAAAGAAGGAAGGTTTGTTTTGTTTTGTTTTGTTTTTGACCTCAGAACATTACTCTTGTATTTATCATAGAGGTTTTGGAAGGCTGATGGCTGCAGCATTAAAAAGAATAAAAAGAAAACTTGAGGAAGAAAGACACCAATTGCCAACCTCAAGAAGGTGATGATCCTAATGGGCAACAATTGCTCTGAATTGTCTTCTAGTCAAGAACCTATATGACCTTCTGTATTAAACAGAGTTCTCGAGAGAAACAGGACCAACAGGATATATGTGTGGGTTTGTGTGTGTCTGTGTGTGTATGTGTGTAAGAGTATTATAAGGAATTGGTTCACACTATTACGGAGGCTAGTAAATCCGTAATATGCTATGTGGGCCATATTTCAGATTTTAAATTAAGAATTCTTAACCTGTATTGAGAAATACCATCAGGGCTTTTTGTTTCAAAGAATGAAGTTGCACTGATTTATGTCAACAGTACATACCACTGTACCAAACAGACTGTGGTATATTTCCTCTATTGCAAACAGAAACTTTTTCATTTGAAATTATTGCTTCTTGTTTTAGAAAAGTTATAAGTCAAAAGAAAAAAAGGAAAAATGGTTAGTGCCATGAATACTTTAAAAATAATTCAATAAAGGGGTTTTAAAATGAATTTATTTTTCTTTTTTTTAAATACTAGTGTTTATCTCATTCACCAACATGATCCATTTCCAACTTCAACTGAAGCAAATGAGATTGCCCTTTTCTTGACCTTCCTAATCCCATACACTCATGTGCCAAGTGGCTTATACGATCACCCAAGGAGAGTTCATGCACAAGCAATTTCCTCTCATTCCTAAATCAGATACTGATAATTCTGTGGTCATTTTAACTCACACAATAATGTTATTTTAATTTTATCAACACTTTTTCATACTAACCAAAATATTTCTTTACTCTAATTGGAGTTTCAATCTAGAAATCTGAGGCTTTCAAAGCAAAGTCCCTACCAGAATTAGTACCAGGTAAATTCCTTAACTTATGCTCTGTGTTTTCATCCTCTGTATTCTTGATTCTGACATTGAACAGACTCTAAATAATTTGTTTTTAGTTTATCAGTTTTATTAAAGTTTATCTATTTCAGTGGCCTATTCAAATTCTCACAATCGGCCAGATGCGGTGGCCCCTGCCTGTAATCCCAGCACTTTGGGAGGCCAAGATGGATGGATCACATGAGGCCAGGAGTTTGAAACCAGCCTGACCAACATGGTGAAACCCCGTCTCTACTAAAAATACCAAAAAATTAGACGGGTGTCGTGGTACACACCTGTAATCCCAGCTAATAGGGAGGGTGAGGCATGAGACTCACTTGAACGCAGGAGGCAGAGGTTGCATTGAGCTGAGATCATGCCACCGCACTCCAGTCTGGGTGACGGAGTGAGACTGAAAAAAAAAAAAAAAAAAAAAACCTCACCATCTTCCTAGAAAGACAATAATAACATTTATATTTTATTATGTTTTAAAATCTGAGTACACATATATGAGTATAATCATATTACAGATATTAAAATGTAGAAGTGTTCTAAACTTCATATATACAATTGTGCATGCTATTATATTGTAACACACATTATTCACTATAGTACCACATAGTTCAATTTTATCTACAGAAATACATTTAGGTCACTACAAGGCTGCTACTCAAAGTAGCATATTTCAAACATCAGGATTGAATAATTTTTCTACATATTCATCAATTGCTCAAAATCATACCATATTGTATTTTGCTGCATATTTATGTGCCCAGAATTGGTTCCTTCCAGTGGGTTCTTGGTCTCACTGACTTTAAGAATGAAGTCGGGGACCCTCGCAGTGAGTGTTACAGTTCTTAAAGATGGTGTGTCCAGAGTTTGTTTCTTCAGATTTCAGATGTGTCCGGAGTTTCTTCCTTCTGGTGGGTTCGTGGTCTCGCTGACTTCAGGAGTGAAGCCACAGACCTTCACAGTGAGTGTTACAGCTCTTAAAGGTTGTGCTTCTGGAGTTGTTTGTTCCTCCCAGTGGGTTCGTGGTCTCGCTGACCTCAGGAGTGAAGCCGCAGACCCTCATGGTGAGCGATACAGCTCATAAAGGTAATGTAGACCCAAAGAGTAAGCAGCAGCAAGATTTATTGTGAAGGGCAAAAGAATAAAGCTTCCACAGGGTGGAAGGGGACCCAAGCAGGTTGCCACTGGCTGGCTCTGGTGGCCAGCTTTTATTCCCTTATTGGCTCCGCCCACATCCTGCTGATTGGTCCATTTTACAGAGCGCTGACTGGTCCATTTTACAGAGTGCTGATTGGTGCGTTTTTACTGAGTGCTGATTGATGTGTCTACAAACCTTTAGCTAGACACAGAACGCTGATTGATGCGTTTTTACAGAGTGCTGATTGGTGCATCTACAAACCTTTAGCTAGACACAGAGCACTGATTGGTGCATTCTAACAGATTGCTGATTGGTGCATTTACAAACCTTTAGCTAGACACAGAATTTTTACAGAGTGCTGATTGGTGCATTTGCGATCCTTTAGCTAGACACAGAGCACTGATTGGTGTGTTTACAATCCTTTAGCTAGACAGAAAAGTTCTCCAAGTCCCCATCCAATCCAGGAAGTCCCACTGGCTTCACCTCTCATTTAGACAATTACTTCCTACAGAGCATTTTGTATTTTCTGACGTTTCCTGAAGTTTCCAATTCATTTTCTTTTTTTTAATTGTCAAAAGAAATATGTGTCTTCACATTATTACTAAAATCATCCAGAGTTTTGCACTCATATTATTTGGTATAGTACATCTTTTTGAAAATGTACTTCTCATATCAATCTGACTACCAGTCTAATTTGGACTGATTGTAAATTTAATACATAGTTGTCAAACTTCGTGGCCTTTTTTCATTACATTTCTGGAATAGGTCTGTTGCTTCTTTCATATTTTTATCTTTCTCTTTCTTTCATTCTTTTTTTTGTTTTGCTGGAGTAAATCCTCAAGTAACTCCACCAACCCAAAGTCTGTATAGCATTAAGCTTTTAGTCTGTTGCAAAATACAATTATTTTTGCCATGTGGTAAAAAGTTTGGCTTTACTCCCTTGCCATATGCCTTTGCAAACAGGAAAAACATACACGTTATGTAAATCACGGATCAAATTGCAAGTTATTCATTATCTTAGAGGTGGCTTATAAGCACCTATTCCAAGTGGCAGGACAAGTAATGGCCCAAGGAAGATATCATGCCCCAATCTCCAGAACCTGTGAAAATGTTAATTTACATGCAAAAGAAATTTTTTTCAGATGTAATTAAGGTTACAGACTTCGACAGAGAGATTATCCTAAATTACTCCAGTAGGTCAAATCTAATCACATGAGTCCTTAAAAGTAAAGAACTTACTCTGGCTAAAGTCAGAGGAGATGCAGCAGGACAAATCAGAATATGAAGATGGAGAAGGAAACATGACAAGGAATGCTGGTAGCCTTAAGAAGACACTTCCTGCTGATAGCCAGCAAGGAAACAGTACTTCATTACTAGAAACACAAAGAACTGAATTCTGCCAACATCCCAAATGAGCTTGGAATTTGATTCTTAGTGGAAAGAGTCTCCAGCTAAGAACCCAGAGTGACTTCTACCTTGATTTCGGCTTTGTGAAATCAAAGAAATTGGTTGAGCCCACCAGACCTCTGACCTATGGAACTGTGAGGTGATAAATGTATACTGTTTTAATCCATTAAATTTGTGGTAATTTGTTATGGCAATGATCGAAAACCAATAGAGCAAGGCTTGCTCAGAAGATTCTTTGGTAACTTCAAGGATCTAGAGCAGAAGCAAAGAATTTACAACAATAATAACAACAACATAATGGCTAGGAAAGTGGAAGATAATTCACAAGAAGATACATTAATTCTGTCAATTAGCACTTTTCTCTTTAAGGGTTTGTTGCAAGTTGTCTCTAGAAAGAGATGGAGATTAGTGGCTGGGTGCGGGGGCTCACATCTGTAATCCCAGCACTTTGGGAGGCTGAGGGGGGCGGATCACGAGGTCAAGAGACCGAGACCATCCTGGCTAACACAGTGAAACCCCGTCTCTATTAAAAATACAAAAAAATTAGCTGGGCATGGTGGCAGGCACCTGTAGTCCCAGCTATTCGGGAGGCTGAGGCAGGAGAATGGTGTGAACCCGGGAGGTGGAGCTTGCATTGAGCTGAGATTGTGCCACTGCACTCTAGCCTGGGTGGGAGCGGGACTCCATCTCAAAAAAAAAAAAAAAAAAAAGAAAAGAAAAAGAAAAAAGAAAGAGATGGAGATTAGTGCACAAAAGGTTCATTAGGAGTACTCTTGGTAACCACACTGCAGAAGGCAATGGAAGCAAGTAGAATTGATCAGTGGGAGAAACTGAATTCTAATGGAGTCTAAATGGAAGCCTCAGTGAAAACTACAGGGAATTCTGAAGCTCGATGACCCATCAGAATTATTCTGAGACAAGGTGAAGGGTTTGGATCTTTACACCCAAATAGTCACTTCAAGTAGTCATTGAGTTTATCAGAATTTGAACAAGAGTACTCTCTACAGTGGAGGTGATCTCTTGAGAGATTTTTTTTTTTTTCCTGGCAGCGCTTATAGCAGCAGAGGGAGTAAGACCTTCATTCCAGAAGGGGGATCTTGGCATCACTTCATACCATCCACTGCATGGCTGCTATTACCAAATCTCCCACAGTTTATATTGTGTCTTTATATTGTGCCAAAAGGTTAATTAACATAACCAAGATCCCTGATCTATTCATGCATAAATTCACTCAATCAACAGATTTTTTAAAATTAAGTACCAAAATGTTCTAGGCACTATGCTTACATAGTTCGTTATTTACATACTTTGTAAGATTTTTATCCTTTTCAGTTTATTAACACTTTTTTTTATATCCTAGCATTGGGTCTGCCTTGGTGAACATATTCTCTACAGTAGTAAGAATGGGTATTACGCCCCTGTTTTGTACCAATTAGATAAAGGCAATTGATAGTGTTGTTCCAATTCTCTAGGTCTTTACTGATGTTTGTCTGTTTTATCAATTGCTGAGAGAGAGTTAAAATCTCTACCTATGATTATGAAATTGTCTATTTCTCCCTTTAATCATGTCTCATTTTGCTTGGAATTTGCCTTGTGCTTGGATCAGCCAAAGATTTATGCAAATTTTATGCAAAATTTGATTTGGGGTTACCCTCTCCAGCTGCTTTCTTTCTAGTACATTCTCTCCTTACTTTCCAGTAGCCATGGTTGCCCTAAACTCTGTCCTCTGGTTCTTCAAATATGTAACATTTGAGTTTTCTAAAGGGATATTTGCTGCTGATCCCTTTGGAGAAAACTTGGAGGGAGATTTACAGTATGTACTTGTAGCAGTGGTGCAGGGTCCTTCCTCAAAGGGAGCTTGGCTTATCTTTCAATTAAGGGCTTCTGAATCTGTGAACTGACTTCTTTCTTGAAACTGGGTGAGAAAACTATGACAACTCAAATCAGATGTTTGGATACCAGACTTAGAGTCTTTCCCATTACATAGCTCAAGAAATAGTCTGATAGGATGCCTATCTATTTATTTCCTAGGAACTCTGTGATCAATTAGTCACTACCAAAGATTTCTATGGGCAAAGACATTTTAATTTTTTTGTAAGTCTCTGCTGCCCTTTATTAGCTGACATCCACATCTTGTCTTTGACAACTGTGTGGCCCCTTAGGCTTAGCTATTCTGGGCTCACATCATCCCCATTAAAATTAGGGAGCCCATCCCAATGTTGAAATTCCTTCCAGTCATATTGGGTCTAAAAATGAGACCAAGCACAAAGCTTTTCAAGGCTGTAGGTACTCCTCTCACTATATTAATGCCTGAGTGAAATGGAAATCTTATGAAACAATCTTGAAGAGAATAAGCATTCCCTCCCAGGGCATCTAAGTGTGGTTACCACATGGCTTTTCAAGCAGGAAAAAGCCAGTCTCCTTGGACCCCAGAGGACAAGCCACTTTCACTGATAAGAGAGGCTCGGAATGGCATGTGGATTCAAGATTGTCAGTTTCATTTGGTTCCAACCAAATGTCCCCATTGCAGATGTTGGAATCCCATTCTTTTCCTGTCAATGTTCTAACTTTTACATGAGAAAGTTAACAATAGTGTAGATTTACCTATCGTTATAATTTAACAATGTAACTTTGCACACAATTAAATTTTGTGTTTGGTTTTCACCAATATCAGTCCTGTGGCTATAAGAAATAAGATGCTTTTATAAATATCATTAAAGCATTCTAGTTCTCAGGCTGTGATTTAAGCTGAAAAATAATGGATTTGGGATTGGTGTTTACTCTATAAGCACTCAAGTGCACACAAAACAAAATTTCATCCCACATTCCTGTCATTATCAGATTCAGTCCTGCCATTTGGTCATGTTTAATAACCACTTGAATTCCCAAAGCATGTGCTTCAGTTGGTGTTTTATGTCAATCCACAGCTAGTAGCTTAAGTAACTGTGATGACATTGCACCCATTTCCCATTGGCAAAGGAAGCTCAGCACCATGCTAAAGCTCAAGGGCATGGCCAAACAATCTCAAAATGCCGTTTTCAAAGATCTACCTCTTGCAACCCAACCACTTCTGATACCAAATGTGAATCAGTTTGGATGTATTCAGGAGATTAAAACAACAGCCAGGGGTGGTGGCTCACATCTGTAATCCAAGCACTTTGGGAGCCTAAGATGGGAGGATTGCTTGAGTCCAGGAGTACAAGGCAGGATGGACAACATAGTGTGACTCTATTTCTACAAAAAATAATAATAATTTAGCTGGATGCTGTGGTGCATGCCTGTGGTCCCAGCTACTTGGGAAACTGAGGCAGGAGGATCCCTTGAGTCTAGGAGTTGGAGGCTAATGTGAGCTATGACTGAAGCCACTGCATACCAGCCTGGATGACAGAGCCAGACCCTGTCTCAGAAAAAAAAAAATGCCTGCAGTGATTTAAACATAAGTTTAACATAAATAATTACTGAGGTATGACAAAGGAGTAACTGTAAGATTTTAAAAAATACCGTAAGTCTCCCTAGGCCTGACGGAGAGGACCAAAATAAGGAAAAGCATGGAAAGGAGCTCTATCCACAAAAATACACTTCACACTTTACTGGAGAAGGCATAGAAGCATCCCAATGGAAGGCACAGAAGTTTTCTGATTTCCCAAAGACAGAACTGATCTATAGTTACTAGGCAAGCAGGAAGCAAACACATGAGGCACAGACGAATCAGTCAGGTATGAGGACATACAGAGTGAGAGGATGCCATGTGGGCTTGAGGCCTCGAGCAATGTGTTGATAAGGCTGCAGGAGGGTGATTGCCAAGCCTAGACTGGGCAATGAGATTGCTGAGAAACTATACTTTATGGACACATGGCTATTGCAAAGAGCCAGTGGATGTCCTCCCACCTACAATGCTGGTACAACCTCTAGGTCCAACAGGGGAAGTCCCTTCTTCCTGCAATGTCCATCTAGGGTCCTTCACTGAGGAAGCTTAACATTGTGTTCAACGTAAAAGAGAAATGCTGACAGGAATTCTATCCATTGGTGTAGAAAAGGTTTTGAAGGGTGAATTTTGAGCTGAGAGGCAGTAAGTTGCTATCAGGTACATCTCCTATATCCTTCACTGTCTCCTCTTTCCAATTCATTTATTATTCTTTTATTGAGCCAATCATATGAGCACTTACCAGGACTCAGGTGCTTTTATTCAGTGTGGAAATAACACATTAGGCAGGACAAAGCCTCTGGCCTCCTGACGTTATATTCTATAACAGGAGATAATAAATAAGCAAACGAATCAATAATATATTCTCAGATTATGATATAAAAATTAAAGCAAATAAAATATGTTTCTTGAGATTATCTTCTTCTTTTTTGTTGTTTTTGTTGTTGTTGTTTTTTTTTGGACAGAGTTTCACTATTGTCGCCCAGGCTGGAGTGCAGTGGTGCCATCTCAGCTCACTGCAACCTCTGCCTCCCAAATTCAAGTGATTCTCCTGCCTCAGCCTCCCGAGTAGCTGAGATGACAAGCTCCCATCACCAGACCCGGCTAATTTTTGTATTTTTAGTAGATATTAGGGTTTCACTATGTCGGCCAAGCTGGTCTCGAACTCCCGACCTCAGGTGATCCACCCGCCTTGGCCTCCCAAAGTGTTGAGATTACAGGTGTGAGCCACCACGCCTGGCAGAGAATATCTTCTTAAAAAGAAAAGAAAACAGAGCATGCAGGTAGACTGTGATTTAAGACGTAGAGCTATTTTAGATAGGATGGTCATAAATGCCTTTCTGAAGAGATAACTTGAACGGAGACCTACTACTCACCATCAGCATCTACCAGCTACCACTTTTCCAGTTATCACTTAAACATCACAGTTGAATTATGTCATCTCTTCCTCAAAACTATTTTCTAACTATCTAAAGATATGGAGATTAAGAAGATCAAGACCACATTAAATAACAAATATACCAGGACAAATTTTAGAATGGAAAACATGTGCTAAACAAGATATAAAGACAGAAAGTTAATTGTCTAAATTGGGTAAACCCAAGGAAGGTGAGAAAAAGCTGTTTATTAGTTGGAACTTTGGTGCCTAGGGTGTACATTAGAGAGGTCAGATGCCATATATATGCCATATATATATGGAAAACTACAAAATTCTGGACAGCACACTTAAATTTAGTAATGGCTTCTAACCTATTTTCTGTAAGACTTGTTCAGATTCAGTATTTGATGAGAGGGACTTAGTTTAAAGGCTTCCAGTTCTTGAAATTCTACCTAGAGAGGTATTTGAATGTGTAAAATCAGAAGGAAGAGGAACTGATGCTTACAAAGTAGCCTCTGTTAAGTATTCCAGGTCCTCCACATAGATTATTTACTCTTTAGAACAGGTATAATAGGGTAGTTTCAACATTGTACACATGAGAAACTTAGAATAGAATGTCTCTTCCCCTTTAGTAAGTTTCCTTTCTTGCGATGGTATAAAATGTTTCACTTGGGCTGGAGTTTCCCATGGGCAATTTTCTCCAGCCACAGATAGAATACTTCATAAATGAAAAAACTGTGCACAGCCTGAAATAGTCCATCAATACCTGTCTCTGGGGTCCAGTTTGCAGGTTCATTTATCTTTCACACTAAGCTCTGTCCTCCCACTGACATTCATTAGAAATAAAATGTTTTAATTTCTATCTGGCACTTATTTTATTATTTTTTCCAGAAACCTGGAAAAATAAAAGTAGATTCTGCTGATCTCTGTCAGAGGCACAAACATGAGATTGTGAGAGATTAAGTGTCTTGCCCAAGATTACATCAATTAGTTGGTGGCAGCCAGGATTCAAATGTGATTTTTGCTCTGCCATAATTCCTAAAGTCTGTACATGATAAATTTGTCCTTAGAGATTTGCATGAAAAAAACTATGGTTAAATAAATCTGGGAGTCATTACATACTGTATCATTCTCTTAGAAATTTAGCTTGTCTAGTTACATACTAAAAGTTCTGCGAAGTTCTGGATTTAAAGGGAGGAAATTATGTTTAAATTGATTGATTCTTTCCTTCATTCAACAAATATGCATTAAACCCTCAGCAAATTCAAGGTGTTCTAGGCAAAAGAAAGAGCACATGCAAAGGCCTCAAGTCAAGAAAAAGCTGGCTTGTTAGAAGAATTTACAGAAGGCTAATAGTCCCAAAGTGTAGTAGGGGCATAAGAACAGTAAGAGATGAGGTTGTAGAAGGTGGCAAAGGCCATATCAAACAGGAATTAATAGATCATCAAAAGAAATTTGGATTTTTGTTCTAAATAGAAACAGAAGCCATTGAAATAGTCAGTCTGACAATAAATGTATTTGGCCGCAATCCTATTTATTCTCATAATATTTAAATAAACATGTTATGCTGCTTTACACTCTGCTGAGCCCCTTGCATTAGACCGGAAGGTGGAAACTGTTAGTGACCAAGATGGGTTTTTAGTCTATATAGTCATTATAGACCTAACACCTAGCATAGACCATTCAAACAGTAGCTACTCAATGAAGGATTTGTTGAATGAATTGAAATCATGAAGGGATAGACAGCTATTACATTTGACAAATGTTTAAAAGAAATAGAAATGTTTTACCCTGACATGTAGAAAACATATGATCAGGGAAGAAGACGTAAGCCTTCAAATTCACAGTGGTGCCAGAAGACAAATTAGACTCACCAAGTAAGCCTCAAGAAGGTGTACCTAGGAGCAATAAGAGGTAGTTATTGAGAAGCCGACAATAAAATGCACATGTCATGAAGTAGTGCATTTCTCATCACTTGATGTTGTCCAACAGAGAATAGAAAACAGTTATGGAGAATATCACAGGAAGGATTTCTTCATCAGTTGAAAGCTGGATTATATACTTTAAAAACATCTTTCAACCCTAAGATCCGGGATTCTATTTGCAAAGAATCTGAAGACAGAAAAGAGTAGGTGAATTGAGTGTGGCCAGAGAGAACTTCTGAACAACAAAAATGTGTAATTTAGCAAACTTTTATCTAAGAGAATAAAGGTAATTATTAAGTGTAAGATGTCAATATGAAGATATTATTCTACTCCCCAGTCTGACACTAATATAAAACAAACAAAAATAATAAAATGATAGAAAAACAATATCATCTATAAAGTCCATAAAACTCCCAGAACTGCAAGTCAAAAACCTGTAAAATCTGTCGGTAAAATTAAGGGAGAATTCCAAGAGTTGATACATACGTCCCCCGATTTCATGTAGGCAGAGACATAACCAGCCAACCTTTACCTACAATGACTCATTCTAAAACACAGGGAAGCCTGGGAAAATGAGGCATGGAAACTAATTTAGGGAAAACAGGATGTGAGGAAATGATCATGAGAATAAGCTCCTTGAGAATTCACAGAATCCTGAAAATATTTCTGACATAATACACAAGAAAATGTTAATAGTTGAAAATTTTAGGAGATGGGTTAGGTGTGTAGAAAAGGGAGTACTTCTAATTTCACTTCATACCTTTCTCTACTCTTGGAGCTTTTGTCAGTAAAGATTCATACAGTTTACATTTAAAACTAATTTCAGAGGGATAAAAATGATGAAAGTAATTTTATGCTGAATATATGGAAAATGATTTAAAGGAGACATATCTTTAGAGCTATTATAAATTTGAGTAAATGAGCAAATTAAGAGTTCTCTAAGGAGGAGGTAACAGAATAGACAATATAAAATGTATTCCACTTCTAGATTCTACAATCCTATTAAAAAAACAAGTTCCATTAACCTGAACTTTAAATTTGATTGGAACAATTATATTCTCACCACTCTGTAGGAACATCTGGTAACTAGTCAGAAATAACTTGTACTCATTAATAAAAGTCTAGCCCTCCCATAAACAATAAGCATAAGTACATGTACTAGGTTTAGGTCTAGGCTGAGCAACAGCAGAGATTCTAAGTGCATGTTCTTCCTATTCTCTAGAGTTTAGGTATGTTGCCCATGAGTAGTACCTTAAGACACAGATTTCAATGGAAAAAAAATATGAGTGAGTGAGAAGATATTTTTTCCAAATTCTAAAGTTCCGGTGGATTTCAGCTGATGAGCATATTTTGTCTTATGCTAAATGTATTACTTTGAAAATATTGTTGTGATTGCAAAATATTTTAAAGGGACATTTTCTTTTAATGCCATTTAAAGAAAATGACCTGGAGCTTTGCTGAAGTAATTCCATTGGCCTTTCTCTTTTAAGAAATCTACATTCCACCCAAAGCATCTGTAGGCTACAGAATATTATCAGACAACTAATACATCCCAATCAGACTGAATTTATTTATAGACAACGTTCTTTTTGCAATGTTAGATGCCTCATTAACTTGATTCAGCTTGTGCATAGCAAAAATATTCCCTCCCTCTTCAGATTTTTGATAGAGTGAATTATAATTTCTTGTCTCACTCATTATAAACCTTTAGTTTGGAGGACATTTCAGAAATGTGTAGTGCCACTTATGTTAATCCTGGATTACTTGTCCTGGATTAATTATGTGCTGTATTTGTTTTTCTTTGGAAGAAAAATGAAGTGGCATAGTGACCATTCTTACTTTTTACTTCACATGAAAAGTAAGTTAAAATTTAATTTTGCCATAAACATCCTAAAAGAAAATGGAATGCGAATTTGTATTGGAGTAGATTTCATTATTGTCATGATAGTGGAGGTAGGAGTGGGAAGCATCCTGGAGCCTTAATAATTCAGCTTACTTTTAAAATCTGTCTATCTGAGAGCAAAGCTAAGGACATACTGTGAAAAATGAACACATATAACTCCTGTATTATGATCCACATCTTCAAATTTTGAAATTTCCTTTTGAATATATCACTATGCAACTTTGGGTTACATGCTCTTTTAATTTGGTTTGCACTTCTGTAAGTGTGGGAGGGAAAGGATTTTTCTTTCCAAATCCTCCATTAGAATTATTTTAAATGTATCAATTTTAAATGAGGTTTAACAGGTTAAATTGAGCTCAGGAAAAAGATAATTATTTAAAATACTAACTTCTATTTATCTTAAATTCAACATTCCATTTTTTCAATGAATATTCCACAAATAAGTAAGTGTATTTGTTTGTTAATATGAAGTAGTCATAAATTATACTGGGAAATGTTTCCACATTTTGTTTTAAATAAGATGATAACTTTGTGAAGAGGAAGTTTTTTTCTTTAATCACAGTCTGCAATGTTTCAAATCTACAATTTATAATTTTAGTAATCTGTTGTATATACTGGGATATACCTAATATAAAAACATCCCGTATATAGTTTTTAATTGTCTGCCAGCTAAGAGAGAACACACTTACTATCTTGTGGTTCTGATACTATCATAATTATTTTAATCAAACTTCACCACAGAATTTAAAAAGTTATTTCATAGCTGCATCTAAATACTTGAAAATGCGCAACATGACTGGGAATACCTTGTTTCAGGACTTCTGTTTCTAGTCAAGGAAAGATGTAGAAAATCTTTTCACCCTGCAAACAGAAATTTTAAATGCTTTATTATAGGTATTATAAATAAACTTCTGTTCAAATGAAAGGATTAAAAGGATTTCTCTAAGTATTAAATCCCTTGTGTTATTAAAGAAGAAAAAAATAAGAAAAAATGATTTTTACAAGCACCTCCACTCGGGGCTTTGTAATCAAAGACAATAACGTTAACTAGGACTTTTTTTTCCTCTTTCAGACCATAAGCGGTCCTGAATCCATACTGTTTGATAAAAATTCTGATTCTCACAAGAATCTGGGGATTTGTACGAAACAGTATGACCTACGTTCATCAGATGGAATACTTTTCTTTGTGATGGGAAAAGGATTGGAGAACTGAAGTGGTTTAAAATTAAGATGGAGTTTCTAAACTTGTAAAATTGCTCTAGTGCATGCCAAATGGTTTGGAGTATGGTTTAAGCATATGTGACCGGCCTGTTGATGAGCTGTCTTTTTCAGGATACATATATGAAGTTATTTGTAAGCTGGTCCTAGAGAAACTTCAAGTTTACCTGATGATCAGGCTTTGAGACTTCAGGGCACATATGGCATGCCCAAACTAACGACCATCCTCTATTCTAATCACAGTTAAAGTCAGCTGTGGGAGGCTGCCGCCCTTGAATGGTTTATAATCAGCTTGAGACATGAAACTGACTCATTTCTGGAAGTGTGGGGGCTGTTCTTTCACTCTTTTCAGTACATGAATGCCACCATAAAATAAGATTAAATGCTCTGGGGTTTTCCCCGCTGTTTCCCTTCCCTATTTGTTACCTTTTCATGGTATGTGGGCTCATACTGTATTTATGTTTTCTTAGCTTCAAATTATCTCACTCACAATTTTGTATTAAACAGCCTGCTTTGCCCTACTTCTAAAATAGGACATACATTCCTATTATGTTATATTTTCATCACATTGTTTTAAAGAAATGAACACCTTAAAAGTAAATATGTATGATACTTAAACTCGTTAAAGTTAAGTATCTTCCTTGGTGTCCCAATCTATTCAATGTCATCTCCTGGGAGATTACTTGTGAGCTTCTTTCATGTTGTCTAAAGGTAGCTGTAAACTTGTTCTCTAAAATACTATTATTAAGAAATCCCATTGAAATTATAGGCTTTTTTCCTGAGGCTTCCAAACTTCAAGCTACAGAGTTTTATTTCCTTCTCTTAAAAATGTCTTTGGCCTCCTAAATTATAGACACACATCTTCTAGAATTTTATAGAGATTTACCTTACTTGAGTTATTGTTCCTACGGATTTTGAAAAATCTTTCAAAGATCTGTCCTACTTAAGTTGCTCTTGCCTTGAACTTCAGCTAATCTTCCTGAGCAATATCATAAGGTAAGAATCTGATATGACTCTATTAGTCTGAAAATCAGACCAAAAGGCAACTGACTTGTACATATGAAGTATACAGCTTATTGTTACGATAGAGCGAAATAAATATATGAAAAGATAAATAAAAAGGTACTTTTAAAAATGTTTACCTACCATGGACACAGGAACTGGTGAACTTTTTGAAGTCCCCCAAGTTCTTAGCACAGCACTGTTGTCAAGAGTGTTGGCGGGTCGCGGTGGCTCACGCTTGTAATCCCAGCACTTTGGGAGGCTGAGGCGGGGGGATCATGAGGTCAGGAGTTGGAGAACCGCTAGGCCAACACGGTGAAAGCCCGTCTCTACTAAAAACACAAAAAAATTAGCCGAGCGTAGTGGCGGGCGCCAGCAGTCCCAGCTGCTCCGGAAGCTGAGGCAGGAGAATGACGTGACCCCGGGAGGCGGAGCTTGCAGCGAACCGATATCGCGATACTGCACTCCAGCCTGGGCGACAGAGCGAGACTCCCTCTCAAAAAAAAAAAAAAAACTGTTAGGTATATATTACGGTATATATATTAAGGCAGACCTGGGTCGGTCTCATACTGGGTAAGGTGCTGCTAGTTCTTGCTATGGTAGAAAGATATATCAGGCTTTCAGCCGGGCACAGTGGCTCACACCTGTAATCCCAGCACTTTGGGAGGCCGAAGCGGGCGGATCGCGAGGTCAGGAGATAGAGACCATCCTGACTAACATGGTGAAACCCCGTCTCTACTAAAAAAAAAAAAAAAAAAAAAAAAAAAATTAGCTGGTTGTGGTGGCCGGGCCTATAGTCCCAGCTACTCGGGAGGCTGAAGCAGGAGAATCGCTTGAACCGGGCAGCAGTTGGAGGTTGCAGTGAGATGAGATCATGCCACTGCACTCCAGCCTAGCGACACAGCGAGACTCCGTTTCAAAGAAGAAAAATATGTATATATATATATATATATATATATATATATATATATATATGTATAGAGAGAGAGAGAGCAGGCTTTCTCTTGGTTTTAAGATTCTCCTGTCTTTTTTTTTTTTTTTTCCCGAGTTTCGCTCTTGTTGCCCAGGTTGGAGTGCAGTGGCGCGATTTCGGCTCACTGCAACCTCCACCTCCCGGCTTCAAGCGGTTCTCCTGCCACAGCCTCCCAAGTAACTGGGATTACAGGCATGCGCCACCACGCCCGGCTAATTTTGTATTTTTAGTGGAGACGGGGTTTCTGCATGTTGGTCATGTCTGGTCTCCAACTCCTGACCTCAGGTTATATGCCCACCTCGGCCTCCCAAAGTGCTGGGATAACAGGCGTGAGCCACCGCGCTGGGCCAAGATTCTCTCATCTTTAGCACAGTGTCTCTGCCTCTTACCTGCCCTGGATTAATTGCTCCATCTGAATAACTGGTTTCTGCATGCTTCTCAGTTTCTAAGCAGTCACTCAACTCTGACACTTCTGCTTCCTCTTTAACCAGTATCCTTAACATTCTCCCTCATTTTTGACAATGTACTCATCCTGATTATGCAAATGATTACAAATCTCTATCTGAGATATTTGAATCTATAGTTTTAATCTCACAGCACTGATCATCCAGTACCTACAGTACATTCAAGTTATAAGTTCCATGGAGGTAAAAATTCTCTAACTTGTAACTGTATAAAGGCATTAAAGCATGACACTCTAAAGGCATTAAAGAATCAACAAAAGAATGATACTTCTGGTATGAATATAGCTGCAGAAATCAGGATTCTGCATTTCTTTTCTCAAAAATAATTGAAAATAGAAAAAATTTTTAATAATCATGCGGAACTCCAATTTTTGGCAAATTGGAAGACATTTATAATCATAGCTTCCAAATTGATGAAAGAGATCACAAAAGCTATATGGGATAAAACAAAAATTAAAAACCGTAGAGAGGAATATAAGCAAAGAGGGAGCCTTATAATATCAAATCTCAAAATTTTCTGGCAAAAGATATACTTCCTGAAGAGGAGGGATAAGCCCAGAAATGCAAAAATCTATCATCTTATTTCTGCTATGGGTGCATGAACTGGAGTAAGATAGACTGGCAGCAATAGCATTACTGGACCCAGTCTGGTTCCAAGAATAGAGGAAGCAATAATATACAAATAATGACACAGACACTGCACATGTTCTAAAGGCGTTTTTCTGTGGTATTTGAGTAGAAAGGAGACTTTTTGTTGTGAAAGCCAGAAAAATTACATATCAATTCCTATTGTTCTCCAGCACAAAAATCTCTTGCACATATTAAGAAATACAAAATAATTCAACAATAGATACTGAAAAATAGGAAGACATTAAAGGAGGAAGAAAGTAAAGTACAGGCAACAAAAGAGAAGAATACTTAACAGGAAAGCATGAAACAGCAAGTAAAATCATAGCAAATATTTTAGCAAGCATTTTAAAATATTTTATAAAGCAAACTCCACTATGAAGGAAGACACAAAGCAGAAAGACAGAACTCAAAGAATAGACAGCAAAACAATAAAAGAAAATAAATTGCAAACTGGCAGGATTTGGAAAAGAATTAGAAGAAAAAAAGCTGTCACTGATTATGACAGAATTCAGTACAGTACATGGGGTTTATGCTTCTGTCATGATAGGGTGAATGGAGCAAGACTTAATTGTGCACTATAACCAACTAGAAAAATAGAAAAAATAATGCAAATAAAGAGTTTGCAGACATCCTACAACACATATTATATGATTATAGTCAGTAAGAGAAGAAAAAAAATTTAGGTGAGTCTTGTAATCAAACTGGATTTCTCCACCGAAGAACTTTCTGAACCACATTGTCAGGAGGTAGATTCCAAGCAGAGCTAGGTGGTTACACTGAGTTGTGTAGACAGAGATCAGAGTGCTTAGAGTTTTTGAGCCTGAAATTCTGAATGGAAGACAACAGGAAAGGAGAGAACATATAAATAAGTAAATCAGGAAATCTTTACAATCATCTCAGAGTCAGTTGCTGAACACTAAGTCATGCGTATATAGGCCAAGGCAAAAAGCAAAAAGGAAGCTGTGTGTCAAACAATTTCCAGCTCTTACGCAGCTCTGGGAAAAGTTCAAGTTCTCAGAAGCCAGAGTATACATTATTCACTGAATACTCAGAACTTTCTGTAAAAATACCAAGAGGGCTATAGTAGGCATACAGTAAAGATTGTTCTAAATTCACCCTACTAAAGCCTTAAAGAAGGGCTAGAATGGACAAAACTGGACTGCAAGAAACTTAACTGCCTGCCAGAACAAAGAGCAACATATTTTGAAGGAAGACAAAAAATATGACACTCAACAGCATGAAATTCATAATGTCCAGCACTCAATCAAATACTGTTATATACATGGAAAAGCAGGAAAATTAAATCCACATCTAGGAGAAAAACCAGTCACTACAAATAGATCACAAATGACAGAAATGAGGAAATTAGCAGACACCAACATTTAAAAACCTACCAAAACACGGCTCAAGCATGTAAAGAGTAACATGAACATAATGAAGGAACACATAGAATGTAGGACAAAAAGTGTCAAACTTCTAGAGAAATAAATGTATTAAAGAATAAATTCACTGGATGAAATTAACAGTAGATTAGGCATGATAGGAAAAATATCAATGAACTTGAAGACAGTGGTAGAAACTATCCTAAATACAGATCAGAAAGAAAAAAGTCTAAAAAAGAATAAGTAATGAAGTCCCAGTAACTTGGAAAACGATATTAACTGCTGTAACATTAGTATAATTGGAATTCATGGAACAGGTGAGACACTGAGGGTCAGAAAAAATATTGGAAGTAATAATAGCCAAAATATTTACAAATTTAATAAAAATAAGAAATCTTCAGGAACAAAATTAATAAACTCCAGTAAGATAAACACAAAGAAAAACATACCAAAGTACAACAGGAGGGAGTTGTTAAAACCAGTAATAAAAAGAAAATCTTAAAAGCACCCAGAGGAAAATAGACATATTGCATACAAAAGAACAAAGACAAACATGAATGCACACTTCCAGTCAGAAACTATTGAAATCAGAAGACAGCGAAACATTTTAAAGTGCTGAAAGAAAAAACAATCATTTCAAGCTATAATTCTATATCCCCAGAAAAAAAATCCTTCAAAACTAAAGGGAAAATGGACATTTCTTCAGGCAAAGAGTTAATCTATATATTTTTTAAGTTAATAAAAGATTTCAGGGAGCTAAATATATATATATACACACACATATCTATATCTATATCATATATATATATATATATATATATATATATATATATATATATATATACCAAATGGAAACTTGTACCTATATAAAAGAATGGTGAGTACTTGAAAGGGTAAATATTTTGATGAATATACTTTTCTTTTTAAAGATTTCTTTAATTTCTTTAAAGTTGAGTATGTAAGGCAAATATAGAAACAAAATTGATTGAAATTTTATGTAGAAATAAAATGTGAGACAAAAATGGCACAAAAAAAGGGTGGGATGGAAATGGTATAATATTATTTGAAGATACTCTGTGATAAAAGTGTATCAGTCAGGGTTCAGTCATGTCAAAGAAACCATATAGAGTAAGTATAAGATAAAGTTTGAACAGCGTAAGTATAATATAAAGAAAACATTAAAATCTGTTGTGTTTAGTTGTGTAAAGAAGCAGATGGAAGGGATATGAAAGGAAGTAACACTGTTCTGACTATGTCTTTTTGAATAATTTTCATTTTGGAAGTATTCTTCATGTTCAAAAACTTAAACTAAATCAATATTTAACAAGAATGGGGAAAAGATCTAAAACTAATGCAAACAAAAACAAATGAACCCAACTGTAATTCCAAATAAAAAATACTAAATACACTGAAAAGAAAAAATAAAAGAACTAATACAAGTAACTTTTGATCACAAGTATTTTGATTATACACTCTCAATCCAGGTTAAAAAAAAACAGAACTGTTAAGAAATCTTGAACTCTTATTAGTAGGTTTGTTGTAGTACAGATGATTGAACAAATGAGCTGATGTTATTGCAAGTGAGGGTTTCCACTGTGGAGGCAGGGAGATAGAAATATAGAAAAATCTTGTAGGTTTGGTTTGCAAGTGAAAGTATTAATATGAACTTTTACTTTACTTAGATATATACATACACACATGCATATAAATATCATAGCTCTGTTTGTTGGAGAGGTCAAGAAGTAATAACACACCAACAATGAACATAATTTCTGCTCAGATCTTGTTTTCTAAATGCTATTTTCCACTAAAGATACCAGGGGAAGGTCAGGGGAAGTTCAACATGAGTCTGGATGATCTTGTTGAGTCAGGGGGATAGTGCTTAAAAAGTGATGTCAAGAACCCCTAGAATCCAGCCTGTAGGGTCTTCCATTGAATAAATCCAGGAAAATTTGAGCATCAAAACAAATAAGGTGGTAATAGAATGTAACCCAAAGATTAAAATATGAATCCATAAGTCTATACTGAAGAAAGACAGAAGGAAGGAAAGAAGAAGAAAAAGATCTTCATTATAGTAAGCTTTGACTGACGAATATGAAGAGAGTGATTGATAGAGTTAAAAAATCATTATTTTTCAAGTATCATAGTTAACATTGGGTCAGACAAGAATCATCAATGGATGCTGAATGTAGGAGCAAAATTTTAATGAAAAGCAGGTTATTTACATGGTTTTTAAATGTTTCTCTACAGAATGCCTATTAGCTGCATGAGGGGAAACAGTAACCAGAAAGTAGAGGACTGGACAACATCTGGACCAAGGGATCAAAATTAACATCAATAAGGTGAGCTTATGGACATGATGCTGTAAAAACAATATCACTTTTGTGTTAGTCAAGCCAAGTGTGCTTAACCTGAGTCTAATCATAAAACATATCTAAATTGAGGAACACGCTATAAAATAACTGACCTGTACTCTTCAAATAAGTCAATGTTGCAGGGCGCGGTGGCTCATGCCTGTAATCCCAGCACTTTGGGAGGCCGAAGAGGGCAGATCACGAGGTCTGGTGATTGAGACCATCCTGGCCAAAATGGTGAAACCCTGTCTCTACTAAAAATACAAATATTAGCTGGGCGTGGTGGCCTGTGCCTGTACTCACAGCTACTCGGGAGGCTATGGCAGGAGGATCGTTTGAACCAGGGAGTCGGAGGTTGCAGTGAGCTGAGATCGCACCACTGCACTCCAGCCTGATGACAAAGTGAGACTCCGTCTCAAAAAAAAAAAAAAAAAAAAAAGACAAAAAAAGAAAAGAAAAAAAGAAATAAATCCATGTTATGAAAGATTTGTGTATGTTTGAGAAAGTTTCCAGCTTAAAATAAAGAAATGATAATTAAATGTGATATGTAATTCTGGATTAGATACTGTACTTGTATTTTAAAATGCTACAAAATACATTATTGGGAATATTTTGTTAAAAGTCATAAGAATTTTCTATCAAAGTTAAATTTTCTAAATTTGATAGCTACACCTTGATTACATAAGAGAATATCTTTTTTTTGGCTATCAACTCTAACTACTGAAGTTTTAAGTGAGAAAAAGTGTTAATACATGCAACTGACTCTCAAAGGAGTTAGAAAATTAAATCACAACTATTTATTGGACTTACACAGATAAACCACCTTGCCACAAGAATACTCATAAATTATTTTCAAATTTTGAAGGAATCAGGACAAAAAGAAAATGCTTCCACCTTTTTTCACAAAAGTATACTTTATCAAATTGCTGTAAACTATACATAGCTTAAAAGTGAGTATTTTCTTAAATTGGAAAACAAAACATTTAAGTAAAGAATCAACAATGTTTCAAATAAAACTTATAGAAAGAAAAAAGAAAAATAAATCACATATAAGTACAAATTATACATACACATATATCTCTACAGATAAAGTGGTGTTACTAATTGTACAAATACTAATACATGTTCTAAGATTACATTTACTAATTTAATAAATATACTAAAATGTTAAAATTTATTTTTCTTTTTTCCAGTTTTATTGAGGTATAATTGACAAGACTGCATATAATTAAGATGTATAATGTGATAATTTGATATATTTATATATTATGAAATGATTACCACAATCAAGCTAATTAATACATTCATCATCTCACAGTTACCTTGTGTATGAACACTCAAGATATACTCTCAGCAAATTTTATGTAAACAATGCAATATTATGAATTGTAGTCATTGCACAATACATTAGATCCCTTTTATTACTGAGAGTTTGTACCCTTTGACCAACATCATCGCTTTTTCCACCTCTGACCCAAACAAATTCTGGCAACCACCATTCTACTTCCTGCTTCTGTGAGTTTGAGTTTTTTTAATTTAATATATAAATGAGATAATACAATTTGTCTTTCTATGACTGGTTTATTTCACACAGCATAATGTCCTCCAGGTTCATCTATGATGTCACAAAAGGCAAGATTTCCTTTTTTATGGATGAATAATGTTCAATTGTATATACAATATGTACCATAATTTATTTTTCCATTTATCCATCAATAGACATTTAGGTAGCTTTCATATGTTGGCAATTGTAAATAATGCTGCAACGAACATGGGAGTGCAGGTAGCTTTTTGAGATACTGATTTCATTTTCTCTGGACATACACTCAGTAGTGAGATTGCTGGACCATATGATAGTTCTATTTTAAATTTTAGAGGTATCACCATAGTGTTTTCCACAATGACTGTGCCAATATACACTTTCACCAAAGTGTACAAGGGAAACATACCATCTCTACACCATCACCAACACTTTTTATCTCTTGTCTTGTTTATAATAGCCATCCTAACAAGTGTGAGGTGATATGCATTTCCTTAATGCTCATTGATGTTGAGAAACTTTTCATATACCTGTTGGTCATTTGTATGTTTTCTTTGAGAATATGTATATTCATGCTCTTCACCCATTTTGTAAATGAGTGGTTTTTGTGCTATTGAATTGTATAAGCTCCTTGTATTTTTTTAATGTTAACTCTTTATTATATATATGGTTTGCAAGTATTATCTTCCATTCTGTAGGTGTCCTTTTCATCCCATTGGTTGTTTCATTTGCTGTTCGAAAGCTTTTTAATTTGGTGTAATCTCACCTGTCTATTTTTGCCTTTCTCGCGTGTGCTTTTGTTATTCTATCCAAAAAAATCATTGCCAAGACCAATGTCAAGAAACTTTGTCCCTATGTTTTCTTCTAGAAGTTTATAGTTTCAGGTCTTATATGCAAATCTGTAATCCATTTTGAGCTCCTTTTTGTGGATAGTGTAAGAAAAGAGTCCAGTTTCATTTTTGTGGATATCCAGTTTTCCCAAAACAATTTCTTGAAGAGACTATTCTTTCTCCATTGTGTATTCTTTAAACAGTGGCAAGAATTAGTTGATCATACATGTATGAGTTGATTTCTGAGCTCTCAATTCAATTTCACTGGTCTGTGTATCTGTTTGAGGGAAGTGCCATACTGTTTTGATTAGTATAGTTTTGTAATATAGTTTGAATTCAGGAAGTATAACATCTCCAGCTTTTTTATTCTTTCTCAAGATTGCTTTGGCTATTTGGGGCCTTTTGTGGTTTTATTTGAATTTTAGAATTGTTTTCTCTATATCTATGAAAAGTGGCATTAAAATTTTGATAAGGATTGCATTGAATCTGTAGATCACTTTGGGTAGTAAGGACGTTTAACAATAGTAGTTCTTCCAGGCCATAAACATAGGATAGCTTTCCATTTTATTTGTGTCTTCTTCAATATCTTATAGTTTTCAGTGTTCAGATCTTTCACCTCATTGATTAAATTAAGTCCTAACCGATGTATTGTTTTTGATGCAATTATTAAAATTTCTTAAATCAGTAAAGCTTGGAAAAGAATATCTAGGAGTTTTCTGTAATATTCTTGCAACATTGCTGTAAATTTGAAGTTATTTCAAAATTTAAAAATTGAAAATATATTGGTATCATGTCATTTACAAATATGTGACAAATACCAGTCAACGTTGTAAATAATACTGTGATAATAATAATAACATAATAAAACTAAAAAATATAATGTGAAGTGAAACAATATTTGGGGCATAAATTACTTGCACTAAATTTCTTCTCTTTCATATCAAGAATTTAATAAACTATGGCATAAAGTTTTATATGAAAACATAGAGTGATACAAATCTATTTGGCAAAGTTGAGATGATAAAAATTAGAAAAAAATATTTCATATTTGTGGTGGGAGTTTGTCATGGAGCAAGGTTGGAGAGAGACCTACTTTAAATAAATAAAGCATTGGAAATATCTTGGAAACAGATAATCAAATACCTCACGTTCTTACTTATAAGTGGGAACTAAACAATGGGTACACACGGACATACAGAGGGAAATAATAGACACTGCTGACTCCAAAAGGAGGGAGGGCGGAAAGAAGGGGAGGGTTGAAAAATTACCTGTTGGATACAATGTTCATTATTTGGGAGATGAGTATACCAGAAACCCAAACCTCACCATTATATAATATATCCTTATAAGAAATCTGCATAAGCCCTTCCTGAATCTATAAAAATTAAAAACAAAAATAAAAATAAAGCATTGGCAAATGTTCACGTGTGTGCCTCTGTGCATACACACACAAACACACACACATACACTCCTACTTAAATAAACCATATGATGCATTTGAAGTCTGCAAATAGTCACTATTTGAGCTGTAGATGTAGATCTTGGCAAATATTCTATGACAAGTAAATAAGCAATAAGAAATTATATAGCAGCTGGGGTAGACAAATAGGAGAGACAGGACAGATACATAACACCAGGGATTTTTGCAAAGACAACCTGAAGCAATTGATTCTGTCAGCTTAAGTTGCTCTCACATTATCCTTAAGCTGGTGAGAGTTGATTCTGACTGAGCTAGACCTGTAGTAATAGAGGTTTGCTGAAAATAAAAATTGGAAAACTCAGTCTGGCATTGTAGAATGCAGGAATTGTAGCAAGTAGAGTGCTTAATAAGAGTTTGTTTAAATAAACTTTTATTTTAGAACAATTTTAAATTTACTAAAGAGTTGTAAAGGTAATACAGAGAACCCCCATATACTTCATACTGTTTCTCCTACTATAAGCATCTTATTAGTACGATACATTTATCACAATTAATAAATAAATGGTGATATATTATTATTACCTAAAGTCCATATTTTATTCAAATTTCCTTAGTTTTCATCAAATGATCTTTTTGGGACTGAGAGTCCATCGAAGATGCTGCATTAATTTGTCACATGTTCTCAGGTGCCTCTTGGCTGCAACAATTACTCAGACTCCTTGTTTTCAATGACCCTGACAGTTTGGAGCAGTACTGGTCAGGTATTTTGTCAATGTCGCCCTTTGGGGATTTGCTTTATGTTTTTCTTACAATTGTACTGGAATCATGTGTTTTGGAGAGGAAGAACATAGAACTGTCTTTTTCATTACATCATATCAAGAGTAGGTATTATCAACATGAGTTGTCCCTGTTAATGTTAATCTTGATCACTTGGCTGTTTGTCAGGTTTCTTGGCTATAAAGTTACTCTTTTACCCCCATTTATGTACTGTACCCCTTGGAAGGAAGTCGCTATGCACAGTTCACACTTAAGGACTGAGGAAGAGTTATGTTCCATCTCCTTGAAGGTAGAGTATCTACATAAATTATTAGCACAGAATATTTGTTTATTCTTTGTTTGTTTACTTATTTATTTATATCAATATGGACTCCTGGATATTTATCTTATACTTTTGGCTATAATCCAATACTATTTTATTAATTTTGTTGCTGAAATCATTCCAGCTTTGCCCATTGGGAACTCTTATGTTTCCTCTTGAGTAACCCGTCACTGACTGATAGACCGTGTGTGTGTGTGTGTGTGTGTGTCTTGAGCACTTTCTTACTTTCTGACACTACAAGGTTCTCTCAGTTCATCTTGTATGTTTTCTGCTTCAGTCCTAGAATCAGGCGTTTCTTTAAGAGGCCCTACTTCCTCTAATTGGATAATTCTAGAAACCGGTATTTGAATCTGAGGTATGTTTGTTGCTCCTGAGTATCCTTGTTTCTAGACTCTCTCAGCTAATAGAATAAGGAAATATACGTGAGTATATTGAACTTTGTATATACATATATCTGTAAATATTTCTAGGTGTATCCATCTGAATCTATATTAAGCTAAAAAATGAGTTCATATCACCCAATGGATCATTCTAGTCTTCTCTCATTTATCTGTATCCTCTAGCTTCAACAGTGAGACAATGACTTCCATCATTCAAACATCCATTGACTTAAATGTTTAATTCTAATATATACGTGTAGTGGTTTTAGAATCGTTAACCCATTCTACCACAGAAAACAAATATCAACTAAAGTTCAATACTTACATGAAGTTTATTTGCTGTTAGTCTTACAGACTCCACTCATTTTCAAACTTTCTTAAGCCAGAACCTTTTCTCCTTATTTTTTTAGTGAGATTGTTTTGTACATGTTATGCAGTTAGATTCTTTTGTCACAGTATGCATTTCATTCTGAGAACTCCCAACCTTTCAAATAATTTTTTAAATTTGCGTATATTAAAGTCAGTTTTTGTGCTATAAATTGTATGGGTCTTGACAAATGCATGCTGTTGTGTATCCATCACTTGAGTATCATACATGATAGTTTCATCATCCTTTAGGAAAAAAGTCCTAATATTGATAGCATAATGCATTCACTTACTAACTGGCTCTGTAGAGCCCTACTAACTCAGGGAATTCTGTACACACATAATGAATATTTCGACATGCCTTTGCCTATGCATTGAAAATGTGAACAATTTTTTTCTTAATAGTTTAGGTTTCCTCATTTAAAATGCTGTAGGCGATTTTGAATAAGAAAATTATACATTTTTTTGCCAGGCGCCGTGGCTTATGCCTGTAATCCCAGCACTTTGGGAGGCCAAGGTGGGCGGATCACCTGAGTTTGGGAGTTCAAGACCAGCCTGACCAACATGGAGAAACCCCGTCTCTACTAAAAATACAAAATTAGCCGGGTGTGGTGGTGCATGCCTGTAATGCCAGCTACTCGGGAGCCTAAGGCAGGAGAATCGCTTGAACCTGGGAGGTGGGGGTTGCGGTGAGCCGAGATCGCGCCATAGCACTCCAGCCTGGGCAACAAGAGTGAAACTTCATCTGAAAAAAAAAAAAGGAAAAGGAAAAGAAAATTATACATTTTTTGCCCAAAACAAAAATGTGTTCACAAATTTTATTTTCCACCATTTGGAAATGCGTCTATAGGCATACAAGGTCAAGCTTATAATTTTCATAAATGTAATTTTGCAAATCTCATAAAAACTAAAACTCCTTTTACATAATGTAATGAATAGGTGATGGTGGCATGCATAATGCAATTTTCACAAATGAAGTTAAATGTGAGTTCATATTTCTGTATTCAAGAAAAATATGAACTAACTCAATAAAGATGAGCAATATTAACCTTAAGGAGTTAATCATCAGAGTGAATGAGGGAAAATAGTATAATTAGCAATGTATGAAGGTAGTCATTAAGGTGAACCAAGGCACATAATATAGCTTCCCATATAATATAAACAAAAACCAAAGTTCCCATAGCAACACAAACTTTTCTCCAACGTACACGTACTATACATTGGATTACTGGTTAGAGCTTTAATTTACAGTTTCTTTTCCATTTGTGTAATAAGGGCATATTAACATGGTTCTGAGAACAATAAGATTTATATAGTCACATTCAGCTGTGTTTAGATTTGCTACCTTCAAACTTAATTTTCTATTTAGTTGACATTCCCTAAAAATATGCTAGCATTTTAGATCAATTTCATTAAAAGTCACACTGATCTTATTTGTGGCAATGTTTGTAAGCATTTTTATTCTTTAGCTCGCATGTTTTAGGATACACATGTCATGTGGATGTGAAATTTAATTTTAAAAACTTTGATGATTAAATATAGTGATGTTAAAATATAAACTTCTTTGAAAATTAGGAAATTTAGTAGCCAGCCCCAAATTTTTTCACATAAACAGTAAAATAATAGATGCCACACAATAACATTCTTTGTTAAATATGGGCAATTATTTTTTGCAAGAAAATTTTTCTCTTCTCTAATTCTAGCTCAAATAATGTATCCCATTATAGCTATATTTTTATTTTGAATTTCTTCTCTATAAACAAAATAGGGCTACTTAAACATTTACATTTACAAAGAATTTTACAATCATTTATATACTAATATTCATAAGATTTTTGTGACTGTGCTAGATGGGTGATAACTACAATTGTATTTTATATATGGAGAAGGATGCAAACACATAAGGTCACACAACAATGATAAACTGGCAATATAGTGGTCACCCAGGATATTAACATTAAAGTCCTACATTATTTGTAGTAGATGAAGAAGACTAGGGGAGAAATCTTATGTTTTATTTCATATTCACACATTTTATTCATCTAGAGGTAAACACCTATGCATTTTTATTGAGAACTGACAATTGAATGCTTAGGATATGCTGAAGAATTTTATTGGTTCTCTACTTCAAAGAGAAATGGAACTTTTTGAGATTTAAATTATTGATATATTTTGCTCATTGTAAAATGGAAAGAGTTTAAGAGAGGCTTTTTTTTTTTAACTAATCTATCTGTCCTTAAATGCAATGCTCTCTAAGGTTTGTCTCTTTTGGAATTATATTATGACAGGGACAGAAGAATCAATCTTTAAGTGAAGTTTAGTGTGAAGTCTCAAAACTAAAATATTTTGGAATTTAAATTCTCAATGGCATATAATTGAGCATCTGATATGGATTATAATTTAAATAGGCTGTATAAAAATACAAAATTCATTGCAAACTTTCCAGAAAACATAGATTTACATTCTTCCATTAGTTAAAATATCTTACTTAATAAGCATATATATATATATGAGAAGCTGAAAATAAACTTCAGAAGCTGAAGTTTAGTGTAAAGCCTCAAAACTAAATTATTTTGGAATTCAAATTCTCAATGGCGTATAATTGAGCATCTGATATGGCTTATAATTTAAATAGGCAGAATAAAAATATGAAATCCTTAGCAAACTTTCCAGAAAACATAGATTTACATTCTTCCATTAGTTAACATATCTTACTTAATAAGTATTAATATATTTATACATAAAATAAGAGAAGCTGAAAATAAGTGTATGCCATCTATCTTTGTTTTTACCAATATTTATTTTGTTTTGTTTTATAGATGGCATTAATATTTTAGGTTTTTTTTTAGCACTTAAAGATGTTCTCATTTGGTACCAGTATAAATGGTTTCATTCATGTTGCTGTTAAAATGAAAACACAGTGTCAGAATGTGAATTTTTTTTTTTTTTTTGAGATGGAGTCTCTCACTGTTGCCCAGGCTGGAGTGCAATGGTGTGATCTTGACTCACTGCACCCTCCATCTCCTGGGTTCCAGCAGTTCCCCTGCCTCAGCCTCCCAGGTAGCTGGGATTACAGGCATGCACCAGGACACTCGGCTAATTTTTGTATTTTTAGTAAAGACAGGTTTTCACCATGTTGGCCAGGCTGGTCTCAAACTCCTGACCTCAGGTGATCTGCCCGCCTCGGCCTCCCAAAGTGCTGGGATTACAGGCATGAGCCACTGGGCCCGGCCCCAGAATGTAAATTTTTAAACCAAGATGTCCAATTTCAGGAAGATAAGATCATCTCTTTTGAAGACAATGATAAATATTCAAGTTTTCCTTCATGAAGGTAATGTTTTTTGTCTAAGTCAACATACTTTACCATTTTTAAACTTTTCTCATCATATTTTTGACAGCAGGTTTTCCAATTTTGACAGCTCTTTAAAAGTAATTTTAACAGCCGAGTGATTTCTCTTCTAAGCAAAGTCAGATTATGTGAAATGTCAATGTAAAAACTATACACTTTGACACATAATCATTTTTAGTTGAATTTACTTATTAATTTTGCTTGCTATTACTAATAAAACATAAGTGCTTAGCTAATTGTATTGCTTTTTGAAATGTTTTAAAGGTATTTAAAACTGTATCCTTTTTACTACAAAATGTCTCATTTCATCACAATCACTTGCCCTTCCAAAAATGAAGAAGTGGGGGGAGTAGCGGTACTAGGTTGATATAAGGCAACTGAAAAGCTGAGAAAAACGGCTACTGTAAAGTAAAAGTCAAGCCCACATTGGTCCTAACCAGGATTATGATAAGGACAGAAGAATCTGAATCCCCTGGGGATCTTTTACAAAATATATGCATGCCCCATCTCCCCATACCCATACAAAGCTATCGTCTCAACATTATAGCTGAGGTTCTGATATACTCTCAGGGTAGGAGGACAAATAATGTCTTTTCACCCACCCACCCTCTCACCCGGTAGAAAACCTTTGGAAACAATTTAAATAAAAATTGGCAACTACCTTGACTGAATTAATCCAATTAATTTCTTCAATTCTTTATTTCACAAAGTGTTGCAGGAAGTGAGGTAATTATATGACAAATATAAACAAATGGGTTGTCAGTTAAAAAATTATCTTCTCTTTATAATATTTGCTCTACTCGGCCTAGCGCGGTGGCTCACGCCTGTAATCCCAGCACTTTGGGAGGCCGAGGTGGGCGGATCACTAGGTCAGGAGATTGAGACCCTCCTGGCTAACACAGTGAAACCCCATCGCTACTAAAAATACAAAAATTAGCCAGGTGTCCTGGTGCATGCCTATAATCCCAGCTACCTGGGAGGCTGAGGCAGGGGAATCGCTTGAACCCAAGAGGCTGAGGTTGCACTTAGCTGAGATCTACTCTTCTGTTTCATGATCATTTACTTTGGTGATTGAAAGCTTGTTTTTTCACAAAATGACACTGTTATAATTGTAAAGAAAATAGTTTTACAGAAGAGGATTTCATTTTAGTTGATGATCCACCACTATGTGTTAAGTCTCATCTGACCATTCTTCCCTCCCCCCAACTTTTAACTTTTATTTTAAATTCTGGGGGTACATATGCAGGTTTGTTCCAAAGGTATATTGCATGAGATAATGGTTTGGAGTACAATTGAATCCATCACCCAGGAAGTGAGTATAGTACCCAATAGGTAGTTTTGCAACCCTTGCCCCCTCCCTCCATCTCCCTTCTAGTATTCCCCAGTGTTTATTGTTTCCATCTCTATGTCCACCTGTATTCAACATTTAGCTCCTACTTATAAGTCAGAACATGTGGTATTTGGTTTTCTGCTTCTACATTAGTTCGTTTAGGGTAATGGTCTCAAGCTGCATCATGTTTGTAAAGGACATGATTTTGTTCTTTTCATGCCTGTGTAGTATTCCATGGTGTGTGTATATCTGCTTTTCTTTATCCAATCCACCATTGACAGGCACTTGAATCTATCTTATTTCTTTGCTATTGTGACTAGTGCCGCAATAAACATATAGGTGCAGATGTCCTTTTAGTAGAATAATTTATTTTCCTTTGGGTACAAACCTAGTAATAGGATTGCTAGGTTGAATGGTAGTTCAACTGGTAGTTATTTGAAAAATCTCCAAACTGCTCTCCATAATGACTGAACTAGTTTACATTCCCACCAACAGTGTGTAAGCGCCCTCTGCAGCTCTGCCAACACTTATTACTTTTTTAACTTTTTAACAACATCCATTATGACTAGTATGAGATGATATCTTGTCGTGGTTTTGATTTGGATTTCTCTGAGGATGAGTAATGTTGAGCATTTTTTCATATGTTTGTTGGCCATTTGTGTGTCTTCTTATGAAAAGTGCCTGTTCAGGTCCATTGTCCACTTTTTAATGAGATTATTTGGTTTTTGCTTGTTGATTTAAGTTCTATATAGATTCTAGATATTAGGCCTTTGTCAGATGGATAGTTTGTGAATATTTTTTCTCATTCTGTAGGTTATCTGTTTACTGCTCTGAAAGCATCTCTGGCTGTGCAGAAGTTCTTTAGTTTAATTAGGTCCCACTTATCAGTTTTTGTTTTCATTGCTTTTGAGGATTTAGCCATAAATCCTTTGCCAAGGCTGATGCCAAGAAGGGTATTTCCTAGGTTTTCTTCTAAGATTTTTGTAGTTTGAGGATATGCCCACAATTCTAAGAATAAGAATTGTATCTAATGTATAGCATAAGAAATTCTATTAATAATGAACTAAGCAAAATTTAGTAAAGTCAGATTGTTTTTATTGGAAAAATTTATTCAGAAATATACACTGTCTCAAGTATTAAACTGGATTCTAAATCATCCTATGTCCCCAATTATTTCAGAAATACTCCATCTCACTTTAAATGAGTAGATTTGCCCTAGAAGAATTAGGAGCATTAATTACATTTGCAATATTATCAAGTAAACAAAGAAAAAAAAATGGGCCAGGCTCAGTGGCTCACACGTGTAATCCCAGCACTTTGGGAAGCTGATGCGCGCTGATCACGAGGTCAGGAGATCCAGACCTTCCTGGCTAACACAGTGAAACCCCGTCTGTACTAAAAATACAAAAAAAAAATTAGCCGGGCCTGGTATGGGGCGCCTGTAGTCCCAGCTACTCGGGAGGCTGAGGCAAGAGAATGATGTGAATGAGGCGGAGCTTGCAGTGAGTCGAGATCGCGCCACTGCACTCCAGCCTGGGTGACAGCGTGAGACTCCATCTAAAAAAAAAAAAAAAAAAGAAAAAAGAAATTGTAAGTTCATTTAAGCACTTCCTAGTACATAACATCACTGAGAGGTTGTACCCCATCGTCTGTCTCATTCCTTCTAATGTTGGGGAAGATATTACCACCATAAAATTTTTCCATTTTTCTGTTCAGATCTTGGTTCTACAAAATTCTTCCTATAAGGAATGATAATTTACCACCAACCAGTTTTCATTTGTTGGCCTTAGTGGTTCTAGCCAATTAAGCTATTTACTTTTCATGTTGCATTGTTCAAGTCTCTATGCTTCTCTGGGTTCATGCTTCATCCTTGATGTAGTCAGCTAGCATTCTTCATCCTTAAAGCTGATATCTGTGACTCCAGTTCTTTCATCGCTCTAATTTATCCTGAAGTCTGTGTCATCTTGCCTCCCTTCTCAGAAACCTTCAATGGCTCCCAGTTTTCCAAATGAATTAGGTACAAACTCCTTAATTTGAGTGAAAATTCACAGATGAAACTGGTAACTTGTATTGTCTCTGGAGGAGAACAGGTCACTTGGTGGGGCGTATGGGTAGACATTTTTACCAGATTCTCTGTTTCAAACATTTTGGAAGGTTTCTAAAAAGCTTATAGGACCTATGACCTGTGCCTTATAGGGCTAATACAGTTAAAAATACTTTGGTCAATTCAATTTATTTTCAACAACCAGACATGTCCCTCACTTCTCACTACCACTCCAGTGAAATTTCTCTCATTTTGGTCAGCTAAATCATTCTAGACCTCACTTTTCTTGATCTCATCATGGTTAGGCTAACTAAGCTCTTATTTTTGAAATTCTCTATTGGCCTTGCAATGCATGTTTCTCCTGCCTTTTCTCCTTCTACTCTAACTGCTTTGTCCTAGCCTTCTTCATAGGCCCTTCTTTCTTTGCTCATCCTGCAATTGGTACTTCCTATAGTTCCATCTTAGGTTTTCTTGCTTATTAGTTTATTCATTCTTCTTTTATGTCTTAATTTGGTTTTCGCCATTGCAGACTCTAAGTCAGCTACTTCAAGGCAAACAAATTATTTTGTTAGTAATGCCAGAAAGCACAAATTAAAAAAAGTGGAAAAAGCAAAACATAAAAGAATATGTTGATGAATGGGTTTCCACTGTGGGAAATTGAAGCCGAATCCATTAAAAACTCTTTAATGTATCATGTAGAGTATGTCTCAGAATTGTTCAACTGAGAGAGAACCTGAGCATTTATCCCCTGCCTCACATCCTCATTTCCTAAGGTTGCCCCTAAGGACATTAAATTCCGGCTACCCTGTATGATGTCTGAGCAAGCTCTTATGGCATTGGAAAAAGCTCTTGGTCAGAGAAGCAGAGATTAAGGAGTTTGAAGTAGAAACCTGCCAGTGATAATAAAAACTATCCATTGGGACTACAAATGAATTCAGAGAATATGAAGTGGAGTGTTACAAAGCTATATTGAATGATCTTATCCGTACTCATAGCTTCATATACTACCTATTTACCAATCACTATCAAACATTTATCTTCAGTCTAGATCTCTCTTTTGAGTTCAAAGGCTCATTGGGCTTTGACACCTGAATATCATAAGAGCATCTCAAAATCAACTTCACAAAACTAAGTTCATCATCTTTTATTTAATTGTTTTTTATCTCTAGAGGTCATCCTACACCTCTTCCTTTCCCTACTCACAATGCATAAAGTCAAAAATGTTATCAAATCAACCTCTACATTTATTTTAAAGTGACTTTAAATACCCCCATTGCCAGCACCTTAGTTTAGGCCCTCATCAAAAATGTTTAGCCTGGTCTACTACAAAAGCTATCTAGCTTGTTTTTCTGCTTTGAATCACCTCCTAGCAAACATCCTCACAGTTGCCAGAATTATTTCCATCAAGCATGTAAATTTGATCTTCTGACTTTGGCTGAAAATACTTCAATAGTTCATCATCCCCTCCAAGAAAAGTCCCAACCTTTTAAAATGGCCTCTGAGGATTTTCGTGATACTGCATTTGACTACTTCTCCAGCTTCATCTTCTGCCAAAAGCTCTTACACTTCTGCCACTTTGCATGTTCAGTCCCTGTATCTGGGGCTTTCTTACTCATCTTGTCTACCTCACTAATGTCTCCTCAGATGTTAAGACCTAGCTCACTTCATCCTCTTTGGGAAGCACTCCCTGGTTCTACCAAGTAGAATTCAGTTTGACAAACACAGGAACAAAAATGGCATGTTAAGAAAGGCTGAACAGAAAAATTTCAAATCCAAAGGAGCCTGCCTGGATACAAAATCCAACATTTCAGTCAAGCAGAAGGGAAGAGAGACAGAAGAAAGCACTTGCCAGCCAAACCCTCCTGCTTTAATAAACTTTACTAGAAGCCTTGCCTAGTGACTTGTACTTAAATTTATTTGGCCACAACTGTGTCACAAGGTCGCAGCTAGCTGTAAGGGACAAAGAGTTTATACAGATTTTTTTAGCTGTGTACCTATCCATAACAAAATTGGGACTCTGTTAACAAGGAATGTGAGAATAACGGATTTTTTTACTGTTAACTATCAGTATCCTTAGCAATAGTTGGCATTAATACATTCTCATTATAAATGAGGAAATTAAGATGTAAAGAGCTTAAGTAATCTGTCCAAGATCACAATTAATAATTAAAGATTAAACCTAAACAGTCTAACTCTAGTATCATTGCTCACAACACTCATACATTTACTTATTATAAATATTTAGGTTCTAATACTTTGGTCATCCTAACCCTTAAAATAGGGATGGTATGTTTGTTCCTTAGCATCACTACATTGCCCAGAACAGGATTTTACACACAGAAAATTTTCAATATATGTTTCTGGATGATGATGAAGATGCTTAAAAATGGTTTCATTTCTTAAAATAACTGAAAACTTTCATGTTAACACATGCACGTTTATTTGATTGAATTCATGTGTGTATTTCTGCTCCCTTCAAAAATCTTATTAATGACAAGAACAATGGGATGGGAGAAGAAAAAGATAAAATACACGAATGAAATTTAGAAATTGCGGATAGAATAAGATGGTAGAAACTGACTTGCTAGACTACATGCGATGACATCCAACGGAGCCAAAGCCAAGATGAGTTGCTGAACTAAAAAGAGACTGGTTAATTAAAACTTTGCATACCTGCTTCCTCTTCTTTGCTGACAACCCAGGTTGGCCCCTTCTTGTAGGAGATTACAAGCTTCCTCCATAAAGAATACTAAAATTTGGGGATCTCCCACAGAAGTGCCCTAATCTCTACATTATCAACTGATGTGAAACTTACTACACAGTACTCCCCAAATATACAGTTTTCAAACAGCATTTTGGTGCTCTTTAGTTCTCAAATATTAATGAAAAGCCTCTGATATTAAATATAACAATTGCAACAAAAAGAGAAAAGTATTACTGAGAGGAAACAAAATCAAGGAGAAGAAAATTTTACTATAATTAATATCCTGAGAAAGATGAGTGAATATTTGCACCAATAAACCAAAAATGAAACATTCAGAGACCAAGAAAGAGTTCTTTGAAATATTAAGTAAGACAGCCAAAATAGACTATCATAAATTCAAGTTGGGATGTATGTGAAAGAAGAAAAAGTCTTTCAGAAAGCATAACAAAAAGGCAAAGAGATAGAAAATAGTTTTTTAAAAATCCTAAAATCAAAGAGTCAGCTCAGGAAAGTAAAAAACCAAATACCAGGATTTCCAAAACAGGAAAAAAAAAAAAAAAAAAAAAAAAAAAAACCATGAGAGAGGAAACTATCAGGGCAATAATACAAAAATATTTCCCAGACCCAAAACACATGAGGTTCCAGATTGAAAGTCACAACCAAGAATTCAGCAAAATTAATGAAAAAGTCCCACACCAAAGACACATAGCATTACAGAACTTTAAAATGGGAACAAGAGACACTATGGACTACTAGAGTAGGGGTGGGGGATTTGGGTTAAAAACTCCCTGTAGGGTACTATGCTGATTCTCTGGGTGATGGGATCGGTACTCCAAACCCCAATATCTTGCAATCTTCCCATGTAACAAATGTGCACATGTACCCCCTGTATCCAAAATAGAATTTAAAAAGAAAAACATACCATAAAAAATCCTAAAAAAAAAAGAAAAGAATCAACCCCGAGAAAGAAAAAGACAGAAAATAGAGCATATACAAAGAATCAAGAAACATAATCATATCTAACATCTCAATAGCATCACTCTTAAGAGAAGGTGGAAAACAATGGAGCAATAATTTTCAAATTCTGTGAGAAAATTATTTCCAACCAGACTATCAATTAAGAGCAAGAGTAGAATACAATCATTTTTAAGTAATTCCTAAAATAATTTTTCTTCTAGGTAGCCATTCATTCTCAGGAAGGTATTAAAGGATATACTCCACCAAATGAAAGAAATAAGTCAATGAATATCAAATCCAGGAAAAAGGGAATCACATTTAGGAAAGAGAAAAAAGTAATTTCCAGGATGACGAAAAAATGTTTGAGAAAAACAGCTACACAGTAGGCCTTGGCTAAACTAAACAAAACTGCCATAGAGCAGTCTGGGCCAGAAGAATAGATATCTTCAGAAAACAATAATAAAAAAAGGAAATACATATGTTATGTAATGTATTTGGGTATAAAAAACAAGATTTATAATTTTGGTAGAAAGTTGGCTCTGAAATAACAATGGTCACATAAAAAAAAACAACTAAACAAATGTAAAGTAATGTAATTATGAACCAAGCTCTAGGAAAAACAAAAAGTTGTATTAGAAAGTAAATGCAATCAAGGGGGCATACACTTAAAAGCTATACACGGTATTTGTAGTCAAAAACATATAACCACAGAATGTTGTTTTTTTAATAGCTTTATTGAGATAAAATTCATGTATCATAAAATTCATCCTTTTGAACTGTACAGTTTGGTGTTTCCAGTATACAAATAGAGTTGTGTACAACCATCATCACTATCTAAATTTAGAAAATTTTCATCACTACACAAGGAAACCCACACCCACTAGCAGTCACTCCTTATTCCCTCCTCTTCTGACTCCTAGCAGCCAGCAATATATTCAGTATCTCTACAGATTTACCTATTCTTGACATTTCTCATAAATGGAATTATGTAGTGTGTGGTCACTTGTGGCTGGCTTATTTAAGCACAATGCCTTCATGTTCATACATGTTGAACATTGAGACACTGATACATAGCATATATCAGTACTTCATTTATTTTTATTGCGAAATGTTTCTTTGTGTGGATACACCATATTTTGTTTATCCATTCATCTGTTGATTAACATTTGTGCTGTTTCCACCTTTTGGCTACTATAAATAATGTTTTTGTATGAACATATATTTTTATTTCTTTTGGGTACAACCTAGGAGTGGAAATAATGAGTGCCATGATAATTCTATTTTTAGTATTTTGAGACATTTTCAAGTTGTTTTACAAAGTAGTTGTATGACTTTACAGTCTCACCATCGATGTGTGAGTTTCACTTTCTCTACATCCTTCTCAATATTGTTATTGTTTGTTGTTATTGTTGTCTTATTTTAGCCATCCTTGTATGTGTGAAGTGATAATTCATTATGGTTTGATTTGCATTTCCCTAATGACTACTTATGTTGAAGATTGAGTATCTTTTCATGTGCTTATTGGCCATTTGAATATCTTCTTTGGAGAAAGGTCTATTCAAATCTTTTGCCCATTTTAAAATTGAGTTACTTGCTACTGTTGAGTTGTAAAAATTCTTTACATATTATGGATGCATGTTCCTTAACATATATGTAATTGATAAATATTTTCTCCTAACCTGTGAGTTAGAATATACTTTTAACCTAAAAATTTAATATAGTTATATTTTTAGACTAGAGTTGTAGGAAGTGATTTTATGTGTGTGTGTGTGTGTGTCTGTGCAATGTTTGTATGAATTTAGGGAGGATGTTTACTCATCCAGCAACTAATTGCACTTGAGAACAGAACAACAGCAAATATAATTCGTGCAATTGAGTGCTATGATGGTTTTCATATTATAGCACAAATAATAGGAAGTTGGTGAAAAGAAATTTTCAATGCCCCTTAGTATCTCCACATTCTCTACTCTGTCTCCTCTACTCCTTATCCCTTACTCTACAGATGTATAGTAGGGAGCTGAGAGAGAAAAAAAATTGGATATTTCTTAAAATGCTACAGTAATGACAAAATAAAAATTATCTACTAAAACTGAAGAATTAAACAAGTAAATTTGACAAATCAGGCTTTTTCAGATTAGCTTTTGAGAAAAGGATTTTCCTCAAAATGTCCTAGAGGAATACAACTTCTTCATGAAAAACATTCTCAGGCTTTTAGGAGGAAACAAGAGTCCAAAAAAATTAATAAATAAAGATTTTTATGATGGAAACTACCAAAAATCTAGGACAGTGTCCATAGTCTAGTATCAGTAATCTAGGACAGTATCCATAATCTAGGATATGCTTACTTTATGTTAACAGAATATGTTTATCAGATGATGGTTCTTGAAATCCTCTTGAATCTTACCATTAAAGATCATAGGAAGAAATATTATGTTTTTATGTGCCTATATTCATTTTTAATTTTCCAATGTAAAATTGCATTTATTAAACATCCATGTATTAAGTACTTATTATGCACAAGCACAAAATGTAAGCATGAACAAAGTAGACACAGCCCTTGCTGAAGTCCCATCCCTGGGGTCATGCCTAGCAGAGTAGACCCTTATTAATGTTCATACCTTGGGGACTAAATTATATGATGTGTATACAAAACAGAATAAGACAAACAACCTGCCTGCAGTAGGTTTAAAGTGTGTCTGTAATAAGAGGCTGAAAAACAAAAAGATACTTTTACAAAGTATGATAAGTGTCGGAGTACGGGTAAGTATATCACTTAACAAAGCCTGCAGTTGATGGAAGTGGTCAGAAGACTATTAAGAAAGTATCTGTGCTGAGACTTCAAGAACAGAGGTTGAAAAGTTGAAAAAGGAGTAAAAGTACACAGCACCAAGGGAAAAGTAGGTGCAAAGGTCTAGAGGGGAAAGCCATATTCACACATTCCTTCCAACTATACATATTTTTTTTCTCTTCTTTTCTTTTCTTTTTTTTTCAGATGGAGTCTCGCTCTGTCGCCAGGCTAGAGTGTGGTGATGCTATCTCGGCTCACTGCAACCTCCACCTCCCGGGTTCAAGCGATTCTCCTGCCTCAGCCTCCTGAGTAGCTGGGATTACAGGCGCCCGCCACCACGCCCAGCTAACTTTTGTATTTTTAGTAAAGACGGGGTTTCACTATGTTAGCCAGGATGGTCTCCATCTCTTGACCTCGTGATCCATCCACCTCAGCCTCCCGAAGTGCTGGGATTATAAGCGTGAGCCACCGCGCCTGGCCCCAATTATAATTTCAAGTATTTCAAACAAGGAAGTTTATCACTGACAAAATAAGATTAAAAAAACAAAATTATTGACATCATGGGGCATGCATTCTAGTGAGACAGACAAAAATGAACAAGATAAATAAATAAAATATATGTTAAATGGTAAGAAGAAAAATAAAACAGGAAAGGTCATAAGAAGCACGAAGGAGTGGTTGAATATTTGATAGTGGGTTAGGGAATGATGCATTTGTATCTGCATAAAGGAAAGGAGGAGCGTGTGTATGTTAGTATGCCTGTGGAAGGGGACGTGTTCCCAGCAGAGAGAACAGGAAATGCAAGTTTCCTGAGGCATGAACAGTTTGCGTATCCTTGAGAAAAGGAGGCAAAAGTGGCCAGACAGAGCAATGAAGAGACAGAGTAAATGAACACAAAGTCAGAAAGGTAAGTAGGGACTTGCCTATCTTTGCAATGATTTTGGCTTTTATCCTGAGTGAGATGAGGAAAAAAAAAATAGTGAGAAGTCGAGCAGAAAAATGACATTACCCACTTCAGATTTGAACATTTACTTGCTACCAGTTGAATAAAACCTAAAGAATGAGAAGAGCAGAAAGTAGCCTATTGTAAAAATCCAGGCAAGATATGATGATGTGGACTTGGGTTGTGGCAATAACAGTAGACGTAAAAAGTAGATGAATTTGGGATACATTTTGAAAACAGCCACCAACAAAAGCTAATGATAAAGTGGGTGTTTAAGTGAAAGTTAGCAGCCAAAGACTAGTCTAAAGAATTTTGGTCACTTTGGGAGGCCGAGATGGGTGGATCGCAAGGTCAGGAGATTGAGACCAGCCTGGCCAACATGGTGAAACCCCGTCTCTACCAAAAATATGAAAAATTAGCCAGGCATGGTGGCGCACGCCTGTAATCCCAGCTACTCTGGAGGCTGAGGCAGGAGAATCGCTTGAACCCGGGAGGCGGAGGTTGCAGTGAGCCAAGATCGGGCCATTGCACTCCAGCCTAGGCAGGAAGAGCAAAACTCCGTCTCAAAAAAAAAAAAAAAAAAAAAAAAAAAAGAGAGAGACAGAATTTTGGTTAGAGCAATTGGATGAAAGGAATTGCCTACCCCTGCAAAGGAAAAGACTAGGCGAAGACCAGGTTATGGGAGAATAACAGTAAGTTAATTCTACACATGTTGAACTTAAGATGTGTATTTGCTACCCAAGCAGAGGTATTTTATTGGCAGCTATAAATAGTGGAATTTAGAAAAGAAATATGACACATTTATATATTTATTTATATATGTGTATAGATTTATATATTTTATACTTCTATATTTTACATAGAGTATGAATATTTTATATATTATCATATTAAATATACTTACATATTATATCAGTGTATCAATGACAAAGTCTTGAGAAGAATGAAATTCAGCAAAATAATTATTAAGCATAGAAAAAAGAATTGATGTGAGTTCTGAGCCTAGAGACTCTATGACATTTAGAAGCCAAGGAGATTGGGAGGAAATTAAAAAATCTAAGAGGGAGCATCCAGAGAGATAGGAAAAACATAACAACGGTGTAAATTTATTGTTTTGGAAGCCAAGCAAAGAAAGTGTTTCAAGTAGACAGTAATCCATTTTGTCAAATGTTAACAAGGGTTCAAGTAAGATGAGGACTGAGAATTTAGCAACATGGAGTTCATGGGTAACCTGGATAAAAGCAATTTTAGTCGAATTTTGGTGCTGAAAATTCCTTTGGAATAGATTCAAGAAAGAATAGAAGGAGAGAAACTGGAAACTTTATGCAGAAGCATCTTGATATGGTTTGGCTGTGTCCCCATTCAAATCTCACCTTAAATTGTAATAATCCCCATGTGTCAAGGGTGGGTCCAGGTGGAGATAATTGAATTATGGGGGCAGTTTCCCACATACTGTTCTCGTGGTAGTGAATAAGTCTCACGAGATTGGATGGTTTTATAAATGGGAGTTCCCCTGCACAAGCTTTCTTGCCTGCCACCATGTAAGATGTGACTTTGCTCCTCATTCACCTTCCACCATGATTGTGAGGCCACCCCAGCTGTGTGGAACTGAGTCAATTAAACCTCTTTCCTTTCTAAATTACCCAGTCTTGGGTATGTCTTTATTAGCAGTGTGAGAACAGACTAATACACATCTTTTTTCAATAAATTTTGTTGTAAATGAAATTAGAGAAGAGGAAAGATTGTAAAGGGAATAAGCTGGAAAGGGAAGTGGAGTCAAAAGGGAGGCCTTTAGAAATGGAAGTGACAGAAACATGTTTACGTGCTATGTGAATCATCCAGTAGTAAGGGCAGTATATGTAGCGTAAGAAAGAAAAATATGTGTGGTGCAAGAAAGAGAGTTGCTGGATTTACATCTTAAGGTAGGCGGGAAGGGAACTGAATCCAGCACAAAAATTGAAGGCTACACTTTGTTAGGAGTATGGAAATGAAAGTTCAAGTAAATTAGCACAAGTATACTTAGGTCAATAGATGTCGATACAGAAGCTCATGCGAAGTCTCTCCTGTTTACTTCAAATTTCTTAGTAAAGTGGAAATCATGGTCAACCACTTAGGATAAGGATGGGGAAAGAGGTGTAGGAGATTTGATGGGAGAAGGTATAAAATAATCATCTAAGTTTTAGGAAGGAGCTAGAAAAATATAGTGTGATTGCTAGACAGCATAAAGGAGCCACTTGAGATGAGTGATTCTAAACTTAAGGTGAGGTCAGCATTGTTTTGTATTTTTTCTCCAATTGCATTCAGTTGCAAGTGGGCAAATGCAGAGTAGGTTGAGGGTTTGATTTAACAAAAGTTATATTTTATCCAGTTGATCATAATGAAGCAAGAGTAGAGCAAAGAGGTAGGCGGTGTTTTCAGGGAAGTGATTATTGTTGACATAAGGTCTTTAGAAGGTCACACCAGTTTAAAACCAAGACACATTTTAAGCATCTTTGGATTTCATCAGTTGCTGTGTTTTATGGTATTCCTTGATAGCATGGGGAAACAGCATAGGGGGAAAAAAACACAGTTTGATGTGAAACTTTTCATTTTGTGGTTCTAAAATAGTTGCTTTTATTCTCCGCAGGTCTTTAAATGGATTCATTTGAAAATCAGAGTCCTCCATTATCAATAAAAGTATTATGATGTGGCTGCTCTAGAATAGCAGAAAGTTAAAAAACAAACTTAAAATCAGACAACCAGTAATATTAAATTTTCTCCGGGTGCACATTATTTAGTTCCTCATTAACTTAATTGTTTTCCAGTAAAAGTGAAGTGCACAATATGAAAATTAAATAATATTACATGTCAGAGTTTAAAAGAAATATTCATTTAACATTGGAATAGGTTTTTTCCCCAGGAAATCTTGTTCATTTATTTTGTGAGAATTTTTGTTTGTCGCTATTTGTTCAAAACATAATACAATTGTGAGACCCAGTGCCTGCTGGCAAAGTTGGAATAGCTGTCAGCAGGAAATGGCAAACTAATAATAAGTGCTGGTAAAATATTTATATTATAGTTTACTGGGAAGCTGAGTGTAGTTTTGTATTTCATTAGTGCTTGAGGCAGTACATAGTAACATTTTTTTTTTTGCTCCAAAATAAGTGGATAGAATTCTAAATGGTATAGTAACTTATCTTTCAACTATCAGCTGGGGAAAGAAAGAACTAATAATAATAAAGTCCTTTACTAGTTGAAATTTAAGAAATTTTAAACGAGGTCTATAGGGCAGTAATTAGCAGCATCTCACAGTCAGTGTTATTGGACACTAGACTGCTGGATCAGCCACTTCTGTATGCAGACTAGTAATTTAGCTCTGGTTCATAATTTTCAATAACAGAGCTATTCAAGAGGGAGGGGTGGTCTTAAACTACCAGAGGACTCAGAAGTATGGTGATGTTCAAGTACAACACTATGTTTATGTACTCCCCAAAGTGTATCAAAGCTCAGATCCAGAGAAATAAAAGAAAAGTCAAACAAAACAAGCATTAGACTGCGTAAAATAAGGTATGGACAAGGCAAACAGGTGAGGCATTGTTTAGGTGGCTAAGGTAGATCAATATCTATTCTTACAAGCCAGGAATCCTGCCTGCTTTCCTCTGGCGCTCTGCAGATCATCTTACGGCTTGCAGACAGACTGTCGCCTAACCCCAACTGACAGACAACCTATTTCACCCCTGTACAAATCATACCCATCTTCTTTCTTTGTGGTTCACTGAGGGGAGAAAAAATATAACTGTCAACATAAAATAATACCAGATTGGTTTTACTACACTTTAACATCCCTGTTCATTAACTTAATTTCAAAAGGACTGGTCCCCAATTTCTCTTTTATATATAATTTTAACCTACTTAATAAAATGCAAGTGTATTGTGAATATAACTGTTTGTGTGTGTGTGTGTGTGTGTGTGTGTTTGTCTGTGTGTGTTTGGCTAAAAGAAGTGGCCAAATTTATCCAAATAGTGAACATACGTAAGTGTCTGGCACATAATAATCGCTAAATAAATACTAGTTTAAAAATAAAATAAATAAACATTAGTTATATCAATATTTCTATCATAATAATTTTGAAAACCTAACAGAGGAATGCACAGAGAATCAATTAGAGACTGAGGGAATAAGGGTTTATACGCACCTTGTATTTCATAGAACAGGGAGGCAATATTTCAGCAATTTTGAACACATGTTTAACAAGCTCATGATAGCTAAACTTTGAACAAACATGAGAAAGTCAGATTGTTGGTGGGGCGCAGTGGCTCATGCCCATAATCCCAGCACTTTGGGGGGCCGAGGCGGGTGGATCATGAGGTCAGGAGTTTGAGACCAACGTGGCCAACCTGGTGAAACCCCGTCTCTACTAAAAATACAAAAATTAGCCAGGTGTGGTGGGGGGTGCCTGTAATCCCAGCTACTTGGGAGGCTGTGGCTTGAACCCGGGAGGTAGAGGTTGCAGTGAGCTGAAATCGCGCCACTGCACTCCAGCTTGGGTGACATAGCAAGACTCTGTCTCAGGGCGGGGGGAAAAAAGAAAGTCCAATTGTTTATGTTTTGTGACATAGTAACGTCAATTTGTCTTGTTCTGATAAAGTACAAATTTATGTATAACTTTTTGTAACCTTTTAGTTTTTCTGTACAGTGTTCTAATTCCAATGGGAAAACCAAATACAGGAAATTGTTCTCTAAAAATGTATAACACTTTTGCTCTATCAAAAATAGTCAAAATATAAAATCTGTTTTCTAATTCCATCAAATTTAGATTATCCAGACTTCCATGCAAATTAATCATTATATAAATATTTTACTTTACATATATAATTCTTATTGAGTTTCTTTTCACTTCATAGGTTTAACTAAAGAGAATACCTTCTACTGATGTAACAGCAATGGTAATTGGTATAAAGGCAAAAGCATGTGCAAAGGAGAAATCACAACAAAGGCCACTTATTGAAATAAAACCTATTAAAAATGTACATTATCCTCTTGATTCTGCTTTGGCAAATGGGGGCCATTTTGTATGTTTCATTCTTGAGCATAGAATTTACTGAGACTTACCATTTTTCATGTTTGTGTAATAACTTAGATTTTAATATATTCAGATTTTCATACAGAAACCCATCCTGTTCTTTTTTTGTCCTCTGAGTTGACTAATAAAAGGAATGGCAGTTTTAACATCATATTAAAAGTACTAAAAGCCAAAACTAAGATCCTTATTATAGTGGTTGTAAAAACTTTGGCTGAATCTTGAAAGTGGAAAAGGTCATATTTTGCAGACTGGTGCATATCATATCACTAGATAGTAAGAATATGTCTTTTCATTGCTGCTACAGTTTTCTGCTTACCTTTTTATGGTGGAAGAAATGTAATTTACTTGTCAGATTGAAACATTTGATATAAATCCTTATCCTATCTTTTGAACTAGTATTTCTGAAACACTACATTATAAACAAATATCATGTTTAATTAAACAACTACTTTACTCCTAACTGAACAAGAGGGTATGATTATATTAATTTAATAAAAAGCTTTTGACTAGAATTTAAAAAAACATTTCAACTCAGCAAGAAATATGATTTTACTAATTTAAAATTGAGCTATATGATCAGAATGTAAACAGAATATTTTAAGTTCCTGTCTTCAAGATATAAAAAATACTTTTAAGAGAGAAAACTAATAAGATTTAGAAGATATTCATTTACATTAAAATTTCTTCTTCAACCTACTAATCTACATGCAAAACTAAATTTAAAAGTCAATTAACAGTTCACTATAATGCTAAAAACCTATTTTAAATATAAACAATTGTGATTTTACCAAGAGATTCATTTTTCTTTTGTGTGTGTGACTGATTTTTCACAGCTAAAGCTTAGCAATTCTGAAACATGTTAGTACAATTCTAATAAGAATAAAAATAAGGTGAGGTAAATTGAATAATTAGGCACACTATACCGTATATGATTATGTGTGTGTGTGTTTATGTGTGTATGCATAAAAATATATATTTAAATATATAATGTACATGATTCTTTGAATTCCAGGAATTAATTTTATCTTCAGACTTCAACATAGAAAATAATAGATTTACTGTAATCACTCAAAGCCACTTAATGCTGAAGGTCAATTCATTTTTACAAATTTGTGGGAATAAAGAAAAACCAAAAACTGGATTCTGACCTAATCAAAGCCATAAGTTGTTTGTTAAAATATGCATTGCTAGCATCCTAATTATCTCTATTTGTGTTTGTTTAGTTAGATAAACAAATGAAACATTTCTGATCCAGATGTGACTATCTCAGCGCTGTCATTTACCTTTCAAGGATCATAGAATTTTTGCTTTTAACACATTCCCTTGAGTACCTACGTGTTTTCATTATAAACTAGAGTTGAGAAAACATGTCAGATGCTAAATTCAAAATCCACCATGCAGGAAACATGGAGAAATATAACAACTGTTTTGGAAGAAAATGTCTTGAAGTCAACTTACATAAAATCCTAAATGATTTGCCAATGAATTTTAATTAACATTTACATTACACACAACTTCAAATGCTAAAATAATTTCTGCATAACTACTATAGAATTGAAATTATTTTTGACAAATATGCATAAAACCTTAAGCTGAAATGTATATGTTCTATAATATAAAAGTTTAATGATAAAAATGTAGAATTTATAATGCCGATTTAAGATATGAAACAAAAGAAATAAAGTAGTTTAAAGTCTAGAGCACTTAAACCCTTTTAATACTTAACACATGATATAAAATCTCATACAGAACATGCAGCACTCAAGGTAATAATTTTGTATATGAATATTCAATAACTTGTATGTCCAAGTAGACTGAAAACTTTAAAATTCTTTAACAGGCTCACATTCGCTAGAGTAGATGAAAATGAAAATTTTACGATGGTTGTGTAAAGGGTAAAATAACTCAAATTGTTTTCTCAGTAAATGCTACCACATCTTCATCAATCAACTGCTATTCTTAAATATCAAGAAAATAACTTGTATAATACAAACAATATAGTCAACAAAAAGCTATATACAAAGATAGCTAATGCAAGATCACTGAGCTTATAATACATAAGGCCAAAAATATTTCATCCCAGTTCTTTTTATTTTTTATTTTATTTTATTTATTTATTTATTTGAGATGGAGTCCCACTGTGTCACCCAGACTGGAGTGCAATGGCATGATCTTGGCTCACTGCAACCTCCACCTCCTGGGTTCAAGCAATTCTCCTGTCTCAGCCTCCCGCGTAGCTGGGGCTACAGGTGTGCACCACCTTGCCCAGCTAATTTTGTGTGTGTGTATTTTTAGTTGAGACGGGGTTTCACCATGTTAGCCAGGATGGTCTCGATTTCCTGACCTTGTGATCCGTCCACTTCGGCCTCCCAAAGTGCTGGGATTACAGGCACACACCACCGCATCTGGCCTTATCCCAGTTCTTATGTGGCTACATACTTAATATATTTCTACTTAACAAAATAGTAAAATGCCATTTTTTACTATTTAATGTATATTTGCAAACATTTTCTCTCACAGAATTGTTCAATTAAAAATATGCATTTCTAATTAAATAACTAATGTATTTATGAACATTCATTTTCAACTTTTATTTATTTAATAAAGGCTAAAGTTGGTTAGGCTGGCATAAAAAACAAAATTATGATGTTACAATGAACTCTCTAGCCTCCTTTAATTTGCAAACAGGTAATTATATGAAAAATTATAAAATGCATGCACTAAAAAGCAGTTGGAAAAAAACAAATATTTTATATAAGAATTAATAGTGCTATAATCACTAGAAGCAGAAGTATGTACATGAATGTATAATCATCTAAAGAATGTCAATCTTTTGTTTCTTTTATTTCAGGAGGCCATAATCCCAAACAAATTAATGCAGTGATAGAAAACCAAATACCTCACGTACTCACTTCTATGTGGGAGCTAAACATTGAACACATATGGGAACAATAGACACTGCAGACTACCAGAGTGGGGAGGTCGAGATGGGAGTGTGGATGGAAAAACTACCTATTGGGTACAATGCTCACTGACTGGAGGCAATGTATTCATGTAACAAGCCTGCACATGTACCCTGTACCGAAAATAAAAGTTGAAAAAAAAGTCTTTAACTTCACTTAATAACTAAAATGGCCATTTAAAACTGTATCTAAATATGTATCACAAACATGTCTTTTATTAAATATGGATAATAAGGGATATTTTAATCTCTATTAAAAATATCAAAATATAATGCCAGTTTCATATATGCATATTAATTATGAGAAAATAATTAAAATAGTGATTTCTTACAAAGTAGTATCAATATAGTTGAAAATACTCTCAGTGGAAAGGAAACCATTAAATATACACAACGAGTCTCCAACAGATTATTGGTATTAATAAGTAAATTGTTTAGAGTGCTATTTGTTATTATTTGGAATTTATTAGGCAAAGTGTCAAATAAGCAGGCAATATGAATCTCTTTCCTTAACCATAATGAGTAAACACTGTCATGGAAACATTAAAAGTCTTTCATTTGGAAAGACCCCAAGAATTCATGAGCTGAAAGGGTTTTAATATAGGGAACTCTCATCAGTAAAGTGGAACTTTTGAAAAAGCATATTTTGGAGAATCATAGTAAAGTTTTACATTGTTTGTAAAGTTTAACGTCACAGCAATTCTTCATAGAAAAAAATCTTAAATCTAAGATTGTCAATCCACTTCTTTTCGAGTATTGTAGTCACTTAGAAATAGCAGTTAAAATTGAAAAAAAACCTCTTAAAAGCATTGACTTTTATACTTCATTCCAACTAAACAATTCACTATTTACTTATTTCACAGTTAATCTCTATGCTAAATCTGAAAGTATGCTCTCAATAACAACTATAATAAAAGAATGTTGGGATAATGACACAAGATGATAAAAGCAAGGAAATGCTCATTTAAGGATATAATCTCTGTCATATATACGAGCTTTAAGTAGAAATGAGGTAGGATAAATGCTTCACAAAAAGTTATCCAGAGAATTCCTATAGAACAAAGACTTATCAAAAGGTGATACTTTCCAATCCTTGTTGACAAAGACTTTCTAATATAAGATATATTGTTCTATAAAACTATGTGCAAATTAATTTCCTAGGCAAGAGTTCCTCACCATCTTTAGGTAACTGAAAATTTATAGAAGAATCGTAAAACTAATTTTGTTAGTGGCAGTGTTTGGTTAATTAGTAGGGCAGAAGTAATGCTGTGTGGTCAGCAAACCCATTTTTTTTTTCCTTCAGATAGGATCTCACTCTGTCACCCAGGCTGAAGTGCAGTGGCACCATCATGGCTCACTGCAGCCTTAACCTCCCGTGCTCAAGCAATTTTCTCGCCTCAACCTCCTGAGTAGTTGGGTCTACAGGCGCATGTCACCACGTCTGGCTAGTTTTTTAATTTTTATTTTTTGTAGACACATGGTCCCACTATGTTGCTCAGGCTGGTTTCAAACTCTTGGATGCAAGGTATCCTCCCATCTTTGCCTCTCAAAGTGCTGGGATTACAGGCGTGAGCTACTGTGCCAGCCCATTTCTTTTTCCTCCAAAATACACAGCTAAATTATATTCCCACACCTCCCCTGCAATTAGGTTGGGCCATGTGGTTGACTTCAAGTTAATGGGATTAAGGAATTATCCTGCTGGCTCTCCAATAAGCTTTCTTCCCTCCTTACCCAATGTTGTGTATCCTTTGGAAGACTCCAAAGCCCTAAAGAATGGCAGAGTCACTTCCAGGGTTCCTGAATGACTAAATGGGACTCAATGAAACAGATTCACCCCACTCTTCACCCAACTTGCACTGGAATGTGATATGAGGGAATAATAAGTCTTGATAGTATTAAGCCATTGAGAGAGATTTGGGAGAGTCTAGAAGATTATTCATTCATTAATTTATTCCTCAAATATTATAAATGATAAAGAATTACAAAAAATAAATATAAGATCTGATACTTCAGAGGACGGCAATGGCGGGACCGTAATCTATCTAAATATTAGAGTGGAAATAATTTCTAGAAACTATATGATCTCGAGTATTCTGCAATTGGTCCCTGTGAAAATTTTGCTGCCCAAATCATATCCTGAATCAACATCATCTTATTATGATAATAATATTATTACTCTTAGTGATAAAATGTCGAGGCATTATTTTACATTCATGTCCATACTCTGGGCACAGTGCTAAGCATTTATGTGAATTATTTATTTTAATTTTGAAGTGACCGTACGAGGGAATTTTAATAATACACTCTTTACACTGAGGAAATTGATGGTATAAAAGTAAAGGTGATCTCACATCAAATAAATAGTGAATCCAGGATTCAAAAGAAAGTTTTTGACTCTATGGCCATTCTTTAAAGGTAGACAATTGCATTGTGGGTGATATTTGGTTCCAACAAATTATTGTTTGAACAATGATAACTTATTTCAACAATTCTCCTACCCATGTAGTTGTATGTGCACTTTGTATATCACAGAAAAGGCTAGCAAGAAAACCTGAAGTTGACAAATTTATTATAATCCTGGCTTTACCCCTCATACTGGATACTTTACACCCTGACGTTTATCAACATGCCAAAAAATTATCCATCAAATGGGGGTACACAGCAAAGAAATCACAGGTTGGGCTCCATGGCTCATGCCTGTAGTTCTAGCACTTTGGGAGGCCAAAGCAGGCTGATTGTTTGAGCCCAGGAGTTCAAGTCAAGCCTGGACACCATGGCACAACCCCTTCTCAACAAAAAATACAAAAATTAGCCGAGCGTGGTGGAGCATGCCTGTAGTCCCAGCTACTCAAGAGGCTGAGGCTGGAGGATCACTGGAGCCTGGGAGGCGGACACTCCAGCCTGGACAACAAAATGAGATTCTGTTTCAAAAATAAAAATAAAAATAAATAAATAAAGAAAAAATGAAATTATAATGTTTTACCCAGAAATTATTCATTTATGACAAATTGTTATGAGAAAAACCTCACTAAAGGCCAGGATCATTGCTCACTAAAATGTTTCTACCATTATAAATAGTATATTTGAAATTTGTGTGATTAGTTTATTTTCTTTTAATCTTTTCTGAGACAGGGTCTTCCTATCTTGCATGAGCCAGAGTGCAGTAGTGCAATCAGCTCACTGCTACCTTGAACTCTTGGGCTCAAGAGATCCTCCCACCTCAGCCTCCCAAGTAGCTAGGACTACAAGCATGTGCTACCATGTCTGACTAATTTTTTGGGGGGTAGAGGGGGATAGAGACAGGGTCCTACCATGTTGACTTAGTTGGTCTCAAACTCCTGGCCTCATGTGATCCTCCTGTCTTGGCCTCCCAAAGCACTAGGATTACAGACATGAGCCACTGTACCCAGCCCTGACTGATGTATTTTCTAAGAACACAGCTACTTTGACAGCTAAATAATAATCCAGAATGTTGTTTGAAAAACAAGAATTCTGAATGAAAAATTTTATGGATAGAACATTTAATAACATCAAGTTTAATTAGCCTGATATTAATTCACAATAGTAGTGGCCTTGTCACTGGGACTGAAGTCCAGTGGAATAAAGTCCCCACCCTCGTCTCTGAATCATATTTGAGTAGGGAATTCTTACGCTGTTTCTGGCTTTTCTTTAGTAGCTTTCATGGCTAAATTTTTTTTTCTGTAAATATGTAATAGCTTCTATTAGTTTTTGTTAAAGCCTGCTGGATAGGAATTAATCTGTTAAGATAACTTTGCACATATTTTGCTGATCTATTTTGTTAAATCTGCAATTTTAACAACCAAAGGGCAATCTCATTTTGTGTTCTTTATTTCAAATTTCTTGCTCGTGCCTTTCTCATTATAATCTATAAGAATCAACAAGAACTGAAAATAATTTCAGGACAAGAGAATGTACACTGAAAAATCCTGGCTATCTATGAGAAATGAGTGAAGATAAATAATTGCAGCTGTTCTCTTTTTCTTTCACTTAAGGTAGAAACAGTGTGTTCACAGAATTCAGTTAATTATTACAATACACATCTTGATTACCATACCAAAACTCTCCAAATTCTTCCTATAAGAGGTACAATGTTTCTTTATAATGGTGCCAAACTGGTACCAATGGTAGGCAACAACTGCTGCACTGGAAGGAAGTAGTTCATAACTAAAAGCTAATATACAGTGTCAGAGAAAAGTGGTGCTACATCAGTTGCACTCCATCAATAAAAAAACTAGGTCTGTTCAAGCTTTATGCTGCCACAGTGCCGTGAACTTCAAGAACATTATCCAGTGGCTATAGTCTTAGTGTTCCTTTTTCCAACTAAGCAAATGCCAAGAGGAGTGCCTTCCCACAAACAAATGTGTAGGTGACAGTAAATGCAATAATAAGACTAATTAATCCACTGGGTGCTTCAAAAGTGGAATGAGTCAGCCCGACAGAAACATATAATTTTTTTTTTTTTTTTTTTTGAGACGGAGTCTCGCTCTGTCGCCCAGGCCGGACTGCGGACTGCAGTGGCGCAATCTCGGCTCACTGCAAGCTCCGCTTCCCGGGTTCACGCCATTCTCCTGCCTCAGCCTCCCGAGTAGCTGGGACTACAGGCGCCCGCCACCGCGCCCGGCTAATTTTTTGTATTTTTAGTAGAGACGGGGTTTCACCTTGTTAGCCAGGATGGTCTCGATCTCCTGACCTCATGATCCACCCGCCTCGGCCTCCCAAAGTGCTGGGATTACAGGCGTGAGCCACCGCGCCCGGCCTGAAACATATAATTTTTGTTCCTTTATTATTATTTCTTCTTTACCTGTGGAGCCAGAGGCAAGGAAGATGACCAAGAATTCAGACATAGGAGAGATCTGGATAAACTTAGGAACCTGTCTAATAGTTTAGACCCTGGAAGATACTGTAGAGGAAAGTTGTTTATTGTTGTTGTTTGTTTGTTTGTTTTTTTTAGTGCTGAAGTAACTTTCTCTGGAGACACATCATGAGCACTGTAAAGAACGTTGTTCTTCCCCAAATGCCTTTCTTCCTGGATCCAGCTACTTTTCTTTGAGTTGGAGAACTCATACTTGAAAATCTCTGATTGACAACAGCACACTGATGAGTAGATATTATTGGATGGGAAGCTGATGATCATGCCAGCCTTCACTGTATTGACTAATGAAAAACCTCTGAAAATAACAACATGAAAAGGACAAGGAAAAAGATTATCAGTATAGAAAAGGCAAAATTTCTTAATAAGAGAAATAAAGATAAAAACCTGATTACCAAAGCAAGAACAATTTTAAGGTATATTAATACCACGTTTGCAATTTTAAAATTGTTATGGTGATTTGCTATGTTGTTAAGTTCACCAAGTTTTATTTTTTATTATAGAGTTAATTTAATTGATAATAAAATGAAAGAAATTTTATTTAAATAAGTATTGTCTATCATGTCACCATAAAAATTTGGTAAGGTCTGAATACTCAAGCTATTTCAGTAAAGCAAAGAAAGGTAAATTACTTGTGCATAACCGAGCAGGTGCAATGTTATCCCACACACACACAAAAATATGATTAAATAAATAAAAGGAGCCAGATGCAGTGGCTCACAGTACTTTGAGAGGCTGAGACAGGTGGATCACCTGAGGTCAGGAGTTCGAGACCAGCCTGGCCAACATGGTGAAACACCATCTCTACAAAAATACACAAACACACACACACACACACACACACACACACACACACACACACAGTAGCCAGGCATGATGGCAGGTGCCTGTAATTGCAGCTACTCGGGAGGCTGAGGCAGGAGAATCGCTTGAGCCCAGGAGGTAGAGGTTGCAGTGAGCCAAGATCATGCCACCGCACAATAGCATGGGTGACAGAGCGAGACTCCATCTAAAAAAAAAATAAACAAATAAATAAAAGGAATTTAAAAGAGAAAATTCCAAGGAAGTCTTGGAAAAAAAAAATCTTACAGATTCTACACATCTAATTGTATTACTGTATTTGATTATTAGCAATGGTACAACTATAAAAGATATGACAATACAAACCAAACTCAGCAACTATATGGTTTCATTTGATTCTGCTTAAAAAGTTTCTGTAGTCAGCAACAAGATGAGCCATATTAATGGAGAGAAATCAGAAGAAACACAAAATTCTAAAAGAAAAAATACATATACTCCAAAGAAAAACTGGAAGAAACAGCTGACAAAACACTTAAAATAAGAGATCACTGCTATCTGGCTAAACTAATGAGTGGGAAAATAACTCAAAGAAGAATGAAAACTTTATTATGTCTCCACTACTAATGAACAATAGCTTGGGATACTTGTCTAAAAACTGTACTTTTTTTTTTTTTTTTTTTGAGACAGGATCTCTTTCTGTTGCCTAGACTGGAGTGGAGTGGCACAATCATAGCTCATTGCAGCCTTGACTTCCAGGGCTCAAGTGATCCTCCTACCTCAGCCTCTGCAGTAGCTGGGATCACAGGTGCACACCACCTCAAAAAACTGTACTTTTGGACAATGACTTTTGGTTAGTGGTTGTTTTGAACTCTGTAACTTAATAGTATGTGCATAATAAATAAATAAATAAATAATGGGCCAGTAAACTTTTCCTGATTACTTTCAAGAAAGAATCTGAAGCTTGATTATAATGGTGGAGGAAGCTTCCATTTTAGAGAATAACTTGTTAGTCCTATGTAATTATATTCTGAGAGACAAGATTTGACTTTCAAGTCCCAAAAAGTCATTATCATGATGCTCTACTTTAGTCATGTAACTGCAGATTTGTAAGAGTTTTCTTTTTTAAAAACAGGAAATCAAAAGGAATAAAGTACTAGCCAAATTGACAATGATTTCTTTAAATTTATGGGAAACGCAGTGCCTGTAGTTCATTATTTCAGTGACACATTTGGTTTGTCTTGTCAATAACTATTAAATGGGGGCAGTATATAAAGACGAAGAAGCATTTCATCTTTTTCCATCAGAAAAAGAAAATGCATTTATCCTGTGAATTACCTGTACTATTTCATGCATAGCACCTGTATTGCTGCCACACATCTGTGGAAACACAATATCAGCCAACTGTTAATCAAGGATCACTTCCCTTCAAAGTGACTGATGATCCACTGTTAAAACAGCTTATAAAAATAACTTCTTTGAAAAGGTGCTTCAGGGTTTTCAGACACATCTTACCAGTCCTGCTAGCTTAATGCATGTTTGAAAGTTAATTTCTCATTAATATTTAAAGAAGAAATGGCTTCAGAACAAAATTTAAATAATCCATTTTATTTTAGAAATACAACATTATTGGCATTATTTTCATTTCGATTACAAGGAGTGATAATGTCCAAGATTGGCTTTTAAAACTGTTAATGAGCCCTGGCAATGCGAAAAAGATATGGATTAGGTAGATGTAATGAGATATGATTAAAGGGTGCAGGCACTGAAGGGTGTTGGAGAAATTCTATTCAGAAAGCGTATAATTAGTGTCTGATAAAACTACTTAGTAGATAAGGTTTTTGAAGAAGAAAGGTTAAGATAAACACATACTTTATGACAAACCTGTTTAATTTTTCCCCTTTGGTTCTCTTACATACTCAATATTATGTTGAAGTTTCATACATAAATAATGTTTGTCGAATACTTGATGCAATTCTACCAGACAATTAGAGTGTTTTAATTGCCAGACAGGAGAGAAGAAAATGTGTTGAAACATCTTATTCCATTTTCAGTGTACATTTCTTTGTTGATTTATGTAATGTGGCTAATAATATGCAACCTATCCAGGTTTTAAACAAACAAATGAACTTCTAAAAAGCAAGCTTTCCATAAGTTGCTAAGCAACTCCAAAGGCACATTTTATTAATTTAATAAATAACATTTAGATGAAGACAAATCCTTAAGAAGATTTCTAACTTTATTTTATAAAAAGTAGAAAATCCAAGCAGGTACCCTTCTGATTTTCTTGTCTCTAAGGCCTCAGGGGTAGGCAAAGTTACTGGGATATTCAGTTATATTTGTCTCACTAAGCAAAACATTTCTTCGATTGAAATTGTTGCCATAATAGAAGTTAAGACCTGGGACTCATGGTGCAGCTCTCCAGAGTTGGAGCTCATGCTTCATTCCCATAACTGAGGGTTTTCCAAGCTCAGAATGACTGACATTTTGGACATAGTAGTCTGTGGTTATGGGGGTCCATCCTGTGAATTTAACATGTTCAGCAATACACTGGTCATCTATCTACCAGACGTCAGTAGTGGCCCCAGAGGTGCTGTAACTAAAAAATGTCTCCAGACATTGTGAAAAGTCTCCCAGGGGAGGAAAGGGACAAAAATCACCCCAGTTGAGAACCACTGCAATTGCATAATGGGTGGATATGCTAAATGCAAAAAAAAAAAAAAAATATCTAGAGCTTAACTGGTGATGAAAATATTTTGGGGTTAGTTGCCTTCTCTCAATGTCTAACATCCCCTGTCACTATCAATAATGAAGAATAAGGGGGTAGTACTGATTCCAGTGGTACTCTGGCTTTTGTTCTATGCAAGATTCATTCCTGATTTCATCATTTCAATGCAATTTCAATTGTATAAAAATTGAGGAGAAGGGACGTAATGATAGCTCTGACTATAGCCATTCTCTAACAGTACCACATTCCAGAACTGCACTAATCTTTTCTCCTGCAATTTTCCCTATATTCAGTTGCTGGCTAGAATCTTTATTTATTTATTTATTTATCTTATTGAGACAGTCTTGCTCTGTCGCCCAGGCTGGAGGTCAGTGGCACAATCTCAGATACACTGGTAGCCGCTGCCTCCCCGGTTCCAGCTATTCTCCTGCCTCAGCCTCCTGGGTAGCTGGGATTACAGGCTCATGCCACCGCACCTGGCTAATTTTTGTATGTTTAGTAGAGACAGGGTTTCGCCATGTTGGCCAGGCTGGTCTCGAACTCCTAACCTTAGGTGATCCGCCCACCTCGGACTCCCAAATTGCTGGGATTACAGGCATGAGCCACAGCGCCCAGCCTAGAATCATTTTTAAAATAAAACTCAATTTTAGTAATGTCATCCTCTGCTCGTAGGGCCACCATGGGTCTTTATTACCTCTACTATCAAATAGAAACTCCTCTGAATGGTCTTTAAGTTTTCCTTCAATTTACCACCAAACTCCATCTCATCAAACGTCTTTCTCATCTTTATTTATGCCCCCTTTATTCTTCTTACACACAATCAACTTGCATATTCCAATCTCCACGTGTGACATATACAGGACAAATTCATTTCCTAAAGTTTTACTAATTATTCCTTCCTTTACTTCTTATCAATATCATATTCTACTATAAGAATGACAGGACTGCAATTATTGTGAGGTAATTATTTACTGAATGCCTTCAATATGCCAGACACCGAATATGGGTTAGTAGCTGTTTCTATCAATTTACATTTCATTATTTTGCCCAACCAGATTGTAAGTTCCCAGAGGGTAGGAGCAGGTCTTATTTGTATCCCTCTGACACCTCTTAATAATGATGCTAATAAATATGCTTTATATTGACTTGCAACTATAACATTTCAAATCACTGTCATGATTACTAGCTCACTGGTTATATATTTTGAGTATTTTACAGTCAATGAACGTGGGTCATTAAATGCTCTAGGGAACAGACTGTGGATTACACAACCAGTGCTGAGTAGATATGCATTTAAAACATGATGAGCAACTGAATTCAGTCTCACAACTTCACAACTCTTAACTGGTTACAAAAAAAATTCTTTTGGCATTTAAACATAAAAGTTATTATAGAGAACAAGAACTGCCGAATGAGGCAGAAGACAACACGGAAGTGAATTAAACTATAATACAGCAGCAGGAAAAATAAAAGAGGAGTCGTCGTTTCTGCCTCAAATTCACTACAAGAATTTAAATTCATTTCATAAGGTCTTGACCTCTTATCAAATAAAGCTGTTTTAAAAGAAAGCAAAATGCTGGGCACAGTGGCTCATGCCTGCAATCTCAGCAGTTTGGGAGGCTGAGGCGGGAGGATCACTTGAGGTCAGGAGTTCAAAACCAGCCCGGCCAAAATGGCAAAAGCCCGTTTTTACCAAAAACACAAAAATCAGCCAGGCGTGGTTGTGCACACATATAATCCCAGCTACTCAGGAGGCTGAGGCAGGAGAATCGCTTGAACCCGGGAGGCGGAGGTTGGTTGCAGTATGCCAAGATGGCACCACTGCACTCCAGCCTGGGTGAGAGTTGATAAAACTCAAAAACCTAAAAATCACAGCACTTTACCTCATATGTAGAAAGAAGTCCAAGAAAATATTTTCAGCACAGGTGCGGTGGCTCAGGCCTGTAATCCCAAAACGTTGGGAGGTCCAGTGGGCGTATCACCCGAGGTCAGGAATTCCAGACCAGCCTGGGCAACATGGTGAGAACCCCTCTGACAAAAAATTAGCTGGGCATGGTGGCGGGCGCCTGTAATCCCAGCTACTTGGGAGGCTGAGGCAGGAGAACTGCTTGAGCCGGATAGGCAGAGGTTGCAGTGAGCTGAGATCACGCCACTGAATTCCAGCCTGGGCAACAGGGCAAGACCATGTATCAGAAAAAACAAACAAACAAACAAAAAACAACAAAAAAACCCTATATATATATTTTTCCAACAATTTGTGGTGATTTTCCCCCACACCTGTTTTGGGGAGTCCCTAAATAAATAACACTTAAGTGCCTGTAAAAACCATGTATTTATCAACTTTTCAACTAAATTCAGCCAAAAACAGAAGTCACCTGATTTGAAGATACCCATTAACCCTAGGCATGATATGCCTAAAGACAGAATATCATTTATCCAGTAATTCTTTCAACATGTATTGCGTGCCTACTAAGTGCAGACACTGGCCTAGGCCCTGGAGGCCTAAATCTCAGTTACTGGTATGAATTTGTACAGGGAATTCAGAAAGGGGTAAGTGATCTGAAAAGCCAAAAAAGATTTGTCTTCAATGAGCCTTTTGTCTCCACCTCTAGCTTTCTCGACCCTCAAATTTAAGGAAGTGAAAAAAACTAAAGGACATTCAATTTTTAAAGAGAAATTAAAGAAACAAGTTTAGGATCCCAGCAGCCACCTGGAAGATAGAGAAAACAGCTCCCAACGCTATCCATCATCCATGTGACTGGGCGGAAGTGCAGGAGAGCAAGGGGGCCGGAAATGCAGGGCCCGGCGCGGGGGAGGGGAAGAGTCACGGCCCGCGAGGGTTGGAGACCGGAAGTGCAGGTTCTCCCGTGCGCGGGAGAATGTCGCTGGGCAGGGCGTGACTCTAAACTCAAGCCGCACGAGGCTTCTCAGAGGTTCCTCTCACCACAAAGCCCCATCACAGTACAGAAGGCTTTTTGCAAAACAGTGATTTCTCAGCTTTTCCGAAGAGGTTCCTAAATGTGGCTGTAACCCTGACGTGAGGTTTGTAGTGAAGGGTCCGCGCTCTTCTGCCAGGGTTTTCTTAGGCGAATTGGCGTCCCCCAAACCGGACGGGGAAGTGAACGGACCCCTGGGCCTGGAGCCACGCGGGTGGGGTCGGGGTTGCTGAACTGCCCCGCTAATGCGGAGCGCCTCCCCCTCCCTGAAGACTGAAGGGGAAAGAGGGACGGGGTCCCGGCGGACGCGATCGCAGAAAGCGGTCACTCGGGGGCACCGGAGCTCTGGCGGGGGACCGAAAGTGTGTCTGTTGGAGTGGTTGGCAGTGGCGTTTATTGAAAGAGGGGCGCATTATTCTCCCCTCCCTCCTTCCCCGAAGCCTGGGCGGCTGGCGGCGATCAGGGCTGAGAACTGGCTCCGGCTTCTGCGGGCGCCCGAGGCGCGGGTGGCGCTTTGTGAGCGGCCGCTGGGGCGAAAGGGGTGCGGGGACGTACGCAGGGGGGCTCTTTTTAAATTGAGTTGTTAGAATAAGGCTGTCTTCAGTTTTTTATCTGAGGTATAGAAAAGAAGCTAGAAACTCGGAGTCTTTCTGTCTCTGCCCCAAATTAATTGAGAAATTGTCAGCCTGCCTTGCAAATACACTTCTCTTTCCTTCTCTCAATCTTTTTCTCCCTTCTCTCCCCACAGAGTCGCTCCCGCCCCTACCTACATCCCACACATTTCAGGAGTCCCCTACGTATTCTACAAAACACAGAACGACCATATGAGCCACTTCAGTCCTTCTCAGCATTAGGTGACTGATTTACATCAGAATAAAACAAGAGTTTCTTGCTGGTTTTAATGTAATTAAAATGCACCATCCCTGTATGTTCCCAAAGGAGTGGGAGGAAAAGTGTTTGGACAGGGGACTGATCGTCAGTAGGTTTTCACAGCGTGGTTTATAAAATCACTTTTAAGCTCTCTTCCACCTAGCTGTCACTGAGAATTCGGTTTGAGAGGAAATGACTTTCTAGACGATTTTTCATCTAGATGATTTTTCATCATATTCAACCAAGAGTCTTTCTCATCCTCTAGCTCTCTGAATGTCCAGAAATGTAATAGAAACTCTGCATTGATTTCCAAAGGTCTAATTTCCGGAGGAGCCCTAACTGTCCTGTCCTGCCTACATTGCCTGCCCTCTAACATCCTGGGAATGGGAAGTAACACTGGGATCGGTGGCGGCAGAACTGCGGACCCTAACAACTTCAGATTGTTGAAAGGGGGAGGGGAGAATGGAAGAGAGGAATGGAAAGGCAAAAGAAAAAACATTTGTGTTCATTTACACATTTCCTGTGCAGAACAAAAAAGTCCCACCATCAGCAAAAGAAGTCTCTTCCTCTAAAATAGCAGCCAAAGAGAGAAAATTAGAATATGCATAAAGTCTTTCATTTTCATTCGCACAGAGCACGATTTCCAATTTCCGGCAGATTTGTATTTAAACTGCTCGATTAATCCCAATTTCTGAACAGCATTTTACTTAGCATTTTCCCAAAACTCACCTAAAGAGTTATTATTCCCCTCCCATCACCCTGTTTTGGAGCCTCCCTTTTCCCTATTCTCCAACTGAGAATAAGAATTTCATTGATAAGACTGCAACTTTATTTTTCCTGTCCATTGTTTTCCTCTTAAAACTAGACTGATGCATTGGACCACAGTTGAATGCAAGCTGGTTGTTGTCTGTGAAGCCGCGACTGCAAACGAGAGCCTGTTGGAAAGGATATGTTTTTGAAATGTGTACCTAAAAGAGAATAAACATGATAGGGCCAATAGACTCTTGCAGATCCTCTCATGTCATCAAAACCTTTCCCATTCTACCCAGGTCATATCTTTTCACCACTAGCAATAGCTGAGATGCTTGGACATAATCCACCCTCCAAACCTTTCCTTCCCTCACCCCTTTTAAGGAGCTTGATAGACGATCATGCAATTCTCTTCAAAGGAATATTACTCTTAAATATTCAGAGTGTCAGTCCATTAAATCCCCCTACAGCCCATTACTAAAATATTTTGCTTTGCCACTTGTGCAACAGATCTGGCTGTATCTGCCTTGAAATTTTCTTTGTTGGAAAAAATGTTATTGAGCTTCATTTGAATATCTTTTCTGAAATATCATCTCTTGACTTGGGCTTACGGCTCCTGCTTTTGAAACTGTATATGTTTATTTTACTTAGTAGTAGAATGTTAGAAGAAGAAAATTACTGCATCTTGACTTACGGAAAAAAAAATATATATCTTAATTCTATCAACCCCTAAATTCCTCACTCTTGCACACCCCAAGACAGAAAGAACCCTTTATTTGATTCATAATGTAATCTAAGCAAAATGTAGTGGTTCTGGCTTTCCTTCAGTGTTTATAGATCGCATGTAAATCCCAATTATGAGTAATCAAAAACTTAGAAATACTACTATTTGTTCAGCTTTCAGTTTCTGTAAAGAACATACATATTTGAACCATATGCAGCATGGTATATGTAATATAGGTGCATAAGCATTTAAATATATGGTTTAAGTATCTGGTTAGCTAAACAGTCATTAAGATACTGGGATATAGAAGCATATTAATTTTGTTAAATGGGTCCATAAACTCTGCATGTGTAATAGTGTCTGCATGACTTACTACTTTGAAATAACTGCTTTTATTGTTTCTTTTTCTGTCATGACAAAAGTATTACACTATTTTAGTTATGCATTTTTCTGTTGAGTTGGAGGTTCTCAGTTATATACTATTAAAACCAAAATGTTGGAAAATAAATTCTCAAAAGCCAGTCGGGAGTAAATGTAACAGGATTGAAGGCCACATTTACTGGCAGTGCTGATTTCTTTTCATTTTCTTATTGAAACAAATGTTTGTTTCTTAATCAAAGGAACAATTCAAACAAAGATGAAACTATCATAATAACAGTATTTTTCTTAAAATACTATTTTAATTAGAATTTCATTTTATATGGAAAGCTCCTGTTTGATTTCAAGCTGCAGAACTGTACTTCCAGAAGAGTTGGAGTGAATTTAGTAGTTATGATTAGTGCAGTGAGAAAGCCTGGGGGTATCATTGAAGAATAGATTGATACATAGTTACAGCCAGAGCTGCATTTCTCCCATTGCAGACTTAGGCGAGATAAGACTGAACATCACCTCAGAGAATTTATCATGAAAGCTCCTCATTCTTTGCTGATCTTTAGTGAAATAATATTCTCATGAGCTGGAATTTTTCTCATACTTTTAACAATGAAAAGACTAGGAAGAAATGAAATGAAAGAGGATTGTTCAGCCTCCCTGCCGTGAAAGGTGAAAAGACAGATGCATGGTACTACAGCAGGGAAGTTGTATCCTTTCCCCCTCACCCCCCTTTCTTCCTTCAACTACTGTTTGGTTTTGGGATAGTGTGTATATATAAGTTTGAAGACAATATCTTCATTAAAATTTTCTAAAGGATAACACTTGCTTTTGATATTTATGCCTTTCTCTTTATAATTTTTAAGGTGTACAGATCTTGCTTTTACATACATTACTAGGCTATATTACTTTTCAAGTAAACAGAACAAAGAAAATATGTTCAATGGTTACTCTTCCTTGACCTAAAATTGTCCTTCTATAGCTAAGATCCTTCTCCCTTTGGCCTTAGCTGCTGGACTGCCAAAGAATTTCTGTCTCAGTCTCTGTTCTCTTTCATAATCACCCTTCCTCTCCTAACCAGCTTTCTTTTCCCTCTCACAAAAGAAGGAAGTTAGTTATAAAACAACCTGCTTTCACCTCAGTATCTTCCTGATAAATATTGAGTCTAATTCCCTCCCAATCCATTTTTTAATTTTCGTTCATTTTCTTTTTGGGGGGATAATGGTGCCTGGGGGTTCATGAGATGAGAAGAACATGGGGCTGAGAGGAGAGTTGGATTACTGCAGACACAGACTCGCTGGCAGATACTTTCAAGCCTAGTCCTAGGAACTGATGGCTGTTCTTTCACCTAAACAATAAACCTTGGCAAGTTTACAGCTCACAAAAGCATTTTTCCCTTCTCCTGAAGAAATGGGCTGAGATTTACTTGCCAGACCAACACCAGTTACTAACATCTTTAACCTGCTGTCTTCCCTCCAGGTATACTGCCTTCACTTCATTATCCTCTTTATGTCTCTCTATCCCTAAAGGAATCAAAAGAGTTCATCTGGGGGATCTAATTCCTACTTCTTATGTCTTGCCCTATGGGCTGGCTTCCTTAGGGCCAGTGATCACTTTGGACTCACAGGAACCTCAGTGACTCAGCCCTTCTCAAACTCCTCAGCTCTGTGAACTTGCTTCCCAAATAGGACAACTTGCCCACTCACCAGCAGGGCTCCAGTCAGAAGGCACCTGGTCCTTCTACCCAAGAATCCTTTCACATGTCTGCCTCCGCACCCAGTTTCCCGTCCCCGCCCCCCGCCAAGGTTGGTTTATTTGGGAATGTCATCTGCAGGGCAGCATGTCCATAGCAATAAAGGGGAGTGGATACAAAAATACTCAGTGCCATTAAAAAGACATACCATATTAGACCAAGGGAGTCTCTATTAGGAAACTTGGGTTGGAATAGATCATCCATTTAACCAGTGAAACAAGAAATCAGAGAAATGCCTGACTGCAGCTGTGAACCACAAATTTCAGACTGAAATGGATTACATCTTCATCCTGTCAGCCAGATAAATTATTTTAAAATTGTTTCTGCTATTATTTGCATTATTATTATTAACAGTTTATTTTTGTCATTATTGTAATTTTTGTTATTTATTTTTGTTGTTGTTGCAGCTATTATACTATTCAACAGAAGTTTAGAAAGATTAGTCAGATTAATTAGTTTATTGGTAATTTAAAGCTGAAAACTAGTAATTAAGCCAAAAACTAAAAATGATCAGGGATGATTCATACTAATGTAGGATTTGGGAGGAAAAGAACCTAAATTTTGGACATAAAATTTGGCAGCTGTGAAATAAATAGGACTTGGGGATAAAAAAATATGATAACTGAAATTTTCTTAGTCATTCAGTCACTCCCCCTCCCCCAAATTCAGCTAAGATTATTCTGTATTTGCTTGGTAGAGGAAAAAAAAATTCTATTTGTTTTTGTTGACAGGGAACAAAGATCCCATGTATGTTCTTCATGTGGTTTGCATTTTCATGTGGATTCCCGCTGCTCAGGACCAACCAAACATTTAAGATCACTCCCCTCCAAGTTTGACTCTTTCATCTCTTTGCTCTTGTTAGGCACCTCTCTGAAGAGGGTGCATCATATAAGACAGGTATACAATTTCAGCCCTCTCAGACAGATTCTGTGGAATATAAATTCAATATTGCAATTTTCTTCACAACATGCTCTGTTCTCTTTCAAATATAATTAATGTTTTGATAGCATAGTTCTTTAACTACATATATACACACAAAAACAGACATACCCTCTAGCTTTGCTGTTTGTGTATCTAAAGCAGAAATGGATGCAGTTCTTTGAGTGACTCCTGAAATTCCTCAACTCCAGTCCACAGAGAAGAAATCTGTTTAGGTAAAAACTGCACAGTCTGTTGCCTACCCAAAAATATTTAAAACAATTAAAAATTGTAAGCCCCTAGGATTTAATACTAATTTTTCTGTTAAATTTCCTACAAAATAAAGGATATTCTGAATTGATAATCTGATACGGATATTTACTAGAGAACAGTTAAAATAAACAAAAACACTGTCCTAAAACCCTGGTTGTCTTTTCCAAGTTTTGATGATGGAAATTGAATTTCAATCTCTTCCATTTTATCCAATTGGTGCTAAATTGACAGATGTATAAAAACTAGCAACCACAATAACATAACTACAATGACTTACATAAAAAATTGCTTACTCTTTCAAATACCTCAGCTGTATGTTTTAGTTGAATTAACTCTCTTAATTGCTATCAGTTGTATATAGACATATTTGTATGTGAAGTAGATGGTCACAACAGACAGACACAGATATGTAGATAACATTATGGCCAATAGGAGTTAAGTGAGTAAATGCTGAGCTTCCACATTCAAGTGTACTATATCCCTAAAATTTCATTTCTCCAAATGGATTACAATTAAAAGAGAACAAATAACCTTGCAGATTGCAGGGAATCATATATTTTCTGTCTTTCATATAGAAAATATGTACTATATAATACTTAATCCAACAAAAATATAAGCTTTGGTCTCCCTATGTTGTTACTGAGTTGAAGAAGCTAGATCTGTGGCACTAGAATACTGATTTCCAAGCATCATGGCCATTTTGTTTGAATTGTGAATATATAAAAAATGCTGGTAGGGGAAATATTTTACACATTTCTTCTTTCCACAGATTTTTTAGAGGGAATGTGTAAAAGATTTTATAAAAATCTTTTGAAGTTTTTTTCATAATCTTCATGTGATATTTAATATTTGGAATTATGAAAGAAGATAAAAGAATCAAAAAGGAAGGGAGAACATGTGACTGATTTCAAATAAGTCTTCTTACTGAATGAGAAAGAAAATATTTTCCAGTGTAGTTTTGCAAAAAAAGGGGGAGGGTATAATCAGTGAAAATCTCATTTGTATTTTTTTGTTATGATTTTAGATAATAGCCAAATAGGGTTCCTTTTCCATTACTTTCCTCCAAACTCTTTTCTTTGAAAGCACAAATGTGCAAACGACTTATACCTTTATTCTCTCACAGGCTAATATACAAACAACAAATATTTTCGTTAAATATTTGATAGAAAAAGCCCTTACAGGTCTACAAATTCCATCTTAGTACAAGACTAAATTACCAGTCCAGTTGTTTGGATACAAGTAACCTGACATCTGCCTTTAGTGAGCTATAAAGCAATATATAAAAGGAAGATTTTTACAACATTGATCAGCAGTGATATGTGAGCTATCAAGAAGAAATTATCCCTCAGACATTTTATATTTGTTCTGATTTCTTTCTCCTTATTCCTTTCTTCCAATTTGTTCTTTGAGAGAGACACGACTAATTCTCTGATTCTCCAAATGAGGTTTTGTTTGGCTCAGATTAATATTAAAGAAGATCACATACACGGTCGAAAAATATTGTTATTTTTCTTTAATGGGGAAAATTGGACTCCCGCGTGTCAGATCTGTGGATTTCCGAAAGGCAATGGAAATGGTACTGACATCACTTTGCACTTTAACAATCGGATTTGGTCAGGGTACAAGTTGTTTGTTTAACCCGACAGCTCGGTGCACCCCGTCGCACGCTTTGCACACTCATTAAAACGATTATTCACGACCTGTCGAGTGTTTTCGGGTTCATTCACAGGAAAGGCTTGGAACGAGGGACAGCAATTCAAGTCAACACTGTCCACTACCCCTATGCACGTGAGGACGAGTTGCTGCGTGCGTAAAAAGACGAAGGGAGGGGTGGGTGAGTACGCCTTAGCTATAAGTCCCGTTCATCCGATGCTCTGGAATCTCAATCTCGACAGAATGCCAAGAATGCTTGGTCCTACAAGGACCACGTCGTCGCTACGTTAACTTCAAGGGCTTGGCACAAGACAAAAAAAAAAAAAGGAAAATAAAATAAATAAACTCAAAACTCTCCCTCTGCTCCTCTTTTCAACCTTCTGCAAAACTTTTTAAGTCCCAGGACTCGCCCACCTTCTGTCTGCAGCCACCCGCGGGACTGAGCGGCTCCACCTCTTACAGCGCTGACGCTAAGGATAAGTAGTTTCAGGAAAACTCGCCAGGGTGAGAAGATTAATTCCTTTTCCATCTCCCAAGGCCCTATCGTTCTAAAAAAAAAAAAAATTGTTATATTCCTGCACGGACTGGGGGTGGTTGCTTGGCGCAAAAGATGAAGAATAGGGCTGTTAACAGTATTTGCTAAATGTATCCACACTGTTAACAAGGAAGAATTACTCCTCCAGACTTCAATAAAAGTCCTATAACATGAGCATTAAATAGCCCTCAATAAATTAGGTCACTTTTTTCTCTCAATTTTAAAGTTATCTTTCAATATATTGTAATGGTGATAAGAGAGGCACAGACATTAACGCATCTCGATATCCCACTGTTGCTCTGTGCTTATAAAAGGCACATTACGGGGTCTTTAGTTTTCCTATTTGTTCAAATGAATTCTGATATATAACATTCCTGTGAGATATTAGTTCAAGAGAAATGTCTATCTTTGTAAGTTATAATCACACATAATGCTAAATAATACAAAATATGAGTATATATATAAACTATATACTCAAGAACTCCAGATTGTCTCATTCAGCCTAAGCACCCCTGGCATAATTTAGAGTTAATAGATGTTTTAAAACACATGTCTATATTCAAATGATTGCTACTTGATTTTTCATAAACAGCATTAATAAACCCAATGGCCAGCTTATTGTTATGAGGGTAACTTCATCATGCCAATGGAAAAAGACAACCAAGCTCATTTAGCAGTTTCATTCTATTATATCTGACATCACAAAATCATCTTTTTCTATTTTATTGAAGCACATCAATACAATGTATGAAGAAAAGAATGGAAGTTTTCAAGCAGCATGAGGTTTTAATCAGAAACAGATTCCTAATTGCTAAAAAGCAAGTATGAATAAGTAATTTCATAATCTCCTTGGGTTGCCATAATTCACTATCAGGTTTACTTAAAATGGATCTGTCAAGTGTGTTTCGCTTCCTATATAAGCTCTTTCATTAAAAGCAACCTACGATAATAATCAAGAGGCAGATGCTGAAATATGTAAGTAAATAACTGAAAGTCTCTGCATAAATAAACACAAATCAATGTAGTAATAGACAACACTATTGATGTAGGAATGATCGATTTTAGTTTTCTAACCTGCAATCAGAGCTTGCAATGTATAATTAAAAGTATATTTTTCAACTCCACTAATACTACTACTACTGGAAAAAAAATTCTTTCTGCCAGTTCTACCTGAATGTACTTTATTCCTTCTAGTGTATTTCTGATGGGATGGGAGGAGTACTGTTTTTTCTGCAAAAGCTTTGCCAAACTTTAAAATGACATCATTAATTATATAAATTGTAAAAGTATCAAATAATAAAATTACCACCTAATTCTTGCTCTGAATTTTTCAACCTTTATCCCAGCCTCTAATTATTCATTCAGCACATTTTAATAGGAAAAACACACAATAGTGCTTATTATTTTTAAAGATCTTTTTCAACTACTGTAGTACATTTTGGTTTAAAGATTCTTTGGGCCTTTTGTTAAAAAAAAATAAGTTGTCATTTCCTCAGTACACTATGGAAGCTCTCACACTTATACTTGTATATGGAAGCACCATGAAGCAAGCAAGGAGAACAAAAACTGCATTGTTTCAATATTGTTTCATATAATGATTGCAAAACAAACTAGTATCTGACTCAAAGAAATAAATATACTTTGGATTTCTAGAAATTCACATCTGAAACAATGTTTTAGATTTTGCTAAAAGTTAAATTTTCTTTTTGAGAATATGTATCCCTGGAAGGCCGAATTGATTTAGATTAGCAAGCACCAGTATGTGATGAGTTTGAATATTTAGATTCTGGAGAGTAATGAAAATACAGTGCTCATATTTTTTCTTCATCAACAAAGATGCTTATTTACATTCATTCTTGAATCCAGGCTTCTCAAGCACAAGCCTTTAAAAGAATGTCTTCTTTATGAAATTCAGCTACTTTGAAAGGGATTTTTTCCTATGTGATATCACTGGCACACAAATATTGATTTTGATTGTCTTTATAATATTGTATCACAAAACACTCTCTCAGACTTCTCTCACATCCAGGGCCAAGAATTCAAGGGCAACCGAATCCAAAAGGAAAATATCATCAGTTATTATTTAGGGCTAATTTAACAGATAATTTAACTTCAAACAACAATGATCAGGTCATTAAATTTCAGAGCAATGAGAAAATGAAAGAACTGAGAGACAAGTCTCCATAACCCCATTACAGATTTTAGTCTTCGTGCTCAATCAACGGAATCAAAAACGTCTACGCAGGAAGATACGTTTTCACCTTAAACGCATTGATTCAAAGAATGAGACAATAGGAAGAGATGAGGAGGAATAAAGTTGAAAGCGAGGACTCCAGTTTCTGGGAGTGCCAGCGGAGTAGGCAAATTCAACCTAAGCCGAAAATGAACACCCAAATATGTTTGTTAATTAAACACTCCCTCTCTTTCCAACACGAATCTCAAATCTGTAAATGTCCAACATGCTTTCCTCCTAGCGGCTTTTCTGCAAGATAGGGAAGATAGGACCGAAGATAGGGAAAAAGATTACATGTGCTAAGCAACAGACCACGAAAAAAACATGGGGCATTTTATTTTCCCTCCCACCCTCACAAACATAATTTGTGAGTTATTTGTTATCATTTTAAATGCCTTTTCTGATCACAACACTTTCAGAATGTCTGCCTACCTCAAGGTTTGATAGAGGAGCTGGTGAAGGCGGTGTTGAATCATAGAAATTGAGTCTTACTTGCAGGGGAGGGCGGGTGAGGGGGGAGTCAGAAGTGGACCACCTCTATTCTGCATCGCCCTTCCTTCCCATCGCCTTTCCCAGACTGAAGATTACAGCCTGAAAATCTCCGCACTCGCGGGGTACTCTGCCCACCGGAGTCCCGGCCTCCCTCTGGCCAACAACCGGCGCCTTCAGTGCTCTGGGAATTCCCACCCCGAGGCTACCTGTTTTCCTGTGAGATCCCTGCACCTTGGACCACAGGCTTGGGCAGAGAGAAGCAAAATGGGGTAGAAAGCGAAGGGCGAGTGGGGTAACAAGTGGAGAGGAGAAGAGATGTCCATTACAGAGCAAATAATTTTATCTACTAGCTGAGAAGTGCTGAGATCTGAAACCGCACCGGGTAAACAAAAGGAAACAACTTTGGGAGGGGAAAAAAGGTTGGGGGGAGGTGGTGGCACACAGAAGATTAAGAAGAAAGGGAAAAGGTAGGGAAGCGCGCCAGCCAAGGTTCTGAAGTCACTTTTCTTGGCATCAGCCAATATGAGCTACCCAAACGTACAGCTCTGCTTGTCCTGGGCAAGAGCGCCCTCATGTTGCTGCTCCCTGCGCAGCGCCCGGCTTCACCCTCTGCGGGGATCGCCGCCGCAATGTCCCGAGAGCGCTTCTCCTCTCCTCCTCCGCCACCGCGCAGCCAGGGCGGCCCCAACTCAGCAGCTGAAGTTACTTCTCCACACCGGTTCAAAACCCGAGAAAACAACGCTGCCAGGTCCCTGCCACAACGACTTCAAGTCCCGCCATTATGCCACCTCTCCATCTTCACCCCGGAGTCCCTGAGGCGCCGGGAAAAGCTAATTAATAGGACACCGCGACGAGAGTCCCAAATTCGCTTCGGGCCGAGCCAACCTGTGTCTGGCGCGTGCTCTCAGCCACTCTGGGACAGAGAGGCTCTCGAGCGTACTACCGACGTCTCCTAAGTGTGCATTAAGAATCAATTATTTGCCTGAGATTTCCAAAGCCAGGAACTGGGATATTCCCAGCAGGGACAAAGTCAAGCCCAGAACGGTGTTCATTTCCCTAGTCTTTCGAAGAGACAGAAGAGAAGACTCCCACACGCACCCAGTGCCTCACCCGACCCGGAGCAGCCCGGCTAAATCCGACCGGGACCCTGGTGTGACCCAGGCCAAGGAGCTGGGGGCGGAGGGCCAGCTCTGGGGAAGGTTGGCTATGTTAGTGTGCAAATAGAGAAGGGCGATCCAAAGAAGAACTTTAGAGAGAAGCAGGTTCTTGGCTCTGGAGCAAAGAGCTTTAACTGAAATAAGGATAGCTAATAAACCTGTCTTTGAGCGTTAAGAACGTCCCGGAAGTTCCTGTAGCAACCATAAGACTCAGAAATCATATTTCCACGAAATGAATTAATTTACACTTTAGGACCTATTTCAGTCTCCCACTACCCCTTCTCCGTATAATTTTTTCTCGTTTTCTCTCCATGTTCCTTTGCCGTGTCTACATCCTTTTGACCTGGGGATTCACCGTGATTTCTGTCAACGTGGAAAAAAATTATGCATCCTTTCAGCTACGTCTGTTGGTAGCGAGCCTGCTAACATTTTCTAAGAAAAGATGAACACTTAAGGCCAGGACCCCAAAGTCAGGCGTTAAAACTCAGTCCAAAGCAGTCAGTTACACATATTCCCTACCCTACCCCTTCCCCTCTGAAAAGCACTTTCACTTACGGATCTTGCTGTAAGAGCCATTCCAGTCCTGATATCCTTTTCCTCGGCATCCTTCGGACAACCTCAGGCAGAGCCTTAGGTGGTGGGGAAAAACAAAAACAAAACACAGTAGAAATCGGGAGGGAGACAAGAGGCACAAAACATAACAATACATCATCTATTTGCCAGCCTGGAGCCCCCTTGGCCTACATCCTCAGGATAAGGTCCCTAGAACTGACCGCTAGGGTGGGGAATGGGTGCCTTTGGGAGCCAAAATCTGAGGTGGGTTATTTTAACTGCTAGTGATTGAGGGGAAAGGGCCCTGAAGGGAGAATAGAAAAGGGGAATGATTGGTATAGAGAAAAGAAATCTTAAAAAAAAAAAAAAAATGCACGCAAAAGAAAATCTAGCATGAAGTACTAACTGGGAAAGATCTCTAGCACCTTTTAACTCTTACAGGTAGGTAGCTCTTAGGAAGAATGCAGACGTGTGTGCCCAAAAGAGAGAATCTAGATGACCTCTATTCTTTCCATATCTCCAGGATCTGGACTTAAGTAGAAAAATAAAGAGGGGAGAATTTTAATTCAAGTTTCACCTACCCTGCTTGTTGGAATGGCTGCGCAGATTTTCATGCTGGAGAGTTCCATCTGTCTGGCAGAAGCTGAAGTGGTGTTGGGGGCAGGTTATCTGGTGAAGTAGGAATGTACAGGAACCCCGCCCTCTAGGCACAGTTACACAACCCCAGCAACCCATCTCAGCCAGTTCTAAAACCTCTAATGATCTTCACCTTCACCCTTTGTTAGTCTAATTCTCCAACAGGCTTTTAGTCTCAAACACAACCAACCACTTTAGCTGTTCATAAAATTAATTTCTCAAAACCAAAATTTTCCCAGTGCATGCAAATTCCTCAACAATGTTGTAGAAAATACACTTTTTAAAAAACTACACTTCTATAGACTTCTAAATATATTGAATTTATCCACGTATTTGGGTGAAATATGCACCAACTTAAATATATATTAAAATCAATACACTATGAGACTAAATTTTTGCCTCTCTGCCTTTGATTTTATGCAAGTCACATAAACTACATGAAGGCTTCCATGACCATAAGGATATTTGTATTAAACCTTGTTAGTTCTAGACTTCATGTTCACTTGGTTCCCAATTTTGTAACAGGCTGAAGAAACATATTTGAAATAATACTTTAACTCCTCTAGTTCAATTACATCATTTTCTCAGTGTTTTACATATTAATATTTTTTGTTAACTTTACAACAGACAAATTCAAGTAAAATACTTTAAACCTGGAAATAAACTTTAATTTGGGATTTCAAGTTTTAAGTTGTGATCAGTTTCAGTTCCAAAATTTCACAAAGGACAACCTTCATCTTATTAAAAACAATTATAATATGAAAGAAAATAATCCTCAAAAGTTTTGAAGTGTATTTCTGACATAAACTAATTTTAACGGTCAAAGTTGGAGACAACAAATAACACAACATTACAACCCGTTCGATGCAAAAATGTATTATATGCCATGCCAGACTGTCATGTGTTTTTTGAGAAGATAAGTTGAGGGATGATAAGATAGATCAAGGGAAATGAGATGTTCATATTGGGCTTCAGGAAGCCTTTACAAAGTTCTCTCTCCATATATCCACCTTCGTGTCTAGTACACCTAACAAACTTCTAGTCATATCCATTATATGTAATTTGGACATGGGTCCAAGCAGAACTCCCACTCCAATACTTCGTTTCTATGAATTCAAAGAAATCAGTTTTACTCTTGACTTCAAAGTATGATGTTTGCCATTAAAATTCTATTTATCTGTCACCCAAATAAACACTTATAAATACAAATAAGTATACTTATTTAATGTGGCCAAAAAAAATACTCATGCAGGAAAACTTTCTTCTATATCTATACCCCTTTACCTTAGCACAAGAGTTCAACTTTCTTTTTAACGTTTGGTAAGCAAAATTCTATGTTTCCCCTGTGATAATACATTCTTATTCCACAAATAAAATCCATGGCAAAAGCAAACAATAAATCATCACCTTTTTTTCAGCTTGGACACATGTCTCTCTTTGAGCTATTTTGGTTCAAAATGTGTAATGGGGATTTCCTTTGCATAAAACCATTCACTTGGACTTTATTACTATTTTTAATATCAGCCATAAATTTGACTTTTAACACAATAATTTTTTGTGAAATATTTTTATGCTTCATTCTGAAGAACTTAAATTTCAAGAAAATTTGGACCTCTGGTGAAACTGTTTTTATACTAAGAAAATAAAATCATGTCTAATTGCTTAAAGGAGATAATTAAACTAGCTGTCTTGGCTTATTTTTGTCCATTCCCCATTTGTGTATATTTGGTTCCAGCTCTTTTAATTTTCCTGGCCCTTATATATTTTTCTTAGGCCTTTCTCTCTCTCTATCATTCACCTTATGTCTCTCTCTCTCATGCATTCTTTTTGGTGGTAATTATTTTTTCACCATAAAGATCCTCTCTCTCTCTCTTTCCCTCTCTCCACTCCACAGTCCACCCCCTTCTATTTTCCAATATTAAGTATTCAGCATTTCAGTTTCAAATCTATTCCAGTAAGCTTGCTTCTCCCTTAGGCTTTTTTTTTTTTTCCTCCCCCTGAGCAACTGTCTAAGTGTTTGCTGATAACATCTTAGGGCCAGATTATTTTTCACTGGGCCCATTGTAAGAAGTAACCAGCTTATTCCAATACTGCAGAACACATTTCAGACTATACAATTGTAACAAATGAACAACTTGTCCTCCACAGATTCACCACAGGATCCAATTAGTTACTAAACCTTTTACTAAGGTTTTCTAATTATTTTCTGCAATTATAGCGATTGGGCTGCCTGAAACAATTCAAAAAATGTTTTCATTTTGTCTCACATATATACGCATATACAGTATATGCATACATATGCATATGGAAAGTTAAAATTATGACTAAACAAAAGGAACAAATCTCTAGATTGAATTACACAGACATTTAAAAGGGAATCAAATAAATACCTCTACATTGTAAAAATTAAAAAAAGAGGCATTTTACTTCTGAATATCTAGAATTCTAAATTGTTATAATTTTAAAATAAAATATAAACATTGATCTGCAAGTCATTAAACAGGTGATCACTTCAGCAAAATCTATATTGCAACTTCAGCACATCTTTATTAGAACTCTTTCATTGTGGGTAAACAGCCACAAAAATAAATGCTGACTTAGAAAGTATAAATACAAATATTTAAACAAAAATGTTTGCAGCATTCATAGCGCAAATTGTACCTGAACTGAAGGGCTCTGTGTGTCTATATATATTACATATGTGTGCATTATAGTCACTTCTATCTAACCATATACATATATTTATTTATAATTTGCCAAGCTCTATTAACAATATACCTGAAACAAAATATATAAATGGCATTCTATTAATGGATTTGGAAATAAACACAGGGTAAAGAGCTATGCACAGAAAATTAAATTATATCTCTTTTTGCTGTATATCCACAGAAACTTACAGGTATCAGCTGAAAAGCCTATACTTTGTTTAAAGCTAGTGTTTATTAAATAGGCTGCTCCTTGTAAAATTTGTTCACAAAGGGAAAAATACTATTTTCATTTTTAGAGTCAGTTCAAATTAAAGGAGCAGTTTAAATTTTAGTTTGGCTGAAAAAGCCTTTGAATTCCCTATAAGTTGATTGGTCTTTAAAAAATTAGCTCTACTTAATAAAAGAGACAAAAGTATCAAGATATATATGAATTTAGCCTATTTTTTATTTCTGTGTGTTCATAGTAAACATTTTTGTAAGTGACAAACACGGGCATATGACCACAGTATCACAATCAAGAAATTTTAAGACAACATTAACAATCACTCAAATTTATGCGGCATTTGCGCAACACAGGTTACATATTTGCAAGGTTTACCTATAAGTACAATAGGTATTAACATTTCACTACATTTAGAAAAAATAAAAGTGACCTGTTAGTGACCACATACATCAAAATATACACAACACAAACTGAAGGCAATCGTTAATTTTGTCCCCTTCTGATTCAATTGAATGGGCAGTGTTGCCAACTGAAACAACTTTCCTTTTTGTTTGTTTTAATACTTAGTATACCAAGTGCATTTTCTAGAACCCAATCTTTGGTCTAAAAGTAAACAAAAGAAAAAAAAACAGTTCTTTAAAGAAAAGGACAAAACAATAAATGGCCAAAATAATTTCTTGGGCACCTTTACTACGAATGCTTTTTAAATACAAATTACAGTTTAACATTTTAAAATTCTCCCCATAATTTAGGTTGTTCTCAAGGTCTGCGTCCACCATATAGTTCCATGATAACTTATAATACTGCACACATGGAAATCTGGCGGCTCTTAGAGATAGACTTGTCAGGTTTGAATGAAATGGCAAAGCAGTCACTATTTAGATACACATTCTACTATAATTTGACTTCCAAACCTTATATTCTACAATGTATTCTCCCCACATTGCACCTCGCTGACACTCCACACCTTGTTAGAATAATAAACAACCCTAGAGACTGAACAAACGTACAGAAATGGGAGGGGGGGGCTTAATAAAAAATACCTGGACTTATTTTTTTAATTATCATTTACAATGCAAATGTGTGTAAAACGTTCACTTACAGTCTGGTCCCAGGGATGTTAATGTATTAAAGGGTTGGAAGAAGACCCCTGATTTTGATGTGTGAAATAATCAGACAGTCCCCCAGACAGTCCCGTCGTAAAACTTGGCAAAGAGGGTCTTAAAGACTCACAGGGCAGGGTCGAGGGGGCCTGCGGCGACGTGGAGGAGGACGCGGCCCTGGCGCTCATGGACGTGCTGCTCTGCGAAGTCATTGACGGGTGCGGGACGTGGGGGAAAAAGTAACTGGTCTGGCCCGCGAGCAGGTTGACGGAGCAGGGGTTGAGGGAGTAGGTCCCAGAGCAGGGCACCGACAGGCCGCAGGGCACCGAGGCGGCTAGCGCGGCGGCCGTGAGGTGGTGCGTGGCGTACGGGATCTCCCCGTTGACCAGCCGGTCCACGCTCAGGCCGTTGGCGGTGGAGAAGGAGTGGTTGTTGCCCAGCGAGTTCTGAGTCAACACGGAGCTGTAGGGCATGGGGTGGCTGGGGTAGGCCGACGTGGTGCCGTTGTAACTCAAAGTGCTGCTGGCGCGGGGGTGGTGCAGGGACAGGAAGGGCGACATGGGCCAGTAGAGGGAGCCGGCGCGGTCCATGAAGGTGAGGCCGGTGGAGGTGAGGCGCGCACCGCGCTTGAAGGCCAGCTTGGCCCGCGAGGTGGTGGAGCGGCGCCGCAGCTTGCCCGTGGTGCCGCCGATGAACACGTCGTCGCTCGACGGGTCCAGCATCCAGTAGTTGCCCTTGCCCGGGTCGTCGTAGTGGCGCGGCACCTTCACGAAGCACTTGTTGAGGGACAGATTGTGGCGGATGGAGTTCTGCCAGCCCTGCTTGTTCTCGCGGTAGTAAGGGAAGTTCTTCATGATGAACTCGTAGATGCCGTTGAGCGTGAGCCGCTTCTCGGGGCTCTGCCGGATGGCCATCATGATGAGCGCGTTGTAGCTGAACGGCGGCTTCTCGTACTTGCCGTTCTTCTTCTCGCCCTCCTTGCCCCCCTCCCCGTCCTTGCCGCCCTCGCCCGCCCCCTTCTTCTCCTCCCCCCCGGCGCCGGCGCCCTTCTCCTTCTCGTCCGGCCCGACGGGCGCCAGCTCCCCCGGCCCGCCGCCCGGCTCGCCCTTGCCGCCCAGCCCGTCCGCTTTAGCCCCGTCCAGGGCGGCGGCCGGTGGTGGCGGTGGCGGCGGCGGGAGCAGCAGCTGCTGGGGGCCCTTGTCGTCGTCGGCGGCCGGGGCGCCCCGCGTCTGGGGGGGCTGCGGTGCCGGGGGCGGCGGCGGCGGCGGCTGCTGCTGCTGCGGCGGCGGCGGCGGTTGCGGGGCGGGCGGCGGCGGGTGGTGGTGATGGTGGTGGTGGTGGTGGTGGTGCTGGGGGTGGTGGCTGTTGTGGTGGCCGTGGCTCGCGTGGTGGTTGTCGTTCTGGACCGCCTCGGGCACCAGGCTGTTGATGCTGAACGAGGACTTGGGGATCATTTTCACCTCTTTCCTATCTCCCATGTCCAGCATCACCCAGTCGTCGGGGGGAAACGGCGGCGGCGGCGCGGGAGCGGGACAGCGGCGCGGCGGGCGGCGGCGACCGGTGGGTGCCGAACGGGGCGCGGGGGGCGCGGGCGGCAGCGGCGGCACTGAGCGCTCCGGCAGCAGCGCAGTTGGACCGCAGGCTCGGGCGCTGGCAAGTCATGTAGCAAAAGCAGCAACCACCCCTCAGGAATTAGAAAAAAAAAAAAAAAGGAAAAGAAAAAAGAAAGAAAGAAAAAAGAAACAACCACCGCCCCGGGGGTGAAGCTCCCTCGCTCCCAACTGTACTTCTTGGTCTCCCCCCCCACCCCCCGCTCCCCCCCCCGCTGCTTCCTCCTCCTCCTCCTCCTCTCGCAGCAGCAGTCACAGCAGCAGCAGCAGCAGCCCAAAGGGGGGGAGAGCCGGGCGGCGGGCGGGCGCGTCCCGGAGCGGCCGCGGCGAGGCTGGGGAGACAGCGATCGAGGCGGCTATAGCCACAATTAATTTTCCGAGCTACAGGCGCACACTAGGGCTGTAAAAAAATTTTTGGTTTAACCTTTCCTACCGCTGGGCCAATCAGAGCTGGCGGCGTGCGGGAGCGTCTCTCTCGCCGTCGACCAATCGGAGGGGCCGGGCCCACCCACCCCCGCCCCGCCCGCCGGCTGCCGCCCCCTCGGGCGCTCGCCTCCCCCTCTCCGCGGGCCTCGGACCCCGAGGCCGCGCGGAGCCGCGTAGGGATACGCCGGCGGGAGCACGCGGTGCCGCAGCCCTTCCCTGCGCCCCCGCCACCCCCTCCACCCCGCCGGCTCCGCTCCACCGAAATTCCCCTCCTAGGGCCAATAGCTCACATTTCCGGCTTCCTCCTCATTGTACTGGGTCATTTTCGTTTAAGCGTCAATATTTGTCCTTAGTGATTAAAGTTTGTATCCAATTTTATTTTTGAAAGCGGGGGTGGTGGTGGTAGTGGGAAGAGTGGGAGTGCAGGGAGAGGATGCGAGAGGGCAGGAAATGGAGGAGGTAGAGGCGAGGCACTACTTTTCCGAGTCGGCCTTGCAGGCCAGTGTCTGGCATTTCTGAGCCAGCAGGAAAATTGTGCCCTTTGTAGGTAATAGTCTAGCGCAGCTTTGGATAAGGGGGGAGATAAGGCCCACCGCTGGCGTGTGTGCGGGGGTGTCCTTTACTTCGGGGGAGGAGGGTGTGGGAGAGCTTTGGGAGCGATGAGATGAGGAGGAGGAAGTGGGCAGAGGAGCGCGGGGCCAAACAGGGGTTACTTACTCGATTCCTGAGGCCTGGGCGGCGGCGAGCTCCGGGCTCCGGCACCGCGGGGAAACCGGGACTGGGGCTCCGGGTGCTGCTGCGGCGGCCGGGGCCGCTCAGTAGTGGGCGCCTCTGATGGCCTTCCGAAATGAGAGGTGCCCAGAGAGAAAACAGTACCAAACAATCTCGAAATAAATCAGGTAACACATGCTATATACGTGTGTCTCTTCCTTTTCCTTCTCTCCTGCTCCAGAGCGTCGCTCACGCGCGGGGTGACTCGATGTCGTTTTCTCCTCGCCGCTCCAGCCTCAGCTTCTAATCCGAATTGGAAGCGGGTAGCTGCGAGCGATCACCCTGGAAATATTTTCGTTTTGCTTGTTGACATTGGAGGGAAAATAAGGGTGGGCGTCTATTTCTTTCCGGTTTTTTTTTTAAGCCTTCCTATTTTCACTCCTTTTTTTTCCTTTCCGTTTCTCAAATGCTTTTATTTTGTGCGGGCCTCATTCCTGAAATAACAGTATACTGAAGCCAGCTCTTGCCAACCCTGAGTGCTGCTGGAAAGCACCGGGGAGCCTTGGGAACGTGGATCTCACAGTCCCAGCTTCTTGGGCTTTGGAACTGGGAAGGTTCGGTTGGAGGTTGAAGTGAATGGGGAAATTGCGAATCGGGGGCTTTAAAAGGATCCCGTGGCCAGGGGCAGGGCTAAGGCCCAGCATTTCCCAGGGATTGGAATTTAGTGGGGAGCACATTGATCAAAGGCTGTTTCATCCCACATGGGCACGAAACATACCACATTTTACGGAGGATGTAGCCCCAGAGAAGAGGGAGGTGGAGAAGCATAAATGAAAGGCACCTTTTCCTTCCTCTAGAAGGTAAATAATTATAAAATGTAAGCATTTCTTCACTTGGATAAACTTTCATTAAGATATCTGGCAGATTTGGTATTTAAGAAAACGAAGGAAGGAAAATTGGTGCTTATGCTTGATCCTAAAGTTAAATTGTAACATAAAGAATGCGGTTGATGAATACTCAGGATAATAGGGGGTTATTCCATCCTCCCCACCCCCAGTCTTAAGAAAGAGAAAGAGAGAAAAGGTTGGGGGGGGGGGAGGAAACTGGAGAGAATAATAGATAATTACAAATAGCTAGTGAATTTTAAATATGCATCTATTAGGAATGCCACAAAGGAGCTTTGAATATTGGACTAACCTCAAATGTCCTTCCACTGTATGTATGTATCTTTACCTATGTCTACATATCTTCTCACTTTAAAACAAACTGTATTTACATGTGGAAAAATTCAAGGGTTCCAACAATCAGTGTTGATAGTGACATGGTCCCAAACATTTATTTCCAAGCTCTGGATTTCTCGCAGGGCCGGGTGAGCTAATGGGCTTTGCCTACCGGCTGGAGAGATTTGTGGGCCTTCCCCTTCCTACTCACTTTTCCTCCTCCCACTCTTCTCCCCTCTTCAGGCCCGTTCTTCCTACTTTTCCTCAACTCTCCTTCCTCCCTCCTCCCTCCTTCTCCCTTAGCTCCCCCCGCCCCTTCCCCCCACCCTCCATTCCTCTGTCTCTCCATTCCTCCACCTACTCCTCCCAATTTCTCCTCTTACAGCCCCCCTTCTCACCACCACTTATAATGGCACACAGGGCTCCCTCTGAGGTGGACGGCCCGGTACGTTTTCGTAGTCGGTCTAGCGTGAAATGATTCGGTGTAACCGGATTCTTGGGAAAGGACAGGTTACGTAAACATTTACTGATGTGGAGTAACTATACTATTTGTACTCTGATATGCAGGAAGGAAAGTGTTGATTAACACAGAAGAAAAAAAAAACGAAATTAGCTGATTGCATGCTCATAAGTGCAAGCTGTCATTGAACTGCTTTTAAAATAGACACAGCTGGGTGTTTGTGTTGAAAAATTTCTTGTGTTTTTGCTAATACTGAAATAAGCATGATTTTGTATACCAAACATTTTCAGATCATTAAAATTTGTAATCTGTGCTGGTTTTAAACACAAAGAAAAGAAACAGAATCATTTCGATGTAAAATTTGCTGATATTATATTAACTCAATCAGGTCTGTACAAATTGTGCATTGTGCCTCCTAAAATCTGTTTGATCAATTTAATACACAAAGTGCCAAACGTGGGTATTGTTTGTTAACATTGGACATTTTATTCAAATCCGAGCTCAGCAGCAAACTGGAGGAGCTTTCCTTCAATACAACACCAGCTCTGACTGATGAATTTTTAATGTTTTAAGGTGTTTCTTAGGTCAAATCTGAGCGTGCATTGTTTTGTAATCCTGTATAAAATTTTAGCAGGTGGAAATAAGTTTTTCTTCTGTTTACTTTCAAATAGCAAAAACTGGGGTTTGCTAATGAGCACTGTAATAATCTGATTTTATATGCTAGGAGCTCATATTGACTGGGAAAATGTTTTTCATTCAAATTAAGGCTATGTTATATAGTTTAAGGATTGCATGAATGCAAGTCTCTCAAAATAGGATATTCTTATGGGCATAAATAGTATATAGTTTAATGTAATATTTAAAAATCTATTCTTCCTAATGACAAAAGTTATTTGTAATCTGGCAAGAAGTGAGTTTTAATTCCTTTTAATAATTTCAATTGCACTTTATGTCGAGATGGTGATATATATATATACTCACACACATATATATGTGTGTGTGTGTATATATGTATATATATATAGCTTGTTCAACAAAACATGCACTGTTTACTCAGCACCCCGTGTTTGTCTCAGCAATAGCTTTTTTAAAGAACTGCTACTATTTGAAATGGAGGGGGAGGGGGGTCCTGGACAGAGTATTGTGCAAGTTGAAAGTCTCTGGATGGGGCTTTGTATATCCTACCAGCCAATTTGGGTGCAAATTGGATTTGAAGGCCTGCCTCTGTCCACCTCGGGCCTCTTCCCTAAGCACTGGAAGCCCAATCTTCAGCCCCACTCAGTCACCGTGATTACCTTCAGAAGACAGAGGGAATTCAGTTGTCTCAGACCTGAAACAAATTCTCTATCATTCTAATTTTTTTCTCATGATGGATCTAACCTTGATCTCTCACACAGACATCTACAAATGTGTACTATTAATGAATAAAAGCAGAAGTCAAAGTAAATGTAATTTTCTGGTATATATCACAGTAAACTTCTCTCTTGCTCTGTCTGCAGTCCCCCAGCTCTCCCAAAGAGGTCAGGCCCCGTAAAGAGTGAGCAGTTCCAATGGAAGAATTGGTTAGGAAATGAATTAGATTATTCCTTCTGGAGTTTTAATTAATAACCAAGGCTACACAGCATACTTCATCCGAGTAGGGAGCAGAACATTTCATTTTTCCATTTGGCGGTGTTATTTAAGTATTCTTTAGGGCCTCTTTCCTGTTTTCAGTCAGTGATCCGCCTCTTTTCTTCTTGCTAGCTGCTGGTTAAAGGAAGGTGGGCCCCATTTACCTAAAATCCACTCTGCTCTCCATTCCCTGGACAGGGTGTCCTTGGAGTGGCACCCAGCGCCAAGCTCTAGCTAAAGTTCTCTTCCTGCAGATGCACAGAGAATTTCTGACCTTGTGACGTTTGGGAGTGAGGAGATCCCATACAGAGGCATCCAGGTATTTCCAGAGATCCTGTGGCAGGTGAGGTCTGCCCTCGCTGGAGCCAACTCGTCTATAATATCTTCCTAACAGCAGGTAATGGTGCTAACATTTAGTGATTAGAAGTTACTCTTTAGCGTGTTGTATCCTCGTTCTGTGGGTTTTGGTTACAGGTTATACGATTAGGTTTGCGAGAACAGTAGTGAACTAAACTTCTCAGTAAGAGGTCTTCACACCAGGGAAGTGTTACTTTTCTGCAGCAGCCCTGCCTCGTCACTCATTAGGGAGCTGCAGGTTGTCAGTGGCTGCTCTCAGCGCGCGCACGCGCACCCTCAACGTCCCCGGGGGCGCGCACATTCGCGCGTGTGTGTACACACACACACATACACACACACACACACACACAGCACTAAAACTAAATTAAGAAGCCGATGATTAAGACAAGCGTCTACTAGGCCTGTCATTTCAGCATCCTTCCATCATAACATTGTGGCACCGGCAATTTTGCTTGAGAACCTCGAGTAAAAAAATCTATGGGAGAGCCTCGTCTATGAGAGTGGAAATGTTTAGCTTGTGTAAGCTAGGGAGCCACTTTAAAAGGGAGAAAGTCCAAGGCGAAGAAGAGGAGCAGGAGGAGGAAGAGGACAAGGATGAGGAGAAGGCCTTGACAGAGACCCCTGGGACTCTCCAGGCAAGTCTCTGTGACGCTGCCAGGTGTTCCAGGCTCTCTGAAGCCAAGTACGTACGCAGCCAAAAGAAAAGTCCCGTGATCTTCAGCAAAATGTGCATGGGAGAAGCTTTGTCCCGACATTAGCCAAGGGAGAGCCAGGCGTGGAAAGATCCATGACGAAATACCACCAGAGGGCCAAGGGACTTTAGTCTCTGGAAAAACTTCTCAGTCGAATACTCTGTACATCTCTTGTAAACATTGTAAACATAATGTCCACTACCCTTTTACTTGTTTCGCGTTCTTTGCCAGTGCCCTCCAGAGGGTGAGTGATTTGCTGAAGGACTTGAGTCCCTGATAGTGTGAGGGCGGACCTGTTCCATTTTTAGACCTGATCCAGTTGTGAGAAATGGTCCCACACAGCCTGGGGAAGTGCCCCTGAGAGGCCGATTCCTATTTTTCCTCTAGTTACCCAAGGAAATGGTGTAGTCAGTCTTTCAAAGGAGATAGGGGAAGCTCCACAAACAACCATAACACAGCACAACAAAACAAAACAAAGAGCTGAAGGGGTGTTGGTGAACTAGAATGAAGGAGGCTAGAGCTCAGGTTCTTAGTTTTAACCCCCAGCTCTATCCCATAAGGAAGAAAGTGAGACTTGGCAAAAGCCAGCCCACAAACAATATTACCTCGGATTTTCCATCAGTGGGGCACCAAAACAGGAAAAAAGAAAATAACTATATATATCTATATATATATATATATCTATATATAGATATATCTATATATCAAGCTGAAAGAAAAACTTACAGGGCTAAAAATGCTGAACTCTTAAGAGCTGGAACTCCTAACTATCCCATCATTGTTCTTACTTAGTTGGAGCTTCAATGTGATTTCTAGTAGAAGCCTCAATCTTCTTCTGGAAGTGTTACAGGACCTTTTAGAGAAGGGGTGTGTGTGTGTGTATGTGGGGGTGGGTGGCGGGTGAACCAAGACTTCTCTTTTGAAGCACACCTCCAAATGGTCCCCCAAATTCCAGTTGTGTGAGAAAAGATGGAAAGGTCTGACTCCTTCGCAATTTTTAGCCGGTCACCTTCGAACTAGTCACCGCTCAATATTTAAATGTACACGGAAAACATTGAACAGTTCAAGGTCCGTATATGAGATTAATAAGTATCTTATAGGAAATGCTTGCACCCACTAAAGGTCTGAAGGAATGAGAGGAGAGAAAACTTCATGAGTGGGGTAAGCAAGCCAGGAAGCACGCAGAGAACCCTTCACCCCAAAGTCTCCCTTTGCGTGGGGAAAGTAGTATCTACTAATCAGATCTATCTGCTTCTTTCAAGAAACCTGCGTGGACAAACCAATGGGCAAGTTTTTACTTTGTGCTCATCTTACACCCACCTGGCCCTCACTCTCCGGAGTCGGTTCCAGTAGGTCTTCCTACCCCAACCCTCGCTCCTCCCCCGCGCCCCTTCTCCAACACGAGGCCATGGAAAATCTGTTGGAGGAGCGTTTCTCAAGAGGTCCAGCTTTTCTCCCTCCCCTGCCTTGCCTCTTGAGGCTGTAACTGCGAGGGTTCCCTTCGAGGAGCTTCGCGGAGCTGGGGCTCCCAGGTCTGCGCGCCGCTGCTCCCTGCGCATACCCGCGAGCTTGCCCGACGCTCCTTTGTTGCAGACGCTTGCCGAACGCAATCGAGCCAGAGGCCTTGATTCTAGGCGTCATCTCTCTAGATGTCCCCCCTTAAAGTTGCCTTTTCAGCCTAGGTATCTCTTTTTTTGGCACATAAGACCGGATACACACCAAATCAATTTTGGGCTAAGAGGTCATCTGCCACGGTAAACGCGGGGATATAGAAAACAGTTAAAGGTTTCAAGTCTGTATTGCTATAAAGCACATTTCAGAGTTAAAAGACTGGGGTGCATGCAGGTGACGTTAATTCGAATATTCAATTACATGTAAGGGGTATTGAACCCAGTGGGGGATAACAGTAATACCCGTATTTCTCTCTCGCTCTTTGGAAGGAGTCGCCTGCGGGGAGGAGAGGAGAAGACAGACTAAGCTGCGCGTAGAGCGGCATCAGGAGCAAGTTACCGTTAGCATGTGTAAACAAAACAACTCGACTCCTCTGTGTCAGAATCAACAACATCAAAGGTGTCTGTGGGGGGTCACTTTTATTTTTAAAACAATCCTAGATTCTTGTTCGGCAATTTTAGTGTCTTCCTTCTGGGTTTGTCCTAAGGCACGTAGGAGAGAAAGTAATGTTCGAGAAAAAAGCTGGGTCGGCAAGTTTGGCTCCGGAGCCTATGAACTATGAATCACCGCGGTGAAGAGGTTTTCTTTTTTCTTTCTTTTTTTTTTTTCTCACCCTCTTCTTTTCTCCCGGAGCGTGAACTTGTTAGATAAGATAGATGAGGCTACAAGGAAACAGAAACGCTGAAAAAGCCCAGCTCCTTTGGAGAGCAGCCTGTGGGGCTGGCAGGCGGCTGCCGCGCGCCCTCCCCCAGCTGAGGGGCACCGGGGTAGCTCCGGAGCTGTCCCAACTTGGGCCTCCTGGGCCCCCCGCGGGGCCAGACATCACGCTCAGATCGCTGCCTTGGCCATCTTACCTTTTGGCCATAGAATAAACACCCCGAAAGACGAGAGAAAGGCCTCTATTTGAGCTGAGTGTCTGCTCTCCCGCTCGAAACACAAAACAGGGCCCGCAGGTTTTCCTAGAGGAAGTCCCAATCACAAAACAGTCGGACAGTGGGAGACGCTAGAGAATTCTGGAATTACACATGAAACATTATTTTCCTAATTAATTAAAAATAATTCTCTTTTCCTATTTATATGCATACACACGCTACTGATTACACGTCCCTATTTACTTGAAAAAATGCTTGGAGTATCTTTAGTACACAATGCTCATTCTTTGTCCCCTTGAACATTTACAGCTGATAATGTGGCTGGTTGGGATCAATTAGCACTGGATTTTGCCCCAGGATTGCTCCCCAGGGCGGACAAGTGGAGCCAACTCATCTCCAGCGACTTTTACTTCGCTCACGTGCATATCCACGCCAGGGCTGCAGAAGCATTTCAAAATCCGCAGCCTTGGTTTCACTTGATTTTGTTGTTGTTATTGATAAATATTGGGTCATACACAAGCCACTTGTCAGAGCCTTTGGCTCCACCTCGCAGCTGCAGCTCCTAGCGGGACGTTTGAGTCTTGTCCTAGGAACTGGAAGGATTTACTGGGAAAAGAATTACACATTCTCTGCTCCTTCAGTTTTGGAGATGGTCCCTTAAGATCATATCATATCGTCTGTCTGCTTGCTGTCACATTTATTTCTTGATTGTTCTGATATGTGAACAATGGGAAGGTGTGTGCATCTTTTCCCCCTATCTTTTTAAAACAATTATTGAAATGGTTTAAAAGTGGGGGAGGGGAGAAAGTATTGATCCCAGTTCTTTCCGTATATTTGGAACCAAAAGAACATAGGCAAATAGATAATTGTTTTAATTGTCGGGGTGGGGGGTGGGTTGGTAGGTAGGACCTTTGGGGTTTGTGTAATTGGAGTAATAAATACAGTTTATCTTTTAGCTCCGCCGTATATATTCTTTCCCTTGATACATATTGCACATGAAATGAACCCATGGTCTACTTGTCTTAGCATGTTTGAAGCCCCAGACACCCAACAGTATCATTACAGGAAAAAGACAGAGCCCCCAAAGACTGCATGCAGGCAGGAAGGTGACTGCCTTTGGGGCCAATGGGGAATTTATCTTGACGTTGAACTTTTCTGGGAAGTGCACCCACTCGCTCAGGCTCCCTTGCTGCGCAGAGTTCAGGTCTTCCCCATGCTGAAGAGCAGGGAGGAGGTGTGGAAAAAAACAGCTGATTTTTGACATTTCAAAGGGACTCTTTCTATTTATCAGTGTTACCGAAGTGTACGTTACTGGAGAAACAACAAAACAAGCATAGAGCTGCAATTTTCAAGAAAATAGGATCCCCAAATATAAAAATAAAAAAGTAGCAGATAAGATGTATAATTCAATCAAATTACACAAAATTGCTTGAAAATCTAGAACAGTAGCGATCCATTATGCCTCTGTTTTATTAGTGACAAGTACAATTACTCTAAAATAAAGAACACTGGTGAATATATAATTGGCTGTAATCATGTTAGTGTTTGAATAAAAATGACGGGAACATTTAACACTTTGACAACAAAATGTTCAGAAATAACTTATTTATTCAAACAGTTTTTATTTTCCACCAAGTGAAGGAGAAACACAGTTTGCTTAGGAAAATCAATGACTTTTCCCTGCAATAAATAAATATCCAAAAGGGGGAAAAAACAGCCCCACACCTCTATATTATTACTGTTATTATTTTTAACCAGCAAGAAGCTTAATCCTGTGTTTGAAGTCAGCGCTCATCTAGCGGTTGTTTGGTGCCAAAGTCCGCCACCTAGAGGAAGAGCTCTGCAGCCCAGAACCCCTTTTCCCGCGGTGACCTCGGGAATCAAAGTTAATATTCCTTTGCAAATTGCTCTCCAAACTAACTCCCCCTCCCTTTCCTCCTCACGTCCCCTTTCGCCCTACAACATCGTCACAATATTTTCTTAGTAATTGCTCTGCACAATTGACAGAAGCGCCGCGTCTCCGGCAGCGCTGTGCTCTCCCAGGAAAGCGTGAGGGCGCGTTGGGGAAGCAGGTCAGGGAATATTTGGTTCTGGAGAGACAATCCACTTTCATCCACAATGGTCTAGAGCAGCGTGACTTGGGAACTTATAAAGTGACGGCTGATGGAGGCATCGCCACATTCCAATGCATTTTTTAACCCCGGGCTTTCTTAGAAAAAACAACTGGGATCCCCAGGTACCGCGGGGCTATTCCCGACTTTTCCCCAGCGCCCCCACTCCCCACCCCAAACGCGAAGATCTGAGATCTCGGCTTTATTTAATCATCTACTCAGTTATTGGAGCTCAGTGGGTCCTTTTATTCTCCTAGGTGGGTTGCTTGAAGAACTGAGTTACAAAGGTATTAAAGAGGAGGCCGTGTTTGCAGGGGTCCCCCTGTGGTCAGGGAAACCGACTCAGGAGAACCCCCATGTTTTTACACTGAGCTGAGCCTCCGAGTTTCAAGAAACTTGGGCAGTGTGCGAGAGAATTTGGGGTTGTACTCGCAAGCACCAGGAGTCTTTTTGATTTTAGTGTTGGTGGATCCTATCGGCTCCTCACACAGAAAAGCCAACCTCACTCTTCAATCTCGAGCTCATCCTCTCAAGTAATTATTGGGGAAGGGAGATGCTAAACGAGGGAGCATGGGGCTCTGGGAAGAAATTTAACAACAGCATTCGAGCGCTCAAATTCTCCTTAACACCAGTGCTGCAGATTCTGCTGCGATCCCCGCTCTGGCCCTCCAGGAATGTCTCCCCGCCCCACTCCTCCAAAGTTTTGTTTTAATTGCTTTAGGGCACTTAGAATATTGTTCAAGTTGAGGATTTCCTAGAAAGGCGAGGAAGATAGAGTTGATTTAGTTTTGAAAAAAAAAAGTTATTAATCATAAGACTTCAGTTGGGTTTCATTTCTTCTAATTTTCCTTCCTGTCCCCTCCTTCCCTCCTTCCCTCTTTCCCTCCTTCCCTCTTTCCCTCCTTCCCTCCTTCCTTCCTTCCTTCCTTCTTTCCCTGCTTTTTCTTCCCTTTTCTCTTTCCTCTCTCTCCTTCTCCCTTTCCCTCTCTCTCTCACTATCTCTATGTGCGTCTAACTGTATCTCATCTACCTCCCTAAATGTGAGAGAAATGAAGCCTCGTGAAGGTGATGGAGGTGACCATTTTCATTCTGACTTCCAGAACCTCCTTACTTGTCAATTCTTAGTCTCAATGCTGGAGTTTGAAAGACATCTCGGAGGTGATTCTTCTCCCTCCCAGAGACGACCTCAGAACCATGGTCTAAGAAGCTATTTTTCTGACTGTGAAATTATTTTTTAAGGCAGCTGAAATAAATATATATTTTTAAAATAAGCCTCTGAAACTGATGCCCCGGTGCATGCTTCCTCTATGGATTGAGGCGCTCCCTAAATTCACTCCACCCAACCCCCTAGGAGCTTAAGTCCTCAGAAATGTTTTGTTTTGTTTTATGCAAAACTAGCGCTTCCACTCTCTACTCCCAGGTCTATCATTCCTCTCCCGCATTATATTAACGGCGATGTTAGCCTTCCCCTACGTGTTTAGGCTGCTAATGCCGGCCACTTAACGCAACAAAAATGCTCATCTGTGGAGATTTTCCCAAGGCTAGCTGCAATGTTGGCTCCTTTTTCTTTTCTTTTCAGGGCACGTCCATTCCTCCCTGCCCCCTTCTTCTTTTCTTGAGATGGGGACTGGAAAAGGGGTCCAACAACTCTAAGCGAGTGTGTGAAGTTTCCCCTCTTTCTCTTGCCTGCCAATCCGTCAAGCGGGGTGGTGAATTTTTGGTTTTCTCTAGAGAGCAGGACTATGGAAGCTTCAGCGTAGATTGGTTGCCTCTCTTAGTTAACTTGCCTTCTTCTTCTTCTTTTTTTTTTCCCCCAGTCATGACTTTCCTTTCTCCTCACCTTAGTCGGTGAAAGCAGTTGGGGATTGCCCTCACAGTCCTTCTGCACCCTTCCTAGCCCCAGGCTTCTGAAGAAAACTCCACTGGCTTTCTTTTGTATTGACAGGGAAGCTGGGTTGGAGATCTCCTCTGTATTGGATTGTGTGTGGGTGTTGTGTATGCTTGTTTAGTTTTAATAACTTTATGAGGGAGAGTCTCCTGAGCTTGTTGACATTTTTCTTCTATGGGGAGATTTTCTGGAGCACGGAATCACCTTAATTTAGATAATGACCGTCTATTAGGCTTCTTACCCTTTCAAGTAAATTTAGCCTGGGAAAATCATCTGCCCTCATGATTAATACATACCTAGTGTCCAAGGAGAAGACCATCAGGGGCAATGCAAACTGAAACTGACTTAAAGGGTAATAAATATTACCCAGTGGGTTTTGACTTAAAAAGATGAATATCGTCATTGTTCACAGCTGGAACACGTTTACTTCTTAAAAGCTGGTGAAGTGTAGACACGAGAACTGTTTTCCCGACTCTGGCTCTAGCACTCTTTTCCTATGGATCCTTAGGCAAGTTACTTCATCTTTCCAGTTTTTTCTTAATCTGGAAAATAAGTGACCTGCAATCACTAATATATAAAATATCATTCATTCATCAAATTCCCAACAACACTACCACTAAAATATAACTTTAAAAACCATAAGAATCTTTGGAAAAAATTTTTGGGGAGGTGGGGCTGGGAAGCAGGAAGAAAATCTCATTCTAACAGCAGCAGCGACATCTAGTGCCCATAATGCTCAATAGTAGCAGTGAAGGTGTGGGATTGTTTACTGAGTTTTTGGAGGGGAGAGCCATGGAGGCTTTTCTAATAAATCTTGACTGTCTGTCGGGCACACAATAGTCTTTTGATAATAAAAAAAATTCTAAGCTTTGATTATGGTAATAAGACATAGAGAGACAACGGTTTTTACCTCAAATCTGCACATAGGGCAATTAAAGTTTGTTATGAGTATTCTTCCAATGCTTTAAATTCCATGTCAAGGAACTAGTTCTAAAAAGTAATTTTATTTTGAGGGGGGTTGCAATTTATTTACCTAATTTTCCAAATTATCACTAAATATGTTTCTACACAAATACTTAACAAAATTGAAAAAAATTTATTTTTGATATTTTCTTTTATCTGAACTAACCACTTTGATTGGAGATAATTATCTAGTGAATAGCAGGGAACATACTAAAAATAACACCATGTTTTAAGTAATCACATATATGCCCTGTCTATATTACCTTGGCTGAAAATATTTTATAATTCAAAGAAATGGAATTCCTATGTCTATATGGATTCTGTTTCTTCTTCTTACAGCAAAGATTAAATGAACTATCTGGGCACAGGAAAAATCTTAGCAATGGTAGACTGCAGAGCCCCAAACTTTTCAGAATAACAATTTCGGCATTTGCTTGGCATTTAAGATGTTAGAGAGAGAGAGAGAGTAGACCTCTTCTCATTCCCTGTGACTGTAAGCTGGCCATGTGCGTGGGTGTAGTTTGTGCATGCACTTGCTGAAGTGTGTGTTTAATTTCCTAATAGCAAAGCAGCTGATGACTACTGGTATATGGATTCATGTTTTGTAACTTTAAGGGAAACCAATTTTGTTTATTCTATTTTTCACCAATATTTCCTAGATTTTACTATAAAATTTGGTCACTGGCATGCTATCTAGCTAGTTCTAGAATAGTAAGATAAATATACAAGTTGTTAACACCTAGGGGAATTTGAGGTAGTCACAACACTTCTCTTGAACCTTAGTTTTCTTATGCACAAAATCAGAAAGTTGAATCTGCTATCCCTTATAATTCAAAAGATTTTTAAGTCAATAAATCATCAACCTTCATTTGAGAAGACTCTCTTGTGGTGTCTTCATTGTTATTTGCAACTCTTCTCTATCACTCCTGAGTTCTCTAGTTAGGCATCTCATCAGAAATGAGAATTGATGAGCCAGCCCTCCATCTTCTCTATCTTCCTGTCTTGTTCTTTCCCTTTTTCTGCTTTTAAAAATAACAAAAATCTCAGACACTCTAGTCACCATTTACTAACTCATTGGCATGCACTCAGCTCTCCCTTGCTATCCATCCAGAAAAATCATAATGTGAGATAGGACCAAACTGAACACAAAGCTGAGGCAGCTGTATTCAAGTTTTCTAACATGTTCCCATATCCTCATGGTGATGATTAATTATTATTATTATTATTATTATTATTAGGAACCAGAGCCAAAGTATTCTGGCTGCAGATAGCCCACATTTTTCTCTCTGCTTCTGTGTCCCTGTGAATAAATTTCTTCAGGAGGATGCAGTAAAATGTCTCCAAATTCAATCTGACTAGGAACATCATTACACACTTTTAGCAATAAGAGTGTTCACAGAAGGCAAATATCACTCCGTGATGCAAATATGCTCAGCATTTAATATAGACCTCAGGGAAGCTGAAGACACACACACATACCCATGCACACACACACACATGCATGCGTGTGTGTGTTGTATATAAAGTGTGTGTGTGTATATACATATACACACATATGTGTATAAATATATGTATATGGAGTATCATATCTACATTGACCTGGGTTGATAGAAACAAACAAGTTTGTTACAGGGAAAATTCTAAATATATCAAAGGTTTCTTTCTTAGATGCCTTTTTGTTGTTCCCTAGAAAACTTCTTAGTTCCTACTACTTGGACTTTTATTTAAAATTCCTTATGCTGTACGAAGTTCATAAGACATGTTTTATTCTGCAGATTTTTCACAGACCTCATAAACACAGGTATTATTCTATTTTAGAAGTGAGGAGGCTGACCCAGACAGACTAAATTACTTGCTTAAGATCACTCCACTAGGAAGACACAGAAAAGGAGTGTGAATCCTGGCTTTGGACAGGCCGCAACTTACACTTGGTCATTTTTAGGGTTGGAGCCTTCAAACTGGGAAACAAGGGGATTGACTGAGGCTGTTCATTAAACTTCACCAGGATTCCACCGCATATATTTGAGAAATCTCAACTTTTAAAGAATTTTGGGACCCCTAGTCTGTGTTTGCTACTCCTCATTCATGTATGATTTTCTCCTCTTAACACTAACAATTTTATATTCTTTCTACAGGAAGGATAATCTTTGGAAAAAAGGTTGTACTCTAAACATTTTTGTTAATTATCTTGGGAACTAAGATTTTAGAGTTGGAGGGAATCTAAGACATTTTGTGATTCAGCAGCTCTGGAGTAAGATGATTGTCCGAATCAATGGCTCCTGAGAACTGTGTGAAATGGGAGTCCAAATTATTGTCAGTTCTCTGGTGTTGCTTCCTACCCATCTCCCTGGATTTTTGGCTTTATGCATTAATACATTTGGTTACTTCATTCTTGCTGGCCACCCTGTGGACTAGTTTTCCAAGCGGCTGCATTTTCAGCAGCACACTGTGGACTTAGCCAAGCACTTTAAGCTGAGAGCTGTTAAGCCTTCCTGGATCTATTTTCTCTCAAGTAGCTCTCTGCTGCCCTCAACTGGTGTTCAGCCACCAGAGCTAGCTAGCCTTCAGCATTTACACGAATCCACCGTACCCTGGCTTCAAGTCAGATATGGGAGCATCATTAACCACACTGTTTATGGCTTTTATAGCATGGAAAAATAGAACCCAGGCCCATTCACGTCCACTTATGCCTCAGGTTCTCACTTTCTACAAGTTTGCAGATGGGCCATGAAGGAGAATATCTGATTTTCACTTATGTGTGCTGGAGTATTTGGAAGGGCTTACATGAAAATGTAAACTTTCTCTTTAATTATCAAATTGAGATACACTTCAGCTGATAGACCAAATTTTTGAACATGTTGCAGTTAGTCTTAAGAAATACGAAACATTTTGTCTTTGATGTAAACAAGATATAGAGAATCATATGAAATCCATGAATTACTTGTAAACTTTCTCATTTGTTCAATAAATACATAGCGTACACATACTGTACGCTAGACATTATTATTGGTGCTAAGAATATAGCATTGGATAATGGAGGCAAAAACCTCTTCTGCCTTTATTAAGCTAACTTCCCAGTTAAGGAAAATAGACATTAAACAAGTAAATAGGTAAAATACATTTTAAGGGAATGTAACATTTCCATATCTATTTCCTACCCCAAGTACTGTAGCGATTGCATGTTTTTGTTTTGTTTTGTTTTGTTTTGTTTGAGACGGAGTCTCACTCTGTCGCCCAGGCTGGAGTGCAGTAGCGCGATCTCGGCTCACTGCAAGCTCCGCCTCCCGGGTTCACGCCATTCTCCCGCTTCAGCCTCCCGAGTAGCTGGGACTACAGGCGCCCGCCACCACGCCCGGCTGATTTTTTGTATTTTTAGTAGAGACGGGATTTCACCGTGTTAGCCAGGATGGTCTCGATTTCCTGACCTCGTGATCCACCCCCTCGGCCTCCCAAAGTGCTGGGATTGCAGGCGTGAGCCACAGCGCCCGGCCGCGATTCCATGTTTTTAAGAACATTTGTAGTAAAGTTAAAGAGGCATAACTAGAGTTTATACAGGGACCATGCATGCTATATAAATATTGGATGCGTTATTTATTAATGAATTCATAAATTTCTTGTGAATATAGAGTAGATATATGAAAGTGTTTGATGCAGATGAGTGTTTGAACCTTTCAGCTGAAGAGACGTTTTGTCTTTTGTTTCTATACCAATCTCTCCTGTTGAATTGCCTTGTGGTTGGAATATCACTTTGTCACCCCCTGTAATAGCTGCCACTAAAGTCCTTGCTATTGCTGCTATTGACGATGGTCTCTGGTTATTATCTTTACTTTTCTCTTTGTTTTTATTCTGTTCTCTTACTATGTCTTTTGCTTTCTTCTCAGATAAACTCTGATAGATACCACTGACCAAATAGAATAAGTTTTCCCTTTCTTATGTGGTGGAACTACCAGTCATAACTAGGGAGGTTTAATCACCTGATTTTCTTTTCACTACCAGGTCTATTTGAAATGGGTATTTGTCCTAGGTAAAATGCAGCTGATTTGGAAGAAACCAAAATATTAATCAAATAATAACCAAGTGGTAGTGGCAATTACAGATACACAGCTTCTAAGTAATATGTTTGTATTTAAATAAATAAAATAGTCCAAATTCTGAAAAAAAAACCCTATAATATAAAACTGAGTTTGAGTTGCTGGGTGAGAAGCTTCATCCTTGCCGTGAAAAATTTTTCTGTGTGGAACTTTCCAGTTTTGTTTTTATGATGCAGACGTCTTCTGCTAGGCAGACATGACACCATCTCAGTGAACCATGTAGGTCAGCACAGGGTTAAAAATATGACGTACCTATCCTTATATGAATTAGAAATGTTTATATTTATTAACACATTTCTTGAAATATCTTTAATTTTTGTTTACTTCTGATTTTATATATCACAGACTTGCTGTAAAAAATTTCTAGTATATTATAAAGAAGAAAATAAACATAAATCATCTATTAAAGTAAAACCTATATTCTAAATAATTTGGATCATCTTGTGGGTATATTTTGTGTTCAGCCTTTTGTTCATTATTGTTATACTGTGAGCATTTCCACATAACTATTTTTAAAACCTATAGTTACAAATATCTATATTAACCTATGGATAATGATAAACAATTTAACCACTGTCCATTAACCATTGCTTCACATTTAGGTGGTTTCTAATTTTTCATTATTAAAATGACTTGAGATATATAACTTTGCACATAAGCTTTTTCTCCAACTTTGATCATTTATAATAGATTTTTTAAGGGCAAGGTTTTTTTTTTTTTTTGGTGGGGAGGGATCACATAGTATGAATTTGTAATAAACATTTACCATATACTGGTGAATTGTATTTCTTTAAAATTTCATTACTGTGGCTGGGCTTGGTGGCTCACGCCTGTAATCCCAGCACTTTGGGAGGCCGAGGCAGGTGTGTCATCTGGGGTCAGGAGTTCAAGACCAGCCTGGCCAATGCAGCAAAACCCCAACCCTACTAAAAATACAAAAATTAGCCAGGTGTAGGGTTGCATGCCTGTAATCCCAGCTACTCAGGAGGCTGAGGCAGGAGGATCCCTTGAACCCAGGAGACAGAGGGTGCAGTGACCTGATATAGTGCCACTGCACTCCAGCCTGGGCAACAGAGCGAGACTCTGGCAACAACAACAACAACAACAACAACAACAACAACAACAGCAACAAAGATTGTATTAGTGTACATTTGCAGTGATCTATAAAAGTGACTGTTTTGGCCGGGCACGGTGGCTCACACCTGTAATCCCAGCACTTTGGGAGGCCGAGGCGGGTGGATCACGAGGTCAGGAGATCGAGACCATCCTGGCTAACACAGTGAAAACCCGTCTCTACTAAAAATAGAAAAAATTAGCCTGGAGTGGCGGAACGCGCCTGTAGTCCCAGCTACTCGGTAGGCTTAGGCAGGAGAATCACTTGAACCCGGGAGGTGGAGGTTGCGGTGAGCCAAGATTGCACCACTGCACTCCAGCCTGGGCAACAGAGTGAGACTCTGTCTCAAAAAAAAAAAAAAAAAAGTATCTGTCTTAATGAACCCTCACCAAATTTTAAATTTTCTTTTGCCAGTTTAAAAGGAGAAATATAATACCTATAACTAGCTTTAATGTACTTTTCTTTATGTACCAGCAAGATTGAAAGAAGTTTCTACAAATATTTATTACATTTTAAATTTCATCTTTTATGATCTTTCTGTTGTCTTTTGTGCATTGCTTATTTGAATTTTTGTGCTATTTTTATTAATTTTAAGGGCTTTTCTAGATAAAAATATTAACCGTTTGTCATCTGGCTCAAATATCTTTTATAGTTTTTATTGGTCTTTTTAGCCTATTTACAATATTTAGTTATACACAAATGTAAGTTTTATGCATATTCAGATATTGAAAATGTAATGAGCTTGAAACTTAAAACCTGGGTTTGAATCTATCACTTTGTGTCTATGTGAACTTGAGTAAATTATTAAACCTCTGTACCTTATTTTTATTTGATATAAGATGGGGTTAATAATGCTAATTCTCTCATAATGTTTTCTGAGGATAAAATGCATTAAATTTATAAGGAATATAGTTTGAAGTGTACCAGGCAAATGGTAAGCCCAAAATTAAGATTGAACATTTTTATTATTGTTTACAGTATTCAAATTTACAAATGCAAAATGATTTTTATTACTTTAATATTAGTATTTTACATATCTAAAATGAGTTAAATACTAAGTAAAGTTTTATTAACTAAATATCAAATATAGCTAAGAATTTTGTATACCTAGTTTTTTAAATTATATAAATGATTAACTTGAGTATTCTGAGGAAAAATACTATTATGTCTTATTCATGTACTTAATACTAGTTTTATTCATTCAAGAGATATTTGTTGAACTTTTACTACATGCCAGAAACTGTAGTTGAACAAGATAGCGAACAAATGGATGAAAACCTTTGCTTTTCTGCAATTGACGGAGAAACCATAACAAAATACGTTAGTATCATGAAAAATATAATAGAGAAGAATAAAGGAGATAAGAAGTGCAAAAAAAGTGCTTGCAATTTCAAATATGTTAGCCAGGGGAGATCACTGAGTGTATTAGTTTTCTGTTGGTGCCTAACAAATTACTACACATTTAAGGCTTAAAACAACATAAATTTATTTTTTTTTCCAGTTTCTGTGGGTCAGATCAAGAGTCTAGACACAAACTACCTGGGTCCTTTGCTCAAAGACTTACAAAACTGAAATGAAGGTATTGACTGTGCTCTGGTTCTCATCTGGAATTCAGGTTGTTGATGGAATTTAGATCCTTGTGGTTGTAGGACTGTGGCCTCTGTTTTCTTGCTGCCTCTCAACTAAGGTCACTCTCAGCTCCTATAGGACAGATCCATCCATCATAATCTGAATAATCACCCTTTTGATTAGCTAAAGAAAGGAGTGTTGGTGATCAATTGCATCAAATGTTGCTGATAGGCCAAGTAAAATGAGAAGAGAAGATTGACTGGATTTAGCAATACGAAGGTCATTGGTAATCATGAGGAGAACAGATTTGTTAGAATGGTGGAGGTAACAGCCTCTTGGGTGATGATTAAAAATGAATGGGAAGAAAAATTTGAGATAGTGTATAGACAGTTTATTGAGCAGGTTTGTGGAAAGGGAAGCAAGAGAAGAAACATTAGCTAGAGAGGAGGTGGAGCCAAGAGAGGGTTTTTTTAATGGGAGAAAAGTATGTTTAATTGCTGATGGAAATGATACAGTAGAGAGGTAAAAGTAAAATCTGATGGCATAGGAGAGAAGGGGTAGAATTGCTGGAGGAAGTGAGATGGGATCAAGTGACCAAGTGAGATGGTTGGACTTAGGTGGGAGTACTGATAATCATCTTTCATTCCAGGGGGACAGCAAAGTACATGGATTCTGTAGGTTGTGGGTATTCTCTTCTGATTACTTCAGTTTTCTCAATGGACTAGGAAGCGAGCTAAAACTGAGCATGATAATGGAAGTGCTTGAAATATGAGTAGGAAAGATTAGGCATGAAAACGCCATCAAGAAGAGTGGGAGAGTAAAAGACCAGGCAAATTTAATATGATTGCCAGACAGTGTTATGGACATACATGAAATGCATGCTCATGAATGTAAATGAAACCAGTTTACATGCTGTGTGTTTTCCTAAGTCATGTTAGTTTCAGGGCCTTCAGAACTAGCAAGACAGAAAGTAATATGTAACCAGGGTTGTGATTCAGACAAATGACTCTGAACAAGACAGGTAAGGGAATTGGGGATGCAAAAAGGAGTCACTGCAATGATTGGTCATGGAATTTAAGGTAAAAAGGGGGGAAAAAGGAGAGAAGGGGGAGAGAAAAGTGAAAAGCATAAATTGAAGACCTACCAAGCACTATGGTAAATTATTAGAATAAAGTAATACAAGCTTTTCTTTAAAACTGGCTTTCTGATGACTCTAAGGCTGTGCTGTATAGAGAGGTCAAGTGATCCTGAGCTTTAGCTCCTCATGAGCTGCAGGTAACTCCCATCACAATGACTTATTTTGACAAACTCAAAGCACTTTCATAGCTCCTATCCCTTGGTACACTTATGAAGAAAGCAAGGGCAGGAACTAATATCTTTGCTTTTTATATAGATGTAACATCTTTATTTTATATCTAGATATGCATAAAGAGAGGATCCCTGGACACAGTTTTTAATTTAATTTAATTTAATTTAATTTTATTTTATTTTATTTTATTTTATTTTATTTTTGAGATGGAGTCTTGCTCCGTCGCCAGGCTGGAGTGCAGTGGCATGATCTCAGCTCACTGCAATCTCCACCTCCTGGGTTCAAGTGATTCTCCTGCCTCAGCCTCCTGAGTAGCTGGGACTACAGGCGCATGCCACCACACCCAGCTAATTTTTGTATTTTTAGTAGAGATGGGGTTTCACCATGTTGGCCAGGATGGTCTTGATCTCTTGTACTGTGATCCACCCACCTCAGCCTCCCAAAGTGCTGGGATTACAGGCGTGAGCCACTGCGCCCGGCTGACACAGTTCTATAATATACAGAGGTGAAATTATTGCTAACTCAAATCACTGTTTCTCTGTGTGACTGCTTTCAGCTTCCTTAGTTCTAGTCCTCAGCAACTCATGCTGCCCTATGGTTGTTCCACATTCCCCACTGCAATCTTCTTCTCAGGATTTTAGTCAGCAGCCATGCACTGTAATTTTCTCTTTTCCCAGGCTTCCTTCATTGAAAACTTCCTGTGAAGTTCTCAGTTCTATTGAGTAACCCATTAACCACTTTGGTAAACGAATTCCAACTTGACCTAAGTTCTTAATCTTGTTATCTGTCTTAGAGTGGTAGTTTTCAGTATGCTCTTCCCTCAACCCACAGTAAGAAACACACATCATGACCTAGGCCACAAATACATGTATCTACATACACACATACACAGCTGAAACAAAAAATTTTCCAAAATACCCTTATTACTTGTGATACACTCTGATAGTTTCTATTCTATTATATTCTATTTAAAAATTTACTGGTTGAGACTCACTAAGCTATTTACCAACTACTAATGGTTGATGGACTGCAGTTTGACAATAAAAGGGGCTTTTGATGCTTATAATGCAGGTAGGCTATAATCATGGCTCATAACACATTTAAGTATTTTACAAAATAACTCCTAATTGAGACCTGATAGGATATGTGTATTTTAGTAGCTGAAAAGAGCTGGAAGTTAGCAGTTAGTAGAAAGACTATAGAACTTCAAAAGACCCAAATCCTATACTTCATTCTAATACTTAATAACTTTGACATTGGTTTCTTATTCTACCCTCTCTCATGTTCTGTCTATCTAAAATGGAGTTCAAAACACCTGCTACGTGTAACCCTGAAATTTATTCTCAAGAGCAAGTGAACTGTAAGTAATGGAGGTTTATAAATAGCAAATGTAAGACTCTCTAATTTTATTTCTGGATTGGGTTTATGTTGGAACTCTGAAAGTCAGGCAAACCCTCCAAAGATAAGAATATTCCCTGTCACCAACTGCTTTGATTGATCTTAAGTTGCCATATATTATTCAAATATGTTGAATTATTTGAATATTATATTGTTTCTTATGTATTCAAATAAAATTTATCATTTATCAGAAAAATATTTTAAAGTTAAAAAATTATCTACTTGATATGATATGGTGTATAAAGCTTTTTATGCACTTTAACAGAAAATGAGTCATGGTTTTTTATTAGGTTTTGAGATAAATCCACACACCAACCTGGAAGGCATAGTTCTAATACAGCTGCTGTACATTTTCTTCACAGCTTATTTGTAATGTCTTTAGTCATTGTTAGGTCTGTTAGTCAGAAGTTTCACATCTATAATGAGACTCACTTGTGGTCATCATTTTTAGTAATTATTTAAAAAAATGTTGACATACAATTTTGTGTGTTGAAATTCAGTTCTATTCACAGATTTCTCCTTCTGTTCTTCTGCAAATCAACATGGATAATCTCAAAATAACAGTGCCTCTCTACACTCTAAGGATTTAGGTTGTGTCATCATATTAATATTTTGCCCTTTTACTATTTCCATTAATTAATTTAGCCCTTTAACTTTTACTGATCAATGTGGACCAAATTTTAATTGCAACATTGCTATGAAATAATACCAAATTAAAGCTGATAGTGTCATGCTGTGAGCTAGTGAGAGATATTAACATTTTTGAACATGATAAGTTGATTTAAAACCAGATGGACTTGTAACCAACTTCAGAATAGTGTTCAAAATCTAGTTGTGAAGAATTTTGAATATTACATTAATGGTTCAAGTTTGGGGTGTCTGATAAAATGCTGGTGGCTTGGAAACATGTAGCTTTACATTATCTCTATCCCATTATACTGTTATTAGAAAGTTAAAACATGCAATGATGTAAAGAAGGAATTCAGTAGTGTATCTGATGAATATCTATTAATTCCCATAACGGATTTAAATATTAACTTTAATATAGACTGTGCAATATGGTTGATTATTTACTCATTAACTAAACATTTAATCATTATCTACTCTGTACAAGATACTACACGAGGTGATGAAGACAGAGTGTTGAATAAAATTTAGTTCCTACTCCAATGGGACTCACAGTCTGGTGGAGGAGATGAACACACAGTCATATGTATAGCATAAAATCAGTGCCACACTGGAGGTATGTACTGGGTGGGTTCTATGGAAGTACAGAAGAAAGCCACTTAAGTCTTCAGATTGTTTCATGGAAGAAATGTCATTAAATCTCTGTCTTCAAAAATTATCTTAAAAATTTATCGATATTGTACATGAAAACATAATAATAAATAATTTAGAAGAGCTTACGATAAAAATAACAGAACTGTTTCTCTTCAACAGCTGTTTGGATTCCCGGCTGTGAACTCTTTTAAATACCTTTTTAAAATTTTCTTTCTTTTTTTTTTTTTTTTTTGAGACAGGGTCTCACTCTATCATCCAGCTTGGAGTGCAGTGGTGCGATCACAGCTCACTGCAGCCTCGACCTCATGGCTCAACTGATCCTCCTACCTCAGCCTCCTGATTAGCTGGCACCACAGGTGCAGCCCACCATACCTGGCTGATTAAAAAAAAATTGTTGAGATAGGGTTTTGCCATGTTGCCCAGGCTAGAGTTTTAAATACTTCGTTTGCATTTCTTTTTGTGATTCCTTCATGATACTAATTATATTATACTTATTATGGGTGGTTTAGAGTTATTTATCATTTCATTACTTCCACAGGTTACTTTTGTGATAATAGTAATACCCTAACACATTATGAGATATTATCATCCCCACTCTTTCATCCACCTTTTACCTCCCTTAGTTCCCACCATTTATTAGCTAACCTAGTTTTATTTTATTAAGACTATTATAATTTGTACTTTGAAATTAAACAGCAACCAAATCTCTCACCCTTTCTCCATGAATTAAGTCTGGAAATTTACATTTTTATGACTATGCTGAGTCATGCATTGTGCTATGACAGAATACATTCTCTTTTCTCACTATCAATTGCTTAAAACCATGCCAGAGATTTAATTTTTTTCCATTTGTATCGTAGCCTTTTACACAACTTTCTTCCTTTATTTTCTTTAGGTTAGCCATCAACTTTTCTTTCTTTCTGTCTCTGTCTTTTTTGGCTTCACTATATTAGCACATTATTGTTTTAAAGAGGTAACATGTCTTTATTGCGTTTTTCACACATTCTCCCAGTGATTCTCAAATGGGGAGGTCTTTTCTCACATGCCTTCCTCCTGACACCATCAATCCTTCCTGCCATACAGGAATATCCTGCATTGCTTTCCTGGGTGTGACCCACACTTTTTTCCTGTCTCTCCTCTTCTTTCTTCTCTTTATTTTCTTCTTTTTTTTCTTGTTTCGTTTCTTATTTTTCTTTATTTTCTTTAATTTCTTTATTTATTTTCTTTAAAAGGTATGTGGTAAATACATACCATATTACCAAATGCTTTTATTCTGGTGTGTATGTGTGTGTGTATGTGTGTGTATCTGTATGCGTGTGATTGAACTGTGTATATCATTTTTAAGTCAAAAATATTTTCTCAAAAACTGTAAGGTTTTGGTCTATTTTCTTAGCATTCAGTGTTGGTGATAAGTTTAAACTAATCCTTTCTCTCTCTCTCTTTTTTTTAATAGAACCTGGGTCTCACTCTGTCCCCTAGGCTGGAATGCAGTGGTGTGATCATGGCCCACTGCAGCCTTGAACTCCTGGACCCAAGCAATCCTCCCATCTCAGCCTCCCAAGTAGCTGGAACTACAGGTGTAAGCCACACCTGGATAACTCATTTATTTTTAGATAACCTGTTTTTAATATTGGAAGCTTTTATGATTATCTCTGGGTAGGGGTCTTTACATTCCACTTGGCATTTTTCACTTTAAATTCTCATGTCTTTCAACTTGGAAGAATTTGATTCTATCAGTTCTCTGTTGATTTCTTCTACTCCATTTTCTGTATTCACGTTGTTTTTGGGTTTCTATTACTCAGATATGGGGCGTCCATACCACTTCTATAGGTCTTTTATCTGTTCCCTCATGCTTTCTGACTCTGCATTTCTGCTTTACACTGTAACAGAGTTCTCTATTTTATTTTCTAGATCTTTACTGTTAATTCCGTTTAGTAGTTTGTTCTGCATTTTCCAGTTGTTAGAAATCTGTTATTATTCCTCATTTTTTGAAAACTTCTTTCCTACATTCTTCTTAGTTACGTATTAATTCTATTTTTGTGCATTTATGTTCTTATTTTAGTGCTGTCTCAGGAGAGATAAGATGTATCGCTAAGACCTAGTATGAATTTGAGTCAGAACTATAAGCAGCAACAGGTTGTTTTAGGGTTAAAGTAACAAACTAGAAACAGTAGGGCCACAATTTGCTTTTTTTTTTTTTTTTTTTTTTGATGGAGTCTCAAATCTCGCTCTGTCACTCAGGCTGGAGTACAGTGGTGCTATCTCAGCTCATTGCAACCTCTGCCTCCTGGGTTCAAGCGATTCTCCTGCTTAGCCCCCCAGGGTAGCTAGGAGTACAGGCACACGCTACCATGACCAGCTAATTTTTAATTTTTGGATTTTTGGATTTTTAGTAGAGATGGGGTTTCACCATGTTGTCCAGGCTGGTCTTGAACTCATGTCCTCAAGTGATCTACCCTCCTTGGTCTCCCAAACTGTTGGGATTACAGGCGTGAGCCACTGTGTCTAGCCTGCTGAGATAATTTCTAGGTGTCATATCATGGAGGGTCTTGTAGATACACTCTACTAAGGACACTGGACTTTTATCTTAGAGGCACTGAATGTTCTAATTGTGAAAATAGTATGATCTTGTAAAGAAGGTATATTTAAAGACTAGAGGCCAGGAGGACAGTTAGAAGCCTGTTGAAAGAATTTATGTTAGTGATAAAGATCTGATCCAAAGCAGAAAGATCAGAGAGAAGATGAGGCAAAAATAATAGAGATACTACAGAATAAATTTCCAAAATTGAGTAAAAATATGAAGACAGGAAATGCTAAGAACGCCAAATAGGATAAAGGCAGAGAAAACCACATGTAGTCACATCACAATAAAACTTCCAAAAACCAAAGATGAAAAAAAGCAACCTTAAAAACAGCCAACAGATAATCAAACAATATATATTACCTTCAAAGGAGCAATTAAAGGCAAAATAAGAGTGTTACCTTTCTTCTCAAAATTAGTAATGAAATCCAGAAAATAATAGAATGATAATCCTAAAAAAGCTAAAATAAAATACGGGACAGCTTATAATTAAAGCCTAGTCTCTCTCTACTTTTGCCTAATGTACTATGTCCCTGTTCATTAAGGCAATATTTCGTCTTAATGAAATGTCCCTGTTCATTAAGAAAATATAAGAAAATACTTTATTCTCTTATAATTTTGTGGAGCTGATGTTCATAAAATGCATCATTTAAATAGTTAATTTTGTAAGATGATGGGCTTGGCAGAGTAACTGAGATTTAAATCCTTGCTGTTTAATCTGTTCTAATTGGTTAAGGGTAATGCCCAATTTAGAAGCAAAAAGTAAAATTGCAGATTTGTTTTTAACTCCCTTCAGTTCTGAAGTTTAATAGTTTCAAAAACATCTCCTTTATTATACTTACCCTAAGAAAGTTGACTCAGATTAATTGTGGCAATATTTGATAAACATAATAATGCCAATATTAGATGAAATGAAAATAATTGTGAATAGAAGGCTGTGTGTAATAAGGGGATTATAAAGACGTAGGTTCAGAGCAGACCTTTATTTATTTACTTAATAGGTGAGTACTGGTTCTGTTGCCTAGTAGAGTGCAGTGGCTATTCACAGGCATGACCATGGCGCACTACAGTCGCACTCCCAAATACTGGGACTACAGATGGGCACCACCACACCCAGCTGTAGAGTGGATCTTTTTTTTCTTTTTTTTTCTTTTTTTTTTTTTTCCCCGAGACGGATTCTCACTCTGTCGCCCACGCTGGAGTGCAGTGGCGCGATCTCCACTCACTGCCAGCTCCGTCTTCCGGGTTCACGCCATTCTCCTGCCTCAGCCTTGTGAGTAGCTGGGACTACAGGCGCCCGCCACCACGCCCAGCTAACATTTTGCATTTTTAGTAGAGATGGGGTTTCACCGTGTTAGCCAGGATGGTCTCGATCTTCTGACCTCGTGATCCTCCTGCCTTGGCCTCCCAAAGTACTGGGATTACAGGTGTGAGCTACCGCGCCCGGCCAAGTGGATCTTTGTAAGAACTGTGGGATAGCAAATATAGAATTAGGGCTGTGCAATTTTATGTCCAGATAGACTATTATGAAAATAAAATTGACCTCCATGAGCTCTGGAGTTAGATTTCCTGTGTAAAAACTCCAGCTCTTCAATTTACCAGCTGTGTGACCTTGGACAAGTTTCTTAATGAATCTGCATTTCACTTTCTGCATCTGTAAAACCTTTTCAAGATTGTGGCATAAATTTGTAAGCATACTTCAAATGTTAAGCCTTTATTATAATAATGAAAATTTGGCAAAACAAAGCTGATGCATTCATAGTAATTGTGTAATGTATTTATTAATATTTTATTGGATTCTGGTATTTGGCTTAGGCAAAGGAAGTATCTGAAAATATTTACGTTTTATGTAATGTTAAAAGAATGAAAAGAAAAACAAAAAAAATTATCAATATATGCTAAGAATTTTGTTGACAGTCCACATATATAATTTTCTTAACCCTAAAATGAATTTATAATGTAGGTGTTATTTTTTGTTATTTTACAGACGGGAAAACTGGCTTAGAGATGTTAAATATCCTGGATTATTGTCAGTTTAACAAAATAATTTCGGCTATCAAAGATCAAGTGGGATAAATTTCAGAGGAAGAAACTGAGCTCCTTGCGTAAGTCCTAGAAAAAACATAAAAGGTGGTTAACTGCCTCCATATAAAGCTGATTTTTTAAAAAGCTCTCATTTTAGGTTTAGGGGTACATATATGGAGTTGTTATACAGATAAATTGTGTGTCATGGGGGTTTGGTGTACAGATTATTTCATCACCCTGGTAATAAGCATAGGACCCGATAGGTAGTTTTCTGACCTTCTTCCTCCTCTCACCTCACCCTCAAGTAGGCACTGGTGTCTGCTGTTCTCTTCTTTGTGTCCATGTATACTCAATGTTTAGCTAATTCTAGCCTGTAAATTTAATCACAAATCTCCTGTTAACAATGCTGTGTTGCTTCCTTCTTTGGCTATTTCAACTATCTGCTGATTTCTTTTCTTTTTACTACTATTTCATTTGCAGTGGAGCCAACCAATCCTAACAAAATTGAATAGTAGATAAATTATACCATTTCATCTGAAGAAATACCTGTCTCATTTTTACTTTTTCTCTCACTCTATCCTCTACTAAAAACTGTTTTCAGATAAACTTCTGAAACCAATCATTTATAACTGGATATAAATTCAAATTATTTTTACTTCTCAGAATATTATCTCAAGCTAACTTGAATTGGGTAATAAAAGACATTTTACTCTATTAAAGAAAAGCTAGGCATTTCCTGAAATATCAATTAGTTTGGAAGCAATTCACCTATATGTCATGTGAACCCTAAAATAAAATAAAAAAATCTAGACTGGTTATGTATATTTTCCTGTTGAAAAAGATCTAGATGATTTTTTAAAATGCTACATGTTACTTTCTAATAAATATTTTTTAAAAAGTTGGTCACCAGACTGCCCCTAAGCAATAAGAGATTTCCAAATTTTTATATAAAGTGGAATTATGAAACCTAATTATGTACAACTGCTGTTCTACCATGTTTGGGCTACATTGGTAGGAATACCTGTTAGCTGTGCATTGTCAAAGATTGCTTATACTTGGAGATATGAATGTTTGGCCACTCCTAGTTGGAGCCAGGCCTATATTGATCAAGGATAATGAAAGGAAGTACTGATGATGGTATTTCTTTGACAGTTTCAGTTAACAGGAAGTATTAGTCTGAATTAGGGTGTAACAAAGGGAACAATGATTCAGTAAGTTAAAGAAGATAGAACTGGTTTTGTCCTTTACATAACAATCCAAATTGAATGGTTCAATTCTGCTCCATGAAGTTATTCAGGAATTAAGGTTCTTTCCATTGATTGCAGTATTATCCTCTAGGACTGTCATCTTCTGCATGGCAGAGACAGGGTCAGCTGCCATTCCAGCTGGTGATAAGGGGAAAGATAACATGGAAGCATACACACGGTCCTAAGACTTAGGTCCATAAGGGACACCTATCACATTAAATTCCATGGGGAAAAGAAGTCCACTATGAAAAGGAGGCTGGAATATTCCATTTATTCCTGCATGCAGGAATAAAAGGAGAGTATCTTTTGGTAGACAACTAATACTCTCCACTTTATGGTTTGTGCTGTTTGTTGACCCTATTGAAGTTTCCTGATGATGTGCAGTCTTTTCTTTGTGAAAAGGATAAAGATTGATACGGTTTCTGAATGGACCCTTAAATTGGACGAATAATACCACCCTTATTTTTCTGTAGACTGTGTTTTACACTTGCCTATACTGTGAAAAATAATAATCTTTTATTGGATAAGAGTCTCTCCATTCTTATTTTCTTCAACTTATTTGGTCTCGGGAAAATAGGACCAATATTAAAGCTGTCTTGTGATTTACCTATGCCTTGTGAATCTGTTTCTAGTCAGTTTCACTTAGAAGGAAAAGGGCCAGATTCTACCTCTAATTCTGCAAGGAAAAATACATTCTTAGTAGATCAGAATACATTTTAATCTACCCTTTTCCTGAATTAGATTAAAAAAGCTTTGCTTACTAAATAGCTTACAAAGTGTCTTCTTTTGAAATAACCTGTACAGATAACTTTGACAGGGAATTTACTAGGGAAATTAAACAAAGCTGCCTTTATTGTTAATGAATAATTCTTCAACTACAATTTAATATTAGATATACTATATTTAAAATGAAGAGAGTAATGTTCATTCTTGTAGGATAGTGATTATTTTCTAATTTTCTATTAGGACCAAACTTATGTTTTGATGTAATGTTGGGTTTTGTATGTCACAAGTCTCCAGCAGATCCAGAAAGGCCCTTTTCACCTGTTACTATGCTCACTTACTAGCTGATGTCTAAGTTTCTCTGCTAGAAATTATTTATCTTGGCTTAAGGCTGTACCTTGCTAAAACCCAATTATCTGTGAAAAAATTAACCTTTTAAACTTTATAATCATTTTATATTTTGTTCTGGCTGAATTTGTTGTTGAGATTTTTGAAAATGAGCTAGAAGAATCCTTGAGGTGGCTGTGAGAGGGTCCACTGACTATGGAAATGAACACAAAAAGATTTTTGTTTAAAAGATGAATTTAATTTGTGAATTTTCTCTCCATTGTAGGTCACTTTGAGTTCTGGCTGTCTTACAGAGGAAAAAATAGAGCTGATCATGACCATTATAAAAACGTATTATGTGCAAAAGATGTACATCATTCCCTGAATATTTTGGTTTTTACTTCAAATTAGAAAATTACTGTTGTTGATTTAAATAAAGGACAGCATCAACAAAATCATCATGAATTGGAAATAGTGAAATTTAATTTTTATAAATCTGTGCTAAACATTTTAATGGAAATATATTTTTAATATATATTTTAATGAAAAAATTTTAAAATATATATTTTAATATATATTTTAAAAATATATTTTAATGAAAAATGTAGTGGTGACAAATTCAAACAAGTAAAATAGGATTTAAGTTATATGTGTTAATAAGGATATTGATCTACTGTTGATATTCTGAAGCTATTAGCAATCAAATGTTACCATTAATTTTCAGCCCTTGAGCTACTACTTAGTTTTCTACTCACCAGTTCTACCTTTTAAAAAATTGCAAACAACATGGCTGTATGATGAGGGAAAAGCTTTACCCCTACTTGGACAAAAAATAGGCCCTGCTTGTAAGATTAGTTGAATGTTCAGGTCCTTGTAAGTTGTAAAGAATGAAGTTTAAAAATTTGTGTTAGGGGCCGGGAGTGGTGGCTCACTCCTGTAATCCCAGCACTTTGGGAGGCCGAGGTGGGAGGATCACGAGGTCAAGAGATCAAGACCTTCCTGGTCAACATGCTGAAACCCCGTCTCTACTAAAAATACAAAAATTATCTGGGCGTGGTGGCATGCACCTGTAGTCCCAGCTACTCGGTAGGCTGAGGCAGGAGAATTGCTTCAACCCGGGAGGCAGAAGTTGCAGTGAGCTGAGATCACGCCACTGCACTCCAGCCTGGGTGACAGAGTGAGACTCTATCCCCCCCAAAAAAAGAAAATGTATTAGGTACATTTTTTTATACTTTAAATTTGATTTAAGACATTATCTTGACTACCAATAACTCTACTGCTGTGAATCCTTGAAATTTAATGTTTAGATTTAGATCTAATAGATAACTACATTGTCAACTCTGTAAATGCTTGGCCATTTTATTAATGTTGCTATTTTCTAGTGCTTGCATATAGTAGACAGTAAATAAGTATTGAGTGGATGTCCAATAACTCTTTGTCATTTTAATTTGTAAGTAATTATTAATTCTTTTTCTTTAGGATACAGGCTAAACAAGAGTCAAAGGTAAGCCAAATGAGCTGGAGAACAGAGGAGAGATTAGACAAGGGCAAGTGTGTATAAGGTGGTAAAAGAGTACCCTGAGATAAATGTAAATGGTGTGCAATAGAGGTTTAAAGGATAGAGCGCTTGTACACAGTTTGGCAATTCAGGAATGCCTCCAGTAGGATATGGCATTTGAGGTTGAACCTCGCAGGGTTTGTGTGGCTGAGTGGTGAATTGTGAGGATAGTCATGGCAGAGAGCACATTCTATAAAGATTAGAGCAAATTCAGATGTTTTCCATCTCTGACCTTGTATGGTTATTTTACAGCACTTGTGTCACACACTGTTTTAATTATTTTGTACTGTTTATACCTCTCATGCCATCCACTAAATTATAAACTTCTTGAGGGCTATGTGTTAGTAAGTCTTGTATTTTCTGCTAAGTCTATGAGTGCTCTGTATACATTAATATTTTTAAAAAATTACTTTATATCTTTCAAGTTATCAAAGATTTTATAGTTTTCCTAATTACGTTGAATCTAGTGATTAACAAATGAAATAGCTCCTTGAATAGGCTGCACAATCAAGCATTTCTAAAACAGCAGTTTAGAGCTAAGGCGCTGGAGTTAGAATTGCCATCTTTAAATACTGGTTTAGCTGTTGACTAACAGATCTTGACAATTTGTTAACCACAGTGGACTCAGTTTTCTTATCTATAAAAAGGGATAATATTCATACATACCTAATAGAGCTCTGTGGTAGAATATAGATTGCTATAAATACTTTGCTACTCTTCCTTTTGAAAGATGGAGTCTAATATTCATCCCTTTGAGTCTGGGCTGGCATTTGTGACACTCTTAACCAGTAAACAATAATGGAAGTGATATTGTGAGACCTTTGAGGCTAGATCATATGAAGCTCTGAAGCTTTTGCTGATCTCTTTTTGAATGCTGCTCTTAAAAATCTTTCTGTTGGAGCCTTTAGCCTCCACATAAGGAGTTTGATTACTCCGAACCTTTAGCCATCATATAAGAAGTTTGACTACTCTGAGACTCATGAGACATGGGATCTCATGCTGGAGATCCACGCGTGGATTCTCTGGTTAACATTACTAGCTGAGCTAAACTTTTTGGCCATTCCAGGCAAGGCATGAGACACGTGTGTTAAGCCTCCTGGTATCCTTTATAACAGCCCATCCACCAGGTGAATAGCATCTGGTGATCTCAGCTGACTTCATATGTAGAACTAGTATCACCTATTATAACCCAACTCAATTTCTTGACCCACTTTCATTAACCATAAAATAATGGTTGTTGTTTTAAGACACCAAGTTTTGAAGTAGTTTATTACATGGTAAAAAATAACTGGAACAGGCTATTATGAAGATTAAATCATTTGCTGTATATAAAACAGCACAGCGCTGGGCACATATTATGTATTCTATAAAAGTTATTGCTATTATGATATTATTACACCATAACCACAATTATAAAGTCTGCATTTGTGTGTGTCTGTGTATGTCATGTTTGTGTATGTTATTTGCAAGTATTGATTAAATGGACTTGAAATGAAAGCCAATAATATGCTGCACTTTCATATAAGAGAAGCTTTAAGTCATTTTTTTAAAGATAGGGTCTTGCTATGTTGCCTAAGCTGGACTCAAACTCCTGGGCTCAAACAATCCTCCCGCCTCGGCCTCCTGAGTAGCTGGGACTAAAGGTGCGCAGCACTATGCCTGGCTGCTTTAAGTCATTATTCTATAAAGAATTCTTTTCTTTTTTTTCTTTCTTTTTTTTTTTTCAAGATGGATTCTTGCTCTGTTGACCAGGTCAGAGTGCAGTGGCATGATCTCAGCTCACTGCAACCTCCGTCTCCCGGGTTCAAGCAATTCTCCTGCCTCAGCCTCCCGAGTATTGGGGACTACAGGCATGCACCACCATCTCTGCCTAATTTTTGTATTTTTAGTAGAGATGGGGTTTCACCATGTTGTCCAGGCTGATCTCGATCTCCTGACCTTGTGATCCACCCGCCTTGGCCTCCCATCGTGCTGGGATCATAGGCGTGAGCCAGAATTGTTATCTTTCCCTGACTAAGAATTAAATGTTTTTCTTCTTCAGGTTTTTTCTTTTTTTCTTCTTTTTTTTTTTGGTCTTAGTGCCTTCTCATGTCACTCTATACTGCCCATCTGAACAGGCCATCTGACTGATCTTCACTACTTCCTTCGTTTCAGTTACCATAAATTCTTAATGAATTCTAAATATTTACCTTTAGACCAACTTATTTTTGAATTTCAGATGTGAACATTCAACTGCTTACTGAAAATCCCCATCTTAACGTCCCACAGGAACCTCCAGACCAACATAGTCAAAACTGAACCCCTTAGCTCCTTATCAAATTTCCTTATTTTAATTCACTATCCATTATTTGTGTAAGTCAAAACCTAGGTTTTTAACAAGAAGTCTGGCTTAACATCACAAATCACATTGGCACATGTTCATTAAAATAGGATCTGGTCTAGGTAATTGCAAAGTTTAAGGCTTTCATAATGTAGCTTATATATCATGATACTGAACTGTGTTTTATGAAGCAATAATACATTATAAATAATGCAGAAAATTTTATAAAGTGCCTGATTTTTGGGATATGCTAAGCAAACTACAAAAGTTTGGCACATCTTGGGATTTAAGCCTTTTCTATCTATTATTTTTCCTGCTCTAGCTTATTGAAACTTGTGACTAGAACCTTCCCATAAATTTTAATCTGAAGATATCAAATAGCCTTATAGATTTAATTTGTTTGCATGTTTCTTAATGCTTTGAAACCCGTGAAGTAATCAAGACTATTGCTTTTTCTAGTTGGCGCATAGCACCTTTTGTCTCCTCTCCATAGCATTGTCAAGAAAGACATTTTATTCTACGCCAGCCATTTATGTCCAGTCCCACTAGTACTCAAAATCTTGAAATTTTAAATTAAATTTAATCAGGCTGTTGTACAGAATTATTTCCACTATCCTAATGTCATTATGCTTCATATCATTTTAATTTATATTTAAGTACAATTTTTGTTTGTAATTTTTGGTGCTCTGATCTTTAATACCTGGAAATAATTTTAGCAAAAATTTATGTGGTTTACATTTGGGAAATGCTTTATCTTTCTGTTGAAGATTCACGATACATGCTAACATACGTAAACTCTGAAAAGTAAAAGCTTGTGGAAAATTATACTTGTTCAGGTTGTTTAATCCAGCAGTTCCCATGGAATGTAAAAAATGAATAACATTTGTCATACTATTTACTATTTAGTTTGAGAGACCTGCAACTTTAAAATTGATACTCAGCTTCGTGAATACCTTTTCTACTTCAGGGACTACATAAGAGAGGAAATCTTTCATTTGTAAACATTCTACTTTGTAGATAATATGGGAGTCTTTTTCCTTTTCTTAAATGGCTTCCCTCATTGCTCACCATTGCGTCAGATGACTTCCAAAATTCCTTGCTAATCAGTTTTAGGTGGGCTTGCTTTCTGAAGGTGAGTTTCTCTCTTTCCCCTGTCCCTATCCTTACATTGCCAAGTCTGTGTGTCCTCTTTCTTCTGCCTTTTTGCTTTCTTCCTTTCCTTTCTGACATTCTAGATTTTGTCTTGCTGATATTCTTTCAGCTTTATAGAATATTATTATTTTTGTGCTACCACAATGATTTTACAAGAAAACACGCGTTAAGGGATAGCTGTTTACCTCGGGATGCTTCAGTTAACAAAGTATTTTACGTAGATTTCCTTTAGTCTGAAATCTCTGTACTTCAGATTAGTTCCATCCCCTGACTTTTCAGAAACACATCAGTTGTATTAAAACGAAGCATATCTGTAACATGCTTACAAGTATGTGCTAATGTAACAGCACTAAGAGAAGAATAGTATTTTGGCAGATAAATTTTTAATTAATTGCTGTAATAAAATCAGCTAAAACTCTATCCTCCTCACAGCATAGAACATGTACTTCAGTTTTTAGGTCAGCTCCTACAAGACAATTAACTGGCAAGGAAGTCAGTGCTCTTCATTACATGGATACAACAATATCAGAGAACTGTTAGAATAACTTAAACTTCTCTAATGAGCTTCAGAGCTTTAATGAGAAGATTTTCTATTCTTATGTGATTAATATTGCTCTGTGATAGAAAGAGAACTTTTTTTTTTTCTGAAAGGAAATGTAGAGCAAAAGAGTTCAAGATAAATGATTCAGAGGAAGTTAAGAAGTGGTTAATCCCTTATAGCCCAAAGGGGCTTAATTATTGATAACTAGTAACTGCCACCAGCATAGGTAGGCTCTCCAAATAATCATTATAGCCTAGAATAAAGTAACAAAAACTATTTTTAAACTACCAGCATTTTAACAATTTATTTTCTGAATTCAGTCTATCAAGCAATTAGCTTAGATGGCTATAAAACTGTGTGAGCTTGTGAACCTATAAGTTTAGAGACACTTATGATTCACGATTAGTCTTGAAAATTTTTTATATAAAAATAGTCCCAGTAAATCACTAAGTCAAAATGGACGAACTGGTTCGATGTGTGTGTATGTGTATGTCTAGGTACACAGCTGTGTGTGTGTCTAGGTGTGTAGCTGTGTGTGTGTCCACACACATTTTGAAAATCAACAGGTTAGCAGAAACAGGATGACGAAGGAAGAATGAGAAAAAGAGATAGTTATAAAGAGTCACTGATAATAAGCAAAACATTCTTAGGATATGTGGGTGTATGTAATCAGTGGCCTTTTTGTACAAATACATCTTTTTTGACATATTAGCTTCCATCGACATCAACCGAAGCTGATTTCAGAATGTCAAGGAGAACTAGTGAGAAGTAAAAGTGACTGTAAAAGTAGTGGAAGTAGAAGCAGTGAAGATGTAGAGAAGTTTGTGAAAGAAGTAAAATAGACGTAGATGGTCATCACATTTAAATAAAGGTTAGTCATGCACTTTGAACAGACACTGGTTAAAGATATTTAGGAAAATAGAATGGATTTTAAATTTTAATTGGGGAAGCTGATTGTAAAGAAGAAGGAGTAAAAGCAAATACCAGAATAAAAACACTAGAGAGGGAAACTATTTCGTTATTAGTTTCAGCTATCTCCGAATGTGTGTTTAGGTTTCAACTTCAGCAGGAGACATCAAATTTATTCAGAAGAAGAGCTAAATTGATGATGGCATATCAATTCAAAAGCTATGCTTTTTGAAGCTTTTTGGGAAAGACATTCTCCTGTGTGCTGTCTTTTCACTCCCACTGGGCCACATAAGAATGGGCATGGAACCCTTCCTTACCAGTAGGTAAGGGGGCCCACACAGGAAGTACTGGGCTTATGGCCTTATGTGGGAATATCTTTTGCTGTTTCAGAATCAACGTGTAGTTCTTTGTTCTGCTTAAGTGGGTGTTTCAATAGTCCTCAGACATGTCCTCTCCCCACAATTTTTTTTCAGATACCATAGAGGAGAGGTCGAGGTCCTTCCACTGAAGCACCAAGTGGGGTATATAAAGCCACACTGCCCATGAGGGCTGTGGTGTGAGTCTGCTAGCCGTGAGAGACAGATGCATTACAAAGGGATGGATTTAGTGCACTCTTTCCTCTCTTACTGTGAGTAGATGCTGCACTTCTTGAACCTGGTGGGAGTGTGTGTTGTCTGTTCTCAGAGACCTTGAATCATACACAGTTTTTTTTTCACCCCCGGGTGACATTTACCTCCTTTTAACATTGGCTACACTCGTGTAATATTCTGTCCTGCAGCACAGCCTGAACAGCCAGTGAACAATGAAACAAAACTTCTTCCCAAGCCTCAATGAGGATTGTGCCATAGTTTGAAGGTAGGAGAATTTCAAGCCATTAATCGTCTATGAATACTGAATACCAGTGAGAATGGCTCCTTCAGGTCTATCAGCTTATTGCTGCTTCTGTGTTATTCTTAGGCCAAAGAACAATGGTCAATCCAGCAATCAACTCATTTTGGCTGATTTGTGCCTTTAGTCCAGGCTTCTCAGTTGTACCACACAGCCGTTCTTCTCTTCAATTTCAGGGTCATTCCTTCAGGAATTCTGTCAGGAATAAGCAGCAAGTTTCCTACTGCTCTGGGTCCTCCTTAGACCCTTCTTATTTCATGTTCAGAGGAATGAACTCCACATCCTGTCCTAAACTCCACCTTCCTTCTATTATTTTTTCATATTTGACATTGATACTCATTGAAACTAGAATCTGAATTATTACCACCAAAGATATTACCTTTTTTTTTGCACCGGAGAGCTTAATCTTTAAAATGTTCTGTGAGAGATGGGAATGGTGTACTATCTTTCTAGTGTGGCAAAAGAAGAGAGAGTAACAAAATAATTGTGTTCATATTAAGATTATTTGAATATAAATATTTTGCCAAATTTGTATTTAGGTGTCCATGTTATTTTTAATAATTGGATTGATATAAGTAGATCTTAAGAAATATCAAAAAAAACCGTTTTGTCAAATTGGAGTCAAGGAGGCATGGAAATTCTCTTCATTTGCAGTACTCCTAAATTCCTGCTTATTCTGTGGTTGAATTTATATCAACAAAGAGAATTGGAGATTAAGGCAATTAATCAGAAATTTTAATTAAAAAAGGAATGGAAAAAATAAGTAAAATTTCCTATAGAATTCTAGGGTTTGACATCTACACAGATATATTCATTAGGTAGAATAATAAGTCTTTTCTTTGCTCTTATGAAAATATTGTTCTCTAATTGTCAATGAGCATAAAGTAAAATGAAGATAGATTATACAAATATCCTTATTGATTAAAAGTTTAAAATTGCCAGTGCCCAAGAAATATGCCTGAATTCAAGGATATCTTATTGCAAAGAATATCTTACTGCAGTTTGTTTTTTTTCCTTACTGTAAATAAAGGGTCAACCAACAGCTAATAACTCACAACTGCATCTTTTCTTGTTAGAACATGTCGCCCAGCACTTTTTGATTAGATGTTCTCAGATAATAGCTGGGGCAGATTGACCAAAGGAGAGCAATTTTTTTTTTAATCAGGATAACATAATGATTCCATCACAAACTTTAGAAAGGGCTATGGATATCACCAATTTTCTTTTTTTGTCTATTATTAGTGCTGTATCTTTAGTGGAATTGAAGACATGACCTTCTGCAGGTTTCAATACAACTTTATAAAAGGCTGTAACAATGCCTTTAAAATCAAATCTATTAACTGTTCTACAGAGAAGCCAGTTTTCTAGTAACTTGGCCATAACTTAAAGACAGGGACCCTGAAAACACCAAGCATCTGCCTGCAATCTGAATTATCTCCCTGACTAGATTCAGTAATCTTGGCTCTTCCCTGCATTTAAGTCATTTTGTGTACATCAATTTTCTCACCTATGAAAGAAGAGAGTTGTCCAACATGTTCTGATGTTCTTTCAGTTCTGAGTTCTTTGGATAATTTGATTGGAGCCCAAGAGATGTCCTAAATCTGACTGGCATGCAGTAAATGTTTGTTGATTGTGAAAAAATATTTGACTTCCAAATGGGTTGTAAAATATCTCGTGTGGACATACTGCAGCAAGTTAACACTTATAATTTTGGGAGCAGAATAAATGTAATTAAGTCACAAATGCAAATGAATTCTCTGCTTATTTAATTCAAAGAGAAATAGTTGTCTAAAAACAATCTGACCCATATACTGGTTGAAAATAGTAAGCATTATTTTTTTATGAAGGGCCAAGTAAGTGGCTTACATATATTAAATGTAATAAATGTATTCAAAAAGATTTTCACCTAGTTGAACTGCATTTATACTTCATGAATATCACTAGTGTAATCATTACTTTAAAAACATATAGCTGGAGAAATAAGCATTTAGACAGGTAAGAAAACAGACTGAAGTTTTAAATTTTATTTTTAACAGTCATTCTAAAAGAATTATTTATCATTATATATTTGTATGACTGTTAAAAGTTGAAACAGAAAACATGGAAGTATGCTTTTAATTGATCATTGTTATATATAGAGAGTGAATTAAAAAATTTATGCATATAAAGTTACTAATAATTTTTTGAGCACATATAGTTTCCTACATACTTACCTATATCTATTCTTTAATCCTTGTAACAGCCCCATGAACTATCTACTATTATTATCATCATTCCATCTTGCAGGTGAGGAAGCTGAGGTCTAGAGAAGTTCATTAATTTGACTAAAGGCACACAGTCAATAAATGGTAGAGCCAAGGTTTGAACCCTGGCATTCTGGTTTTATGCTTTTAACCAGCTGCTTATTATTGGTATCTTATTGTGATGATTTTGGAAAACACTACTAATTTATTTGAAATGTATTAATAGTCTTTATTTATTTACAACTTTAATAAAGAAAAAGTTAACCTTTCCATATGTTCAAACAAGATGCATAATTTTCTCATTTATCATCCGCAGTTTCTATTTCTCTATGCTTTGTGAAATGAAAAGCTGTAATATCAAATTTTTATTTTGTTTTAATCATTTGTATGATTTGCTGGCCTTTGTGCTATTAAATAGAATGTATGAATGCTTTTTTAGCATTTAGTATTTAATATGTAGGGAACCCATTTCTAATGAATTGCCATGAGTTGAGAAATACTCTGTATGTACTCCCTGAAATTATAAGTAGCCAATACATGTCTCTATACATTCCTTTAGGAGGCCTTATTTTGTTCTGTTAGAATTATTTTAACTCAAAATATATTTTGTTTATAAATGATTGGATCATCTGTTTTACTCAAGCAATTGACATTGAATCACATTAATATTACTTCATTTTTTATTCAGAGGTTTTAAACATCTTTCCCTTTTACTGTTTTTAAACACTTAACACTGACAATTTTTATATCTTGTGATATAAAATATAATAAATTATAATCAAGTCAAGAATAAGAATGAAATGAAAGGAAGAAAGTTGAAAAAATCAGTCAAATGGTGTACAATGGTTTCTTCTTTAAGTAAGGGAAATAACAGTTTGTTTACAATGGAATCTATCTATTTCAAGACCCTTTAAGAATAATTTGTGTTGCAAAGTGAGAACATTTGAAGTTCCATTTGAAAAATGCAGTACTTCTGCCCTGGCGAAAATAGATAAGCTTCCGAGATTCTTCTTATGAAAAAGATAAGCCTGCTGCTACTACTGTTGCTGCTGCAGGTGCCGCAAAAAGGAAAAAAAAAGTCTTAAAAATATGTTAGTAGACACATATTAGCAGGAGAACACATATTAGCAGTTCCCTAGGGCTGTAAAAACAAGCATCTGCCATTGATTTTGTACTCAATTGAACTTCACAGAGTCACAGTCTTACATTATTAGATGAGGAATTATGTGGGTTTTAGTGAATTCTTAATGAAACCTATATTTTAAAAATTAAAATATTTTGATTTGATCAATCTTAAGTTGTATCACGTTAGTCTTATCCAAACTCATTCAAAATGTATATGGGATTGTTTCATGAAATTTTGATTTTTTTTTGAAAATTTTGCATTTCAGAGTTGTAAATATAGCTTATCTGAACTCTAGAAGTCATATTGTTCAGTGTTCCTGAAAGTAATGAAAAAAGTTATCTAGAATATGTACATATCAGTTAGAATGTTTGTGAAGCAAGTGATTGAAAATTTATTATCTTCCAGAGATGGCATCAAGGTGAGTTGATTCAGCAGCTTAACCTTGTCATCGAGCATTCCAGTTCTTTCAGCCTCTCTACTCTGCTGTCTGCAACAACAGTTTATACAAAGGCTGGTTTCTTTCTCATGTGAGATGGCTTTGTGTTTGCCCAGTGTGTGTGTGTGTGTGTGTGTGTGTGTGTGTGTGTGTGTGTGTGGCAGAGGGGCTTCTCATGTGTATAGGTGAAGTAAGTTGGAGTTATTTAGGAAAGGGAAGAGCAAAAAGAAAGAAAGAATACTGGGTAATCATCAATGCCCAACACAGGAAAGAGTGTAAGTAAATGAAACCTCTGTTTTTTAATGATAAATTTTGCATGTAGCATGTTCTAGTAAAGTTTGGCTCCACTGAACTTGTATTACTTTGTAAAATATTCAAAGTCATATTGAAAAAAATTCAAATGTTCTCTATTTATTACTTCCCTTTTGGAATTCAGTTATGACTCCTTAACATAGAGGCTCTAAATTCTTAATTATATAGCTGTGAAATAGACTTTTAAGTGGATTGTAATTTTATACATTTGTGAGCTTTTATTGCATTCATTTCTTATGGCAGAGATTGCTCCTTATTCTCACAATCTTTATTTGGGCCATGGCTGTTCTGCATATAGACTACTTGGCAGCCTCCCTTAGAACTAGGTGTAGCCATATGATCAAGGTCTGTTCATGGGAATATAAATGAAAGTAATGTGTACAACTTCCAGCCAATGCTTTCAAAGGAAAGGTGTGACACTTTAGGGCTGGTAGAAAGAAACAACAATAAGGAGCCTAGATACCTGGTAAGTTTTAAACAGAAGACCTAGTGTATCAGCCTACATAATTATGTCTATCTTGTATAAGCCATTTTAAATTTAGGCTGAACTTATATCCTAATGCAGTAGATAACCAATATCAATACATTGTCTAGAAATAAAACATAATTTTCTGTTGTTTTTTGATTTTCTTTTAGATGAAGTCTTGCTCTGTTGCCCAGTCTGGAGTGCAGTGGTACGATCATAACTCACTGAAGTCTCAAACTTCTGGGCTCAACCAATCCTCCCGCTTAACCTCCCAAGTAGCTGGGACGACAGGTGCATGCCACTACGCATTGCTATTAAAAAAAAAATTGTAGAGATGGGGTCTTACTATGTTGCCCAGGCTAGTCTTGAACTCCTGGCCTCAAGCAATTTTTCCATCTTGGCCTCTGAAACGCTGGGATTACAGGTGTGAGACACCACAAGGCCTGATTTTTTTTTTTTTTTTTTTTTTTTTTACTGGAAATTGGATTACAATCCTTCTGAGTACAATATAAAATACATTGCTTGTTGTTGAATAATTTTAGGAATGGAGTAGCATCATATGGAGCTTCCAACATTCTTATTTTGATTTTGTAGTTTTTTAATAAACACAGAAGACTTAACTGTTTTGAATGAATTTACCCATTGCAAGCAATTAACATCCAATCACTTTACTTAAAATAATCAAACCATTTGTGTATATATATACAGGATATATTTCTACTGTTTACTGTCTCAAAGCATTTTAACAAGCTATTGTGCTGGCAGAGTTAATTAGATCTGAAAACTGGTATAATAAAAACAATAAAAAACTGTAAGAATGCATTAAAATAGAACACCAAAATAATAGAACCTAAGGTTTCTAAAGTTGTATTTGACAAGTCAAATGTTCCTTAATAACTGGATGCATCAGAATACATTGTTCATTATAATATTAAAGGCATGTAATGAAATGAAAATTGAAGCAATAGAGAATTCAGTATGCACAATTATTTTAAATTTAAAATCTTACCCATAATGAACATAGCTAAAAACATAAAAGACAAATGATAGAGAAATTAAAAGCAATTATCAAAGGAATTCTCAGCAGAAATTTCTGATTTAAATTAAAGCCTATGATTAAAAATCTCCTGCCTCTTTGTCCCTCTCGCCTCTTCCCACAATTCCTTACTGCCTCAGCACCTTGTAACTTACATTTCTTTTCTTTAAAGACAATCATACTATGCTTGATCTATGTGGCAGGAATGAACATATCAACTTCACTTTTCATCAACTTCACATCTTTCTGGATCCTGTCTCTGTAAGCCCTAATGCTTAACTTGTGAAAGAACAAAGATGGAAATACTATTGAGTAAGGTCCATGAAAAGTGGAATTATTTTTCACCTACATAAATGTTAATTTTGTAAATAAAAAAGAAGACCATTTCAGATTTTTTTAAAATTGAGGCTTGAAATGGAGTACAGTGTATTTTGGTGGCCAGGCCTGGATTGTGATTATCTAGGTACCCTAAGTAGCAAAAAGATTATGGTCCCTCATCCCCAGATAATAAATGTGATGCATTTATTTATTCAATCAAAATCTGTTTTTGAATATTTGCTCAGGCACTCTTCTAGGCACTGAAGACACAATAGTTAACAAAATGACTTTTCTTATTATTTTCACATTCCAATTATTTAAATCAGTACTAATGATAAAAGAAACATGTGGCAATTCAAAAAAAAAGTCGCATTTCAGTTGATAAATCCTTTTTGCTTTTTTGGGAAATATCAAATTATTTTAAAAAATTTCTGCTCTTCTTTTTGCTTCTACATTGTGCATGTACTTAAATTTCATATTGGCTATTAAACACTGACACCACTTCTTTTCCAAGTATTTTTTGTTCATTTTTCAGATGCCACTGGTAATTAGTTATTTTTCTTTTATAGTAAAAAAGCTAGTATATTTGTTTACCCTTTTTGAAGAAATTGTAACTTCATAAGCTCTAAACTGAACAACTTGAACAAAAAACTAGGGAAACTTGATGTGGTTTTAAAAGTTAAAACCATTAATTGTGTTTTACTGGAGGATGCTGCCAATTAATTTTGTCTGAGATTCTTTATTCTTATGTTTATATAATACAGTGCGTACTTTAGAGGGACATATCCCAGATTTTTTTCAATGTAATATCTGATACATACAAAAGAATATATGTAATATATGGTCAAATTATTAACCATAACAACAAAACAAACAACAAGAATGCAGCATATTAGCCTAAACACTACATCATTAACAATATTTTTATTTGAATTATTTAAAGAAAAAATAACCTTTTTTGTCGGAGACATTTTTCCAGGTTATACGACCCACCCCCAAATTTTTTTTTCTTTCTTTCTTTTCTTTTTCTTTCTTTTCTTTTCTTTTCTTTTTTTTTTTTTTTTCTGAGACAGGATCTCACTCTGTTGCCCAGGCTGGAGTGCACTTGCATGATCGTATCTCACTGCAACTTTGACCTCCCTGGCTCAAATGATCATCCCACCTCAGCCTCCCAAGTAGCTGGGACTACAGTAGGGTGCACTATGCCTGGCTAATGTTTTAAAATTTTTGCAAAATTTCTGGCTGTGTTGCCTCCTTATATTTTATCTGATGTCTATACAATATTAGACTAGGCTAGAGTGTTGCCTTAAGGAATATTTCATTTTCTACTTTTTAAAATGCTAAAAGTAAGATTTATTCTGAAATAAGTCTGAGTGTATAGAAAAGTTGCAAGACCAGTATAAGTGACGTTTTATCTAAACCACTTAAAGTGAATTATCAATGCTATGCCCCATCATTCCCAAATACTTCATTCTGTAATCCTTACAAAGACATTCTTCTACCAACACAGTAATGAAAAAATTTTAAAAAACCATTGAAACATTACTATCATCTAATTTGTAGTTCCAATTTTTTTTGCCAATGTCAGTGACAAAAAGTTCAATGACAGATTGTATATTTCATTTAACTGTCACTTTAAAAAATTAAATAGTTTTGTTTTTAGAGTAGTTTTAGCTTCACAGCAAAATTGAACATAATGTACAGAATTCTCAAGTACCTTCATCCTCCCCCGATAATCTCCTGTGCTACAACTGTTGAGATCCTGCAACACAGTGATGCGTTTGTTATAATCGATAAACCTGCACTGATACTCAAAGTCCGTAGTTCATCTTAAAGTTCACTCTTGGTACTGTGAAATCTACGATATTTGACAAATGTATAATGACATGTGTCCCCCTTTGTAGTATACAGAATAGCTTCACCACCCACAAAAATCTGTTCTCCATCTATTCCTCCTCCCCTCCCACCTAACCTCTGGCACCCACTGATCTTTTTACTGTCTCCACAGTTTTGGCTTGTCCAGAATGTTACTTAGTTTGAATTACATAGTAAGTAGCCATTTCATAATGGCTTTTTTCCCCCTTAGTAATATGTATTTAAGTATCCTCCATGTCTTTTCATGGTTTGATAGCTCATTTCTTTTTAGTGTTGAATAATATTCCATTGTCTGCATGCACTCTAGTTTATATATTGATTCACTCGCTAAAGGACATCTTGATTGCCTCCTAGTTTTGTCAATTATGAATGAAGTGGCTGTAATCTGTGTTCAAGATTTTGTGTATACATGCATTTCCAACTCATTTGGATAGACACAAAGGAGTGCACTTGCTGAATCATATGGTAAGAGTATGTTTAATTTTGTGAGAAATTGCCAAGCTGTCTTACAAAGTGGCTGCATGATTTCACATTCCCACCAGCAACAAATGAGAATTCCTGTAGCGCTTTGTTCTCACCAACATTTGTGTTGTTGGTATTTTGGATTTTCACCATTCCAATAGATGTGTAGTGGTATCTCAGTGGTGTTTTAATTTGCAATTCCCTAATAATGTATCATTTCATATGATTATTTTCCATCTATATCTTCTTTGTTGAGGTGTCTGTTCAGGTCTTTTGCCCATTTTTTAAAATTAGGTTTTTTGCTTTCTTACTATTGAGCTTTGGGTAACCGTCCTTTACCAAATAAGTCTTCTGCAAATATTTTCTCCCAGTCTGTGGCTTGTCATCTCACTCTGCTGACTTTGTCTTCTGCACAACAGATTCTTTTAATTTTAATGAGGTGCAGTTTATTTATTATTTTCTTCATAAAATCACACTTTTGATTTTGTATCTAAAAAATCATCACCACCCCCAAAGTCATCTGGATTTTCTTCTGTATTTTCTTCTAGGGTTTTATAGTTTTGCATTTTACAGTTTAGGTCTGTGATCCATTTGGAATTAATTTTTGTAAAGAGTATAATGTCTGTGTTTAGATTTATTTGTTTTTAACATGTGAATGTCCAGTTTGTGCCCATACCATTTGTTTTAAACCTATATTTTTTTTATTGTATTACCTTTGCCTCTTTGTCAAAGATCAGTTGACTGTATTTGTATGGGCCTATTTCTGGGCTTTCTATTCTATTCTCTTGGTCTGTTTGTCTCTTTTTTTTTTCTAATACCATACTGTCTGGATCACAATAACTGTACAGTAAGTCTGGAAGTTAGGTAGTGTTAATCCTCCAGTTTTGTTTCTTTTTTTCTATATTGTGTTGGCTCTTCTGGAGCCTTTGTTTCTCCATATAAACCTTAGAATCACTTTGTTGATATTCACGAAATACCTTTCTGGGATTTCAATTAAAACTGCATTTAATGTACAGATAATTTTGAGAACTGGCATCTTGACAATATTGATGCTTCTATTCATAAACATGCAACATCTCTCCATTTATTTAGTTCTCCTTTGATTTCTTTCATCAGAGATTTATAGTTTCCCTTTATATAGATGTTGTACAAACTTTGTTGGATTTACCAAAGAATTTCATTTTTTGGTGCTAATATAAATGATATTGCAATTCTAATTTCCAATTCCATTTGTTCATTGCTGGTATCATATGTTATTTTTTAATCTTCTTCAAACTCAGTCTCTCAGTCTTCCCTAGACTTTCATAACTTCTACATTTTGAAAATTTTATGTCAATTATTTAATAGAATATCTCTAAATTTAGGTTTGTCTCATTTTTCAATGTAATTGGATTCAGGTTACGCATTTTTGATAGATTAGAGTGGTGCTGTGTTATTCTTATTGCACAGGTCTGTTGGGTTGAGTGGGGTGAGTTAAATCATTCCTTTTTGGCCTCTCATAATACTGAATCAAGTGAAAGTTGGCCTGAGTCATCAGAAGACTTGTCTCGGCTGAATGTACAAGGTGCTCACTGACATATACAGATCCAAAGTTGAGTCGGACTGGTCTGACTGTTGGCTGAAAGCTCACCTGGGGCTGCCAGAGGTCTTCAACCATAGCGTCTCCACGTAACTTAAGCTTCTTATATCATGTGCCTAAATTCTGAGACAGAGGAATAGAGAAGAGAGAAAGGAAGAGCAAGAGAGAGAAGGGGAGTTCCGAGTGTCCATTCCAAGAAACTGAGGTGGAAACTGCAAGGCTTCTTATACCAGAGCATTACTTTTTGTACCAGAACATTACTTCCAGTGTATTCTATCTGTAAAGCAAGTTATATTTAGTTCACATCTTGATGTGAGAAATAGCATTGTGTACAGGGAAAAAGAACTTGATAGCTATTTTTGTAGACTATCTGATAAAGATGTTTCTGGGCTGAGTTAATAATGCTATGTTGGCTATTTATTTCTGATTTTCTAGTTCTGTCATTTCTTCTACATTTATTAGTTAGTCTTTGTGTCAGTTGGGGTTCCCTAGGGAAACAGAACCAATAGGATATATCTATATCTTTACCTATGTCCCATACAGATACACACACACACACACACACACACACACACATCCAATCCACACACACATGTACATTCAATCTGTTGATAGCCTGACTAGAACAATAGGCAAAGGCAAGGGGAAATTCGTATCTCTACCTGACTGCTTCAGCTGAAATATCAATCAGTCTCTTCCTGCCCTACACTGGGACCAACATCATGAGCCCTCTGGTTCCCAGAACTGTAACACTAGCTTTCCTCTTTCCGGGGTCTCCAGCTTTCAGACAGTAGAATCATGAGACTTCTCAGCCTCCTTAACCATGTGAGCCAATGCCTTATAACAAATATCCTACAAACATATATATATAAATGTATACATACAAATATAATAATATCATACAAATATATATATTTATATGTATACATGTAATTACATTTAAGAACATTTAAGGCTATTTACATGTAAAGAAAGGAAAAATAATGTAAATATTTGTTTTCACCTGAAATAAATGTCAGACACTGTCTTTGTTTAAAGAAATAGTCCTCTTAAACTTTGGGCAATGCTGCCAATTACATTAACTTACAATGTTATTTCAATTGCATCACCAGAGTAAAATCTTAGAGTATTATTTTTATCTAATAAATTAATAACATCCACATGGCTTTATTGTGCTGTTATTTCAACTTAAAATGTAATTCCAAAATTCATAGTTAATTTTAAGGTAGACTAATTCTAAGCTGAAGCAATCAATAAATAATCTTTTGTTATTTGAAATTTATCTCCTTAGAAATTAAAATGAGTATTGACAGAAAAGCAGAAACACATGGTAACCACACAATAGTTTTTACTTATGTATTCTTGGCTAATGTAAATGTACTTGTTCTTCATTCAAATTATGATGGTAAAATCATTCCTGTATAAACAATATTTTAATATATGCTTTCTAAATTTGATTAGATACATATTTTAGAATTAGGGAAATTTATTATGGCATTTTTTTTTCTTTTTTTTGAGATGGAGTTTCGCTCTTGTTGCCCAGGCTGGAGTGCAATGGCATGATCTTGGTTCACCACAACCTCTGCCTCCTGAGTTCAAGCAATTCTCCTGCCTCAGCCTCCTGAGTAGCTGGGATTACAGGCATGCACCACCACACCTGGCTAATTTCGTATTTTTAGTAGAGATGGGGTTTCTCTATGTTGGTGAGACTGGTCTCGAACTCCCGACCTCAGGTGATCCTCCCCCCTCGGCCTCCCAAAGTGCTGGGATTACAGGTGTGAGCCACTGTGCCCGACCTATTATGGCATATATTAAGGAGTCCTTGGGAAGAGTAGCTCCAACAAGCTCCAGGGTTGGCTAATTAATTGCATCAAAAATATCAACAACCCAGACTCTTCCTCCCATTTAGTTCTCTCGTCTTTGGATGTAACTACATTTCTCAGATGTGTTTCCGTTAGAATGGCAGGATGGTTTCCACTGTTCCAAGTATCACATCTAGACATAACAATGCATTTTCGTTGGATTTTTTATTTAAGTCACCATTTTCAGATGTACTGTAATTTTATCTATACTCTCATATAAACCACAACCAAAGTCTAGATGTAGAATATTTTCATCAGTCCAAAGCGATTAACTTTGTTGTTAATCATTTTCCCAAAATATAAAGCCCTGGCAACTGCTATAATTTTGTCCCTATACTTTTCTTTCCCAGAATGTCATATAATGGAATCATGATGCATGTGGTCTTTTGTTTAATTTGTATCTTTCAAGGATTCCATTTTTACATTATCAAATTTACCTGTATTTATGTCTCCTCTTTCATTGCTGCTGTTAGTAATTTGTCCTCTCGCTCTCTGTCTATTTTCTTCTCCCTCTAAAGAGTGGTTACGTCTTTATCAATTGTATCATTTTATTCAAAGATCATTTTTGGTTCATTTTTACATGTTGTTTTATATATTCTACTTAACTGATTTCTGAGCATGTTGATAGTGTTCTCTTCTGCCTATGTTGAATTTAATTTGTTCTTATTTCATTGTTTTTATAAGGAGACACTTTGATTATTGATTTGGAATTCTTATTTTCTTATAAAATCATTTAACACTATAAAAATGTTCCCTAAACTTTCTCTTAACTTCATCACACACATGTTGATATGTTGTATTTTCATTTCCATGTATTTAAAAATATTTTCTTTTTCTTGTGTTTTTATGGATTATTTCAAAATGCTATTTAATTTTCAAGTATTTGTGGATATTTAATGGTATACTTTTGTTATTTATCTTTATCTTAATTTTTGTGAATTTAGAACATATTTTGCATGTTTTCAATTCTATTAAATTTGTTAAGACTTGTTTTATAGTCCACAATATATTCTACCTTAGTAGAGTTCCATGTGCAGTTAGTAGAGTTCCATGTGCACTTGAACCTCAATTAAATTCAGGTTCCAATATTGTTGTTCCAGTCTTCTGTATCCTAGTTAATTTTCTGTCTGCTTATGTTATCTACCACTGAGAGAGGAGTTTTTTTTTTTTTTTTTTTTTTTTTTGAGACGGAGTCTCTCTTTGTCCCCCAGGCTGCAGTGTAGTGGTGTGATCTCAGCGCTCACTGCAAGCTCCGCCTCCCGGGTTCACGCCATTCTCCTGCCTCAGCCTCCCAAGTAGTTGGGACTACAGGAGCCCGCCACCACGCCCGGCTAATTTTTTGTATTTTTAGTAGAGACGGGGTTTCACTGTGTTAGCCAGGATGGTCTCGATCTCCTGACCTCGTCATCCGCCCGCCTCGCCCTCCCAAAGTGCTGGGAATTACAGGCATGAGCCACCGCGCCCGGCCTAGAGAGGAGTATTGGTGTTTTCTCGTGGATGTTTTCTATTCTTTCAGTTCTACAGCCCTCTTTAAGAAAATAGCAAAGCTCTGCTTTGTGTGATACACTGTGAAATTTGTCATTTTTTTGTTGAATTAATCCCTTTATCATCATATAATGTCTGTATTTCTCCCCTAAAATATTATATGTTCAGAAGTCTACATTTCTGGTAAAATGTAGTAACTCATTTCATTTGGTAGTGTTTGCATGATATATATTTTCCATATTTTATTCATCTTTTGTATTTTTTAGTATCAATTGTGCATATATTGGCTCTGATCTTTATTATTTCTTTCCCTCCACTAATTTTGGGTTTGATCTCTTCTTGTTTTTTTAGTTCCTTGAGGTGCATCGTTAGGTTGTTTGTTTGAAATCTTTCTAGTTTTTTGATGAAGACATTTATTGCTATAAACTTGCCTCATAGTACTCCTTTTGCTGTGTCTGAGGGCTTTCAGTATGTTATGTTTCTATTTTCATTTGTGTTAAGGTATTTTAAGAGTTCATGTTGTTCAATTTCCATGTATTTGTACAATTTTGAATCTTCCTCTTGTTATTGATTGTATTAGTCCATTCTCACTGCTACAAGGAAATACCTGCAACTGGGTAATTTATAAACAAAAGAAGTTGAATTGGTTCACCATTCCATGGTCTGTACAGGTAGCATGGCTGGGGAGGCCTTAGGAACCTTTCAATTACGGCAGAAGGCAGTGGTGAAGCAGGCACGTTTTCACATGGCTGGAGCAGGAGAGAGAGATAAGGGGAGGTGCTACACACTTTTAAAGAACCAGATCTCCTGAGAACTCATATCACTACCTTAAGAACAGCAAAGGGGAAATCCACCCCCATGATCCAATCACCTCCCACCAGGCCCCTTCTCCAACATTGGGGATTACAATTTGACATGAGATTTGGGTGGGGACACAAATTCAAACCATATCATTGATGTTTAGTTTTATTCCATTGTGCTCAGATAAGATACTTGATATGATTTTGATTTTTAAAATTTTTTTGAGGCTTATTTTGTGTTTTAACATATGGTTAATCCTGGAGAATGCTGCATGCATCAATGAAAGAATGTGTATTCTATAGCTGTTGGGTGAAATGTTCTGTAATTGTCTGTTAGGTCCATTTGTTCTATGATGTAGTTTAAATATGAGGTTTCTTTGTTGATTTTCTGTCTGGATGATCTGTCCAATGCTGAGAGTGGGATGGGGAAGTCCCCAACTATTATTGTTTGGGGTCATCTCTCCCTTTAGATCTAATAATATTCACTTTATATATATGGGCACTGTTGTATTGGGTGCATACACATTTACAATTGTTATATTTTCTTGCTGAATTGATCTCTTTTTTATATAATGTCTTTGTCTCTTTTTACAGCTTTTAACTTGAAATCTGTTTTGTTTGATATAAAAATGGCCACTCCTGCTGGTTTTTCGTTTACATTTACCTGGAAAATAATTTTCTAGTTGGGTCTCTTTCTGTTTTTGGAAGAAGAGCTACAATAATTTTATTGCATCTATATAGTATGCTATAATACACTTCAGTTTTTAAAAAATGAGGAGCTGAAATGAAGGTACTAAATTAATGAAGGCACTTAAGGTACTGAATGAATTAAATGAATATATTGAAATGGAACAAAATTCCATGTATATTGTTAAACTACCTAAACATTGTGGGCAATATGCATAATGTTATATCACTTGTCTTAAAAAGAAATAAATAATATGCTTATTGATACGTTTGGGCTGTGTTCCCACCCAAATCTCGTCTTATTCCCATATGCCCATGTGTCATGGGAGGGACCTGGTGGGAGGTAATTGAATAATGGAGGAAGTTACCTCCATGCTGTTCTTGTGATATTGAGTGAGTTCTTACAGGATCTAATTTTTTTAAAAAATCCATTCAGCCAGTCTACATCTTTTAAAAGGGAAATTTAATTTATTTGCATTCAAAATTATTATTGGTAGATGAGGACTTACTTCTGTCATTTTATTGACTTTCTCTGGTTGTTTTATATATCATTTTTTCTTTTTTTCTTCACTTACTGTTAAGTTTTGTGGCTGAGTGGTTTCTGTAGTCATAAGTTTTGATTCCTTTCCTTTTCTTCTTTGTATATTAAGTATACCAGTGAGTTTTATAATTTCACATTTTTATTTTTATTATTTATTAAAATTTTAGATTTAGGGGGTACATGTGCAGATTTGTCATATGGATATATTGCATAATGCTGAGGTTTGGGCTTCAATGAAACCTGTCACCTAAATAGAGAACATAGTATCAAATAGGTAGTTTTCCAACCCTTGCCACTCTCTTTCCCTCCCCCATTTTGGAGCTCCCAGTGTCTCTTGTTGTCATCTTTATGTCCATGTGTACCCAATGTTTAGTTCCCATTTATAAGTGAGAACATGCAGTGTTTGGTTTTCTGTTGCTGTGATAATTCACTTAGGATAATGGTCTCCAGCCACATCCATGTTGCTGCAGAGGACATGATTTTGTTCATAAAAATGGTTGCTTCGTATCACATGGTGTATATGTACCAATTTTTTCTTACCAAATCTCCCTGTGTGGGCAACTAGGTTGATTCCATGTCTTTGCTATTATGAATAGGGCTGCTTTATCATGTTTTAAGATGGTGGCTATCATCTTTTCATTTCCAGATGTAAGACTCCCTTGAGCATTTCTTGTTAGGCTGGTCTAGTGGTAATGAATTCCCTTAGTGGTTTTTTTTTTTTTTTTTGGTCTGTGAAAGATATATTTCTCCTTCATTTTTTGAAGTATAGTGTTGCTGGGCATGATATTCTTGTTTGACGATAGTTTTTTTTTTTTCCAAGACGTTGACTGTATCATTTCATTCTTTCCTAGCCTGTAAGGTTTCTCCTGAAAAATCTATTGTTAGTCTAATATGAATTTCCTAATATGTGACTTAAGGCTTTTCTCTTGCTGCTTTTAAAATTTTCTCTTTGTCTTTGACTTTGACAATTTGGCTATAATGTATGTTGGAGAGGACCTGTTTTAGGTTCTGGGCGGTTCTTTGAGCTTCTTTACTTCATCACTGTACTGACACTTCGGATGTTTTCTGCTGTTATTTTATTAAATATGTTTTCCTCAACTTTTTCCTTCTCTTCACCTTCTGGAGTGCCCACAAAACAAATGTCTGTTTGCTTAATGATGTCTCATAAATTCTGAAAATCTTCTTCATTCTTTTTAATTTTTTCTTTGTCTGCATGTGTTATTTCAAATGACCAATCTTCAAGTTCAGAAATTCTTTCTTGTGCTTGATCTAATCTGTTGTTGAATCTCTCAATAGATTTTTTTATTTTAAATATTACATTATTCAGCTCTAGGATTTCTGTTAGTTTTTAAAAAATAATATCTATCCCTTTGTTGAATCATTAAGTCATGAATTGTTTTCCTGATTTCATTTATTTATATGCAGTCTCTTGTATCTCACTGAATTTTCTTAGACTGTTATTTTGAATTCTTTTACTGGCATTCCAGGTATTTCCTTATGATTGGGATCTCTTACTGGAGAATTATTGTTTTCCTTTGAAGGTGATATATTTTCTTGCTTTTTCATGGTTGATGTGCATATACAGTGGGTTAGCCAACTTGAGGTCTGGCTTGTGGGCTTGGAGCCATGGAGCTGTTACTCTGACTGAAAGCACAGGCACACTGTTGTTCAGCCAGCATGTGTGCGTGCATGTTAGGAGCAGCCTTGTGGGACCACTTACAGGCCTGGTGAGAAACTGCAGGGCTGTTTCTCAGGCCCGAGACACAGAAACAAGGCTGCTCAGCTGGCCTGGTGGTATGTCTCCTGGGGGCGTCCGATGGGGCTATATTCTATGTGGCTGGAGTGCAGTGGCGCAATCTCGGCTCACTGCAAACTCCGCCTCCCGGGTTCATGCCATACTCCTGCCTCAGCCTCCCGAGTATCTGGGACTACAGGTGCCCGCCACCACGCCTGGCTTTTTGTATTTTTAGTAGAGACAGGGTTTCATCGTGTTAGCCACGATGGTCTCGATCTCCTGACCTCGTATCCACCCACCTCGGCCTCCCAAAGTGCTGGGATTACTGGCGTGAGCCACGGCGCCCGGCCAAGGGGCAGAGTTTTAAGCCTAATCTTGCTGGACAGAGTTTTCCTGAGTTTCCAACATTGTGCTTACCTTATAGCCAACAGCAAATTCTGGTTTTCCAGTCTTTTGTTGAGAATTTTGCATCTATGTTCACCAGGGATATTGGCCAACAGTTCTTTTGTGTGTGTGTTTGTGTGTCCTTGTCTAGTTTTGGCATTAGGGTAATTTTGGCCTTATAAAATGAGTTTGGAAATATTTCCTTCCCTTCATTTTTTTGGAGGAATTTGAGAAAAATTGGCATCAGTTATTCTTTAAGTTTTGGTAGAATTCAGCTGTGAAATCACCAGGTTCTGGGCTTGTTTTTATGAGTTTTTTTTTTATTACCAATTCAATTACCTTACAAGTTTTTAGTCTCTTCAGATTTTTTATTTCTTCATAATTCAGTCTTCTTGGGTTGTATGTATCTAGGTATTTACCTATTTATTCTAGATTGTCCAATTGGTTGGTATATAGTTATGTATAGTAGTCTCTTATGATCCTTTGTTTCTCTGTGCTATCATTTATAATGTCTCTTTTTTCATGTCTGATCTTATTTATTTGAATGGTCGCTTTTTTTTCTTAGTCTAGCTGAAAGTTGTTAATTTTATTTATCTTTTGAAAAAACATCTCTTTGTTTTGTTGATCTTTTCCATTGTTATTCTAGTTTCCATTTTATTTATCTCTGCTCTCATCCTTATTTCCTTCTGTCTATTAATTTTTGGCTTAATTTGTTCTTGTTTTTCTAGTTCCTTCAGGTGCAAGGTTAGAGTGTTTATTCGAGATCTTTCTTCTTTTTTTATGGAGATATGTATTGCTATAAACTACTCACTTAGAACTTCTTTTGCTTCTTTTGCTGTATCTTATAGGGTGTGGTATGTTGTTTTCCCATTTTCACCTGTCTCAAGACATTCTAAAATTTCTGTTTTATTTCTTCATTGACTCATTAGTTGTTTAGGAACATGTTGTTTAATTTCCATGTATTGGTAAATTTTTCAAAGGTTTTCCTGTTATTGATTTCTTGTTTTATAGTATTGTGGTTAGAAAAGATATACTCTGCCTGTATATTTTTAAATAATTTGTCTTCTAGTTCACATTTTCTTTTTTCTGGTTGATCAATTTTGCTATTGGTGATCTCTGTTGCATTTTTAAATTTTGTTCATTGTATTTTTGACCTCTAATATGTTTAAAACTAATATTCTCTCAGTTAAATTTCTCGATGAATTTCTGAATTGTTTCTTTGTGTTTTCTTGACATTTGCTGAGCTTTTAAAAAACAGCTATTTTGAATTCTTTGTCAGTAATTTAACTCATCTTCTTAATTTTAGGGTTAGTAACTACTGGTCCCTTATTTTTTCTGTTTGGTTACAGTAAGTTTCCCTGCTTCTTGTTCCTTGTGGTTGTTTGTTGGTGTTTGCTATTGAAGAATTAGGTGTTTATTCCAGTTTTTGCAATTTGGCTTTGTCTAGAAATGTCTCTCAACAGTAAGCCTGCTCAGAAATTCTGAACAGATCATCTTGTGTAGTCCCTAAGCCCGGGACTCCTGCAGCTGGTGCTGACTGGGCTAGCATCCTTTGATTTTCCATGGCTGGAGCAGTGGCTGACTAGAATGAACTTGGGAAAGACTCAATGAGACCACCTAGGTTGTTCAGAGAAGCTGGCCAAGATTTGAGCTTGGAAGACCTGTAGACTGTGTTTCTTACAGTGTAGTACTGTTGGCTAGTTTCCTTGGTATGGTGTTTCCATTGGCCTGAATGCACAAGGCAAACACTGAGAACTGCACACTTGTTGCTGTGAGCCCCATCACTACTGTTTGTTTTTAACTGACCTCTGCTGGTCTAGTCTTGCCAGTACTTTCAAGTATTCTCATGGAACGACATAGGAGTGAGCATCCTGCAGTGACTTCCAGAATAATGGGCATGCTGAATGTCTGCCTCTAATTCACTTTTCCCACTGTAGAAACTGTGGGTACTGAAAAATTCTCTGTGTGTGATGCTTTGCTGGCTGGGTGGAGCAGTGACACAGTCAAAGAAAATTGTTCCATTTATTCTTTGGCTGTGGCTTTTCTTGGTTTTGTGGTCCAAGCAAGTTTCTTAGCCTCCCTCCTGTGTTCTGAGATATTCAGGGTGGTATTCTTGCCTATGATTGGTTGCTAGTTGAATTTCTGTGGAAGGAGGGAATAAAGTTGGAGAACTGTCTTCCTGACACCACTGTGCTGCTGCTTTACTCTTGACTATTTAAAACATTTTAATTCAACCTGAAAGTCTATTTCTTTTGATTGCAGTAATTATTTAAGTCTTTAGTGTAATTATTAATAGGTTATGTTTAAATCTGCCATTTTTAAAGATTTTCCACCTTGTAGTTCTTTCTATATTTTGTTCTTTTTTCTTCTTTAGTGTATCTTTGGATTAATTAATTTGTTTGTAATTTAATGTTCTACTGTTGGCTCATTAGTTATAACTCATCTGTAGTTTTGGTAGTTGCTCTGAAGTTCACAATATGTATCTTTATCACATTCTACCTCTAAATAATATCAAAAGCTTCATGTACAGTGTAAAAATCTTATACTGGTATATTTTTATTTTCTCCTCTCTGCTACTACGCTATTTTTGTGATACATTTTACACTGACATGTATAAAGAAGCTCACACTAATTTACTTCTGCTTTACAGGAGGGGTTGGCAAACCTTTTTGGTAGTTGGTCATATAGCAAATATTTTAGGCTTTGCAGACTATACAGTCTCTTTTTATAACTGTTCAACTCTGCCATTGTAGCTCAAAAGCAACCACAGAAAATTTATAAATAAATATTCAGGCCTATGTTCTAATAAAACTTTATTTACAAAAACAGGTAATTAGCTGCATTTGACTGGCCAGCCTTAGTTTTCTAAGTCCTGTATTACACCACAATTCCATGAATAACATTAGTGTAGAAATGCAATGAGACAAACCTTACCTGAACAAGAGAGATTATTAATGGTAGCCTAGATCAAAAAGAACTGTTAAAGAAAAAAAGATCCAAATTTGGTCTATGATAAAACCTGCTTGTATGCTATAATTGATAACATACTTTTAGTAAAGTGTTAGAATTCCTAATAAAAATGTTTACACTCTTTAATGTCATTAATCTTTAGTAAGATTGGAACTTTTCTTGGGAATCCATTTACTTAGTCAAGGGACTAAAAGTTGAGCCTAGTGACTTTTAGCTGAATATATATTTTCTTTTGTATCTACTGTGCCATGGGGTGGCTGAGAATTGAGGCAAGCTGCCTCACTAGAAGAATCTTATACAATTGGTTGTTTGAGATGAAGGTTCTTAGAGGGTCATTGCTATGCAACACAAACGTTTGTACACTTTGTGCCCATTCTCTTAGGTCCATCCACATGCTTCTTCTGCAATCCTCTTTGACTCTGATCTTTTAATTTTGATTTTTCTAAGCCCTTAAACAACCAGATAAGCCATTTGTCACATTCCAGGAGTTCATATATATCTTTACCTCAGGTTACTTCATCTTTCTCACCAAACTGATGATCAATTTTACCCTTTAAAGCTCTTCCCAATGGGAAAATTTCTCTTCAATGTTGTATTTCAGCATCACTTTTGAGTGTGACTGTAGTGTGGGAGGAGTATATTTTTAGTCTGCACAGCTTATTGAGCTGATTGATCCATGAATCAGGCCTGAGTTGTTTCTTCATTTGTCAGCCAGTTGTTGGAAATTTCCCATGAAGTCATAGGTGTGAGATGAGGGGGACATTGGTTAAAAAAAATTGGTAAAATGGGTGTCTAGGACAATCCATTTAAATTATGTGTGTCCTTTTGTCCTGCTCAAGCTAAACCCTGGAAAGAAAATTTCCTGTGGTATGATGAATTGATGCTTTGCCTGCTCGACATTATGAATTGGTGGGTTTGTAATGTGCTTCTGACTCATCACCCTGGCTGCCTATTTACTTGTTATCCCATGTTAAAAAAAAGTGCTTAAATTCTACTAAGACCGAGTACATTTCACAAGGTTCCTTTTGAACTGTGAATAATTCTTTACTGTAGAAAACATAGCCTTGCACCAGAATTGTAGGGGACTTATCTGTGACTTTCTTACTGTTGCTTAGCACAGACTCCATCCAACACACTTATTTCCACAGATATCTCTAACATCAAGTGTACTACTGGTTAGACCACTCAAATTCAGGGCGGTTTATACTGCATCTTGAATTTTTGCTGAGCCCCTTCTTGCTTTTGGTCCCACTGATAACCTGTTTCTTTAAAATGGTAAAAGAACTGAAGTAGTATTCTCAGGTACCAAAAGTGCTGTCTGCAAAGTACAAGGAAGCCTACCAGTAGCATTGTCTCTTTCTTCGTGACAGGAGGTACAAATTTGCAATAAATTCTTCTTTATCCAGCATGTTCCAGACAACTAAACCCCTGAAGCTTACTGATATGGCTGCTCTCTTAAGTATTGGTTGGGGTTATTTTCCATCTTCTAGTGCATATATGTCCGGGTCATCCAGATGTCTTGCTACTTTCTGCTCCCCAGGCCCAACAATATAATATCATTAATATTGTGTACCAGAGTGAAGTTCCACAGAATGTCTGTATGATTAATGCCTATGGTATAATAGAGAGCTAAAGAGTCAATGTAACTCTAGGGGAAAACTGATAATGTACATTGCTGTCTGTCTCAAATTAATGGGAATAGTTCCTGGTCCCTCTTTATGCTGGGGATTGAAGATAATGTAGTTGAGAATTAATAGTCACATATTATGTGTTAGAAGCTGAGATGATCTGTTCTAGTAGAGATATCACATCCGGAATAGTACATTATTTCTTTATGGAATGTACCATAATTTCTTTATTTTCTGTTTTTGAGACATTTGGTTTTTCTAGTTTAGGGTAATTATAAATAGAGCTGTTATAAACATTCAGGTACAGGTTTTATTGTGAACAAAGGTTTTCACATCTCTAGGATAGAGATTCATAAGTGGGATTGCTGGATCATATGGCCAGTGTATGTTTCACTTGATGAGAAACTGACAAACAACTTTCCAGTGTGGCTGTACAATTTTACATTCCCACCAGTGAGGCATGATAGTTCCAGCTGCTCTGCATTCTTACCAGCACTTGGTATTGTTAATATTTTCTTCTCATGCTAATCGGTGTGTGGTTGTGGCTTTAATTTGAATTTCCCTGATAAATAATGATGTTGAATGTATTTTCCTGTGCTTATTTGCCATCTGTGTTTGTTAAAATATTTTGCCCACTTAAAAAAGTTGAGTTTTTTTTTTATTTTAGGATTTTGAGAATTATTCATATATTTGGGGTACAAATTCTTCATCAGATAAATGATTTGTAAATATATTCTTCCATTCAAAGGCTTCTACTTTCATTCTCTTAACAATTTCAAAGAGCAGAAGTTCTTTTTTTTCTTCTTCTTTTTTTTGAGACAGTCTGGAGTGCAGTGGCGTGATCATAGCTCACTGCAGCCTCAAACCCTTGGGCTCAAGACATCCTCCTGCCTCCACCTCCCGAGTAACTGGGACTATAGGTGTGTGCCACCATGGCTGAGTTTCTTGTTTATTTTTACTTTTTGGAAACAGAGGTCTCGTTGTGTTGCCCAGGCTGGTCTTGAACTCCTGGCCTCAAGCGATCCTCCTGCCTCTACCTCCTAAAAGTGCTGGGATTGTAGCATAAACCACGACACCCGGCTCAAAAGCTCTTAATTTTGATGAAGTTTAATATCATTTTTTTCTTATAAGGATAGTACTTTGAGTATCGTATCTAAAAAATATCTGCGTAACCCAAAGTCACATGGATTTTTATCTTATGTTTTATAGTTTTAGATTTTACAACTGTGAACCATTCGAATTAATTTTTGTATATAGCGTGAGACAGGGATTGAAGTATGCAGTACTACCCCCTTATCCATGGTTTTGCTTTCTGTGGTTTCAGTTACCTGCAGTATAGTACAATAATACATTTTGAGAGACAGAGAGAGAGGTAGCATATAAGCATATTCACATAACTTTTATTATAGTATTTTGTTATAATTGTTCCATTTTATTAGTTATTATTGTTAATCTCTTACTGTGCCTAATTTATAAATTAAACTTTATCTTAGGTTAGTATGTATCATTAAGAAAATAGCATAGTATATATAGAGTTCAGAACTGTCTGCAGTTCATATATCCACTGGGGATCTTGAAGCATTTCCCCTGTGGATAACTACTATATATCATGTAGTATAAAACTACTATATATCATTTAGTAATATAACATTTATATGTGTACATATGTGTGTGTGTGTGTGTGTGTATATATATATATATATATAAAATACCATGTATTCTTTTACATATGTCAAAACTTTGTATGTCTGAATTTTTCTGCACCATTTGCCAAAAAGGCTATCCTTTCTTATTTGTATTACCTTTAAAATTTAGTAAAAAAATCAATTGGTTAAATATGCATAGATCTGTGTCTGGACTCTCTGTTCAATTGATTTATATGCATGTCTTTTCTCCAATACTACACTATGTTGATTATTGCAGCTTTGTAATATGTCTTTTTTTTTTTTTTTTTTTTTTTTTTTTTCTGAGACAGAGTCTTCTTGCTTGGTCACCCAGGCTGGAGTGCAGTGGCAAGATCTTGGCTCATTGCAACCTCCACCTCCTGGGCTCAAGCTGTTCTCCTGCCTCAGCCTCCTGTGTAGCTGGGACTACAGGTGTACGCCACCACTAGTTAGCATGCTAACTGGGCTGAAAACCCAACCTAAGAACTGATTATAAAAGTGGTAGAATTACAAAGAGGCTGAATTCACAACCAAAACAAGTATCTTATGCTAAAGTTAGGGAACTCACAGGGAAAGAACAGAAAGGAATAATATAGAAAGAGACAGACTCTGAGAACTAAAGTGAAAATATTTGGGTGGATAACCAATTGGCTAATTTTTTGTATTTGTAGTAGAGACAAGGTTTCACCATGTTGACCAGGCTGGTTTCAGACTCCTGACCTCAGATGATCCGCCTGCCTCGGCCTCCCAAAGTGCTGGGATTACAGGCGTGAGCCACCGTGCCCGGCCGCTTTGTAGTATGTCTTGAAACCAGGTAGTGTATGTCCCACAGCTTTGTCTTTCCTTGCCACCTTGCTTCAGATGGTTAAATACTGTTACCTTGACTCTGCTATTTCAAATTTTTATATTCCCATTGAATCTACGGAGCTCATTTCTGTAGCAGACTCCCCTTTAATTGACCCTGGCTTACAAAGGATAGCTACTTATGACCTTCCCTTCTCTAGTACATTTCTTACAGCTTTAGTGAAAAGAGTCTTTTGGGCCTTCCTGGGGGAACATAGTAAGCTGGAAGATTCTCTGGTCTTATCTTTTACATTCACTTCTACCTGTCTGCATCTCTGAGTCATTTCTTCCTTCAGTATTCTTCCAACATGGTTTTTGCATCTTCACTTCACTTATCATTAGTCATATTTTTTTTCTTTGAAGCTTTAAGGAGCTTTCCCAGCTCAGCTGTGTTTGCCCAGGCATTATATCTGAGTCACAGGAGAGTGCCAAATTATTAGTAAACTCTGTCTTTTATTCTTTCCCATTTCCCACTTTGTTCAATATTCTTTAGATGCATTTCCAATTGTGTTTTCCCACTCAGTTGGATCCATTTTCAACTCAGTTTCTGCTAGCATTTATTAGCCAGACCCTGAAGATTTTGGGAAACATTTTTTTTTCCTCATAGCAGAGATCGTATTTCATCTTTGAGTCCTTCGGAGACATGTCCCTAGTTATTTCCTAGAAGCAAAATGGGAAAGTAGGGTATTTGATGAGAAGAGAGAGAATAATATTTTCAGGCATCCTCTTCAACCAAGGACAGGCTACATATTCCTCAAGGCAAGAGGAATGGGCACTTCTTGACTAGACATTTCAAGCCAATGTGTTTGATTTTTCAAGTGTATCCACCCAAATATTCTCACTTTGGTTCTCAGAGTCCTTCTCTTTCTATATTATTCCTTTCTGTTCTTTCCCTGTGAGTTCCGTGACTTTAGCATAAGATACTTGTTTTGGTTGTGAATTCACCCTCTTTGTAATTCTACCACTTTTAAAATCAGTTCCTAGGTTGGGTTTTCAGCACAGTTAGCATTTTGGCTATAGGAAGTGCGGATGTCCTTAAATGCTTTTATGGATGCCTTTTGACTTGCACACTGCGTCCTGAATTGGTTAGTGGCTCCATCTGTACCTGGTCACTTTGTTCTTTCTGGCTTCAATGACAGTTAAAAACAGCCAATCAACTCTGCAATCCTAATAAACACCGTTGCTTTCATCCTGTATTTCATCCCAATTCAATATAGGTATAACTCTTAGACATTTTGTTACTACAGCTCACCATGGGTTACTACCACCTTGCTTCCTATTGGCAATGGGATCATTTTAACCATCTGACCAGAATGATCTAATTTCCAGAATTTAATTCACAGGGTCCAGCTGTCTTTTATTATGTGTCTTAGATCAAGTTTTCCCAGAATTAGACCAAGATATAAGAATTTGAGTATAAATAGGTTATTTGGGGGTTGATCCCAGGAAGCACTGATAGGAAAAGAAGTGAGACAAGGAAGAAAAGGAAGCTAATAAACGGTGTGCTTTTGAGTCTGTTATTACTATGGGCAATTCAGAGTTAATTTTGTTGAAAAATCTGGAAAGCAGCGCTTAAAATACTGCAGGTATCCTACTAGAGGAATGTGAAGCTAGGCTATTTATACTCCAGCTGCTGTCTATCATTTTCTGAGTTTCAGGAGTGTTAATTTCCTGGCCCTTTTAGGCTGTGTTATAGATGGGTATCTGGAAGCCACTACTATGTACTAGAATAGCAAACCTTGACACAAGTGAGAAACACTTAACAGTATCTACCATAATTCAATTCCATAAATGGCTGTTTTTAGTATTTGTAGTATGTATTAAAGTTATTTTTTAACATTTCTTTTTTAATTGGCTACATTAATTTCCTGGCTGGTGTTTATTTTTGGATTTTTAGGTAGAAATCCTGAAATCCACAAATAATGATGATGGTAAAACTTTCACCCCTATGTTATAAAAATACTTTCTATTTTCCTTTATTTCTTCATCAATTAAGTCCTCAGAGAAAACTGTTGAATAGTATTGATAATAGTGCCTCCTGCTGTTAATCCTGACTTTAGTCAGAAAGTCTCAAAATTTTATTAAGAACAATGTTTACTTTTTATTTTTATATACTTCTGAAATATTAAGAAAATGCCATTGTATTTCTGATTTCATATAAGATTTATTTATTACTATCATTTTATGATTTAAGAAATGTTCTCATTCCTCTAGTTGTGTATGCATCTTCTCTCTCCTCTCTCTTAATCAGGTTTAACAGATGTTTGTTTACTGATTTCTCAAAAAATCGGACCCTGGTTTTTATTTTATAGTTCTATTGCTTTATTGGCTTCTAATAACTATAGTATATTTTTAAATTTTATTGAGTTTTTCTCCTGGTTTATTTCACTTTTCAGACATTTTGAGTTAAATCCTAAGTTAATTTGTTTGTAATTATTTGTTCTTTCTTAATAGAAACATAACTGTCCTCTTCTCTCTCAATTTCACACATATTTAGTGCATGACCAAGAAAGATAGTGTTCACCAAAACTTTAGTCAGTCTCTTCTGAGTCTTCTGCTTGGTGAGGCCTGAACTTGGACTTTCCTCTCTGTCCTTATAGAACCCAGTTTGGGCAAGAATCCCACTAAGCCAGTTCAATAATTACCTATGTGGAAATGGTAATCATATGGATTTGGATAAGAAAATCCTTCACCTATAGTATCTGACCACCCTCAATACCTTATTAACCTGGCCAGCCTTCAGCAATAATTCTGTCGAGTCAGCTTGGCCAGAAACCAGTTATCCTTGATGTTTCAGGAATTTTGCATCCACTGACCCCATCTTACTTCTTGGTTGTAAATCCCCACTTGTCTTTGTCAGAGCTGGAGTTGAGTCCAATCTCTCTCCTCCACTGCAAGACCTGGTTGCAGTGGCCCCTACAACTATTGGCCATGACACTCCGTGAATACTGTCTGCCTTCCATCTTTAACAAATGTCATAAATGTTTTTTTTCTTTAACATTAATATGCTACATTGTTATACAGGTAAACAGAATTCTGAGTTTCTGATGTATCTGGGATTGTCCATAATTCAGTACATGGAGGTTACTTTAGAATTCAGTTCTGAATTCAGACTTTAGGAGAACTAGCTCTTCGAGTAAAAAGTGCAAGAAGCATTTACAGAAAAAAAACAAAATAAAACAATAAACCCTATCAGATTACCAGTTACCAAATGTTATTAGGTTGTTCATGATGGAAAATGTAATAATTTTATCATATGATTACCATTTCCACAATTATATATCTTCAGACATTAGCATTATAAAAGTCAGGGATATAGTTGTTCTTATAGGAAGTCAGGAACTTATAGGAAGTGCTGAAGATCCCATTCATTCTGAAGAACTAGTTAGTGTACTTATTATTTTTAGTTTATCTCAAAGTACAGTGTTCATCTGCCCAGCACACCCTACTGTTGGCTGTGGGATGATTGCACTTCTTTTTTTTTTTTGTTGGGGGGCGGTGGGGGACAGAGTCTCCCTCTGTTGCCCAGACTGGAGTGCAGTGGTGCAATCTCAGCTCACTGCAAGCTCTGCCTCCTAGGTTCATGCCATTCTCCTGCCTCAGCCTCCCGAGTAGCTGGAACTATGGGCGCCTGCCACCACGTCCAGCTAATTTTTTTGTATTTTTAGTAGAGATGGGGTTTCACCATGTTAGCCAGGATGGTCTCAATCTCCTGACCTCATGATCCGCCTGCCTTGGCCTCCCAAAGTGCTGGGATTACAGGCATGAGCCACCACGCCCGGCCTGATTGCACATTTTTATTTATAGTGATAGCAATGCAAAGTGTCAGTTTTGCTGCCACAGAGAGCAGGAACAAGGTCAATTACCTCCAAGTTCATTAAAGTCTTTAGAATAGTACCTTTTATATTGTAGGCTGTCAGTGACTATTTGTTGTATAGGAAGTGTAGTCTAAGAAAAGAGTTACAATGTAACGACACATTCGAACCCCTACACTTATGAAACTCTTAGAACAGAAAAGCGTATTTCTGATGAGTAAGTTTTAAAAAAGTAGTGATGCATTTAGGGTATGGAAAATGTATTAGAGAATATGCATTTATTACAACTAAGGAAGTACTAGGATGCTTGTCTTACTGTAAAGGTAATTATAGAGAAAAGGGGACATTCAAAAGGTATAAGAATATCTTTCCCACATTTGCAGTATATAATTAACAAACTTCTTTACATTTATTTAGGAAAGAAAGTAATAAACCACTTGTTAATAGTGGCAGTCTTGCATTCTGTATACTTAAATGTCAATTATCTGAACATAAATTTTCTCCTGTTCTGAGTTACACAAGTATGTTTTTGAGATAATTCAGAGACAGGTATTATTACCATTGTGGCAGTTCCATTTTCTATAGCTGTAAATGCATTAATGTAAAACATGGAGGATAAATGAAGAGTTCCACCACCATTGAAAACTGTAGTGCATGGAAGTTAAATCAATATGTGGCTTTTAAAAACACAACATGGTGATAGCAGAGAAGTGAAATCTGACTGCATTCAAGGAAAGTGACAAAAATGGTAGGTGTCTATTAAAATAACAATCACAGGGAGGAGAAATAAGAACATATCTTTTCCACGCTTTGACTGCATGATGTTCTGCCTTTTGATTTCTCAAGATTAATAACCTCAGTAAGGAGGAGGCTTTTATAAACATGTGTGAATAATGACAGATTTTAAGAAAATATAGAGAGGGATTTTTTTCTTCATCATTTGAAATAGACTTGCTTTTACACTGTTAATTTTTTGGCAGCTGGGATAGTGTGCTCATATGTCACCTAGGTTAATTCAGTTCTCAGTAACTAATGCCAATGATAGCAACTTCCTTTTGAAGCAATTTAGGTATTTAATTATGCCACAGATCAATCATGAAACAAAACACATATCCAGGCATTAAACAGTAAAATGTAAATTCAGCCCTTACTATTCAGGAGTTCAGGTAACATCAGCAGTTATCTTACCAGGAAACATCTCGATGGACAACTTAAAAGCTGTAGTAGATGATGAGAGACTGACAAAAAAATGTCAGAGAACAATATTATCACCATAAGTTAAAGGATAATAGTAAAAATAAATAGCAAAGTACCATCGTTCTAAATAATGTGGTCTCTAACTGAATTTTTTTTTTTTTTTTTTTAGACAGAGTCTCTCTCTGTCACCAGGCTGGAGTGCAGTGGTGCGATCTCGGCTCACTGCAACCTCCACCTTTCGGGTTCAAGTGATTCTCCTGCCTCAGCCTCCCGAGTAGCTGGGATTACAGGCACGTACCACCACGCCCAGCTAATTTTTTTTGTATTTTCACTAGAGACAGGGTTTCACCATGTTGGCCAGGATGGTCTGCCCACGAGGTTGACCTCGTGCTCTGCCCACTTCGGCCTCCCAAAGTGGTGGGATTACAGGCGTGAGCCACCATGCCAGGCCTGAATTGTATTTTTAACAGTTAGTGCTTATCTCAAGGGAGTGCCAATAAAAAGGGAAATCTAGGAACCCTGTAATAAAAATTATGGTCATGTTATGCACAGTTAATATGCTTTTAAGATATACTATGCATACTTTTAAGGTGTTATAAGTTTATATACATCTTTTTGCATACTAAGATATAAGGTAGATCCCAAATTACATTTGATTATATTCTGGAAAATCGATGTTGAATTGGTTGTTTGAAACTCACAGCTTGTTTTTCAAATAAACATTTTTATAATTAAGATTTTTGTCTTTCAGCCCAACTCACAAAGTAATTTGGTCCACAATGTAGGTTAAATCTTGTCAAACAGAAAATAGATGAAAACAATTTAAGTCAGAAACATAAATTAAAATTAAAGTCTAAACTTGAATAAGGAATTATTTCATTTCTTTTTTTTGCAATTTAGTGCTCAAAGGGAAGTGAACTTGTTTACAGAATTAAATAGAGAAATCTGTGGAGTTTTTGAAAGAGATTTTTGAACACTTTTATAGATATTACACATTGAAGATAGATATGATCTCTTTATACATATATTTGATGTCATTTTCTAACATAACTCTTATATTCCTTAAAACATGTGAATTGTTAGAATTCTTCTAGCCTGTTCTAGTTTATTAGGGCTGCCATAACAAAATACTACAGACTGGTTGGCTTAAACAACAAAAATTTGTTTTCTCAAGGTTCTGGTGTCTAGAATTCCAAGATCAAGGTTGGCAGGGTGTTTCTTCTGGGATCTCTGTCCTTAGCTTGCAGATGGTCACCTTCTCACTGTGTCCTCATAAAGTCTTTCTTCTGTATGGCCACATGTTTGTGTCCTAATCTCCTCTTATAAGGACACCAGTCATACTGGTAACCTCATTTTACTTGAATTATCTCAAAGACAAAACTACACTTGTACCCTTTAAATTTATACAAATGTTTTTAAAAGACTCTATCTCCAAATAAGGTCAATTCTGAAATACTGGGGGCTAGAGCTTCAACATATGGATTTTGGAGGGGATACAATTCAGCTATACCATAGCCCTGATTGGATCATGGTTAAGTTGGATAGCTAGAATTCTTTTAGCCTTAGTTACATTCTTGTTAACTTAAGAAGGAAGAATAAGCATTAGAGAAGAAATGGAGGTCAGGGGATCCATGAAAGGATATTCTTTTTATTTTGTCACAAACAAAAATATTTGGAAAGAAAGAGTGTGCACGTATGGGATTAACCGAGCATAGAATGGCCCTGAGCAGGGAATAAAGAGGTGTTAGTGATACCATTGGGTCAGTTTTCTTTTGCAGATAGGTTGCTGTGCAAGGAGAACAGATATGAGGCGGGCTGAAAAGCTGGGCTGGGGTCTAGAGGGGAAACAAGTGTGTAGCCTGCTGTTTGCATTCACGGGCACGTCACAGATTAAACATGAAAATCTAGGAGTTGCTGTAGATCACTTACATCAAGGCATCATTCATTTGATAAAAGAGAAAACTATAGAACCGACGTTTTGGAGAGGGATGGCTCTGTGTTTGAAATTTGATTATTACTCACTAATTGTGTAAATTTGGGCAAGTTATTTTTATCTCTCTGAGTCTGTTCTCTTATCTGTAAAATGTGGATAATATTGTCTATATTAAGGGAATAAAGCATGGATATAGAGTATCTGCATTATGGTTAGTCTTCGTAAAATATAGCTATAACAACAACAAGAACAATGATATTAATAATAATTCACTTATTTGTTTCATTGAAGCACATAATAAACTCACAGATAGGGTAGATAAAAAAATATGACCCTTAGAAATAAACAGACATACACTTAATGACATGAATTTAATGTATTCACTTTCTAGGCCTACTGTAACAAATTACCACAAATTTGGTGGTTTAGAACAGCAGTAATTTTATTCTTTCATAATTCTGGAAGACTAAGTCTCAAATCAAGGTATTGGTAGTGTTCATTGTTTCTGGAAGCTCTGAAGGAGAATCTGTTCCATGTTTCTCCACTAGCTGCTGGCAGTCCTTGGTATATTTTGGTTTGGAGATTCATTAGTCTAATTTCTGCCTCTATCTTCACATCTTTCACTCTTCTGAGGAAACTTGTCACTGGATTTGGAGTCCATCCTAATTCAGAATGATCTCATCTCAACATCCTTGATTTAATTACCTTCGCAAAGACCCTTTATCCAAATAAGGTACCATTCACAAGTGGACGCATCTTTTGGGGGACTACCATTCAATCTACTACAAGAGAGAAATAATATAATTTAATAAAACTTTAAGGATAATTTAGCTAATACTATTAGACATTTGATAAATGCTTTATAAATTAGGTTTTTAGCTCATTTAAGGCTTTATATTTAAAAGAAAGCATGAAATAAAATTAAAAGTATTTTTTGTTTTATCAAATATCTAATTGATATTAAATTAGATATAGATTATAATAGGTAGAACCTGACACTACAAATGAAGTAGGATTGGGATAATAATAAGTTGTAATAACTAATATTGTTTTTTTTTTTTTTGCATGCTAGGGCATATTTAACACACATTCCTTTACCTTAAATAATCCTTGGCTGGGTGCGGTGGCTCATGCCTGTAATCCCAGCACTTTGGGAGGCTGAGGCAGGCAGATCCTGAGGTCAGGAGATAGAGACCATCCTGGCCAACACGGTGAAATCCCGACTCTACTAAAAATACAAAAAATTAGCACAGCGTGGTGGCATGCGCCTGTAGTCCCAGCTACTCAGGAGGCTGAGGCAGGAGAATCTCTTGAACCTGGGAGGCGGAGGTTGCAGTAAGCTGAGATCACACCACTGCACTCCAGTCTGGGAGACACAGAGAGACTCCATCTCAAAAAATAAATAATAATAATAATAATAATAATCCTCATAAAAACCATAGGGAACACAATGGTGAGCCTAAAATAGCTTGACAAGGCTTCCACATTTGAAAAATTTTAATGACAGTGGATGAAATTCACAGTGACTTATAAATATCTTAAACTTGAAATTTTATTGTATAGGTAACGAGTCATAGTAAAGACTTTTAAAACTATGACAGGCCAAATGATCACATGGGAGAAGGTAACAAGATGGTTTTCTTCTGAAGGAACTTTCTAGTTTCCTGAACATGAAAGCAATGAATTAACATGAAGTCTGTTCATTCATCATTTAACAAGAGAGCTCTTGAAAGATTGAGGATTTCTTCTGGGTGTTGGTATTGACAAGAAAAACAGAATGCTTCACAAAATGGCGGCACATGAGATGCTTCTTGTCCAGTACCTTGTGGATGTGATAAAACCTCATTATCTGGGGAAATCTGACTCTGAAAAGGTAATGTTACCATTTCAGGTGCCAAATAAAAAGGGAGTAATATCTCTTAATGTATGAAAAGAACCATTTTGTTAAAGAAGAAATATCTTCTTTCAGAGAGACAGAGGGTTTGTGACTCTTAGTGGTTAACATTAAGCATTTGAAGTGATTGATGGTGGGGGCAGCCACAGTAAAGCGGTGTCCTCAGGAGAGCAGTGGGATTAGGACCTGGCTAGGCTTAGCTGGAGCCTGCAGAGGTGATGGGTATCGAAGTGCTAATTGACAGCAGCAGTATTGAGAGCCAAACTAGGGAAGGATGTTAATTAGACAAACTGTGCTTTGCACTGCCCTCTTCAAATAGAATAAAATTGTGACTTGAAGATTATAGAATTGATCTTGGCAGAAAACTAGGTGTCATTTGAGCTGAAGATCTTTTGATGTTTACATGTACTCTTGATTGTACACATTTTCTCCTAGCTAAAGGGACCAGTAGAAATAAGTCTTCAGAAGTTTTTTGTTTTGTTTTGCTGTTCTTTAATCATGCAAGAAATACCTTCTTTCTGAAGACTAGAAGTTGGAATTCTCCACATATCTATGACATCATATTATTAAAATAAATTAAAAGTAATCATGTAGAATGACTACAATTTGTAGAAAGCATAATCTTTGTCATTTGATTAGCCTGTAACCCATTAAAAATTTATAGAGCACTGTATTCATCACAATATAAACCCTCTTAGTAGATAAAATAATATGTCTTTGGGATCTAATGCTCTTCCTCTCTCTCTCCTTTTATTCAAAATATAATAAATTTTAAAAATAGAAAAAGTAAAATTAATATCATATTTTGAAAATTTTGATCTGGGTCGAAAGTGGACTGTAACAGATCACGCCAAATACTAATTTGGAAATCTAAAGACAACTTTACTTGCTCTTAAACCTTTATTGAATTATAGGACAACTAATAATTAGGATTTATAGCAGAGAACAGTTATAAAGGATAATTGTTGAAGTTATTTTAGAATAGAATAACTTACTGCTGACCCCAACACACATTTACTTTTAATGTTAGTGCTTAAGTAATCTTCAGAAAGCATTAAAACACCCACAAATCCTTTTTGTGGTTTAGTAGGTAGAATAATATATAAGAAAAACTCACAGTTATGTAATCTGCTAATCTATTTTCTTTCATTTATTTTTTTCATATTATATCTGTATTACATTTAATGGTCCTAATTCCCAATCCATACCTAAATGTGGAAGAGGAAGAGATGGGAAACGATATTTTTTGAATTCTCTTTTCTCCTTTCCATAGCAATGTTCCACCATAAGTTCATTAAGGTGACTAATCCAGGGTATTCAAGGAACACTACTAGTTCATGTCATCTTCATAAATATGAACATAAAGTATATGACATGAACATAAAGTATATGACAATGGCAGCTTGTGGAAAGGGCCACTTACAGCACTTCAAAATTTCTTCTATGGGCCTTGAAATAAGTGTGAAGGAAATTAACAGATTTAGAAATGATTTTGAGAACTTACTTCTATGACTGATGACCTTTCAGTTCTAATTTCTATTTACATGTGTCCTTATCATAAGTCTTTTTTGTGCTTCTGCTAGCTTGAATCTTTCTCCCTACTTTGTAACTATGTTCTGTTAAGAAAACAAACCTAGCTGGGTGTGGTGGCTCATTCCTGTAATCCTAGCACTTTGGGAGGCTGAGGTAGGAGGATCACTTGAGCTCAGGAGTTCAAGACCAGCCTGGGCAATATACGGAGACCCCGTCCCTACAAAAAATAAAAATAAATTAGTTGGCATGGTGGCACATGCCTGTAGTCTCAGCTGCTCAGGAGGCTGAGGTGGGGTTTCTTGCTTGAGCCTGGAAAGTTGAGGCTGCAGTGAGCAGTGATTGCACTACTGCACACCAGCCTGAACAACAGAGTGAGACCCTTCCTCAAAAAATAAAAAAAGACAAAAAAAGGAAAACAAACCTAAAATTATTGTGGTTTAACATATAAAAGCTAATTTCTCTCTTACATAGGATCTGCAGCTATCAAAAATAGCTCCCTTCTAAAGGTAAACCTAGAGCTCAAGGCTGTTTTAATCTTGTGACTTTGCCTTCTCAATAAATGGATTCCACTGCTGCCACAGCAGAGAAAGGGAGCAGAAGGGCTATACATTGGCTTTTAAATGCCTCAGTCTGGAGTGGACACACATCATTTTTGTACACAGTCTGTTGTCCAGAGTTAGTTCAATAGTATTGTCAAACTGCAGGAGGGCTCTGAAAGGTGGGGCTCACATGGATTGCAGTGTGTAGTAAACGCTTCTGCCACACAACTAAATGAGCCTTAGTGAAACAATCCTATTAACACAGATTATAAGTAGCATAAACTGTACAGTAAGGAGATGGATTGTAGTCCTTTGTCAATTGTGTTGAAAGATTCTGGCTCCTGCACTTGGTCAGGTTGAACATTCTTATAGAAATATCATTTCTTCCTCTAATTATAATTTGAGATAATGAAGGGAAGATTACTTGTGAATACGGGAAAAAATGGAAGAAATTTGTTCTTTTATAGGAAGTGACATGACAACAGTTCTAGTAATAAAGGTGAAATAAATGGTTAAGCAACATAAAACTGATGAATTAAGTGAGGATCAGTCCTGTATATTTCATTGTCCATTTACTCATAACTTTATTTTCCTCTACTAGAAGCATACCAGTGAAACACTATCATTTCATACTGAATACATTTGTGCATTTATGTTCTGGTTTTTCTTTCCACAGAGGAATTGAAGGATGTTTGTTATAATTGCTATCATAAATATTTTATTCTTTGGATTTGCATCCCTTATCTAAATAAAAATACGGAAAGTTTAAAGTAGTTAGATTAATATGTTGAAAGATGCAATAAATAAGTGAATGTTTCAAATGATTTTTATAAAACTAAGTTTTTGGGTTATTAAAACTCTCAGTGTGGCCGGGCACTGTGGCTCATGCCTGTAATCCCAGCACTTTGGGGGGCCGAGGTGGGTGGATCACCTGAGATCAGGAGTTTGAGACCAGCCTGACCCATATAACGAAACCCCATCTCTACTGAAAATATAAAATTAGTGGGACGTGGTGGCACATGCCTATAATCTCAGCTACACAGGAGGCTGAGGCAGGAGAATTGCTTGAATCTGGGAGGTGGAGGTTGCAGTGAAATGAGATCACGCCATTGCCTGCCAGCCTGGTCAACAAGAGCAAAACTCCATCTCCAAACAACAACAACAGCAACAAACCAAACAACAACAACAACAAACCAAACAACAACAGCAACAGAAAACTCTTAATGATATAACACAAATAGTGAGGATGATGGAGATGGTGATGGTGATGATGAGGATGATGTTAATGATCATAGCTAACACTTACTAAGCGCTTGTCATATGCGAAACATTGTTCCATGCACTTTCTATGTGTTATCTCTTAATTTTACACTAATCATTCTAGGTAAGTTGGCTAGTATGTTAAAGATAAAGAACTTTAGGCACAGCCATGTTAAATGACTTGTCCAGATAACTTGAAAAGTATTTTATGTCTGGAAGGGAACTAAAGTTACCTGTTCTTCTGCTTCTTCCCCCATCCCCCTTAGAGACAAGTCCCAAATCAGCTCAGGTTTCTAAACTAGAAATCCAGAGTTATGACTTAGGTCTCCTGACTCCTAGATCAGGTTAAAAATAAGCATGCTTTAAAGCCAAAAAGCTGTTATTTAATCTATCTAAAGTGTTTAAATTGCCTTTTCAACTCTTTGGATGTAAACATATTGTTATCCAGGGTTACTGTACTGCTATGGAATAAGGTGTATATAGGGTAAGGTAGGCTTTGGTGAGGCATGGGCACTGAAGGCAAATTGTCAGCCAAAAAGTGTGCTGACTTTAGTGCAGCATTTTATTTGGAAATAGTGAAAGAATAAAAGAAACCTATGATCTCCTAAACTGTGGTGAAGGCATATTTTTAACGAAGAAATAATATGTCAAGTTTTGCTTTAATTGGCTCTCTATGTAAATGCCTTTTGCATCATATGGAGTGTCTTAAGTAGTTACATGCTAAATGTAAGTAATGTGTTAATATAAGTGCTAGAGAAGAGTTGGTATAGATGGGCTTATTAAAATTTCTATCACCTGTTAATATTCCTTAAGGCACTACCTTGGAAATGTATTAGTTGGTATTATTAGCTGGTAATTTAGAAGGGTACACCAAAGAGTCATTTATTTTATAGTGCCATTTGCTTTCAAAATTATCTTACCACATTTTAAAAAGTTAGATATTTAAAAAATACAGAAATATACATGTAAAAATATAACCCACACCTCCATACTATCAGTGGGAGTTAATCCAGGTTATTTTTTTCTTAATTTATAAAACTTTACTGGCACATGGGAAGTTCCCTTTCTACTTCTTTTCAATGCTATATTTTTCTTATGTCCTCCTTGAGAGTAAACCTCTGTTATAAATTTGGAGCTATGTTCCTCCACTCTCTGTTATTAAACCTTAACATCTTATGTTCATACCCATAAACAATATACATTTAAAAATGTATAAATGGAAACATACTTAATATCTTTCTACAACTTATTTTTTCCCACTTATGTTTTAAATCTGTCTGTTTTAATATGTTTAGATATAGTTCATTCAGTTTAATTGAGATTTCTTTGTATTTATCTCCCTGGAAGAAATGGAATTATGGGTTGTATGTTGTGCTTTTAAAAAACTTCATTAGATAGTGCTAAAATGCTCTTTAAAGTGGATGTAAAAATTTATTCTTCCACCAGCATATAGAGAGGTCTCATGATTTTCCCACATTCTTAGCAATATGTGAGAGTAATAGATTTTTCAAATTGCTTACTTCCCTCAATTTTTAGTTGCTTTTCATTTAAAAAAAATCAAATTACTGTAAATCTTTAATTTTCTTGCTAACCACATAACGTTATCTACTTCTTATAGAGCAGCATTTTTGTTGTGATAAATGTACATCAACAATGTTTAACAAAACTATATTAAACATGCTATATTCTCAGTTAATAGGATTATACTTGATAATTGTTTCAAGAATAAAATCACTGTATCTGTTCAGAGTAACTTATTCCAGTTAATTCAATGACCTGCATTCAATCCCAGCTATAGTCTGAGTAAATTATATGATTATATATTATAAATACACACATACATAAGATGTTATTTTTTTACATACATATATTGTCTATCTGTAATCTATCTGTCTTTAGTTTATAGTGAACAACATAAAAGCACCTCCAGAGTATCTATTTTGTCCTGCTTGTATACTTTGTCACTCATGACTGCTCTTCAAATCATTGCATTTAGCCCTGAAGATAAGTTCACAGCTTGAACTTTTCATTTAGATAATTGGTGCTTGTTTTTACTACTGAGTTGTCCTCATTCAACTGGGTAATGGAACTGGAAATTACTTCCTTTAAGAATCTTATTTAAGTGAAGACAAACCATAAACATAGAAGTACTTTGCTTGAAAGCAGCAACACAAATATAAGATAGCCCTTGACTTTAGATAAAAATGTCATATCTAAGGTGGAACTTTTAGTATGGCACAAGAAGGAGCTACACTAAAAGTTCCATCTCAGATATAGAAAGATCAGCAAATTCTGATCTTTAGATCAGAATTTTCAAAGACAAGATCAGCAAATTCTCTCCTCAAAAAGTAACTATAAAATTGGACAGATTGTCAAAAACAACCATTTCATAACTGGAAATCTACCAAAGACAACAAAGTGAGAAGTGTGAATTCATGAAAAATTATTGAACATTGTGTAAATACAGTGAGAATCAGTCTCATTCTTGCCTGGGGCTATTCCCTTTCCTCTCAGTTTGAATGGTGCAGTAATTTTACCATTATGGGGAAGGCCAGGAAAACCAGAAGCTTCACCGCTGGAGGTGCCTCTCTTTTCTGAGTGGAAGGTGAAAAGTCCAATGCTCAGCAGTGTTGTCAGTAAAATTAGTGATTTTGATGACAAGGCACCAGTGAAGGCCAATAGTTCTGCTAGTCTGAGATCATCATCATGGCTGCAGCAAGCAGAAGACAAGTGAACTAGACAGAAATTTAACGGTGAGATCCAAAAAATGAGGTAGCCGTAGGAGGGCTTGTTATACTTTTTTGCATCTTCAATTAACTGGAAGTCTGTAAATGTGCATGGGAGACTGAACAAGGTCTAGACTTTTCACATATCTGAAAAGTGGTGGTCTGCATGCACAGGTAAAAAGCAAGAGGGCCTGATGGAAAGTAAAACCTGGAGTGTCCCTGAAAACTTCTGAACTTTTAATGTGCTCTCTAACCAGCACTCATATACTTGGAAAGAAGGTTGAAGGCTTTCTTGGATAAAAGTGTTTGAGCACAGCTTATGACATATAACTGCCTGACCATTAATCTATGGAAACATGGGGCTAGTGCAGAAGAAGTGAATCTTAAAAATTAAAACAGAATTAAAAAAATTAAATATAAGCATAAGTAGTAACACACTGCAAGTGAGACATATTTCCCAGATTTAGTCCAGGAAAGTTGCTAAACAAATAAACAGCAATAACTACAACCCCAAGGAGGGAAGTATTTGAATCTGGAGTGTTTATGATACATTTTTGATTGAAATGTTCACTTTCAACAAAATTATGAGAAAGGGAAAGAAATGGAAAAATACAGCCATAATCAGTAAAAAGGAAAAATTAGAGAGTGTTTGTGAGTTTACCTGGATGATGCATTTAAAAGACAAAGGTTTCAAAGGAGCTATTATATTATGTTCAAAGAATTAAAGAAAAACAAGTTTAAACAATTGAAGAATTGAATGACAGCATGATGGCACTTGTTTAATAACTAGATCTTGATAAAGATAGTTTTTATTTTTAAAACTATTTAAAAAAAACAAAAGGAAATTCTCTCTTTGGAGAGCATAATATCTAAAATGAAAACTTTACTAGAGGGGCTTAACAGCAGCTCTGAGATGGTAGAAGAAAGAGTAAATAAATTGGAGAATCCATCAATAGATATATGTACCATTAGTTCTGTTCCTCTAGAGAACCCTGACTAACAAAATGATCATCCTGAAGACACACAGTCATCAGATTTTCCATGGTCAAAATAAAAGAAAAAAATGTTAAAGTCAGCTAGATATAAGGGGCAAGCCACCTACAAAGCGAACCCCATCCGGCTCACAGTGAGCCTTTCTGTAGAAATCCTACAAGCCAGAAGAGAATGGAGGCCCATATTTAACATTTTTAAATAAAATAAATTCCAACCAAGAATTTTTTATCTGCTTAAACTAAGCTTCATAAGTGAAGGAGAAATATGGTCCTTTTCAGACAAGCAAATGCTAAGGGAATTCATTACCACCAGACCTGACTTACAAGAGATCCTTGAAGGAGTGCTAAATATAGAAAGGAGAGTTTCTGTGGTCACCACAAAAACACACTTAAGTACATATATCATTCACACAATAAAGCCACAGCAAAATCATGTCTGCATGTTAACCAGCTAATGACATGATGACAGGATCAAATCTGCCCATATCAATATTGACCTTGAACGCAAATGGGCTAAATGCCCAAATAAAAGACACAGAGTGGGCAGTTGGATAAAGGAGCAAGACTCAACTTGCTCAAAGTAAAGGGATGGTGGAAAATCTACCAAGTAAATAGAAAAAGATAATGAGACAGGTGTTGCTATTATAATTTCAGAAAAAAAAAAACAGACCTTAAACCAACAAAGATAAAAAAAAAAAAAAAGGACAAAAAAATGGCATTACATGATGGTAAAGGGCTCAATTCAACAAGAGGACCAAACCTAAATATATATGCACCAAACATAGAAGCACCCAGATTCATGAAAAAGTTCCTAGAGACCTAAGAAGATACTTAGATAACCACAAAATAGTAGTGGGAGACACCCCACTGACGGAATTAGACAGATCATCGAGGCAGAAAACTAACAAAGATATTCAGGCTCTGAAGTCAACACTTATCCAAATGGACCTCGCAGATATCTACAAAACTCATTACCCAAATATAAGAGAATATAGATTCTTCTCACCTACACATGGCATATACTCAAAATTGATAATCACCTATAAAACAATCCTCAGCAAATGCAAAAGAATTGAAATCATACCAAACACACTCTCAGGCCACAGCGTGATAAAAGTAGAAGTCGTACTAAGAAAATCACTCAAAACCATACAATTACATGGAAATTAAACAACCTGCTCTGGAATGACTTTTGGGTGAACAATAAAATTAAGACAAGTCAAATTCTTTGAAACTAACGAGAAAAAATTTACAACATACCAGATTCTCTGGGACATGGTTAAAGCAGCATAAAGAGGAAAGTTTATAGCACCAAACACCCACATCAAAAAGTTAGAAAGATCTCAAGTTAGGCACCCAACATCACACCTAGAGGTACTAGAAAACTAAGAGCAAACCAACCCCAAAGCTATCGAAGACAAGATAACCAAAATCATAGCTGAACTGAAGGAAATTGAGACAAGAAAAACCATTCAAAAGATCAACAAATCCAGGCACTGATTATTTGAAAGAATAAATAAGGTTGATAGACCATAGCTAGACTACTAAAAAGAAAAAAGGGAGAAGGTCCAGATAAACACAATCAGAAATGACAAAGAGGACATTATCACTGACTCCATAGAAAGGCAAAAACCCTCGGACCTACTATTATGAACACCCCTATGAACACAGACCAGAAAACCTAGCATAAATGGGTAAATACCTGTAAACATAAAACCTCCCAAGATTGAAGCAGGAATAAATTGAATCCCAGCGTGGAACAATAAAAAGTTCTGAAATTGAATCAGTAATTAAAGCCTACCAACCAGAAAAAGCCTAGGACCAGATGTATTTACTGGTAAATTTTACCAGATGTACAAGGAAAAGCTAGTACCATTCCTACTGAACATATTCCAAAAAATTGAGGAGGAGGGATTCCTCCCTAACTCATTTTATGGGGCCAGCATCATTCTGATACCAAAACCTGGCAGAAACACAATAGAAAAAGAGAACTGCAGGCTAATATACTTGATAAACATAGATGCAAAAATCCTCAACAAAATACTAGCAAACCGAATCCAGCAGCACATCAAACATCTAATCCACCATGACCAAGTAGGCTTTATGCAAGATTGTTTCAACACATGCAAATCAATAAATGTGACTCATCACATAAACAGAACTGAAAACAAAAAACACATGATCATCTCAATAGATGCAGAAAAATCTTTCAGTAAAATTAAACATCATGTTAAAACCTCTCAACAAACTAGGCATTGAAGAAACATACCTCAAAATAGTAAGAGCCATCTATGACAAACCCAGAGCCAACATCATACAGAATGTGCAAAAGCTGGAATCATTCCCCTTGAAAACTGGAGCAAGACAAGAATGCTCACTCTCACTACTGCTATTCAACATAGTACTAAAAGCCCTAGCCAGAGCAATCAAGCAAGACAAAAAAATACAAGGCATCCAAATAAGAAAAGAAGATGTCAAAATATTTCTGTTTGCAGACAATATGATTTTCTACCTAGAAAACCCCGTAATTTCTGCCCAAAAGCTCCTAAATCTGATAAACAACTTCAGCAAAGTTTCAGAATACAAAATCAATGTACAAAAGTCAGTAGCAATTCTATGCACAAACAACATCCAAGCTGAGTGTTAAATCAACAATGCAACCCCATTTACAATAGCCACACACACAAAATAAAATACCTAGGAATAGAGCTAACTAAGAAGGCGAAAAATCTCCACAAGGAGAAGTACAAAACGTTGCTGAAAGAAATCAGAGTTGACACAAACAAATGGAAAAACATTCCATCATCATGGATAGGAAGAATCAATATTGTTAAAATGGCCATACTGCCCAGTGCAATTTACAGATTCAATGCTATTCCTATCAAACTATCAATGCCACTTTTCACAGAATTAGAGAAAAACTATTCTAAAATTCATATGCAACCAAAAAATTGCCTTAGTGGACAAAGCAATCCAAAGCAAAATGTACAAAGCTGGAAGCATCAGATTACCTAACTTCAAAGTATAATACAGAGGAATAATAACCAAAGTGGCATAGTTCTGGTACAAAAACAGACATATAAACCAATGGAACAGAATAGAGAGCATAGAAATAAAGCCCCACACTTACAGCTATCTGATCTTTGACAAAGTTGACAAAAGTAAGCAACGAAGAAAGGACTCCCTATGCAATAAATGGTCCTAGGATAACTGGTTAGTCATATGCAGTAGATTGAAACTGGACCCCTTCATTACACCATGTACAAAAATCAACTTAAGATGGATCAAAGACTTAAATGTAAAACTGCAAACTATAAAAACCCTGGAAGATAACCTAGGAAACACCATTATGGACATAGGACCTGGCAAAGATTTCATGATGAAGATACCAAAGGCAAATAGCAACAAAAGCAAAAATTGATAAATGGGACCTAAATTAAAGAGCTTCTGCACAGCAAAGGAAACTATCGAAAGAGTAAACAGATAACCTACAGAATGGGAAAAAATATTTGCAAACTAGACATCTATATTAGTCCGTTTTCATGCAGCTGATAAAGACATAACTGAGACTGGGAAGAAAAGGAGGTTTAATTGGACTTACAGTTCCACATGGCTGGGGAGGCCTCAGAATCATGGCAGGAGATGAAAGGCACATCTTACATGGTGGTGGCAAAGGAAAATCAGGAAGAAGCAAAAGCAGAAGACTCTGATAAACCCATCAGATCTTGTGATACTTATTCACTATCATAAGAATAGCATGGGAAAGACTGCCCCCCATGATTCAGTTATGTCCCCCTGGATGCCTCCCACAACACATGGAAATTCTGGGGAAATAATTCAAGTTGAGATTTGTGTGGGGACACAGCCAAACCATATCATTCCACCCCTGGCCCTTCCAAATCTTATGTCCTCACATTTCAAAACCAATCATGCCTTCACAACAGTTTCCTAAAGTCTTAACTCATTTCAGCACTAACCCAAAAGTCCACAGTCCAAAGTCTCATCTGAGACAAGGCAAGTCCCTTCCACCTGTGAGCCTGTAAAGTCACAAGCAAGCTAGTTACTTCCTAGCTACAATGAGGGTACAGGTATTGGGTAATGACAGCCATTCCAAATGGGATAAATTGGCTAAAACAAAGGGGCTAGAGAGCCCATGCAAGTCCAAAATCCAGTGGGGCAGTCAAATTTTAAAGCTCCAAAATGATCTCCTTGTCTCCATGTCTCACTTATAGATTATGCTGATGCTAAAGGTAGGTTCCCATGGTCTTGGGCAGCTTCACCCCTGTGGCTTTGCAGGGTACAGCCTTCCTCCTGTCTGCTTTCATGGGCTGGCATTCAGTGTCTGTGGCTTTTCCAGGTTCACAGTGCAAGCAGTGGATATACCATTCTGGGGTCTGGAGGATGGTGGCCCTATTCTCACAGCTCCAGTAGGATATGCCCCAGTAGGGACTCTGTGTGCGGGCTCTGACTCCACATTTCCTTTCCACACTGCTCTAGCAGAGGTTCTCCATGAGGGCCCTGCCCCTGCAGCAAACTTTTGCCTGGGCATCCAGGCATTTCTGTACACCTTCTGAAATCTAGGTGGAGATTTCCAAACCCAATTCTTGACTTCTGTGCACCCACACACTCAACACCATGTGGAAGCTGCCAAGGCTTGGGGCTTCCACCCTCTGAAGCCACGGTCTGAGCTCTACATTGTCCCCTTTCTGCCATGGCTGGAGCATCTGGGACACAGGGCACCAAGTCCCTAGGCTGCACGGGGACCCTTGGCCTGGCGCACAAAACCACTTTTTCCTCCTGGGCCTGCAGGCCTGTGATGTGAGGGGCTGCTGGGAAGGTCTCTGACATGGCCTGGAGATATTTCCCCATGGTCTTTGGAAGTAACATTAGGCTCTTTGCTACTTACACAAATTTCTGCAGCTGACTTGAATTTCTTCTCAAAAAAATGGGGTTTTCTTTCCTACTCCATTGTCAGGCTGCAAATTTTCTGAACTGTTATGGTCTGTTTCCCTTTTAAAATGGAATGCTTTTAACAGCATCCAAGTCACCTTTTGAATACTTTGCTGCTTAGAAATTTCTTCTGCCAGATACCCTAAATCACCTCCCTCAAGTTCAAAGTTCCACAAATCTCGAGGGTGGGGCAAAATGCCACCAGTCTCTTTGCTAAAACATAACAAGAGTCACCTTTGCTCTAGTTCCTAATGAGTTCCTCATCTCCATCTGAGACCACCTCAGGCTGCACCTTATTGTTCATATCACTATTAGCATTTTTGTTAAACCCATTCAACAAGTTTCTAGGAGGTTCCAAACTTTCCCACATTTTCTTATCTTCTTTTGAGCCCTCCAAACTGTTCCAACCTCTGCCTGTTACCCAGTTCCAAAATCCCTTCCACATTTTCGAGTATCTTTTCAGCAACGCCCACTCTACTGGTACTAATTTACTGTATTAATCTGTTTTCATGCAGCTGATAAAGACATGCCTGACACTTGGAAGAAAAAGAGGTTTAACTGGAGTTATACTTCCACATGTCTGGGGAGGCCTCAGCAACATGGTGGGAGGCGAAATTTGCTTTTTACATGGTGGTGGCAAGAGAAAAATGAGGAAGAAGCAAAAGCAGAAACCCCTGAGAAACCCCTGATAAAAGCCTCTGATAAAAGTCTCAGATCTTATGAGACTTTTTCACTATCACAAGAATAGCATGGGAACGACGGGCCCCCATGATTCAATTACATCACCCTGGATCCCTCCCACACCTGGGAATTCTGGGAAATACAATTCAAGTTGAGATTTGGGTGGGGCACAGCCAAACCATATCAGTATCTGAGTAAGGTCTAATATGCAGAATCTTTAAGGAACTTAAACTAATTTACAAGCATAAAACCCCAATAAAAAGTGGGCAAAGGATGTGAGCAGAAACTATTCAAAGACATACATGCAGCCAACATGTATATGAAAAAAAGTGCTCAACACCACTAATCATTGTAGAATTGCAAATCAAACCCACAATGAAATACTATTTCACATCAGTCAGAATGGCTATTATTAAAAAGTCAAAAAATAACATGTTGCTGAGATTGTGGAGAAAAGGAAATGCTTATACACTGCTGGTGGGAATGTAAATTAGTTCAGCCATGGTGAAAAGCAGTTTAGTGATTTCTTAAAGAACTTATAACAGAACTACCAGTAGACCCAGCAATCCCATTATTAGGTATATGCCCAAAGGAACATAAAACATTCCACCATAAGGACACATGCATGCATATGTTCCTCACAGCACTATTCACAATAGCAAGAACATGGAATCAACCTAAATGTCCATTAATGGTAGATTGGATAAAAAGAATGTGGTATATATACAGCATGGAACACTATGTAGCCATAAAAAGGAACAAGATCATGTCCTTTGCAGCAATATGGAGTGGGAGGCCCTTATCCTACACAAACTAACACAGGAACAGAAAACCAAATACTGCATGTTCTCATTTCTAAGTGGGAGTGAAAAATTGAGTATACATGCACACAAAGAAGGGAAAAATAGACTCCAAGGTATATTTAAGGGTGGAGAGTGGGAGAAGGGTGAGGATCAAAAAACTTCCTATCAGGTACTATGTTTATTACCTGGGCAATGAAATAATCTCTTCACCAAACCTCTGTGATGCACCATTTACCTAAATAACAAACTTCCACATGTACCCCTGAACCTAAAATAAAAGTTTAAGAAAGAACTTATATTTACCTACACAGCTACAGTGCAATAGATGGGAGAGAAAATAAACTATAATAGAACAAAATTTTTGTACTTTATAGCAGGGGTCCCCAACCCCCAGGCTGCAGACCAGTGCCAGACAGCGGCCTGTTAAGAGCCTGGGACACACAGCAGGAGGTGAGTGGCAGGTGAGCAGGCATTACCACCTGAGCTCCACCTCCTGGCAGATCAAGGCATTAGATTCTCACAGGAGCGCAAACTATTGTGAACAGTGCATGCAACGGATCTAGGTTGCAGGCTTCTTATGAGATTCTAACTAATGCCTGATCTGAGGTGGAGCAGTTTTGTGTGGAAACCCTCCCCCCACCTCCATCTCCAATCTCCGCATTGGTAAAATTGTCTTCCATCTTCCATGAAACTGGTTCCTGGTACCAAAATGTTGGGGACTGCTGCTTTATAGGAATTAAGTTACTGTTAATCTCAGGCAGATTATGATGTCACTAAATTAGATTAGTTGCTAAGAAAATGACAAGTAAATGTAGCAATATATCAAGATATATTAATATGTTAAACTAAATATTTTTACTTAGCACAAAAAAAGGCAGAAAAGGAGGAACAGAGAAACAAATGAATAAACAAGACATGAATCAAATGGCAAGTGTAAATTCAGCCATATCAGGTCAGGAGTGGTGGCTCACACCTGTAATCCCAGCTTTTTGGAGTCTGAGGTGGGTGAATTACTTGAGCTCAGGAGTTTGAGACCAGCCTGGCCAACATGGTGAAACCCTGTCTCTACCAAAAAATACACAAATTAGCTGGGTGTGGTGGCATAGCCTGTAGTCCCAGCTACTTGAGAGGCTAAGGAAGGAGGATAACTTGATCCTGGGAGGTGGCGGTTGCAGAGAGCAGTGGTGACACCACTGCACTCTAGCCTGGGTGACAGAGTTAGATCTTGTCTCAAGAAGTAATAATAACAAAAATAAATAAATAAATCCAACCATATTAATAATTACATTACATGTGAATGGGCTGAGAACTCACGTTCGAAGGCAGAGATTGTCATCCTGAATAAAAAAATCAGGATCCAACTATGTGCTGTGTAGGAGAGGCACATAATAGATTAAAAAACACAAATAGGTAGAAAGTAAAAGAATGGAAAAAGACAAAAATCCACTATCTAAACAGTCACCATAAAAGAACTGGAGCGGCTATTTTTATATTAGACAACATAGACATTAAGACAAGAATATTACTAGTGACAGAGAAGGATATTACCTAATGATAAATGGCCAATATATTTTAAAGACATAACAATTATAAGTGTATACACACTTAACAAGATAGCCCCAAACTAAGTAAAGCACAAATATAATTAAAAAGAGAAATACAGAATTCAATAATAATTGTTGGATAATTTAATTCCTAAATCTGAAAATTAATATAGAATACTGGGCAAAAATCAGAAAGTATACAGAAAATCTGATCAACATTTTCAACAATCTTGGCAACTCAAATTATATATTACTCCATAGATTGACAAGATAATAACCATTCTTTCAAAATACATGTAGATCACCCTTCACAATAGCCCATATACTAGACCCTAAAACAAATCTCAGTAATAAGGTCTCAAATCAAATGAACACATTAGGATCAAATTAGTAATCAACAAAATAAAATAATGGGGAAATTGCCAGATATTGTAAAATTATAAACATTTTTAGGTAACTCATGAGTCAGAGAATTAATCACAAGGTAAAATAGAAAATATTTTGATCTAAATGAAGATAAAAACACAAAATGTAATTGATATGATTAAACCAGTGCTTAGAGAAATTTATAGCTTGAAACACCTTATATATCAGTAAAGAAAAAAATTCAAATCAATAATTTGTCTGCCCCTAAGAAACTAGGTAAAAGGCATGAATTTAACCCAAATCAAGTACAAGGAATGCAACGATACAGACTAGTATGAATTAGAACCATAAAATAGGATACAGAACAGTAATAGGGATAATTAATAAAACCAAAATTTGAAAAGATAAAATTGTTAAACTTTAGTTAGAGTAATCAAGAAAATAAATGACCGAAGACAGAAACTGACAAAATTAGGAATGAAAAAGGGACATAGAATCCTATGGAAATTAAATAGGCTATAAAGGACATTATGAATATATAAGTTTTGATGAAATGGAAAAATTCCTAAACAGACAGAAATTACTAAATCTAACACAAGAAGAAATAGAAAATTTGAATAAACTCATAACAATTAAAGATTGACTTAGTAATTATAAATCCTCTTTCAAATAAATTCCCAGGTCCAGATGCCTTACTGGTTATTTATATCAAATATGTAAAGGAAAAATTTTACCAATTCTTCACAAACTTCACATCCCAACTCATTCTGCCATGTTTTATTATTGTGCTCCCAAAGGCAGAGAAAGACGTTACAGAAAAGAAAATCACAGACCAAAATCTCTCAACAAAATATTAGAAACCAAATCTATCAGCATATTAAAAAAAGATGATATACTATGATTAAATGGGACTTATCTCAGCATTCAAGTTTAGTTTAAAATCCAAAAATCAATTTATTTGATACAATATATTAGTAGAATAAAAGACAAAAAACATGTTATTATTTCATTAGACACAGAAAAAGTTTTAAAAAATCCAACACCCATTAACAACAACAACAACAAAAATCTCTCAGCAAACTTGGAAGACTAGGGAACTTCCTCAACCCAATAAAAGACACCTGCCAAAAACCTACAATTAATGTCATATTTACTAGTAAAAGACTAAATTCTTTCCTCCTAAAATTAGAAATGAAGATTTTCACCTTTTCCCCCTTTTTATTCAACATTTAATAAGATTTTAGTGGGTGCAATAAGTTAGGAGTCAACTAACTATATCCTATGGATCCAATCTGGTCTGTCACTGTTTTTGTAAATATTTACTTTGTATCTTGGTTAAACCCTTTTGTTTACATAGTGGCGTTTGCAATACAGCAGCTAAGTTGAACAGCAAAGTAGTTGTGATAGAGAATGTATGGTTTGCAAAAACAAAAATACTAACTACCTGGCCCTTTATATAAAAAGTGGACTGACTCATAAAGCAAGTAACGTTTGAGGTTGGTACTAAATACATTGAAAAGGAAGAAATAAAACTGTCTTTATTCTCAGATGATATGATGTCTTATGTAGAAAACCACTCAAATAATGACTATAACTGATTAACATGTTTAGCAGGGTCTTGGAATACGAGATCAATATAAAAAAATTTAGTGCATTTTGTTCAAGGCAATGAACAAAGTTTCCTGAGAATATTAGTGTTCCATGCTTTGGTGTCAGCCGCCATCCTCTAATGGCAGCTCCTTTGACTCATGCAGCCCCAGCTCCTGAAACAGTTGTGTAAACCCCTGATTCCTAAATTAAATCCTTACAGAACATATTTATAGAGTGGTTCTTATTCTACCAACTGAATCCTGATAGATACATCAAGAAACCTGAATTTTATTCTAAGTACAATAGGGAGATTTTGAAGAATTTAAGAATAAACTGATTTATGGTTTTATAATATTACTCTTTTTATACGCAGTCAAGATCCTTGCTTTTGAAGCCTTACTGGTATGCAGACTCTATTTTTAACTAGGTGTTGGCACATTCTGTATCTTTGGATATTGGTTCTGATTCATTGATTTGGCGTCTTGGGTGTTATCTCTGTCTTGGCTTGAGACCCTGGATTTCAGACTCATTTCAACCAATCATTTTGTATTTGATTTTAGATCTACCTTTTCTGGTCCAGCTCCTCAATGAGTTTTGCCTACCACTTTTCGTGACCAAATTCTAATATACACAGAAATTATGAAATAATTTTTTTTCTTATGCAAAACTTAGTTCCTTTGGACCTGGTAAAAACCTTGTTTTCTAGAAAATACATTATTTCTTAAGGACAAGAATTTTTATGATATGCCATTTCATCTGAGATATTATTACATGTGTAACTATGTCTGCCACTAATCAATACAAACACAATAAAAATGACAGTTTTAAAATATGATTATTTTTGAGCCACTTTGATAAGTCAAAGGATCTTTGAGTCATGATAGACCTTGAGTTTATCTAATACTTTTTCAGAAAAAAAACTTCCTATAATTAGAAAGGAGAATGATAGTAATAAAACAATCAGATTTATTTTCATTTCAGGAGTAAATTAGAAATTCTTATAATAAATATAGTATTAATATCACAGAGATCTGGAGGACCATTATCATAGTCTTCATTTACAGATAGTACTTAGTAGTTGTAGGCTGTATTTACAGTAATCAATTAGATTTGTACTGTTCTAAATCTATATACAGTACCATTTGTCATAAGAAATCATACTGAGTCCCAAATCAGTTGATCTTAAAATGGAGCGATTACTCATGTGGGTCAGATTTAATCAATTGAGCTCTTTAAAAGCAGAGCCTTTTCTTTGGCTAGTCACAGAAGATGAAATTAGAGATACAAAGCATGAAAGGATTTGACCCATAGCTGTTGACTTGGAGGTGAAAGAGGTTATGTGGCGAGGAATGTTGGCAGGTTCAGGGAGCTGAGAATGGCTCTAGCTGATAGCAAGCAAGAAAATGGGTCCTGACTCCTACAACAGCAAGGAGGTGAATTTTGTCTACACAAAGAATGACCATGAAATGAGATTTTTCCCAGATCCTCAGACAAGTACTCAGTCTGGCTGATACCTTGATTTCAGCCTTGTGACATTCTGAGCAGAGAACCTGACCATGCTGAGAGGGACCTCTGACTTACAGAACTGTGAACTAATAAATGGGTGCTGTTATAAGCCTTTAAGTTTGTGATAATTTGTTACACAGCACAAAATCTAACACATTGTTTAAATAGGAATGACAATTACCATTTCATTTTACTTTTTCAGAGTGAGGTATGAAATAATTTCATGATTATGAACCTTGGATGAACTATGAACTTTAAATCAAAATGTTCTGTACTACATTTTGTTAATCAAGGGCAAAAGGGGAAATGTAAACACATTTAATATCTCAACCTTTTTTTCAGGGCAGTACATTGACATTCTGTTCCCCTGGGAAATCTAATTTAATGAAATGACCTTGAAATCAGCCCTGAAAAATATGTATTTCAGTCAAAGCTTAATACATAGACTCAGAGTTTGGTCATTTATTTATTAGAGAATAATTATGGCTACCAGAATAGGAAATACTCTTCCTATTAGGTCTAAAAATAATTGTAAGAGCTTAACTGTTCTCATGGATATGACAACATCAATCTCATTAACCGCTGCAACTTACCACACTAGGGTGCATAGCACTGATTTTTCAGCCAGGGTCTATGGTGGTGACTTTGACAGGCATTACTCACGATGACTGATATGAGTCATAGGACTATGACTGATAGAGAACACTCCCAGAACGTTTCTGCATGGATCCATAAAGCTGTTGTTCTTGCCAAACACGTTTTCAATTTAAATTTGGAGGTGATTCATTTGAATTACTGCATAAATACCAAAGATCTCAGAGAAGAGAGCACTAGCATGGGAAAGCATGGGCCTGTCTACAATCTAATTCTGTCTCAATCAAAGTAACAGTTCAAATTTAGTCTCAATCAAGGCAACCTTCAATGATTAGAACTCATTTCCAGGACCATGAAGTTTTGGTTTCCTGGGCTGATTTTTACATCAAATTGCTTTGTGACCTTGAGCAAGTTTTTAAATCTCTTTCCTTTTTCTAAAATAGTAACAACAAAATTGGAATGTCCGAAACTCTTTCCTGAAGTGTTCAGGAAATTACTTTTTTGTAAACAGCATTGAGAGACTCAGAGTGATGGGACAAAAAGCCAAATCTCATAAACAAGATAAACAGCTCATCAAATATTTTTAACTTATAGTGTTAAATCAGAACTGAAAAAGAAAATTCTTGGCAATAAATGGTGAAGGTATTTCTTAGAATGAAGGTACAAAAGTACCAAGAGAGTACCTAACAGGAATCATAGCCCACTTTCAACTTTTAAAGCCTTTTATAAAAATGTTCAAGCATAAATTTCTCAAGTAGAGGAATGATATAATAAACCTCAAGCACCCATAAATCACATTAATAATTACCAACTTATTTCAAATCTTGTTGGAGTTGAAATTCTCAAGTAGAGCGATGATATAATAAACCTCAAGTACCCCAAAACCACATTAATAATTATCAACTTATTTCAAATCTTGTTGGAGTTATGTTATCCCAGATCATTTTGAAGAAAATCCCTGCATCATATAATTTCACATTAGAGTCTAAGCATTCAGGTAAAATATAATATATTTTCAAATATATTTCAAAAAAGTTCAAATATATTTCAAAAACATGCAATCCCAAGAGATTCTTTTGAAATACAAAAAATAGCCAAATAGGCAGTAGTGAAGTTTTCTTTAACATTTACAACGTAGAATTATATAAGGAATACTGTTAAAGAAAAAAACTGTTTCAAAGCAAGAATTAATAATTCTTATTCCAAATATTGCAGGAAAAATGTAATGCTTTTATTAAAATTTAACAAGAGACTTTTAATTACTTTAAAGTTCATTTTTAGCATCTGTTTCTTGGATCACACGTCAGTTTTCTTGCTTGTGACTGCTCCTTACTTAATTTAACAACTCTAAGCATATAGGTCTTTTAAAATCATCATAGTCTTAAAGTAAATGCATCCTGTGTATGTAGATAGTAGAAGCCATCCAATTTCTACGTTGTATTAAAATGTTCATAGTACTTGTTTGGGTGACGTTTCTATCCTTAATATAGCATATTTAAAAATGGTTTTAATTAAACAATTAGTTACTGAATTTCTATCCATTTAAATATGCTCTTTGTCTCGATGTCAGTTTAAATCTTTTTCTTACATGTGGGGACATTATTAAGATTTCCAAAATATACATTCAAATCAACATAAAAATACCCAGAAATTTTATGAAAAGTAGACTACTCTAGGGGAGCTTGCTGTCTCATGAAATAATGCCAAAATAGTATTTAAACTAGAGGACAGATCTGTCAAGATTAAACTAGCAAAATCACATGAAAGGGGAATCAAATCTGGGTTAATGGAGGAATTAATTGTTTTTAAAGTCTTCTACAACAGTTCTACTTACTGCATGGGAGAGAGTTAGAGCAGCTGGCCTGCAATCTATCTTGCACAGGTGCAAAGAAGAAAATCTTTTGAAAAAAAAAAAGAAACAGGTGACCTGACCTAATCTCAATTGGACCTATGAATAAATATACAAATACTTTTTTTTATCTCTTAAATGCCCTTAACAGGATGTTCTTGGTTAAAGATTATAGTAAGTAGAACCCAGGATCTAAGACATGGCTTCCTGGATAATAGCACAAAGGCTTTTCAACACTCTGGAGTGAAAAACTGGACATATTTTATGATATAAACCCTTTTGCTATGTCAGGAACTCTCTGAATCTCATGTATTCTGGGCTGGTGGTTCACGTTCTAGAAGAGAAGGAAGAACCTGGGGAGTTGCGTTTGATTATTTAGACTTCCATTTGCTTTGCTGGAACCCCTTGATTTTACATAGACTTAAAATTATTTACTAAAGCATGCTACTGGGTATGATTTCTGATTGCTGTGAGTTTGTCTTGATAATCCAATATTATGGATTAGTTCATTTTTCTCCAGAATGGGGCAAGATGTGTCAGTGCATGCAAAAGAATTCAACGCACATATTCAAATCATTTACTTGCTTAAAATGCCACTACTTTTAGGTTAACTCAATTTCTTTTTTGGTAAATACTCAGGCTTTCGGATATCCTTTTCTTCCCAGTTCTTCTCCCTGGACAACACATCTCTCCTGCCCGTGTTTCTTACAGCTTCATCTTGTATACTGCTCAGCCTTCAGGTGAAAGGGCTCACTTTCCTGAGGCTGGTTCTCATGTTCTGCTCTTATTTTGTGGTTAAACAATGGCGATTTTCCTTACTCCCCTTCAACCACAGCAGCGTGGCTCACGAAAGGTAAATAGGAACAATTCTCAGAACATCGTAGTATATGGCTGTTATGGGTTGAATGTTTTTGTACCCTTCGAAACTAATGTTGAAACTTAATCCCCAGTGCAGCAGTGTTCGGAGGTGGGGCCTAATAGGAGGTGTTTATATCCTGAGAGTCCTCGGGATATAACATAAACCATGTACGTACAACGTTACCTGAAAATCAATTCGGTTTAAAAAATACTTGGTCCCCTCTAGCTGCCCTCTTGCATCCCCACGTGCGTGCGCCTACTCTCAGCGGGTCCACCAGACTCCCTGAGCATCATCCTAATTCCCCACCTAGACCCTTACTGGCTCCGAGAAGATGAAAGACGCAATTATGAACCAAGAAAAACTCGCCAAACTGCAGGCATAAGTGCGTATTGGTGGGAAAGGAACTGCTCGCAGAAAGAAGAAGGTTCATAGAACAGCCACAACAGATGACAAGAAAAAACTTTAGTTCTCCTTAAAGAAGTTAGGGATAAACAATATCTCTGGTATTGAAGAGGTGAATATGTTTACAAACCAAGGAACAGTGATCCACTTTAACAACCCTGAAGTTTGGGCATCTCTGTCAGGGAAGGCTTTCCCCATTACAGGCCACGCTGAGACAAAGCAGTTGACAGAAATGCTACCCAGCATCTTAAACCAGCTTGGTACAGACAGACTGACTAGGTAAGGGAGACTGCCTGAAGATCTGTCCAAACAACCTGTTGGGGGAAAAGCACCACTTGCTACTGGAGAGGATGACAGTGATGAAGTTTCACATCTTGTGGAGAATTTTGATGAGGCTTCCAAGAATGAGTCAAACTGAATTGAGTCAATTCCTGAAGAAGGTGAAACTCGCAGAAGTTACTGGGAGCTGCTATTTTATTATGACTGCTTTAAAAAAATTGTTTATGGATCGGATAAAATCTAGACCTTGAATATTTTTAAGTCCAAGCCTCTTGGACACTGCAGCGTTTTTCATTTTTGCTTATACACAATTCATTCTTTGCAGCTAGTGAAGTCGAAGAAACCTGGGGATAAAGTTTGAAACAAAGGTTAAAAAAATTATTTGCTGGAACATAGCCAGATTCAGACATTTCTCCTTTAAACAATATAAATGAATTTTAGAAAACAATAACACATACATTTGAAATTTCGAACAAAAGTGAATAGTATGAGATAAAATTATGTTCAGAATTATTTAGTATTTAAGTCAGATGTTACACTCCTATTGCAGTGTTTATACTTCAAAACCATGGAAAGTAGACTCGTGTAGGGGAGCTTGCTGCCTCATGAAATAATGCCAAAATAGCATTTCAACTAGAAGACAGATCATTGACAAGATTAAACTAGCAAAATCACAGGAAATGGGAGTCAAATCCATGTTTGTGCGTTTAGTTTTGCCCTCTAATACCACCTCACGTGTTCTGGTAATAGTTTCCTATCTAGATGTAGCTATTTTAGATCAGTATTTTATTTCTGCTCTTGTGACCTCAATGTTTTGGCTCCTTTGATTTCTTCTTGGGAATTGCAGAAAGATGAAAGACGAATCCTCTTATTTGCTTGAGATTTAGATAATCAACTGTTAAAGCTGTACTGCCCTTGTTACAAATTCCTATAACTGAACTTTACTTTTTTCGTAAACTCTCTCTTTCCATAATATATGCATCCTAATGGATTGTGCACTGTTTAGTCTGGACTATTTCTTTCAGAATCCACTTGTAGATATCACATCACACTGTACATTCTCATCTCCTACTTGTATTTTTTTGCTCTTTCTGCCAAACACACCTTTCTCATATTATTGAAGTCTATTGCTATTGGGCTTTTTCTTTCTCTGTGTTCTTATCTTCTACACTAAAAGCTATTTTTACTCTTTGTTTTGCTATTCTACAGTTGGTGCCTAAAGGCCTTTAAGAATAAGAAACAATCAGTTTTTCGTAGATGATCTAAGAAAACCACAATCCTTGGTTTTATAGCATTTTGCCTTTAATCTTTTTTTCATTTGAATTGAGCTATAGAAACTCACATTCTTTAAAATCAGATGGATTCAATAGGAAGGAAGTATCCCCTCCTATCAGGTTTTGTTTTTAGATCATCCATTAATGGAATGAATTGCTTTCCTTTTGTACTTTCTGCCTCCATCTCTGTCCTCATCAATCTGGAGTGCTGCTAGATTAATTTTTCTATGAATTGGATATGATTTTCACATTCATGCTCAGAAACAAAGCAGCTTCTACAAACTGAGAGAATAAAATTCACATCCCCTGGCTTGCCATTCATGGCTCTATACCTACCTTACAGTGACCTTAACCATATCTGTCCTTCCAGTGTTATTTTTCCCTTCTCTCTTTCATGTACCCGTTCCCTGCATTGCTTGCTCTTCTTTGTACACGATGTACTCTTTAACACCAGGGACTCAGATTACATTGTTGGCTTCTACATGTACTGTTTTTTTTTTCTTATCATCTCTTAATGAATCATTTCCTCTTTATTCTTCAGGATTTATTTTAGAGATCCCTGCCTTCCTAAGCCTGGAATACTCACCTCTACTATTTGCAGACTCTGAAAATAAACTGTCCTCATTCTGAAAACTGGTGGCACTTCTTAAATTCTACCTTAAACTTAATCACTTGTTGATTAATTAAAAATTATTGAGAATCTAACCTGCGTTAAACACAGTTTTAGGCTCTAGGGATACAGCAGTGAACAAAGTAGATAACAATTTCTGCCCTTATAGAGTTTATCTTACAGTGTTACAGCTTCCTAGGAGAGTTTTAAAACATTGATTTATAATTACTCACACTGGTAAGTGAAGACAGAAAAACAAGTGTCAGGATATTTATGTACTCAATGTTTTACAAAAGCAAAAAATAAATTAGTTCTTATTAAAAAATGCTGCCAAAATGACTGAAAATGTGATAGTTCTTGGTATCACTCTATTTTGATGCACTGAGAAATACAGTTGCACTTGGGACATTGATAAATAAGTGCTGCTTTAGGAAAGATGAATTAGTGAAGCACAAGTTCTCATTTGTGAAGACAGGAGCTAGAGAGAAACACCATAAAACGACTGCCAAACTCAGCAGGAAGACTTACCATGTCTGGTGAGCATCCTGCTGTTTCAGATTATTCTGTGAGGCTTGACTCAGTTCCTCAGCTTCCCCTGATCAGGTAGTTGAGGTGAGGTCCCAGTGATGTTCTTATCATGACCCAAGTGGAGTCACGATATTATCTTTATTGCAAAACCACTTCTCTTCTTGCTCTACTATCAATGAAAAAGTTACTGGATGCTGCTACTTCTCTTTTTTGTTGACAGCAAGCCCAACGTATAAACATCTTTCTCAAGAACTTGTGTAAGGATTGAAATAAACTCTCCCTTCTGCTTTTCCCTTAAGAGTCCATCAGGATCATCTATTTATTCAGGTCTATCATGAAGTTATATTAATAATAACAGTCAAGATTTCACTTGGCTCATGTGGGATCTTGTATTGTTTGAAAAGACTCATCTCCATCTATAATTTTCTGGGGGCTCCCAATGAATGTTTTATATATTTTCATTGACAGATAGACTGGATGATCACATGTTATGGAGTGGGCAGTCTTGTCATGTCTACTAAATTGTACTGTATTTTCTGGATCCTGTTGTGCTCTTTGGAACGACTTTTGTTTCTTCTGAGCAACGAAATGCCCACCAGGCGCTACTGTTGATGATTGTTACATCCCTGGATACCACCAAACACTCCAGGCAAGATGTCCCTGTCAGGCCAGCTGCTGTTTTCCACTGGGCACCAAAGACTTCTATCCGGCAACATTATCATTTTTGTCTTTTCCCACTGGGCACCAAAACAGATAAACTGGAGTCTTCATGCAACCAAAACTACTCAGTGGTCTAGGGAGAAATAAAATAAATATTGTCTCCTCTTTCAATGTTTTATTCTGTTGCAGGTAGGGACTGGCGAAGAGGAGGCTTTTTGCTCTGGTACATTTCCAGAATAGTTTAGTTATATTATTTTTTTTAAAAATTTTTTCTGTTTTCCCATTTGTTTCCCTTCCTTCCTCCACTCCTCCCTTTATTCACTTTATTCTCTCTCTCTCTCTCTGCAAACTGTTCACCCGCTCTTTTCCTAAGAATTGAATACTAGTCTTCTGGGTGTAATTAGATAGAGCTGGTTAGGTCTTCTTTCTCTTGTAATATAAGTCATTTCATAGACTTCTATCTCAAGTGAAAAGATCATGGAGGTCAAACTCAATTCAACAGATAAGCTATGAAATGTTCTATAGTATAATAAGCACTCAGAATGTAACTGTTGAATGAAAGAATAAAATCTGTTTTATTACTTACACAAATCTCAGTTTAAATGTAGCCTGAAATCACTGTACAGTTATTTTGGCACATCATTTATTTCCTCTAAAGTCCTTAGAAATAAGTGTTTGCTTTTATTTAACTTTGCACCAAGCCTCCTATTTTAATATTTTGTATGTAATTGCCTAAATATCTTTTGGAGTAATGAATATTTCCTTTATAGTTGCACTAAAATACATAGGTGTGGTGTGTATCATATAGTAAAATATAATTAATAACTGGTATGTAGCCTAAAGAATCACATTTGGGTAGCCTTAGTATTGCTTGCATATTGTAATTTAAGTTTTGCTAAATGATTATCTTTAATCTTAAGGGCTAAAAACCTGTCCTTTGTAGTCTCATAGCTTAAAATTTTCTGCTTGAATAAATTGCTAGGAGTAGACATTTTGCAAAATGTGTTTATGTGATTTCTCTCAAAATGAAGGACTTTTTAAAAAACAAATGAAACAAAGCAGGTAGTGTCACAAAAGTCAATGTAACACAAAGCGATAATCACAGAATATTATCAATGTTTTAAGAAAAAAAAGAAATTTGTCCAAGATCTCATGCTAAATATTATTTATGTTCTGTCTTTGGTATGATTAACTATTTATATGCTACAAATACATATTTTAACATTTTTCTCCTCTTGTAGCAATAGGTCATTGCTTGGCATATTTCATCTAATAATAGGTGAATAGTTTCAGGATAGGCTGTAAGATCAGCAATAAGGATGACTTAAAGGAAGATGTTCGTTTAGTGACAGAAGACGCTAAAAGTAATTTTAAATTGTAGAAAAAATGGTGCCCAGAAAAAGGCTGAGTTGTGTACCTGAAGCTGCAGTTATACTGGCAATTTAGGATGAAACAATTTGAGGTGAGACAGGAGTAACAATGTTAACATGATTGTTCATAGTCATAATGTAAGTGGCATTATGATGGTACTAGACAACTGGAGTGCCTTGGTTAGTCTTATGTATCTAAACAGGATATTCATGCTAATGTTAAGATCAGAGGTTTTAAATGTAGAAACTAATTTTCTTTTAAGGCTTACACACTTACCAAGTAGGCATTAATAAAAAAATTAGTGAATATATGATGTACAATTTCCCTAGTTCAGAAAATAGCACTGTCATGTGCTAGTTACTTAGGTCAGAAGAAAGTGAATTTTATCTTAAATATCAATCCGTCAATAAAGCCACTTTATATAGTTCCTCAATATTTTATAAATCTTTCTACTTCTTTCATCAAAACCACTGTAGTCCAAGTTGCCACAGTTTTCATCTGAACTAAAGAATAGTCATTAAACTTATTTTCCTCATACCTTTACTCTCTACTCCAATCAGGTTTTTTTTTTTTTTTTTGCAGTACAGTTAGTGAGCTTTTCAAAGGGAAAACCTCATAATATCAACTCTTTGCAAATAATCTGTCAATTGTTTCCCCTGCTCTTAGAATAAAGAGAAAATTATTTTAATGCTCCAACAAGGACCAACAGAATATGGTCACTGTTTCTTCAGTATTATCTAGCTATTGATAACTCCCCAAATCTGTAATTACAGCTCATCTTGTCTCATAAACTCCAGACACATTTCCATCTGTTTAAATGGTTAAAACGGATTCATTCTCCTCTGCACAGATTTTGGAGACTTTGATAAATTGTGTCATGGCATTTTGCAATTTTGTTTAGGTTGTTCCTTTTCAGCATTACATTGCTCATAATACTTCCTTGTTGTTTTTAAACTATCTCTAGGTTTGATATCTTGTAATATTAAATTTATTCTCAGAAATTACTTCAGAATACTTTTCAAGAATGTTATGGTTGAAAATTACTAATCTAATATAGTGATCTCCTTGCAGAGATAGTAGTAGACTACAAAATATTATCAATGCTTATCTGGAGCTAGATAAAAAGTAATTCTGATTTTCTTCTCATTGTGTGTTTTCGAAATTCACTACAATAAACACGTTTTGTTTCTCTAATTATAATTTTTAAAAATGAGGGCTCGCAGGCCTGGCGTGGTGGCTCATGCCTGTAATCCTAGCAGTTTGGGAGGCCGAGGCAGGTGGATCACCTGAGGTCAGGAGTTTGATACCAGCCTGGCCAATGTGGCAAAACCTCGTCTCTACCAAAAATAAAAAATTTGCTGGTTGTGTTGGCACACACCTGTAATCCCAGCTACTCAGGAGCTTGAGGCAAGAGAATCACTTGAACCCTGGTGGGTGGAGGTTGCAGTGAGCCGAGATCGCGCCACTGCACTCCAGCCCGGGCAGTAAGAGAGAAACTCCTTCTTAAAAAAAAAGAGGGCTCTTTTGAAAAATCAAGGTCTGAATTAAATACAGTATTGCTAGTAGAATGAACTGTTAATACAGTAACAACTGCAAAGTCTTTACAAAATATGAAAAAACATATAAAAGCACTGGAAGGCATCCTATATTAGATAGAAGCTGGAGATTATGCTCTTGAAAAACTATAACTAAACAGGATAAAAGTCGTGACCTTGTAGCTATTTTTCTTGTGGTTTCTCCCAACCACTATGTCTATGGCAGCAGAAAACTAGTCTTACTTGCTGGAGATGACCAAGACATAAACAAACAAAAATAAACTCTACTCAAGGCTGGAACAGTAACTGGAACTTTCAGCAAGAAATACTGCGAGACTACAGAATTATTGAGAACAAAACTGAGTATAAATTGCCTGAATCCCTAATTGACAGCTAAACTATATGTGTACAGGAACAAACCTAGAAAGTTTCCAAAACCAGGCAAATATCAAAGAAGAAAGTCATCTTCAAAGACAGAAAGACACTCGTCAATATTTGTGTTTTAACTTAGTCATTTTCCAAATTGTGCTCTCAGCTGTTGCCAAATGCAGGGTATATAGAGTTAATACTTTGAGTCCAGTCTAGGGAATTGCCTAATAGAACCACAACAACAATAAACATAGAAAACAACAACAACAACAACAAATAACAATAAAAAATCTTCAGAACAGATTGCAATATCTATAATGTCTAGTTTTCAATGAAAAATCACTAAACCTGCCAAGAAACAGCAAAGTGTGACTTACACTTAAAAAAAAAAAAAGAACAATCAATAGAAATTGACTTTGAGTGGAGTCAGAAACTGCATTTAGCAGATGAAAATATCAAAATTTTCATTATAAATGTGCTGAACATTTAAAGGCAGACATATTCAAATAATTAAAGAAAATTTGGTTCCCTGGGTAAAAAGTTAGAGGAAATCAACAGAGAAATTGAAACTACTGAAAAAATGTATGTTAGAGCTGAAAAGTACAATACCTAAAAGGAAACATTTATAGATAGGCTCAATGATATATTTGGGGTGGAAAAAATTGTAAACTTGAAATTAGATTATTACAATTTACCTAACATGAGTAACAGATAGAGGAAAGGTTTTAAAAAAATAAACAGAGGCTCAAGACCTGTGAGACAATATCAATTAGTCCAACGTATATGTAGTTTATTTCTCAAGAGACGAGGAAGGAAAGATACAATAAAAAATGTGAAATTATAATGGTAAAAATTTCACCAAATTTGGTGGAAAAGTAAAGTTCAGATTCAAGAATTTTTAATGAAAAATCAAGTAGAATGAAAACAAAGAAAACCACACATACACATTTCAGTTAAACTACTAAAAGTCAAAAAAATTGAGAAAAATCCTGAAGGCAGCCAGAAAGGAATAACAAATTACATGTATGGAAATAGTAATACAATTAAACTGACTTATTATGTAAACTAGAGTCCAGGAGATATTAGAAAGACATATTCAAATGGTTGGAAAAACCTTCTATCTACCAAGAATACCTTATACAATGAATCTAGCATAGCTTCTGTACAAAATTCTGAAGAAAGGTCTTTAGGTTGAGTGAAGAAAAAATACAGATGAACTCATATCCATAAGAAGAAATGAAGTTTACAGGAAATAATGAATACATTGGTAAATAAAATACTACATTTTCTTTTTATCTTAAATTATTTAAAAGACATGGTGACTTAAAACAAAAATTTTAACACTAAATTATTGGATTTATAATACATATAGATGTAAAACATGTAGAAATAATAACACAAGGGATGGGGTATAACTGTAGATAGGCTGCTGCAAATTTCCAATATTATATCTGAAGTAATTAAACATTAACACTAAGAAGATTATGATAAATTAAAGATAGATATTGTAAGTCTTGTCAAACATTAAAATATAATGTAAGAAGATAAAGCTAGGAAGCCAAGACAGGAATTGAAATGATGAAAATGAATTCAAAATAATATAGATTGAGTTAAAAAGACAAAAAAGAGAAATAAAGATCAACAAATCAATAAGGCAAGCAGAAAACAAACTGAAAAATGGCAGACCTCAATAAACCATATCAATATCAATAATTATATTCAAATAAAATAGGCAAAAAATTCTAATCATACAGATTTTCAAGTGGATGAAAAGCAAGAACAAGAAGCTGCTATATGCATTCTGTAACAGATACAATTAGTCACAAAGACACTAATAGAGTGAATGTAACAGGTGGAAAAAACATACTACACAAATAGTAAGTCTAGGAAAGGTAGAGTGACTGTGTTAATGTAAGTAAAAGTCTTTAAGACAAGAAGAGTTACAGGAGACAAAGAGGAATATTTCCTAATGATTCTAGGATTAATACATTAAGAAACTGGAAGATGTATATATATATATATATATATATATATATATATATATATATATATATATATCTTCCGTAATAAGATATATAACTGCTATAATAAAATCTTCTGTAATAAGATATATATATCTTTTGTAATAAGATATATATATCTTCTGTAATAAGATATATAATCATCTGTAATAGGATAGATATGTCTTCTGTAATAAGATATATATATCTTCTGTAATAAGATATAGATATCATCTGTAATAAGATATATATGTCTTCTGTAATAAGATATATATATCTTTTGTAATAAGATATAGATATCTTCTATAATAAGATATAGATATCGTATATGTATATGATATATATATAATATATATCTTATTACAGAACTCCGAAGTACATGAAGCAAAAACTGACAGACATAATGGAGAAACAGAAAAATGGACAATGGTGATTTTAACACATCTCTTCCATCATACATATATATATATATATAAAACCTTGAATAATTTATATGTTATGTATGTATAGACACACACATATGTATGTATTATATATAATTTATATAATTATATAAATATATAATTATATATTATATAAATATATAATTTATATTATATATAACTTATATATTATATAATATATAATTTATATTATATATAACTTATATATTATATAATATATAATTTATATTATATATAACTTATATATTATATAATATATAATTTATATTATATATAACTTATATATTATATTAAATATATAATTTATATTATATATAAATTATATATTATATTAAATATATAATATATAATTTATAATTTATATATTATAGATAAATATATAATTTATATATACATAATGTACATTAAATATACATTATATGTATATATTATATTATATAAATAGATATAAAATTTATATATAAAATTTACATATTATATATGTATACACATATATGTGTGTATTATATATATATGTATAATCTTGAAGAATATATATAATCTTCCAGATTTTTCTAGGTAGACAATCTTGTTTTTTACGATAAGGAGCAATTATATTTCTTTCTAGTCTGTGTCTCTTATTTATTTATTTTTGGTTTTGTTTCATTGCACTGGGTAAGACTACTGATAAGATTTTGTATAGAGTGGTGAAAGCAGAAATCCCTGTCTTTTACACAATCACAGAGGAGAGAAACTTTAAGTCTTTTTTTCACTAAGCATAATTTTAGCAGTAGTTTTTTGTTTGTTTTTTGTTTTTGTAGATGCCCTTTATCAACTTGACAATGTTTCCTTCTATTACTAGTTTGCTGAGAGTATTATCATGAAGGGCTGTTGAAATTGCCAAACTTCCCATGTGCCAAAAGATAATAATAAAGCTCTTCTTTTTGCTTGATATGATGAATTGCAGTGAACTCTCATTATACATAGATCTGTATTTGTGAATATATCTACTTGCTAAAATTTATTTGTAAGCCTCAAGTCAAAACTTGTGGTGCTTTTGCTGCATTTGCAGACATGCACAGAGGAGTGAAAAATTTGAGTAACCCAATGTGCACATTTCCAGCTGAGGTCGACAAGGCTATATTCTGCCTTGTTTTAGCTGTCATACTATGACCAAGCATCCTTTTTATGGTGTATTGATTGGCACATTTTTTACATGTTTGTGCATTTTGTTAATTATTTTGCTGTTTAAAGGGGCCCCCAAGCATACCAATGAAGTACTATCTAGCGTTCCTTACAGAGAGAATACGTGTGTTCAAGCTTTCTTCAGGTATGAGTTAAGGTGCTCTTGGATATGAGTTCAATGTTAATTAATTAACAATATATATTAAATAAAGTGTTTTGAAACAGAAACACACATCCAACAGGGTTATATTTGATCAGTTGTTGAAAATGTTGTGACCAGAAACTCAGAGGAACCTAATCTTGCATTTCTTCTAGGAGCAATGATTCAGTATTCGTTACTTCAATGTTGATGTACACTTTATAGAACATAACTACTATGAATGAGCATCACTTGTATACTAACTGAAGTTTGAATGTTGAAACATTCTTACATTCTTGAAATGAATCCCATTTGGTGATTTTGTGTTACTCTTTTTACTTCTTGTTGTATTTCATGTGTTGGTACTTTATTTAAAGTTTTTGTGTGCATGTTCCCGAGGGATATTATTCTTTAGTTTTCTTCTTTGTAAGTTTTTCTGTTGTTTGGAATTAGGGTAACATTGGCCTCATAAAATGAGCGAGGAGGCATTTCCTTCTCCTCTATACTCTGGATACATTTTTGGAAAATTGTCATTATCTCTTCCTTAAATATTAGACAAAGTCCATCAGTAAAACCATATAAGCCTCCAGTTTACTTTGTTGGAGAGTTTTTAAGTATCAATTTGATTATTTAGTAGATTTAGAAATATTCAGTTTATCTATTTCTTTTTCATTGATTTTTGAGAGTTGGGAGTCTTTCGAAGAATTTTATTATTTCATCTAAGTTTTTGAAATTATGGATGTAGAGTTACTCATACATAGTATTATTAACCATAGTGATAGCCCCTCTTTGATTTCCGGTATTCGTAATTTCTGTATTTTCTCTTTTTTCTTGATTGGCCTCAGTTTTATTGATTTGTTATTAAAGGAATGAGATTTTAGTTTTATTTCTTTTCTTTTTTTTGTTCTCATTGACTTCTGCTTTTATTTTTTATTTATTATTTTCATTTTTTTCCTTCTACTTGCTTTGGATTTAATTTTCTCTGTTATTTCTATGTTTCTTAAAATGGAATCAGAATATTGATTTGAGGTATTTTCTCTCACGTAATGTAAACATTTAACATATGCATTTTATATATTTAATATATAAATTCTCATAAAGTGCTGCTTTAGTGGCATCATCCAAATTCCACCATGCTATGTTTTTACTTTCATTCAATTCAAAATATTGTTAACTTCCCTGTTATGTTGTCTTTGACCTCCATGGCCTATTAGAACTGTATTGTTTAATTTCCAAATATGCAGAGGGATTTTCTAGGTATCTTCTGGCTACTGATTTCTAATTTTAATCTATTATTGTTACAAAACATGTTTCCTAGGGAATTGTTAGAGAATTGTTTGTGGATATCAATCATTTAATTATGTTGAGGTTTGGTTTTTGGCCTAAAATATGGTCTTTCTTGAAGAATGTCCCATTTGCACTTGAAAAGACTATATATTCAGCTATTATTTAGTGGCATATTCTATAAATAGCAAAGAAATGAAGCTGATTTATAATGTTTTTCAGGTTTACTAAGTACTTACTGAATTTTTGTCTATGCTTTAATTTTCTGTTGAAAGCTCACATCTTGTGTAGGACAATAGAGGCTGAGGTAAATCGACTTTATGCTTGGAAATTGGTAAATGGGCATATATTTTCTTTTGCTAGTCCTCTGTTGTGGAAGGCTGAGTCAACCAGTTAGGAATGAAATGGTGGTTGGGCTCTTTTGTTGTTATGGTAAACCCCTGACCACCACAGACTTAGAATTCCTCTAGCATTACCTTGTGTTTAAGGTGGGGTTGGTTTACTACAAGGATTCTCTCAATATTTGCTTTATCCTCTGCTCTAGGTCTTTCTTTTGAACTTGTGCCTCAGCCGGGGTCTTTCTTCACCCTTCTTTGTCCCTTTCCAAGCAGAAGCCGTCTGTCACTTGGTGCTGCTATAGTGGTGGTATAGGCTGGAAGAGAAAGACACCCTCTATGGTTCTGGTCAAGCCTCCATCTTAAGTAGACACTGTCCCTGGATTCTGGTGGGTGGGCTGTCTCGGGATTTCTGCTCTCCTCCCCCTGTAGGTTTCAGCGTGGAATTTATTTTTCTCCTTTCTCAGGGGTAAAAGGCATTTTCTGTTTTCTTCCTTCAGCAGTTCCAGTGCCTTGCGGGGAATGTCTTCACCAGTGCTCTAAAAGGCAACAGGATTTTCTGCCCTGTATCCAGCAGCTTAAGGCTTTTGTTTCAAAAGGGAATAAGAGAGAAAAATCTCTCCTATCATGCTTTTCTTGCGGTACTGTTGCCTGTTTTTAACTTTTTGTATAAATGGAATCATTCAGTATGTACATTTTGTATCTGTTTTCTTTCACTCTACAGTATGTTTGAAATGTTTTTATGTTGCTTTGTATATAGTTTTCTTCAGATTTCTGAAAGTATGACCGACAAATAAAAATTCTATATATTTAGGGCATACCATGTGATGTATATATTTACATATATATGGAGGCATAGGGGAATGATTACCACAATCAAGCTAATAAACATATCCAACACCTCCCAACATCTCTCGTAGTCACTTTTTATTTTTTTATTTTTATTTTTTTGGTGAAAACACTTGTGATCTAGTCTCTTAAAATATTCCACCAGTTGTGGTGGCTCCTCCCTATAATCCCAGAGACCCAGTAGGCCAAGGCAGAAGAATTGCTTGAGGCCAAGAGGTCAAGACCAGCCTCTGCCACACAGTGAGAATTCATCTCTAAATTTGTTTTAACAAATTAACTGGGTGTGGAATCACACACCTGTAGTCCCAGCTACTTGAGAGACTGAGGCAGAAAGATTGCTTGAGCCTAGGGGGTTGAGGCTACAGCGAGCTATGATCATGCTATTGCACTCCAGCCTGGGTGACAGAGTGAGACAATATCTCAGTGAAATCAACTATACAACCCATTATTATTAACTATAGTCACCATGCTGTACATCATATCTCCAGTGCTTATTCATCTTATATCCAAAGGTTTGTATCCTTTGACAAATATCTCTCTTTCTTTTCCTTATCTCCAGAACCTGGCCACCACTATTCCACCTATTCTGTTACCAGGAATTCAATGTTTCTTTTAGATTCCACATATGAGTGAGATCATATAGTATTTGTCTTTGTGTGTCTTGTTTATTTCACTTAGTATAATGTCCACATTGTTGCAAATGATAGGATTCTTTTCTTTTCAAAGACTGAAAAAAAAATTTACTTTTATTGCTTCTGTACCATGGCTATTGTGAATAGTGCTGCAATAAACATGGAGTGCAGGTATCTTTTTGATATAATGATTTTATTTCATATGGATTTTATTTTCTTTATACCCAGAAGTGGTATTGCTGCATTGTATCTTAGTTCTATTTGTAATGTTTTGTGGAACTTCTAAACTCTTTTTCATAATGGCTCTACCAACTTACATCCCTACCTAGTAAGGAGGTCGAATTCCCGATAGCTTTGACTGACACAGCTATTCCCCCTGCCACTTGCAGTTCTCCCAATAACCGCAGAATGTACCAAAAAATATGACATCTTCAGATAAGGATAACAACCTTATCCTTATCCGTGCCTCTGTTGCTTAGAGAACAGGATGTTCTCCAGTGCTTACACTCAGTGAGCCCAGATGAGCTTCATCTGCCATGAGCTGCTTTTCTGAGTCTTGGGGGACTGGCTTGCCATGGATCCTAGGCTTCTGTTTATTCTTGCTGCCTGTCTGTAAATAATACATCTGCATTCACTGACTTGTGTGAGTGTCCTGTTTCACTGGACTCATGCAGGTGGTAGAGCTACTGGGGCTCTTTCCCTCCTTTCAGCTGTCCTCATAGTGCTGGGGCTACGGCGGCACCTGGGTCTACACTAAGTCCCTGGCAGAATTAAACATCTTCAAACCAGCAGTGAACAAGGATTCCCTTTTCATCCTTGCCAATACTTAACATCTTTTGACTTTTTGATAATAGCCATACTAACAGGTGTGAGACAATACCTCATTTGGGTTTTGATGGGCATTTCCCTGATGATTAGTGATATTGAACATATTTTCATGTACCTGTTGGCCTTTTGTATGTCTTCTTTGGAAAAATGTCTGATCAGGTCATTTGCTCATTTTAAAATCAGGTTTTTTTTTTTTCTATTGAGTTGTATGATGTTCTGTGTATAGTTTGTTCATTATTATTGATGAAGCGAATTCCATTTATCAACATACTGCTATATACTTATCCATTCTATTGCTATTGGTTATTTGGGATGTTTCTAGTTTGTGTCTATTACGAATAGTACTTCTTAGTGAGTTTTTATATATGAGTTTTTTTTCCTGTTGGGTCTGTTTATATCTATAAAGCAAATTGTTGAGTCATAAGATGTATATAATCAGCTTTAGAAAGCCTTACCCAAAGTTTTTATACTGATTATATATACAAATACATATTTCCACTAGCAATGTAAGCAGGTTTCATTTCCACCAAATCAATTCCAATACTTTTATTGTCTCTCCTTTGCATTTTAGCCATTCTGGAGAATATTGAATGTTTTAACTTTTATTTCTCTGATGACTAATGAAGTTGGTGAAATTTGCACATGTTGATTGGCTATGTGGATAGCCTCTGTTGCGACGTGCCTGATCAAGTTATTCATTCATATTTCTATTATGGGTATTTTGTTCATATTTCTATTACTGGTACAGAATACAAAGACCAGATTTGGACTACACGTATACGTCAACTGATTTAGGATTTTGCAGTGTAGTGAGGAGGATGCCCTTTAATAGATGTGGGTGGTGGCACTATAGATTTTGAACTTTTTAAGTGACAAGAGGAAGGAATGTGTCTACTTTGTTCAGCCTGCTTTCTACAGTATTTATGATACTATGAATAAATGAATAAATGGGTTAATAAATAAATAACTCAAATCTCCTTTCGTGATTAACAATGTCTATACTTACTATCCATAGGTGTTACTGGAATTTTTGTTTTTCCACGTACAAGTTCTCCTCATTTACAATGGGGATATGTCTCAAAAAAACCGTCATAAGTTGAAAATGTCATGTGTCAAAAATGCATTTAATACGTTTAACCTATAGAACACCATAGCTTAACCTAGGCTGTCTTAAATATGCTCAGGACACTTACATTAGCCTACCGTTGGACAAATTCATCAATCACAGAGCCTATTTTATAATAAAGTGTTGAATATCTCATGTAATTTATTGAATACTGTACAGAAAATGGAAAACAGAATGGCTGTATGGGTACTCAAAGTACAGTTTCTGTTGAATGCATATCGCTTTTGCACCATTGTAAAGTTGAAAAATTCTAAATTGAACCACTGTAAGTTGGGTACCATCTGAAATGCTAAATTATTAACCTCAAAACTCTGTTGGTTTAATCATAAAGGCTAAATATGTAAGTTTCATAATTTTCAGGGTATTAATGGAAATGATGGTTGTCTTGTTGGAAATAAGTTATATTCTTAGTGAGTTTCTGCAAATGTTATACTCAGTAAGTACAACATTTTAAAAAGAGGAAATTGATTTGCAATTTCTAACCAATGTCTCATCATTTTCATTATCTTTGTTTGTCACACTATACCCTATTAATGATGTGATTTTTTGCCTTATTTGAAATAGAATTTAAAAGAATTCATGGTAGATATTCTGTGAAGTTTAAAAACAGTAAACATCAAATGTTAGTTTCACAAAATCTTAAATCTCTTTAAAACATTGTTATTAGAGGAAGGACTTATAACTTTATATAGACTGTGATATGAATATTATATAACTGTAAAGGCAAATAGTTGATATGTAATAGGGGATATATTTTCTATGATGCTCTTCCTAAAACCAATTAAAAAACCATTCAGTTTTAAAATTAGAATGTGAAAGGTCATGGAAAAAGTGGTTGGATTTATCACTTATACATTATCTAAATGGAACACATTTGTACCAACCTACTGGAACAATTTCATCTGATTTAGCCACTGTTAGCATAGCTTAAAATATAATTCACTAGGAATATGTCTGCAAACCCATTGATTGTAGACATTGTACTATGCACAATATAAAGGTAACAGTAAGTAAAGCTCTTTAGAAGTAAGGTAGCCTTTACAAAGGGGTAGGAGACCATCTCATCAGGATAGCTTAAAACTCACACATTTGTATGAGTCAGGAGAAGCACTGTCCTTCAAAAATGATTGTATTCTTTCCAATTGCCTGAGCTTTGTTCCTCCTGATGTAATCTGGAGATCTGGCAAAGTATAAACATATTTAGAATCTTATTCATTAGAATACTGAACTCATCCATCAGCAGGATTGACAAGGTCTGAGACAAAGAATTTTGCCTGGCACACAACCTGTACTGAGATTTTCCTGTGGCTATAATGTAGCACACCTGACAGATGTGTAAGTCATTTAACCCAGCAGGGTACTCATAAATACCACAGACCGGCACTCAACATGATAGGGATTATTTTTCTTTTGTCTGCCTGAAGTTATATGGCCCATAATCAATACAGGATTGAGGCATAACTAGCTAAAACATAGGGTGTGATATCATTTATATGCAACATTTCTCTTGCTTATAAAGCTTTCAAAATGTCACAGAAGCTGAGATACTTTTTGACACAGGTGAAACATGCAAACCATGCTTCCTTTTTTATGATCCAAACTGGTTTAGAAAAGAAAAGCATCAAAGATGTTATTTGCTTATGGAGTAAAGATAATATGTTACCTGTTTATATTCTTGATAGCTCATTAAAGACATAATGGGCTTTATTAAAACCATGTTAATTTTTAAATAGAACTTGGTGAAGATGAAAAGGAACTGCAAGGACAGTATTTTAAATTCTCAATAACAATGTGTCTGAACCAGAAAAAGAAAGGAAGAAATGAATATACATATGTAGTTTTTCAAATTATACTATATGTCCTAAGGGAAGGAGATAGATGCTATTAATTTAAATGTCATGTTTGCATGAGAATGAAACACAGCGATTTTAAATTTGGCTTTATTAAAGTTTCTTTTTTAGGTCAAGTTTATCATTTGGTAAATAGCAATTGGAGCAACAGCTCATTGATAAAATTTATTTAGGTCATTTGAGAAGAGGTAACAATTGGGGGGCGGGGGGCACACAGTGCTTTCAAAATAGCATTTTATTACATTTACAAATTATTACATAATCAAAATCTTCTTGCAGTCTGCAACTATGTAGGGAGTTTAGAAATAGAAAAATTAACAATACCTTAAAGGAACATATAAATACCACAGTTGCACCATGGTGCTCCCCTGGCATAAATAACACTTATTTTAGAAGCTGTTTTTGTAAGCATGGATTTCTGAGAAAAAGATTCCAGTTTTGTTTTACATAGGTCATGGCTTTTAAAAGTTTGCTTTAGGTTTCAGTGATTTGCTGGGTGCACCTGTATATGCAGATGCAGAAATTGTTTCATCTTGGAAAATAACTATAGTTTAGCACTTTTGTGTCAAAATAAGTCTGTGGAAGTTAATGAAAACATTATTTCAGGCTATGCCTAAACACAAAGAATAGTTAGGAATTCTGAAAAACAAACACATATCAGAAAGGTTGAAATACTCAAACAATTTCCTTTTCCAATGTTTTGTTTATGTCTGCTGCTAGTTATAGTATGCTAACTGCTTTCCTTTCACTGACATTCTAACTCCTATATTTCCAGGCTAACGACCTTTGATTTTTGGTCAATTGATGATGGTATTTTTTTGCAAGATTTTTCTTAGCTAATTTCGGAATTAGACATTTTGCCATGTTAGCTACTTTGGAAAGGAACTTCTTAAGTCCATTGTGATCTCTATGTGTATATCTGTGGCTTTGTTTTCATTTTAAACAAAATTATATAGAAAGGGAGTGGTCATAGCCAAGAAATGATTTAAATAGGACTTACAACGTAGATGCTGAGTGTATACTAGTCCCCTCAAGTGGGAAGATTTTTCCTTCAAGTTTAAACTCAATTTCCATTTCTTTGGGAAAGCCTTACCTGGCCTTGCTGAGTAGGTCAAGTTCTCCTGTGATGTGCTTTCAAAGTACCATGTAACACTGCTTTTTAGTGACTGTTGCCATTGGCAGTTTCACATTTATTTTTGGCTCTTTGATTAATATTAATATCTGTCTATCCTACTACACACCAAGCCCCAGAATTATAAGAATTGTATGTTTTCTCATTCTTATATCCTTGGAGTCCAGCACGTGATGGTGATCCAATAAATGCTTGAAGAATGAATGCACATTATATAACACTACTCTACAATATTGATACAATTTCATAATGTTTAAGTATAATTTTGAAACATTCTTAAAACAGACACTACTGTTCTGGCTTTTTGCTTTGTATTATGTGATTTTGGCAGATCAATCAATAAATGCCTACTCTGGAATCATTTGAGAGATATATCCAGAAGTTGGATATAGGTTGGAGGACTTGGCTTAGATGTGTGGCCATCGCAGGGTTACTGATTTCTCACCCTCACACAGTTAACCTCACCCCTCAGTCACAGTCAGGCTCCTGCTTTGGACCAAAGAGGAGTAAAAATTATTTCCCATCAATGGATACCTGAGAAATAGCAAACACCTCAAAGGGGAAAATGCTGAGAAAAGATTTAGAGATGAGTCAAAGTATCTTGAAGACAGGTGAAACAAATGGAATGAGAACATTAAGCCTTAGTAGGCATTTATTGTCTTTTAACCTAGAGAATAAAAAACAAGGAAAGAAGAGAAACTCTCAATTCCTGACCTATCTCTTTGTGTTCAGCCATGAAATAAGAAAATTAAACTATTTGTGAATTAAAAAAATACATCTAGAAAAATAAAACAAACGTTTCTGAACTTTGATATCTGAGTCTTAAAAGTTTCTGACACAGTCTTTACTCTTTTGGTATTACAGCAGATAACCAGTATGTTCCCCATTTTCAACCATCTTCTTCCATGATATTAATGTGAAAATCATAAGCAAGCACCATATACATATAAATACTTTAAATCTGTTTTGTCATTTTATCTGGGAGGCAGTAGAGTGTAGATATTAAGAACAGTGTAGTGTAGAGATTAAGAACTGGGTTAAAAGATGCAATGTATATGACGTGTTTAATAGTACACTGCCTGATAAAATGGTAGATGTTCTATAAAATGCTGGTCACTTTTCTCATTATGATTGTTGCCATAGTAGAATGGAATGTCCCATTGTCCAGTTTACTCAAGCACTGCTCTCAATGCTGGGGTTTTCCTTCTATGACACTTCTACCCTTCTGTATGTTAAAGACCTCCAGATTAATTTTGGGAAACTTAGAATATTCCGGGCCTTCAAAAAAGAGTGCACATGAATACCCAGGAAGTCTGCACTGAGCTCAGAAAATTCTCATGAAGGGACCTGATGACCAGAGGCCCACACCCCTCTGTGAGGAGAGGTACAGCCAGCATGTCTTCTCTGTCTGAGTAAATGTTACTCTGAGTAATGTTTCTTGCTGTTGGCTTAGCTTCCATGCGGCTCCCAGAGTGTTTGTGCATCTGCGCATGCTGACCTCACTTCTCTCCACCTACTCATCTCAGATTCAGCTCCCTTTTCTCCCACCTTTGATGTCCAATAAGGCCATACCTTATTCACCAACTCTCCATCCCTCCCACATCAATACAGGTGACTCACCTTGATTTCTCAAGGGGGTGTGGGTGGAATGATCTAATTCTTCTTCCAGTCTCTTTCCATATTTATTACTTTGGCTGTGAAAACCTTCTTCTTTTTTTAAAAATAATACTCTAAAACGTCTGTTCTACAAGTAAAAAATAAAAGAAACCAAACAGTGATTATATTTTGATCTTTTTTGTTTTGTTTTTGCACTATAAAATTCTATTTCTCTCTAACACAATAGTGAAACTCTTTACCTACGGGGGTGGGAGGGGATTCACATATAAGGAATTCAGAAAAAGAAAATAACATGGATTAATATTCCAATTTACTAGTTTGCTACATTATTATTATTAAATGCCACCTTAACACTATCAAATAAACACTATCACTCTCATTTATTGACACAAAACTAACACAGTGACAATGCAAATATCTTGTTCACAGCAACAGCCCAAACAAAGACCAGGAGCTCTGACGCCAAAGCTCACAGTGTAGTGCTTCTTCAAAAAGACCATGTTCCCTCTTGCCTCAGGAAGTTTGCATGCCCTGCTTTCTTTGTCCAATGCCTGGCTAAATTGTACCATAATGGTTTCATGCTGTGTATCACAGGGTTTGCACAGGGTGATCCATCAAAAAGTGGGAAGAAAATATGCAGTTCTTATTTATACATTTCTATCTATGAAGTAAGAATGAGTAAAACGTTATAAATGTTTACTCTGACTAAGTACTGATGCCCTTGAGGGATTTTGAAAAAGAAAGGAAGTTCCACAATGGGGAAAGGGCATGGCAGAAGCCTCTTTCTTGTTAGCACTGTGCAGAGCAATGTTTGTAGCTTATGCATGCCAAGTTAAGTGGGTTTATGGGTTATACTCTTATTCTAAATAAATTGATCCTTACAAAATGGGGAAAGGTCATAAAGGGTTTTCTAAATAGAAACTGTAAACTGAAGACAATTTAATACTATTATTGCAAGAACAAGCAAGTGACAAAAAAGAACGAAACTGACATATCAACTATTGTATGAGCTTTGTTTTCTAGTCACACAAAACACAGACAATTAGACAATATATTGGCCAGGAAACTAGAAGTTCTCAAAAAGATTAGAATAAGTTGTTACATATAATATTTATTTAAGTTACAATTTGTCTTTTCACATTCTGTGTTTTAAGATATGGGAAAATGGTGTCATTTAGTATGGAAAAATAAGGCAGGTGTGAATATCTGTATTCACTTCCAACCAACTGATAATTTGGTTTATGAATGCCGTTCCTATATTATTACCTGCAGAATGATCACATGTGTATTTGTCACTTTTTTGGTCCTGATTATATATATATATATATATAGTATTCTTAACAATTAACCTCACTATTTGTGTGTAATTTGTGTTTTATTATCCATTAATTGTTGATGGTAATGCATGTATATAATTCATAAATGCATATTTTTTATAGATGGGGTACATGAGGTTCATGATAAAAAGTTACTAATCCTTAATAATCATTTAGGATTCAGCTTGGACATTATAGGCATACCTCTGACATACTGTGTGTTCCATTCCAGACTACCAAATATAAAGCAAGAGAAATGGGGGAATAGCCCTTTGGTGGGACGGTCAGAACACACACAACATTTATCAATTAATTCACGATCTTTTATGGGTGTGGTTTATGGCACCCCAATACAATTAAAATGTTAATATCAAAGATCCTCAGATTACAGATTACCAAAATGGATATAATGACAATAAATTTTTTTGAAATATTGCAAAAATTACTAAAATATGACACAGACAGGAAGTGAGCACATGCTGATGGAAAAATGGTGTCAATAGACGTGCTAGAAGCAGGGTTGCCACAAACCTTTAATTTGTAAACCGTGTGAAAGGCAGTAAAGTGAAGTGCAGTAAAACAAAGCATGGCTGTATTTTTTTTTCTATTGTAATATTTTTGCAGAATCTACAAGAATTGACTCTTTTGCAGCTTCCTCTCCACCAAGTCTGTGATGGCAGGGACAGTGTCTTACTCATATTTGAATTCTCACGATAGAGCAATGTGTCTGACAAACAGAAGTCATGTGAGGAGACTAATAAAGACGTATTCACCACAAACTACCAAAGACTTAGCTGATATCATAAAATTGAACTCGGGCACATCTAGGCATAGCTCTCTGCTTTCAAGTTGTCCTTTAAAGCCCGGGCAGGCACTTTCCTCTGCTCCCCATGGTGTCCCTGCATGCGTCTTTTTGGTTGGGCTTCCCAGTCGACTCAATATTCAGCATATTGAGTAATTTCTCCAGTCACTTCTGCCTGTGGCTTCTGTAAAATAGCAAAAATTAGCAAGAAATTTTTGTGACTCATACTCAGCAATGGGTCTAGCTCCAACTCTCATTGCCTTATTCTACTTTAGTCCTTCCTCTTCTTAAGCAGGTCACGACATGGATAACTGATTGATGAGAGATAAGTGAGTAATAGTAAGTGTTAGAGGGAGAAAGTGGACTCTCAAACTTTCTCTAAGGAGCACTTATTACCTCCTTTAACTGTAATGATCCCATGTGGAATGACAGTAATAGTCGCAAGCAGCCACGTGTGCTGGAGGTAAAGGGTTACCTTATAACACTAGAGAGAATAAGGCTAATGGCAAACTCTAGGATGAAACTGTTATAAGAATCCAGGTTGTGCTAAAGGTGTCCCATAACAAAGTAGAGTCAGTAGAATTGCAGGGATGTAGATGAATTTGAGGAATATGAAGGAGGTAGAAAGTAAGGATTTGAGTCCTGGATGATCTCATGTTTCTGGCTTGGACAGTTGCATGCTTGGTGATGCCATTCATTAAGAAAGTTATCATTTAATAGTATTCATTGTGTATACGTAGCACATTTTCTTTATCCATATACAAAGTAGACAAAATACAGTCATCCCTCGGTATCCATGGGGGATTGATTCCAGGAACCCCTGTGGACACCAGAATCCACAGACGCTCAAGTTTCTTATATAAATTGGCTTAGTATTTGCATATAACCTATGCAAAGCCTCCCATATATTTTAAATCATCATTAGATTATTTATAATGCCAAACACCATCTAAAAGCTATGTAAATTGTTATCCTGTATTGTTTAGGGAATGATGACAAGGAAAGAAGATTGTACATGTTCAGTACAGATGTAACAATATGTATATACACATATATATTTTTTCCAAATATTTTGGTCTGTGGATTACTAATTGCATGAATGGGGAACTCACAGATATGGAAGGCTGACTGTACTGCATGATCGCATGTGTATGCAGAATCTGAAATAGGGAAATTCATAGAAACACAGAGTAGAATGGTGCTTACTAGGGTCTAGAGGCAAGAGAAGGGTTGAGGGGATGGGATTGAGGTGATGTTGGTCAAAGGATACAAAATTCCAGTAGACAGGAGGAATAAGTTCTAGAGATCTATTGTACAACATGGTGACTATAGCTAATAGCAAATGTCTTATATATTTGAAAAATGATAATGGTAGATTTTAAGCATTCTCACTACAAAAAATAAGCATGTGAAGTAATTATAGTTTGATTTAGCCATTCCACAAAGTATACATATATAACACCATGTTGTACATTATAATTTTATGGAATTTTCTTTATTAATGTAAAAAATAGAAAAAGAATCACTGACGAAAGAGGAACATGTTTTCAGGGTAAAGAGGATAAATGCGTGGTAAAACAAACAAACAGACAGACAGACAAAACCCCCCAAAAAACACAGTCCCTTTATTGGTTCCATTCTGAATCTGGTCTCCACATTCAATCGGGCAATGAAATTTGACCAATAGCCTTTTTATATTTTCGTGGGGAGGCCTAGATCACATTCTTCATGATGACACTCTAAAACATTCACTGCACTCCTCAAGCCTGTGTTGGAAAACTCGCCATCCTGCTCTCCCTACTTGTAGGATCATCCCAGAGACAAGCTGCTCCTCTACTGCTCAAAGAAATTAGAGGTAATCGGCCACACGCAGTGGCTCACGCCTATAATCCCAGCACTTTGGGAGGCCGAGGCAGGTGGATCACGAAGTCAGAAGATCAAGACCACCCTGGCTAACCCGGTGAAACCCCGTCTCTACTAAAAATAAAAACAATTAGCCGGGCATGGTGGCGGGCGCCTGTAGTCCCAGCTACTCGGGAGGCCGAGGCAGGAGAATGGCGTGAACCCGGGAGGAGGAGCTTGCAGTGAGCCGAGATGGCGCCACTGCACTCCAGCCTGGGCTACAGAGCGAGACTCCACCTCAAAAAAAAAAAAAAAAAAAAAAAAAAAAAAAAAAAAAGTAATCAGGCAGAGTCCGCCACCCCCTCTTCCCTTTCTGTCATCCCCACTGCCAATCATTCCCCATTCTGTCTGTTTCTCGATTATCTTTGGAGTCTCTCCACTTTCCTTTTATTTCCCCACTGTCGCTACCGAGTCCAGATTGTTAGAGGCTTTTACCTTGATTTTTGCAGCAGCCTGGTATGGTTCTCTAGTTTCCTCTCATTGCTCTCTCCATTCTATCCTCCACTTTGAAACCAAAGTGATATTTCAAAATTGCAAATCTAATTATATCACCCCTTTGCTTCAAACTTTGCAATTGTATCTCAGCCTGACTTCACAACATGGCTCACTTAGACTTCTCCAGCATTGTCTCTTGCCACATCTTCCTGTTCTCTCCACACTGATTCAATTCGTAAAATGTACCACATTTTTTATTATGGCCAGATATTTGCACATACTGTCCCATTTGAAATGAAATATGATTTATTTTATATTTGTATTACTGATATTTCTAATGTTGAATCTTAAAGTTTTCATTCAAAAGTCACTTCCTCCTGGAAGTTTTTCTGATTCTCACTCCTTCCCTGAATTAGGGAAATATGAATTAGGTTCCCCTCTTATGAGCCCACACTACATCTTATATTTTTCCTATCATAGCTCATCATGGAGCTTAATAATTTTTTAGGTTTCTTTGGTAAGAATCCCACAGTGCACTATATAAAGGCAGGACCTGTTTCTGTCTCCTGACTGTCTCTTAGTACCCAATAAAGTTCCTACTATATACCAAATGTTCTATAAATACTTCTAAAGCATATTAAATGTTGAATGATTTATATGACATTATTCTATACATTTGAGCCATTTTAAATGTGTATGATAACTAACCTAGATTAAACAAAGAATAAATGTCTATGAAAAAAGACTTTAAAATAAATAAATAAATAATAAATAAATAAATAAATAGCTTGACTTTTATCAATGTAGATATTCAATCTTGATGATTCAACACATTGGAATCTTGCTTTTTCCCATCTGGAGTATTTTGATAATTACTTAACACATTTTATAATAGAGATACCATCTGCAAATTTCAGTCTTGCCATCTTTTCCTAATCTATCACACAACACTGAGGTCCTAGAAAGCCTGAATTCCTGAGATTTTGATTGATGCGAATATAACTTCTAATTCTATTTACTCATGAACATCATAATATTTTAAAAGTAGGCCCTTTTTTTTAACTTAACTGTGAATAGCCATTAATCATTTTTCTTCTGCAGAGCATGGTTCTCCGTCTTATGTTAACTATCACTTGCTATTATTTCCATATAACTGAATATTATCTCCATTCCCCTGAGGTCACTTCAAACTGTTGTTACCTTTGAAACCCTTCTTGTTGAATCCATCCTGCTCATAACCATCAGGTTAATTTTAACAACATCACTGATCATTAGAGAAATGCAAATCAAAACTACAAGATACTGTCTAACACCCATCAGAATGGCTATTATTAAAAAGTCAAAAAATAACAGATGCTGGCAAGGTTGTAGAGAAAAAGGAATGCTTTTATACTGTTGGTGGGAGTATAAATTAGTTCAGCCATTGTGGAAGACAGTGTGGTGATTCCTCAAAGACCTAAAGACAGAAATACCATTCAACCCTGCAATCCCATTACTCAGTATGTACCCAAAAGGATATAAATAATTCTATTATAAAGACACATACATGTGTATATTCATTGCAGGACTATTCACAATAGCAAAGACATGGAACCAACCTAAAAGCCCATTAACAATAGACTGAAGAAAGAAAATGTGTTACATATATACCATGGAATACTATGCAGCCATAAGAAAAAACAAGAACATGTCCTCTGCAAGGACATGGATGGAGCTGGAGGCCATTATCCTTAGCAAACTAATCAGAAACAGAAAACCAAACACTGCATGTTCTCACTCATAAGTAGGAACTAAATGATGAGAACACTTCGACACATAAAGGGGAACAACAGACACTGGGAGTCTGTCAGAAGGTGGAGGGTGGGAGGAGAGACAGGATCAGGAAAAATAACTAATGGGTGCTAGGCTGAATATCTGGATGATGAAATAATCCATACGACAAACCCCCATGACAAAAGTTTATCTGTGTAACAAACCTGCACTAGTACTGCTGAACTTAAAAGTTAAAAAAGAAAACACAAAATATTGTTATTTTCATTGTATTTCCTGTGATGTAAAAAAAAAAAAAAAAGTTTAACAATTTTATTTGTTTCCTAGGGATCTAGCTTTCAAAATTTAATGCAGGAGAAATTTTTCTTTTCAAAGAAATACCTGTAGATTCTCCATTATATGTGTTACATGTGTGTGTATGTGAATGAATGCTTGGCAAGGAGACATCTCTGGAAGAAACAGGGAGATACTAGTTGTAAGGACAGGAGAGTCTAGACGAGAGCCAGTGAACTGTAGTGTTTGTAAAGGAAAACAGGAAAGATGTGAGAAAGAACCATGAGCTGTGAAACTCTGGGGAAGGACAGGGGTAAAGATAATTTTTAGAATAATTTGCTGTATGTAGGCAATCTAGTACTCTCATGCTTCACCATTTCTTCAGGTAAAGTAAATCAATACATTGAACCAACAGATTTCATGGAGTGTGAATTGCTCCTCTCACTACCAAAAATACACATTGAAGCTCCACTTGCAAGATCAATAACATCAATAACAATAGAAATCACCCAGAAAATATCATTACTTTGGTCTTTCATCTTCCCTTTAATATTTACTTACAGAGGCAATTATTTCCTCTCAGGTAGCTCTGCATATTTACAGATCTCTGGAAAAAAAATATGGTCATTTTAAATACAGCTATAATTTTGCCATTAAAAGTAGTTCGCACCATATGATAATCAAACTTTGAACCTGACTTAAAGTTAAATTTACCCTCCTTCTCCTCCTCCTCCTTCTCCTTTCTTCTTCTTCTTCTTCTTTGCTTGTGGCTTCTTAGTGTACCTGTGGCACACTAAAGATGATCTCAAGTTCTTTATAGCTCCCCTCATCAAAAGGTAGAATCCACTTCATTAAGCTATGCATCTGGATTGGCTTTGTGGCTTGCTTAAATATGATAGAATGTGTTGGAAACGACATTATGTGAATACTTCTGTCATTATGCAAGGAAGCCTGAGATGAAAAACAACTTAGATAGACAGCGGGACTGGCTCAGCCATCCCAGTTCTTCTAGTCTCTCCAATTAATGCTCCTGAAATGTCGGTGAGGATGTTTTACACCAACCTCTCTCCCCCATCCAAGCTGCCAACTGACTGACGGAGCCCTCCTGTGCTGGCTCAGGTGATATTGGCAGGTGAGCTGCCTAGTTAATTCACAACTGGGAGAAAATAAGAAATTGCTGTTTTAAGCTACAGTTTTGGGTGATTTCAAGAGAGATCACGAATACACTCCACCAGGTGATTTTACTGGTTAAAAGCTAGAAGAACCTCATGGCCACTTGTGGCCCATGAGAACTAATCAGGCATCCTTTGTCCCAACACACTTTAGGAATGTTGGTGACTCTCCATGCAGCTACTTCTCCTAGACAGCCCCTACTTTTTCTTTTGAATTTTCCAGGCAAGAGCAAGGCACCAGTTCACCATATCTGTCTGAGGAAAAGAACATCTATCAATCTCCTGAGAGTGCCCATGGAAACTTATCTCATTAGACTTTAGGAGATACTTCCCCCATGTCTTGATCTTCTCTTTTATAAGAAATCCTTTCAATTTTATTTTTCTTTCCCACCTAGATAGACAGTATTGTGTATGTGGCTTTTAGCCACTGGTCTACAATCCTTTCTCTACAATTCTGAGATCTAAATAGCTCTTAGAAAATAGAACAGAATGTATGCATGTATACATGTGTATATCTATAATACAATATAAAATTATATGTATACACATATATGATTATTTGACAGCAATACCTAACATCAGGCTATTTATAATCTTTATAAACCTTATTTAACCCACTTGTTGGGAATATACATACATTTTGTTGCAGAAATCTTCATATATGATATTCATTGAGGGTGTGATATAACATATGGTATACTATCTTTTCTTTTTTATTTTTTTTAGATGGAGTATCACTCTGTTGCTCAGGGTGGAGTGCAGTGGCATGATCGCAACTCACTTCAACCTCTGCCTCCCCTTCAAGCGGTTCTCCTGCCTCAGCCTCCTGTACTATCTTTCTAAAATTATAAAAATTGAATTATTAAATAGATCTTTCCCCAAGGATTTCAGAAGAAGAGACTCCACAGCTCCACAGGAGCTCTTTTCTTTTCTTTGAATAATTGTATCCTGATTGAGTACCTGATTTTGGTATCTTATATCTATTATCCATTTTTTTATTGAACCAAAATACACATTTCAACAACTGTTAAACTAGGTTAAAATTCACCAAGTCATTAGACTTGGATTTATGTTTCTTTTAGAAGAGCTACCATCCATATGGCAGGCTGCAAAAGGCCAGTCTTAGCAGACATTGTGAAGATGTGACTTACGTTCTCAAATAAACTATCTTCTCAATGGATCAATAAAGTTATTTGTACTTCCCTTAAATTATAGCCTAATTTTTTTTCTCTTAGATATTAAAAATAGTCGATGAGATTAACCAGTTCTATTTCAGAATGGGTCTAAGTCAGTGGGCTTAAACTATACTCAGCAGGCCTGCTTCAGGGACTCAGCAAGGAGAGGCAGTTGAAAAATGAGGTGGCACATGCAAGTCTCAGAGTTCTCAAATGCACTTAGTCTAGTGGATTTCCCCTTTTAATGTGCTGTAAATAATAAAATTCATGATTTTCCTTGAAGACAGTATTGACATTGCTAATATGAAATACACAGATGTTTTGGAATTTTTGTATAATAAATTGAGTGTTCTTTTATTCCAACTTTTAGCATCAGGTTAATACAGCCAATATTTATTTCATAAACTTAATTTCTATGCTTTATTCCATCATCTAAAGCTATTATCATAATTTTATTTTTATGTATTTTTTAATTTTAATTTTTAATTTTTGTGGGTACAGAGTAGGTGTATAATATTTATTGGTTACATGAGATGTTTTGACACAGGTATGCAATGCGTAATAATCATATCAGGGTAAATGGGGTATCTATTGCCTCAAGCATTTATTCTTTGTTACAAACAATCTATTTTAAACAAAAATAATACCGGATCCATGCTTTACTACTGTTGAAACCTCTTGCTGCACTTTGTAAATATTTTACTTTAGCATTTTCACTTTTTTTTTTTTTTTTTACAATTTTTATATTCTAGGGTTTTTACAGGTTTAGGTCTAACATTTAAGTATTTAATCCATCTTGAATTAATTTTTGTATAAGGTGTAAGGAAGGGATCCAGTTTCAGCTTTCTGCATATGGCTAGCCAGTTTTCCCAACACCATTTATTAAATAAGGAATCCTTTCCCCATTGCTTGTTTCTGCCAGGTTTGTCAAAGATCAGATGGTTGTAGATGTGTGGTGTTATTTCTGAGGCCTGGGTTTGGCTGATGCTTCTGTGGGTGATTGCATTGGTTCTTGGAAGACTGTGTCATGGCTGGGGGCCCACGATACCTATTTTCCTGATCAGATGGATGAACTGTCCTCTGGCTTATAGTTTATGATTTCCCTGTCCATATACTAATGTTTTATCTTTTATTTTTAAAATAGAGCTTTACAGTTTTCAAAGTGCTGCCACATATGTCACCTCATTTGACCTCTCCTTTATGAGACATACAGATTAGCATAGAAAAAAGGTGAAATATGCTAAATAATTTCTATTGGTCATAGAACTATCAAATATAAGGAAAAACTAGAAATCAGTTCTTTTATTACCATTATGTAATTTCTAAAAGCATAAACTCTCATCTCATAAATGAAAGATTCCTGTACCTTTTACTTTTTCTGCCACAGATTTTGAAGTTGTTGACAAGTGTGTCATTGAAACACTTTTTTTGTTTATTAATTTTTGTGTAACCATTAAAAGAAGGGAATACACTGAAATATGTATCCCTAAACATTTTCCATACTTGACTATAAGTTGAGCTGAAATCTCGATTTAATACATATATATATATCATGTAGTTTATATGATTTAATTCAATTTAATACATATATACAAATCATGTAGTTTCTTTGGAAAACAAGTATAATGGTCTTGTGAGAATCCTTTATAACAATTGTTCAGAGAAATATATTTACAAATCTTTTGGAAACGTTCTCTAAAAATACTAAAACAGGGTGGCTGGCAAGATGGCAGAGTAGGAACAGCTCTGGTCTGCAGCTCCCAGCGAGATCAATGCAGAAGGCAGGTGATTTCTTCATTTCCAACTGAGGTACCTGGCTCTTCTCATTGGGAGTGGTTAGACAGTGGGATAAATGCCCCAATTAAAAGACACATATTGGCAAATTGGATAAACAGTCAAGACCCATTGGTGTGCTGTATTCAGGAGACCCATCTCATGTGCAAAGACACACATAGGCTCAAAATAAAGGGATGGAGGAATATTTACCAAGCAAATGGAAAGCAAAAGAACCAGGGGTTGCAATCCTAGTCTCTGATAAAACAGACTTCAAACCAATAAAGATAAAAAAAGACAAAGAACGGCATTATATAATGGTAAAGGAATCAATGCAATAAGAAGAGCTAACTATCCTAAATATATATGCACCCAATACAGGAGCACCCAGATTCATAAAGCAAGTTCTTAGAGACCTACAAAGAGACTTAGACTTCCGCACAATAATAATGGGAGACTTTAACATCTCACTGTCAATATTAGACAGATCAATGAGACAGAAGGTCAATAAGGATATTCAGGACTTAAACTCCACTCTGGATCAAGTAAACCTAACAGACATCTACAGAACTCTCCACCCCAAATCAACAGAATATATATTCTTCTCAGCACCACATCACACTTATTCTAAAATTGACCACATAATTAGAAGTAAAACACTCCTCAGCAAATGCAAAAGAATGGCAATTGTAACAGTCTCTCAGACCACAGTGCAATCAAATTAGAACTCAGGATTAAGAAACTCACTCAAAACCGCACAACTACATGGAAACTGAACAATCTGTGCCTGAATGACTACTGGGTAAATAATGAAATTAAGGCAGAAATAAATAAGTTCTTTGAAACCAATGAGAACAAAGACACAACGTACCAGAATGTCTGAGACACAGCTAAAGCAGTGTTTAGAAGGAAATTTATAGCACTAAATGCCCACAGGAGAAAGTGGGAAAGATCTAAAATAGACACCCTAACATCACAATTGAAAGAACTAGAGAAGTTAGAGCAAACAAATTCAAAAGCTAGCAGAAGACAAGAAAGAACTAAGATCAGAGCAGAACTGAAGGAGATAGAGACACAAAAACCCTTCAAAAAAATCAATGAATCCCAGAGCTGTTTTTTGAAAAGATTAACAAAATAGATAGGCTGCAAGCCAGATTAATAAAGAAGAAAAGAGAGAAGAATCAAATAGACACAATTAAAAATGATAAAGTGGTGGTTCCAAGATGGCCGAATAGGAACAGCTCCAGTCTACAGCTCCCAGCATGAGCGACGCAGAAGACAGGTGATTTCTGCATTTCCAACTGAGGTAATGGGTTCATCTCACTGGGGCTTGTCGGACAGTGGGTGCAGGACAGTGAGTGCAGTGCACTGAGTGTGAGCCAAAGCAGGGAGAGGCATCGCCTCACCCGGGAATTGCAAGGGGTCAGGGAATTCCCTTTCATAGCCAAGCAAAGCTGTGACAGATGGCACCTGGAAAATCAGGTCACTCCCACCCTAATACTGCACTTTTCCAGTGGTCTTAGCAAACAGCGCACCAGGAGACTATATCCCGTGCATGGCTTGAGGGTCCCACACCCACGGAGCCTCACTCATTGCTAGCACAGCAGTCTGAGATGGAACTGCAAGGTGGCAGCGAGGCAGGGGGAGGGGCACCCGCCATTGCTGAGGCTTGAGTAGGTAAACAAAGCAGCCAGGAAGCTCGAACAGGGTGGAGCCCACCACAGCTCAAGGAGGCCTGCCTGCCTCTGTAGACTCCACCTCTGGGTGCAGGGCATAGCTGAACAAAAGGCAGCAGAAATCTCTGCAGACTTTAATGTCCCTGTCTGACAGCTTTGAAGAGAGTAGTGGTTCTCCCAGCATGGAGTTTGAGACCTGAGAACGGACAGACTGCCTCCTCAAGTGGGTTCCTGACCCCAGAGTAGCCTATCTGGGAGGTACCCCCCAGTAGGGGCAGACTGACACCTCACACGGCCGGGTACCCCTCTGAGATGAAACCTCCAGAGGAAGGATCAGACAGCAACATTTGCTGTTCAGCAATATTCGCTGTTCTGCAACCTCCACTGTTGATACCCAGGCAAACAGGGTCTGGAGTGGACCTCTAGTAAACTCCAACAGACCTGCAGCTGAGGGTCCTGACTGTTAGAAGGAAAACTAACAAACAGAAAGGACATCCACACCAAAACCTCATCTGTACATCACCATCATCAAAGACCAAAAGTAGATAAAACCACAAAGATGGAGAAAAAACAGAACATAAAAACTGAAAATTCTAAAAATCAGAGTGCCTCTCCTCTTCCAAAGGAATGCAGCTCCTCACCAGCAATGGAGCAAAGCTGGATGGAGAATGATGAGTTGAGGGAAGAAGGCTTCAGACGATCAAACTTCTCTGAGCTAAAGGAGGAAGTTGGAACCCATTGCAAAGAAGTTAAAAACCTGGAAAAAAGATTAGATGAATGGCTAACTAGAATAACCAATGCAGAGAAGTCCTTAAAGGACCTGATGGAGCTGAAAACCATGGCACGAGAACTACGTGACGAATGCACAAGCTTCAGTAGCCGATTCGATCAACTGGAAGAAAGGGTATCAGTGATTGAAGATCAAATTAATGAAATGAAGTGAGAAGAGAAGTTTAGAGAAAAAAGAATAAAAAGAAACAAACAAAGCCTCCAAGAAATATGGGACTATGTGAAAAGACCAAATCTATGTCTGATTGGTGTACCTGAAAGTGACGGGGAGAATGGAACCAAGTTGGAAAACACTCTGCAGGATATTATCCAGGAGAACTTCCCCAACCTAGCAAGGCAAGCCAACATTCAAATTCAGGAAATACAGAGAATGCCACAAAGATATTCTTCAAGAAGAGCAACTCCAAGACACATAATTGTCAGATTCACCAAAGTTGAAATGAAGGAAAAAATGTTAAGGGCAGCCAGAGATAAAAGTCAGGTTACCCACAAAGGGAAGCCCATCAGACTAACAGCTGATCTTTCGGCAGAAACTCTACAAGCCAGAAGAGAGTGGGGGCCAATATTTAACATTCTTAAAGAAAATAATTTTCAACCTAGAATTTCATATCCAGCCAAACTAAGCTTCATAAGTGAAGGAGAAATAAAACCCTTTACAGAGAGGCAAGTGCTGAGAGATTTTGTCACCACCAGGCCTGCCCTAGTGCTCCTGAAGGAAGCACTAAACATGGAAAGGAACAACTGGTACCAGCCACTGCAACAACATGCCAAATTGTAAGACCATGAATGCTAGGAAGAAACTGCATCAACTAACGAGCAAAATAACCAGCTAACATCATAATGACAAGATCAAATTCACCCATAACAATATTAACTTTAAATGTAAATGGGCTAAATGCTCCAATTAAAAGACACAGACTGGCAAATTGGATAAAGAGTCAAGACCTATCAGTGTGCTGTATTCAGGAGACCCATCTCACGTGCAGAGACATACATAGGCTCAAAATAAAGGGATGGAAGAAGATCTACCAAGCAAATGGAAGACAAAAAAAGGCAGGGGTTGCAATCCTAGTCTCTGATAAAACAGACTTTATACCAACAAAGATCAAAAGAGACAAAGAAGGCCATTACATAATAGTAAAGGGATCAATTCAGCAAGAAGAGCTAACTATCCTAAATATATATGCACCCAATACAGGAGCACCCAGATTCATAAAGCAAGTCCTGAGTGACCTACAAAAAGACTTAGATTCCCACACAATAATAATGGGAGACTTTAACACCACACTGTCAACATTAGACAGATCAATGAGACAGAAAGTCAACAAGGATACCCAGGAATTGAACTCAGCTCTGCACCAAGCAGACCTAATACACACCTACAGAACTCTCCACCCCAAATCAACAGAATATACATTCTTCTCAGCACCACACTGCACCTATTCCAAAATTGACCACATAGTTGGAAGTAAAGCACTCCTCAGCAAATGTAAAATAATAGAAATTATAACAAACTGTCTCTCAGACCACAGTGCAATCAAACTAGAACTCAGGATTAAGAAACTCACTCAAAACCGCTCAACTACATGGAAACTGAACAACCTGCTCCTGAATGACTACTGGGTACATAATGAAATGAAAGCAGAAATAAAGATGTTCTTTGAAACCAACGAGAACAAAGACACAACATACCAGAATCTCTGGGACACATTTAAAGCAGTGTGTAGAGGGAAATTTATAGCACTAAATGCCCACAAGAGAAAGCAGAAAAGATCTAAAATTGACACCCTAATGTCACAATTAAAAGAACTAGAGAAGCAAGAGCAAACACATTCAAAAGCTAGCAGAAGGCAAGAAATAACTAAGATCAGAGCAGAACTGAAGGAGAGAGAGACACAAAAACCCCTTCAAAAAATCAATGAATCCAGGAGCTGGTTTTTTGAAAAGATCAACAAAATTGATAGACTGCTAGCAAGATTAATAAAGAAGAAAAGAGAGAAGAATCAAATAGACGCAATAAAAAATGATAAAGGGGACAGCACCACCAATCCCACAGAAATACAAACTACCATCAGAGAATACTATAAACACCTCTACGCAAATAAACTAGAAAATGTAGAAGAAATGGATAAATTCCTCAACACATACACCCTCCCAAGACTAAAACAGGAAGAAGTTGAATCTCTGAATAGACCAATAACAGGCTCTGAAATTGAGGCAATAATTAATAGCTTACCAACCAAAAAGAGTCCAGGACCAGATGGATTCACAGCCAAATTCTACCAGAGGTACAAGGAGGAGCTGGTACCATTCCTTCTGAAACTATTCCAATCAATAGAAAAAGAGGGAATTCTCCCTAACTCATTTTATGAGGCCAGCATCATCCTGATACCAAAGCCTGGCAGAGACACAACAAAAAAAGATAATTTTAGACCAATATCCGTGATGAACATCGATGCAACAATCCTCAATAAAATACTAGCGAACCGAATCCAGCAGCACATCAAAAAGCTTCTCCACCATGATCAAGTCAGCTTCATCCTTGGGATGCAAGGCTCGTTCAACATACACAGATCAATAAACAAAATCCATCACATAAACAGAACCAATGACAAAAACCACATGATTAACTCAATAGATGCAGAAAAGGCCTTCGGTAAAATTCAACACCCCTTTATGCTAAAAACTCTCAATAAACTAGGGATTGATGGAAGGTATCTCAAAATAATAAGAGCTATTTATGACAAACCCACAGCCAATATCACATTGAATAGGCAAAACTGAAATCATTCCCTTTGAAAATCGGCACAAGACAAGGATGCCCTCTCTCACTACTCCTATTCAACATAGTATTGGAAGTTCTGGCCAGGGCAATAAGGCAAGAAAAACATATAAAATTGTATTCAAATAGGAAGATACAAAGTCAAATTGCCCCTGTTTGCAGATGACATGATTGTGTATTTAGAAAACCCCACTGTCTCAGCCCAAAATCTCCTTAAGCTGATAAGCAACTTCAGCAAAGTCTCAGGATACAAAATCAATGTGCAAAAAACACTAGCATTCGTATACACCAATAATAGACAAACAGAGAGCTAAATCATGAGTGAACTCCCATTCACAATTGCTACAAAGAGAATAAAATACCTAGGAACACAACTTACAAGGGATGTGAAGGACCTCTTCAAGGAGAACTACAAACCACTGCTCAAGGAAATAAGAGAGATCACAAACAAATGGACAAACATTCCATGCTCATAGGAAGAATCAATATCATGAAAATGGCCATACTGCCCAAAGTAGTTTACAGATTCAATACTATCCCCATCAAGCTACCATTGCCTTTCTTCACAGAATTAGAAAAAACTACTTTAAAGTTCATATGGAACCAAAAAAGAGCCCATATAGCCAGACAATCCTAAACAAAAAGAACAAAGCTGGAGGCATCATGCTACCTGACTTCAAACTACACTACATGGCTACAGTAACCAAAACAGCATGCTACTGGTACCAAAACAGACATATAGACCAATGGAACAGAACAGAGGCCTCAGAAATAACGCCACACATCTACAACCATATGATCTTCGACAAACCTGCCAAAAACTAGCAATGGGTAAAGGATTCCCCATTTAATAGATGGTGTTGGGAAAACTGGCTAGCCATATGTGGAAAACTGAAACTGGACTCCTTCCTTACACCTTATACAAAAATTAACTGAAGATGGAGTGAAGACTTAAAAGTAAGACCTAAAACCATCAAAACTCTAGAAGAAAACCTAGGCAATACCATTCAGGACATAGGCATGGGCAAAGACTTCACGACTAAAACATCAAAAGCAATGGCAACAAAAGCCAAAATTGACAAACGGGATCTAATTAAATGAAAGAGCTTCTTCACAGCAAAAGAAACCATCATCAGAGTGAACAGGCAACCTACAGAATGGGAGAAAATTTTTGCAATCTAGTCATCTGACAAAGGGCTAATATCCAGAATCTACGAAGAACTCAAACAAATTTACAAGAAAAAAACAAAAAACCCCATGAAAAAGTGGGCGAAGTATAAGAACAGACACTTCTCAAAAGAAGACATTTATGTAGTCAAAAAACACTTGGAAAAAAATCTTATCATCACTGGCCATGAGGGAAATACAAATCAAAACCACAATGAGATACCATCTCACACCAGTTAGAAGGGCAGCCATTAAAAAGTCAGGAAACAACAGATATTGGAGAGGATGTGGAGGAATAGAAATGCTTTTACACTGTTGGTGGGAGTGTAAATTAGTTCAACCATTGTGGAAGACAGTGTGGCAATTCCTCAAGAATCTAGAACCAGAAATACCATTTGACCCAGCAATCCCATTACTGGATGTATACACAAAGGATTATATATCATTTTACCATAAAGACACATGCACATGTATGTTTATTTCAGCACTATTCACAATAGCAAAGAGTTGGAACCAACCTAAATGCCCATCTATGATAGACTGGATAAAGAAAATATTTCACATATACACCGTGGAATACTATGCAGCCATTAAAAAGGATGAGTTCATGTCCTTTGTAGGGACATGGATGAAGCTGGAAACCATCATTCTCAGCAAACTAACACAAGAACAGAAAACCAAATACCGCATGCTCTCACTTATCAGTGGGAGTTGAATAGTGAGGACACATGGACACAGGGAGGGAAACATCACACACTGGGGCCTGTTGAGGGGGTGGGGGGTCAGGGGAGGGATAGCATTAGGAGAAATACCTAATGTAAATGACGGGTTAATTGGTGCAGTGAACCACCATGGCACGTGAATATATATGTAACAAACCTGCACGTTCTGCACATGTATCCCAGAACTTAAACTATATTTTAAAAAAAGACAAAAAAAAAAACCCAAAAAACAAAAAAACTAAAACATATTGTAATTTTCAGACTCGCCACAAGATGGCGGCAAATTACTTTGTTTAGTTTAAAAATGGCTAGTCTTTTCCTAGGTTGAAAGATTAAACTCTTTCTGTTTCCTGCAAGTTGCTGCAATAGATGTGAGCTAATTGGAGATTGCACATACAGTTTTAGCTTCTTTTCCTTCAACGAGAGTTCCCAACTTCATTGACATTTGTATCAACAAACTCGCAGTTCTCTGTGGTTGAAATATTGGCAACATTATTTATTTTTCTTCTTCCTTTTAGAATGTATCTCCAATCCTTACCATAAAACAAATTCTTTGTTTTTCTTTTGTTTGTTTTTAATGTCAAATAGATTAGCCTTCTTCTTTCCTCTGCCCCTTTCATAAAAGTTGCTTTTATTTGAGTTTTGATGATTACTTAGTTATTACAATAATTTCCTACTTGGCTTCTGGAATCCAAAATACTCAAAATGCAACTAAAGAAACCACTATTACTTAACAGTTAAGAACAAAGGACTACTGTAATTGTATCACTGCCTTGATTCAACCCCTCATTATCTCTAAAACCAAGGCACTTTCCCTTTTTGTTTTTCTCCAAGCATTATTCTCAACTCATTCTCTCTCTGTTAAGGTGAGTCTTATTGCTGTTACCAGCATGCAGATCATTTATTCTCATGACTTTCTTCACAAATATAATTTTTAGTATTCCCTGTATTTCCTCCACCTGTTTTATCTACTTCATCTCTTTTTTACAAGGTTATGGAAAACTTGCTTCCTTTAGAAAGGATGCCTTACCTCAGAGTACAACAATGTCACCTTGTTTTCTTATTCCAAACTTCCCTAGGGCTAGTCTATTTGCTAATATGTCTCTGTCTCTCTATATAGATTTACTTAATATTTGTATGCTCTTTTGAAAATATTCTTTAATTTTTTTGCATACCTCTTATTTCATTAGTATTGCATATCTCTTGCTTCCATTCCAAGAAGGTATCAATCAATTACAGCACAAATGTAAGGCTCCTATTGACTTGCACTTAATTTATTCTCCAAATTATATCACTAGTATACAACGTAAGTTACTCAATACTTATTCTTGATCTATTTATATGCACCAAAATATAATACAATCAGTTTTTAATAACACCCTATCTCAATGATTTAAGATTTGGCAGATTTTATTTATTAAATGGATTTTACTTTCCATGTATGAAGCCCTGAATATAATCTTGGTGTATCAACTGTTGCCATAAAACCAAGCCATTTATAGTTTTATAATGTGACTTATAGATATTTGATAAAAATTAGTACATTGAAGATGGCTGACTAGACATAGCCAGGAAGAGCCATTCCCACCAAGAGAGAGATAAGGTTTTTAGTGAACGAAGATAATTTGTACAGATCTTCAGAGCGAGAACACCAAGAGTGGATGGAGATGTGAGGTATGCTCTGAGGCTGAGGAGGGATGGGGCTGGGAACCATGCACAGGGTACTCAAATGCTGGGGCTAGTTCCGGCCTTGAATGGCTTCTGGGGAACAAATGAGTGAAAGCCCTGTGGGACTACCCATGCTCTCTGCGGACCTCTGGAATCTTGGCTACAGGAGACCTCATGTCCTCCATGGATTCTTGAGTTGGTGGGGGATCTGCCTTGAGAATAGACAGAGATGGGGCTTCAGCCAGCACAGAACTAGGGGCCTTTGTGCATGGCGTAGCTCTGGCAGAGTGTGGCCATAGGCTTCCGTCACCCAGGGATACCCCTTTCATTCCCCAGGCAGGTTGAGTCCCTGCTGACAGCTGGACCAGGGGAAAGTGGGGCTGACTTCTACACAGGACTGGGGCATGTCTGTTCTACAGCCTTTGTTGCCTGCCATCCCCTCCCAGGACCCCTGCCTAGCCACTCTGCAAGGCGCATGTGAACAGTGCAGCCACCACTGCCTAGCATGGGTGCTTTGCTTCACCTGATTACATTCCTGGTTGCTTGGGAGTACTTTGGGTCACCCAGCACACCTGGAACCTGACTCTGAGGGTCAGGAGGGTGGAGCCACAAGCCATTCCCAGGACTCCAAGTCTATAGTGTGCAGCTTGGGAGTGCTGAGTCAAAATCTATGGCTGGCCCTTGAGCAGAAGAGAAGCCCACACTCTCAGAGCACTAAGAGGCGTGAAATACATAGGTCATGGGTTGGAGTGGGAGCAGGGCATGCCTCCCTTTAGAGGGCTGGCCTGGAAAGGGTGTGGCCTATCTCCTTGTCAAGACCTCCACCCAGGGAGTCCTGTGGCTGATAATGCCTAATAAAAGAAATGCTGGCACAGTGTCAGTGATGAGGGGGTGTCCCCCAAGGGCCAGGAGTAAACTTGGTGAAGGGGTTACCTCTCTTCCCATCACATCACAGAGCATGGCTGCAAATGTGAGGAAATATAGAGGAGCTCCTTGGCTAAGAGCCTGTCTACCACCCATTAATCTAAGTGTCGTCTACTGGATTACAGCCCAAACTATACCACCAAAAATATTTTAACAATATATCCCCCTATGAAACAAAAGGGAAGAATTCAGCCACAAATAAAGACTCTGTACAGAGGTTTGGACCTCTGAAAATGTCCAGAAATGAAGCCAATTGATTACACCCAAATTACACCACAGGTAAAAAAACCAGCAAATCCACTTTGGGAGGCTGAGGCGGGCGGATCACAAGGTCAGGAGATTGAGACCATCCTGGCTAACATGGTGAAAACCCATCTCTACTAAAAATACAAAAAATTAGCCGGGTGTGGGGGCAGGTGCCTATAGTCCCAACTACTTTGGAGGCTGAGGCAGGAGAATGGCGTGAACCTGGGAGGCAAAGCTTGCAGTGAGCCGAGATCACGCCACTGCACTCCAGCCTGGGTGACAGAGGGAGACTCTGTCTCAAAAAAAATAAATAAATAAATAAAAAAGAAAGAAAGAAACACCAAACCTTCCAGTTGAGAAAGAATCAGTGCAATAACTTTGGCAATATAAAAAAGCCAGAGTGCACCCTTACCTCCAAACAAGTCTATTAATACTAGCTGTCCAGCAATGGTTCTTAACCAGTCTGAAATGACTAAAATGATAGACATAGAATTCAGATTCTAGGTGGCAGGGCAACTCATTGAGATTCAGGAGAAAGTTAGAACCCAATCCAAGGAATCCAAGGAATCCGAGAACTAAAAGAGAAAACAGCCACTTTAAGAAAGAACCAAACGAACTTTTAGAGCTGAAAAATTCAGTACAAGAATTTCATAATACAACTGGAATAGAACAAACTGAGGAAAGGCTCTCAGAGCTCAAAGACCAATCCTTCAAATCAAGTCAGTCAGACAAACAAAAATAAAGAAAAATGGGAATATTGGATTATGTAAAGAGACTAAATCTATGACTCATTGGCATTCCTGAGAGAGAAGGAGAGAGTATGAGCAACTTGAAAAATATATTTGAGCATACAGTCCTTGAAAGTTTTCTTAATCTCACTAGAGTGGATGATATTCAAATTCAAGAAATACAGAGATCCCTGGCTAAATACTATAGAAGACAGCCATCCTATGGTGCACAATCATCAGATTCACCAAAGTCAACCCAGAAGAAATAATCTTTAATGCAGCTACAGAGAAGAGTAAAGTAATGCACACAGGGAAAGCATCAGGCTAGCAGCAGACCTTTTAGCAGAAATTTTACAACCCAGAAGTGATTGGGGGCCAATTTTCAGCATCCTTAAAAAAAAAAAAAGAAAGAAAGAAATTCCAGCCAAGAATTTCACATCCCACCAAACTAAACTTCCTAAGTGGAGGAGAAATAAAATTCTTCTCAGACATGCAAATGCTGAGAGAATTCGTTTCAACTAGACCAGCCTTAAAAAAGGTCCCTAAAACAGTGCTAAGCATGGAGTCAAAAGAATGACATCTACTATCACAAAAACACAATTAAGCACATAGCCCACAGGCACTATGAATCAACTACACAATCAAGGCTACAAAACAACCAGCATGACAGGATTAACATCTCACATATCAATACTAACCCTGAATGTAAATGGGAAAAACACCCTATTAAAAGACATAGAGTGGCAAGGTGGATAAAGAGAAAAGACACAGACATCTTTTGTTTTCAAGAGACCCATATCACATGTAATGACATCCACAGGCTCAAAGTCAAGGAATGGAGAAAGATCTACCATGCAAACAGAAAACAATAAAAGATAAGAGTCGCTATTTTTCTATGAGATAAAACAGATGTTAACCCAATAAAATTAGGAAGGATGAAGGATATTACATAGTGATTAAGGGTATAATCCAACAAGAAGGCTTAGGCACTCAACATTGGAACACCTAAATTCATAAAACAACTTCTTGGCCTATGAAAGGATTTAGACAACCACATAATAATAGTGGGAGACTTCAACGCTCCACTGGCAACATCAGACAGATCATCAAGGAAGAAAACTCACAAAGAAACTCTGAACTTAAACTTGACACTCACTTGACCAATTGGACCTAATAGATATCCACAGAATGTGCCCCTCGATATCCACAAACTACATTCTTCTCACCTGACCACAGAACATATTCTAAGATTGATCACATGCTTAGACATACATCAAGTCTCAATACATTTAAAAAAAATTGAAATTATACCAGGCACACTCTTAGAACCTAGTACAATACAACTAGAAATAAATATCAGGAAGATCTCTGAAAACTACACAAATATGTGGAAATAAAGTAACTTGCTCATGAATAGCTCCTGGGCAAAGACAGAAATTAAGGCAGAAATTTAAAAATGCTTTCAAATTAATGAAAATAAGGATACAACTTATCAAAATCTCTGGGATGCAGTCAAAGCAGTGTTAAGCGGAAAGCTTGTAGCACTAAATGCCTTCATCAAGAAGTTAGAAAGATCTCAAATTAGCAATCTAATTTAGCACATAAAGGAACTTGAAAAAAAAAAAAAAACAAAGCTAGCCTAAGAAAAGAAATAACTAAAAGCAGAGCAGAACTTAGTGAAATTGAGACCAAAATATCCATACAAAACATCAACAAAACCATGACTTGGTTATTCAAAAAAAAAACAAAACCACATTGACCATTAGCTAGATTAACAAAGAAAAAGAGAATCCAAATAGGTACAACAAAACATGACAAAGATGACATTATATCAGATCCCGCAGAAATACATAAGATTCTCGGAGAATACAATGAACAACTCTATGCGTGCAAATTGAACCAGCAAGAGATTGAAATCCTGAATAGACAAATGTTGTGCTCTGAAATTGAATCAGTAATAATGTTAAAAAGCCCACTAACCAAGAAAAGCACTGGATCAGATGGATTCACAGCCAAATTCTACCACAAGAACAAAGAAGAACTGGTACCAATTCTACTGAAACTATTCCAGAAAATTGAGAAGAATGAGCTCCTTCTTAACTCAGTCTATAAAGCCAGCATCAGCCTGATACCAAAATCTGGCAGGAACACAACAAAAAAAGAAAACATCTGGCCAATATCCCTTATGAAAATACATGCAAAAATCCTCAACAAAATACTAGCAAGCCAAATCCAGCAGCACATCAAAAAATTAATACACCATGATCAAGTAGGTTTTATTCCTGGGATTCAAGGGTGGTTCAATTTATGCATATCAATAAGTGTGTTTTACCACATAAACAGAATTAAAAGCAAAAAGCATATGATCATCTCACTAGATGCAGTAAAAAATTCAATAATATCCAACATCCCTTTATGACAAGAACCATCAACAAACTAGGCATGCAAGGAACGTACCTCAAAATAATGAGTCATCTTTGATAAACCAACAGCCAACATTATATTGAATGGGTAAAAGCTGGAAACATTCCTCTTGAGTACTCACCTCAACTGAGCGAAGACTGTGCCATTGCAATTGAGCCTGGGCTACAGAGAGACTCTGTCTCAAAAAAGAAAAAAAAAAAAAAGAGAGAAAGAAAAAAAATCACTTTGTCTAGCCTGTATGCAGAACATAGGGAAAATTCTATACTATTCCTAAGTTTCATTTCAATTGCATCCTTCAACACTTTCTGGCGGGTTTGTTTGCTTTTGCCCAGGGCACATGTTTTAGCTTACGTAATACTGTGTTAGAGTTTACACAGGACTAAATGTGGCTTTACCTTATTATAATATCATATTTGGTCACATACCTTGACAACTGGTCTGTTTTAATCCTGGGGACATTTTGATCCTTGTAATGGATAATGGTTCTCTCTTGCTTTTTGTTCTTTTGAAATTGCAAATTTGGTTCACCTCCAGTAATTGCACAATGCTGTATGATACTAATTTGGCATGGTAAATTTTTTGCTTGGATTTATTATTTTTCTACCCAATTCTTCCTCACCTCTTTCCTAATTGTTCTCAATTACTTATTTTTACTGTTCCCTTATATGAATATTTTCTAAGTAATTTTACTCTTTTGTGTAATGATATAGGTCCTGAATAAATACCATTTTGACGTCTAAACATGACATACTATGGCACTGGGGAGAGATGTCCAAGTCCCAGAGTCTAAAGGCATTATAGATAAAATGATAGATACACCGAAGAGCCAAAAGAATCAGTACCATCGGTAATCTACACTGAAATGGATGTACTCTCCTGCATGAAGACCCTTTTGACAAATTAATATTCCCTTGAGAATGATATTTACTTAGCAAAAAGGACAAGTATGGAAAAAATTTCACACCCCTACACTTTTTCCAACCTACCATGTGAAAATGAACACCTATGTTCAGATTTTTGTTTCTGGCAATATGGTTGACTGGATAGTCTGAAAACTTCCTGCTACAAAACATTTTTAAAATATATAACTTAACTTGAAAGAAAGTAAAGGACCATAATGCTTGAAAGTGAAGAAAGAACTGGGAAGCAAATAAAAAGCTGTGGCTTTGGGCATTGCCAATCACAAGATGATTGGATTTTGGTTGCTGCACAGAAACAGGAGTCAAGGACTTTGAATTGAACACGGTGAGACTTGCATCGAACTACTTGATTAAAGCCAGTGTCCTCAGAGTGCTGAATTCTCAACAAAAGAACTGAACAGAAAAAAATTTCATCCTATGGGAGAAGAAACCTTTGTGTATTTGGAAATAATGCACTTCTATATAACTCACAAAAGAAGTCATAGTGGAAATTAGACAATATAACTGAAAAATAAAGAAAATACAATATATCAAAAGTTATGGGCTATGACTAAAACAATGTTCAAAATGGGATTTATTGCAAAAAAAGGTTGAAAAATATGAGCTCAGTTACTAACTTAAGAACTTAGTAAGAGAACAACAGGAAAAATTCAAAGTAGTAGAAAAAAGCAAGACTGACAAAGAGAGAAGGCAGGAATAAACAATAACTGAGGTGAATTAATCACACACAAAGCAGACATTAAAAATATGATCATCTTTTTGACAATAATTTTGAGAACTTGGATGAAAGGCATGATTTGTTTAAAAAATACAACTTGTAAAAATATGACTTAGGGAGTAGAGAACATTGAAAGATCTCTAACTACTTCATAAATTGAAACAGTTTTTAAAATGTCTACCATGAATCAACCTCCTCCCCTCCCTCTACAACCACCACCATCTAGGCAAACTGATTTTACAGGCAAAGTTATACCAAATATTCAAGTAACACGTAACTTCAGTATTGCCATATATAGAATACACTGTTCCAGAGAATGGAATAAGCAAGAATATTCTCCAAATCTTTAACAGAACAGCTTAACTAAAATCAGACAGCTGCAAGGAAAATTCGTAAAAAGAAAATTAGAAGCCAGGCCACTACATCAACTTAGAATAAAAAAAAATTAGAAACGAATCAATTAGCAAACAAAATCTACAATGGATAAAAAATGCATCATGATCAAGTGAGTTTTATCACCGAAATGCAAGGATAATGCACCACTGAAAAAACTATTAAAGAAATTAATCACATTAACAGATTAATAAAGAAAAAATCACACGATAAACTCAATAAAAAGAGAAAACAAAATCAATAAAATTTAATGATCTTTTGTGATAATATTTCTTAGAAAAGTAGGAATAGAAAAAGATTTTAATTTGCCAAACATCTCACACAGTGAGATTAAATATAATCCCATTAAAAATAATCATAAGAAAAGAATGTCTCATTTTACATTGTACCAGCCAGACCAGTAAGCCCAGAAACTGGAGTAAGCAAATATAAAGGTTAAAAGGAATAACCAGTTTTCTCTATATTTGAGGTTAATAGGTAACTCAAGAGAAATTACAACTAAATTATTTAAAATAGGGGGTTTCAACATATTTATTATGTGTAAGGTCCAGTAATAAACATTTGAAATGTAATTTTAAGAGGTTAGCATTTTACAATAGCAACTAAAATGTAAAACAGTAGGAATAAATTTAACAAAAGATGTGCAAGCCTTTTATGAAGAAAATTATGAAACTATTGAAAGTCATTAAAGAAGAACTAAATAAAAGGAGAGATATATTGTATGCAATAGAAAAAGTCAAAATATGAAAGATATACATTATCTTAAAATTTATGTATAAATTCAAAGCAATATTCCAATACAAATTTTACCGGTATTTATATAGAACTTGACAAGATGAGTCTAACATTCATATAGAAGAGCAAAGGGGAAAAAAGCTGAGACAGCTTTTTCAGAAAAGCTTTTGTAAAAAAGAACAACTCAAAGAGATACCCCTTTTATATATCAAGAAATTTTAAAGTAATAGTAATTAAGAAAAGGAAGTATTGGTATTAACATAGATTAATGAACCAATTAAAACAAATAGAAAGCCAAATATATATTTTTATATATATTATACATATAGATACACATAACATACATAGATATGTGCGCACACATATGCACAAACAAACACACACATACAACTATATACATGTGAGATGAGGCCTTTAAAATCAGTGGGGAAGGATGGACTTTTATTAATTATCCATGTAATATCCTTATCTTTAATTATAAACAATAATGTCAAAAATGCTCTTTTGAATAGAAGATCTAAAAAATCCAAAACTTTCCGGCTTTATGAAGAAAACAAAGAAAGATATTACTTCGATAATAAAGAATTTCTTGAAGCACAAAAGTCTAGAACAGTCTAAGGCATTGTTAATAAAATGAATTATAGTAAAATTAAACACCTCTGTTCATTAAGAGGCATTGTGAAAAAGAGAAAAATCATAAGAACAGACTAGATGAAGATATTTGTAGTGTATAGAGACAGTGTATAGAGATGACAAAAGATCACTACCAAGAATATTTCAATGCTTTCTATGAATCAATAGTAAAACAGTCGAATACCCCAGTGGGAAGTGGGCAAAAGAGATAGAAAGAGTGAAAGACATATCATTGGCCAATACATACATGAAATGACATGCAACTTCATAAATAGCTAAGAAAATGATGATTATAGCCACAATGAGATTCTATGTCACAGCTTAGCATGAAGTGAAAAGTTGAATATGTTGACAAGTATATACAGCAAAGGAAACTTTTACACAGTGCTATTATGATTGAAAATTTGATAAAATAATTTTAAAGAGAGTGGCTATTATCTAATAAACCTGACAATGGACATACACTAAACCCAGCAATTCTTAGATATGTATCCTAGGTATAATATTGCTTATGTGGAGAAATAGGAATGCTCTACACTGTTGGTATAAATTAGTTCAATTATTGTGGAAGACAATGTGGCAATTCCTCAAAGACCTAGAACCAGAAATACCATCTGACCCAGCAATGCCATTACTGGGTATAGTCCCAAAGGAATATAAATTATTCTGTTATAAAGATACATGCATGTGTATGTTCACTGAAGCACTACTTACAATAGAAAATACATTGAATCAACCCAAATGCCCATTAATGATAGACTGGATAAAGAAAATGTGGTACATATACACCATGGAATACTATGCAGTCATAAAAAGGAATGAGATCATGTCCTTTGCAGGGACATGGATAGAGCTGGAAGCCATTATCCTTAGCAAACTAACACAGGAACAGAAAACCAAACACTGCATGTTCTCACTTACAAGTGGGAGCTGAACAATGAGAACACATGGACACAGGGAGGGGAACAACACACATGGGGCCTGTTGTGGGCACAGGGAGACGCATGTGGGGCTTAATATCTAGGTGATGGGTTGATAGGTGCAGCAAATCACCATGGCACATATTTACCTATGTAACAAACCTGCATGTCCTGCACATGTATCCTGGAACTTTAAAATAAAATAAAATAATTTAAAAAGAAAAAGGAGATGTGCACAAGAGTGTTCATAGTTCATTGTTTGAAATGGAAATATTTGAGATAATGTAAATAGCTATAATCAGCAGGATGAATAGATAAATTGTGGAAAAGTCGTATGGTAGAATTCAAGTAATAAGAATGAATGAACTATGCTAGAACCATTTGTGTCATTGTGAGTAAATCTTCCAAACGTGTTGAGTGAAAAAGCTTCTTGGGGAACAACACACACAGGATTACTCCAAATATTTAATTGGAAGTATATAAGTAGTGACAGTATAAAGGTAGACAACGAGAATAATAAACATTTAATTTAGAATGGTGCTGTCTTCTAGGGAGGAAGAAGGATATAATTGGGAAGAGGGACAGAGAGCATTTAACTATACTTACGGTATTACATTTCTTAAGCTGTATTTTGGGCTTATGGGTGATTATTTACTATTTTTATATTTTTGGATATGTCTGAATTAGTTTATTTAAGAAAATCCTCAAAACAAAAATGAAAACAAGTAAAATTAGCTCTAGGTGCAATGTACCTATTAAGTATATCTAGCCATTTTTAATAGTGCTTATTTTTAAGACCTATACATCACATACCAAATTAGAATAAAATTATGTTTCTAGGGAAAGACAAATGTCCCTGACTCCTGAATGCCGACTGCCTTTTTAATGGCAAATATAATCTTAACAAATCTATTTGATGCCAAACAGAGGGCACATATATTGGGCATATTGTATGTGTGTGTGTGTGTGTGTGTGTGTGTGTGTGTGTGTGTGTGTCTGTGTGTGTGTGTATTTTGAGAGAGAGACAGAAAGAGCAAGAGCTTTGAATTGATGAATACCTGATGATTACGGTCAGAGATTTTACCTATGAAAGACTAAAAATTTTCTACAAATATCACATTTAGATTGTTTTCTCTCTTTCTTCCTCCTCTGTCCCCGTTCAGCTCAAGCAATAATTTTCAAATCTCTATCCAATTCTTTTGCATGTCAGAAATTATTGCTAGAGACTGCAATGCTCAAGGACTATACAGCAAATCCTTCTTTCATTAACTCTTTAAATTAAATGCTATATAAATATAAACATGAAATGTCATATGACTAGGAACACAAATGGCTACTCTGTAAGTTACGTTTGTCACTTTATGGCCAGGTCCATTATTTTTTTCTCAGTGCCTCTTCTAATGTAGATTTTAGAAATCTATTTATTGAACAAAAATGCTATGCAGCAAAAACATGCGTATCTTTTTTTTAAGGATAGAGCTGATTGTAATTCAGCAGGAACTTTTCTGAAGATTAGCTCTCTTCCTGAAGCTACAATTTTCACAGCAAATGTAAGAATAATTTATCCAACTTCTGTTATGAATATGACATTTCTTTTCTTATATGTGTACCAAGGGCTTAACAAAAGCTTTTATTATCAGGTATTTTATCTAGATTCAAAGCCTCTAAAGAAGGCCTGATGTTAATTATTTTGTATGTGACTCCCATATATTAGATTAGGTATTCTGTATAAACAGTTTTCATCTTAGTGTTAGAAAGCTGAAATGATTACAACTATGTATTGATGTTCTCATGGATTATTAGATTATATTTACCAAGTGCTAATTGTTCCATATCATTTAAGTAGAAGGGCCCTTATTCTTTTGTAATTTGTATACTAAGAATGATTTTGACTAAGCCATCCTTTTCAGGTTTCTTATGAATCAACCCAGGTAAAGGAAAACAAAAAGCTCAGTGAGGAGGCAAGAGGTGACCTTGCCTCTGTATTTTTCCTTTCACGACTGTGTAGGACATAGGACATCTCTTTGCAGAATTTGCCAGTTTTCCCATTGGCGCTATGTGTGGAAATCATGTGTGCATGTCCAGATCAGATTGTTCAGTGCCTGCATGGATCTTTGTCCCAAGAGCCTTAATATAAACACATGGAAACATCTCTCTTTTTGCTCAAAACTATATACTGAAAGTCGGTCTAATAGGCAAGCCTTAAAAGTTAATATTTGACATAATCAATGATAAGACACTTTGCTGAAACACCTATAATTTTGGTCCAAAGTTATTTTCCAGGACTCTGGGGCTGGGCATGTTTTCGAGACCAGGTTTCTTAGAGAAGGGTCTGCATTCCTGCATTTGACTTTTCTCTGAGACTAAAGCCATTGAAAGGATGGTAACAGGACTGCCTTTCCCTTCAAGACACAAGGATGTGGTGTTCATAATCATTTCTGATGACCAAGTTGTCTTTAAATGGATTTTTTTTTCTGACTCCAGGTTCATTTAATAGTGGTAACAACTAGAATTCCTGATGTGGACTGGGGGTATGAACTGTATATAGGAAGATTCCATTCACATTTCCCCTAATGTGGACACTTCAGACTGTTAGCATTTGGCCCTGCCAAGTGCCTCTTTTTTCCAAACTGTTTCAGGGAGCACTGGCTGCCCTCATCCTCTTCTTTGGTAAGTTAACTCCAGCTCCTTGGTAACTCTAGTAGAAGTTGTCTTCAAACCATAGCCCAAAGTGAATATTTTCTTCTCAATCTCTTTGGAATTATTTACAATGCAATTTCATTGCAACCTACGTAGTTAGTTATGGACAACTTATAACTTATAGACAGCTTTTATAACTTATAGATACTTGGACATTTAATTTGCCTAAACTCTCTGCAGACAACCAATATCTGTTGCCTTTTCAATAAATTTATTTCCTGATATCTGTAGCTGTTATTATGTAGACTGATGGTCTAGATATAGTTCCAACTTTGTTACTCAAATTTTTACTAAGCTACCAGAAACTGTTTAAAATAGATGACTACTGAAATATATATTTTGCACAGAATCCCATTATATTAGCATATTTTGTTGACTGCAATACAGTCATAGGTCATTTTAGGCTCTCTAAGTTTGGCAACTCTACGTTGTCAAAAGGAAAAGCTGTCTGGAAATTGTCTTGCCTGACATGACAAAACAATAGAGAATGAGTAAATACTCTCATTAGGTATGTGTAAAAAGAAATAAAATAATGAGAAAGCAAACACTATACACACACAATAATGGTGTGACTGTGACTAGAGTATAGATAGTCAGCAACTATCTATACTTCCAAAACCGGCATCACAAAAAAGAGAGCCTTCTCCATTGCTCTCTGACTTAGTTCCCTCTTCCACTAGGGCTTATTTGGGGGAAAACATTATTTTAAATTACTGCTATATCTTAAATGTCGTCCCATGTATATGCATTGCCTACTAAAATAGAAAATTTGAAAATGTTGCATGGTTAATGTGTTATTCCTTTTGGGGAATAGAACCAGAAGAAATGAGTTATAATTCCATATGAAGAATAAACTTTAACCTACAAACTCAGCAAAACAAGAATTATCAAATTACATCATTTTCTTTAAATCAACTCAAATCTTTTCTGAAGGAAATTTTACCTCAGTTGTTACTGAGATTCTCTCTCCCCTGCAATATTGTACAAATTCCCTGGTTTCTATGAAATATTTAAACATGGTAGAATCTCCTCCAGTTTTAGGTCCCCATCTTTCACTTCTGAAACGTTACTTACGGAGCCCGCATGGCCTGTTCAGATCTCCCATTGTTTCCTCCCCCCGACCAGGAGAATTTCCTTATGTGCATGACACAGCTCCCATCTACTGAAAACAGACACCTTGCTGAATAACTGACACAGGCTTTTCAAGGACATTTCCCAATTTCAGGGTCATGTCTTTTTTCTCTCTTGCTGTCCCTAGAAGAATAAATTTTATTCATTCCTGTGTAGCACTCTTGGGCTAATTGCCTCAAGAAGTTTAGATGTTTGTAAAAAGCAGTGAGAAATGTTTAGTCTCAGAAGCTTCTGCTTTCAGCCTGGCAAAAATCCCTAGGCAAAATTGAACAGTCTTATCAAAAAGGATGGGAGAAATATATCAAGATAGCAAGCATAATTTAATAGCTTAACAAATTAACCTGCTGTAAGTATATCTGGGTTGTTTATTTTCAGAGTAATTCCCTAGTCAATTTGCTTTTGCAACATAGCCAGGCATTTATCAAAAGTGGTGATTGTCATGATGTCTTGGTTTGAGTCTTCTTGAGAAGGGCGTATAGATTGTTAACATCCCTTGATGCCTATAAAACTTACGTCGTGGATTGAGGTTTTCATTTATCTTCAGTGTTAAAGTGTAAAGTCCTTGAGGGGAGGGTCAGAGAAGAGTCAGTATGGTTACCTATTGCACACACATGCCCAGTGCATGAGATAGAGCAGTTCTTCCATATACTGTTTTGAAAAAATGAATAAATTTTTGTAACTTAATATAGTACCTAGCCTTATTGCTTTCCATTGCAAAACAACCTATAACACTGCTCCTAATCACTTTCACAATGATAAGGCAACTTCTGAATCATCAAAGGCAGTTTCAACTATGATTGTCATAAATTGTCCATATACTGTATTTAATTCTAATTTCTTAATATTAGTTATGGATATTTGATGGAATTTTATGAAATTTTGCCAGCACAGTTAATTTTTTGTTGACTAGAATGCTTCTGTGACAGAACTATGCTCTTTTAATGAGGTTTTCATCCACATATGCTTACGATTAATTTTCAGTAGGATGGAAAATATTAGACTGCAATGGTGAAGGGGTATTTTCATTTACAGGAGCTATTTTGTATCAGCATTTTTCAAAGCTTAACTTGAATCTCATGATTAGCAATGAATTGGCTTCTATGTAATCACTAAACATCATTTATTAGGCTGTTCTTGCATTGCTATAAAGAAATACCTAAGACTGGGTAATTTATGATGAAAAGAAGTTTAATTGGCTCATGGTTCTGAAGTGCAGTGCTAGCATCTGCTTGGCTTCTGGTGAAGCATTAGGAAGCTTTCAATTGTGGCAGAAGGCGAAGCAAGAGCAGGCAGCTCACAGGGTGAAAGTGGGAGCAAGGGAGAGTGAGAGAGAGAGAGAGAGAGAATGAGAATGAGCAGTGGGGGAGGAAAGTAACACACACTTTTAATTGACCAGATCTTGTGTGAAATCAAAGTGAGAGCTCACTTATCATCAAGGAGATGGCCCAAGCCATTCATGAAGGATCTGACCCCATGATCCAAACAACTCTCACCAGGCCACCTCCAACACTGGGGGTTACATTTCCACATGCTACTTGGAGCAGACATCCAAAGTATATCACGTCACAATAGTTAACTTTTCCAGATTGTTCAAAGATCTCTAAAGAAAGACCATATTTACAAGAAGAAAAGTTCACTTATTACATTTACTAACATTTTAGTCTCTTCTCAGAGTACTCTGCAGAAGATCTAAGTCCACTCTACACCCTTGTTCCTAAAATTATGCAGGATCTTTTAAATTATGAAATGATCTACCCCTTCGTAACTGTGAGAATCATCTGTTATTCAATCACATATTGCATAGACTCTTTCAATAGCATTCTTTCTAGTATAATCTTGTGATGAATTGGACTCAGTACAGTTCCTGACTGTGTTACCATGCTTTTAAGTACACTTAATATTCTGAATAGGACATTTTTGCTTTAAGTAGATCCTTATTATTTTTAGGTGTTTGTTTTGTTTTCCTTAATATAATTATATATATATGTATATATTTCCAGATATATCTTAGAAATGATGGGTTAATCAATTTCATTCAAGAGTCCAATATGTCTTTGGTCTCTTTGAGGGAACGTTTCATAAATCCAGATTCTCTTTTTTTATTTCTGATTTTCTTTCAGAAATTACTTAATTTGAATGTGATATGTATTTTCCACTAAGCTTATGTTTAAATCAGTGTTTAGTATTCCAGGCATACTTTTCCACTAGTGAATGTGAGCATGTCCTCAGTAAAAAGTAGGCCTTCTAAGTATAGACAGGTTGTTTAAACATTGACGTGTGCATGTTTTCAAATCATGTTGAAATGTTTGATAAATATTTAGATTTAAAATAATTATCATACAAGGCAAAACAGGGGTAATCCCAAAATTTTAAAAGTGATTCACATCTCTCCCTCCCTGACTGCCTGTTAATTATACTCTATATTTAAAGGACACTACTTTTTCTTGAAAAACAGCATTTGATGGAAACCAAGCATTGGTGAGCAGATATAATTAAAAAGTAAAGAGAGTGAGAGAGTGAATTGCAGGCTACTTTTGTTTTGTATCCTTATTAATCAAATCTTAGTACTTTTCTTTTATCACCTATGCAGGACTGCAAAAGGAAGATAGTTCTGCGCTCACAACAAGGATTAGGCCAGGGCCTTGATGACTGGCATGGGTGCCACTGCTGTGCGTAATGTGCTGCTTCCTAAGTGGGAGGAGATGGAGTCTTGCCATTCTGTGGCATCACTCAGCAGGTGCAAATGAAGTATGAAATGAAAAATCCCAACCCACACAATGCACAGAGAAAAAACAGGTTGCATTTTGTAGTCACTGCTGTGCCAGGATATTTACTGTCACAGACAACGCAGCTCCAGTCAGGCAAGCGCCCCAAATCTCTCTGCTCTGACACCTGCAAGAAAAATGGTGTTTCACTCTGCGCTACTTTGCTTATGGTGATTTCCCTCCACGAGTCTCTGTCCTTCAAGAAGAAAACCAGTTAAAGTGTTTAGGAGCTCATGACTTTCTTAACAGGAAAGAATGATGTGAGAGGGGCTTGGGGGTTCTGTTTGGAAATGTGGGAGATTCTCAGAATGGATGATAAAATGTTTTTAAAATTAGGTTCCACATGGAATTATCATGCTTTTTTTAGCTTATGAAAAAATATCGTAGCTAATATTTATGCTTGTGTCATTGTTTGAAGGTTAGCAGGGAACCTACTATCACTGTTGATATCTAAGGTAAAACTGAGTAAACAAAATTATCTTAGTTAATTCAGGTTAATTGATAGCACCATGCTTTTAGATAATTCTGTCATTATCTCTGTATCTGTCTCAATTGATTTCAATCTTTATCTGCTATAGTCGCTTCAAGCAAATATTTAATTGTTAATTTTAAATACAAATATTAATACCTCTGGGATCAGGTTTGTATCTTCTTAGAGTATACTGCAGGAGATAAAGTCTCTGTCTATTTGGAGTCTTTATTCTATGAAATTTGAATGCTGGATGTCAATAAGATGAGTAGCATGGTAATATGTATAGTAAAATTAGACTAATTTTAACAAAAAGGAAGATGTAAAGGAGACAATTAAGAAGATAAAAGCTAGTCTATTTTAACCAAAACAAGAACTATAAATAGTTTAAAAATCAATGCTATTTTATTACATACCCAAAAGGAAATGCCAATATAAAATTAGTTAGATAAGTGAAAATATCAAAACAGAGGTGAGCAATGTGGTAGATACAGGATTGTTAGAATTTCAGATTGTACATATTTAGGGAAGCTCTAGCTTTCTCTCTAAGCCTAAGTTTCCTCATCTGTATTAGAGAATAATATTGATAAAACAATATCTAACTCATAAAGTTTTATAGGGAATAAGGAAAATAATCCATAGATAGTACATAGCAAAATGCCTCGCTTATAATAAGTGCTAGACTAATAACAGCAATTGGATTCACTTATTAGCAAACTCTAGAAATGTTTCAGAGAATACATTAATCTGAACTTTACAGTTTGTATTTGACCATAATTATACATTCTAAATCTGAATAAATTAGCATTTACACATTTTATTTACATGTGATCTTAATAGGAAAATTGTATTTGGAATAGGATTTTAAAAACTTAAAATGGGAATTAGTCACTAATATTATTTCATTCTTATATACAAAATTAAATATAATCAAGTTTCTTCATTTTATGCGACTTCAGGGACCACCAACTTCCTTTACTTACAAAGATACTCTTTACCACAGAAATGTGGTTTATGCTCACTGCATTCACTGTTAGCTGAATCTGGCAAAATTCATTCGTGGAATCTGATTCCACCAATAAGTTAAATATTTCTTTTTATTGATCATCTTCTGCCAAACCCAATGTCTTCTTGTCAGCACAAAGTGTAAAACTTGTAACTCATGGCTTCCTTACTATCTAAGGTGATGGTTCTTATATATTGGTTGGATAAGCAAAAATAGCCCATGTCCACATAGTGAAATATAAGAGATATTAAGGAAATCTAATTAACTAGATTTCTGACTGGTTAGAAGTATAGAAGGAGAGGGAAGTAGCAGACTATATTTTACCAAGTGTTTTACTTTGCTTCCTGGGTAGGTTGTGGTCCATTTATTGAGAGAAAGCATACAGGAGTAATATAGTTTGGCTCTGTGTCCCCACCCAAATCTCATCTTGTAATTCACATAATTCCCACATGTTGTGGGAGGGAACTGGTGGGAGATAATTGAATCATGGGGGTGGGTGGGGGTTTCCTGTGCTGTTCTCATGGTAGTGAATAAGTCTCACGAGATCTGATGGTTTTAAACCTTGTATAGGAGTTTCCTTGTACAAGCTCTTTTTCTTTTTGCTGCTGCCATCCATGTAAGATGTGACTTGCTCGTCCTTGCCTTCCACCATGATTGTGAGGCTTCCCAGCCACATGGAACTGTATGTCCATTAAACCTCTTTCTTATGAAAATTGTCCAGTCCCAGGTATGTCTTTATCTGTAGCATGAAAACAGATTAATACAGGGAGAAAGAACAAATTTGGTAGGCTATTTGATGAGCTCATTTTGGACATATTGTTTTTGAGGCAAACATGTGGCATATATCTAATAGACTTTGAAAATATTGGTCTATATATCAGATATAGGTTATAGTGGGTTATAGTGACATGGTTTAGAAATGCAAGTGTGGTAGTATTTTTTTATGATCAATAAATACCATGTCCTCAGTAACCATCACGCACATAGACAATAAATGTTGTTGATGTATGTGCAATTTTCAGAAAGCAGCTCTAATTTCATTCCTTGCTTGGAAACTCTTTCATGATACATCTTTGAAACCACAGTGTCATTCAGAAATAAGGCTTTTTTTTTCTTTAAAGTAAGGAGAAACAGAACTCTGATAATTACTAATATTAAAGAACAAGTAGAACACAAATCAGCAAAGGGAACTAAGTAGAAACTGTCAGCGGTGTAAGAGAACAGGAGAGATGAGTATCTCAGAAGTCAGGTGAAATTGAGTTTTAAGAATGGGGCAGTCATAAATGGTAGACTGGATAAAGAAAATGTGGCACATATACACCATGGAATACTATACAGCCACAAAAAAGAATGAGTTCATGTCCTTTGCAGGGACATGGATAAAGCTGGAAGCCATCATTCTCAGCAAACTAACACAGGAACAGAAAACCAAACACTGTGTGTTCTCACTCATAAGTGGGAATTGAACAATGAGAACACATGGACACAGGGAAGGGAACATCATGCACCGGGTCCTGTTGGGGGGTGGGGGGCAAGGGGAGGGAGAGCATTAGGACAAATAATGCATGTGGGGCTTAAAACCTAGATTATGGGTTAATAGGTGCAGTAAACTACCACGGCACATGTATACCTGTGTAACAAAACTGCATGTTCTGCACATGTATCGAAGGACTTAAAGTAAAATAAAATAAATTTTTTAAAAATGGGGCAGTTAACTGTCAAACAGTATTGTAAGGTGTGGGAGCTAAATAAGAACACAATAGAGAGGAACAACACACACTGGGGCCTATTGGAGGGTGGAGGGTGGGAGGAGGAGGGGATAAGGAAAAATAACTAATAGGTACTAGGCTTAATACCTAGGTACAGATTATTTCATCTGTGTACAGACTATGACAGAAGTTTACCTATGTAACAAACCTGCTCTTGGGCCCCTAACTTAAAATAAAAGTTAAAATAAAGATTAATTATATGTTTTCGTTTTAATCAAGAAATCATGGGTGGTATTTGCCGCAGCAATTTTCTTAAACTATTGTAGTGGCCTGAGGAAGGATGAATAACTGGAAAGTAGACACAGTAACCATGGAGTGCTCTAGAGAGGAGTGGAGCTATAGAAACAGCAAAAGGAAGAGCATATGACTGGAGAGAAGTAAATTGTGAGGAGAAATTATTTTAAGATGACAAAGACTAGTCATGCCAGAATGTTCTTAATCTCTAGAAATGATCTAGAAGAGGTTGCCAATGTGTGTGTGTGTGTGTGTGTGTGTGTGTGTGTGTGTGTGTGTGTGAGAGAGAGAGAGAGAGAGAGAGAGAGACTGGCTACAAAGTCTTACAGGATAAAAACAGCACATGTGAGAACTGCAAATAATTAACTTTGATTCAGAGGAAATGCACTTTCCATAAGATGAAAGAAGGTAAAAATGTAAATAGTACAGTAAAATGAAAACTTGAAAGGCTTTGCCTCCGATAACATTGATTTTTTTCTGAAGTAAGAGACATGACTTATCCTGAAAGGGAGGCAGTATCAAAAAATGGCATGACTTTTACTGTTGACTAATAGGGAAGAGACATTATGGAAACATACAAATAGATAAAGAAATATAAGTGCTATGGAGGACAATAAGGTACTTTGAAAGAGAATAACAGGTTGCATAATTCAGACTGAGCATTAGGGAAGGCTTTCAATTCAACTGATGCCTAAAGAATGAGCAGGAATTAGGAAAAAGGCAGACAGCCTATCACATCAGCAAAAGGAACTGTGATACTTGATTATTAATGATCATGTAAATGGCATTCACTTCCTTTTGTATTAAGGTCCTACTGGAGGGTTGGGATGAAGTCTTGTTTTTCTACCTTCACAATCAAGCACTATGATATTAGTTAAAAGTTGATATATCTCTAAACCTCACTGTTCGGCAGATGCTATCAGGCCAGTTTCATGTGGAAACTGAAGCTCAGTGAGGTTACTTCTCCAGTGTTTCCTGGGTAGGCAGTGTTAGGATTCATCGCTCAGGTCTCTCTGATGCCACAGTTGGCTTGATCCCATTTCCTAGGCTGCCTCATAAATACCTTCTTCTAGGACACACTTACTTGAATGATTTCTTCCCTTTCTCATGTTTATCATCTTCCTTTGTGCCCATTTTTAAGACTGGACGTCACTCAGACCTCCGTCTATGGCTCTGTACTCTTCCCTCGTTTTTCCATACTCTTTGATGACACCCTTTATGCCTACAGCTTTAATGATCACATCTAGATTTCTGATTCCTATGAGCTGACATTGCCTCAAATTTTATGTGTCCCAAATTGAACTTGCCATCTTTTTGTATGCCCCAATGGCTCTCCTAATTCGTCAGCACTCTAATGCATCTTGAAAACATTTTTGTTTCTTTCCTCTTTTTTGAAAAACAAATCTGTCATAAAGTTTCCCAGTGAAATGAAAATTACATTTCTTCTCTCTTCTCTACACACTAGCTCAGGCTGAAGGAATTACATGCTGCAATAACTCTCTGCTCTCTGTGCTCCTTAGAGTTGTCATTATCAAATACAAAAGTCTTTGCCTGGCTTTCACGGCAATTCATCATGTGGGTGCCTTCCTTTCACTTGCTTTTATATTTTCTTGCCACAAAAGTTCTTTTGTAAACATCGGATATTGACTTTAAGAGCTTATACAAAGTCTTTTTTAATAGGTTTTTGATGCAGTGAGCGGTAAATGGTGTTTGTTGTCTGTAACTATTCCACACCCTTGCTGAGACTTCCTTATAGGTGGAGCATACTTCCTCAATCCACTGACCTGAATCTTGACCATGTGGCTTACATTGTCCAGTGAAATATAAGGAGAAGTTCAGTGTGACAGTGAGGAGTGCAGACTTTCAGATGCAATGAGTGTTTCTTCTCGTTGTTCTGTGCTCCTGTCCTGCACCATAAGAGCATGTCCCAGGTCATCATGTTCTTTTGACCAGGCTCCTGGAATGAGAGACGCTTGGAGCTGACCTGAACTGGACCTCTAGAAGCAGAGATGCTGAGAACATCTGCAGATACATGAGTAAGATATGTGCACTTGCTTTTTGTAAACTACTGAGATTTTAAGGTTGTTACACAGCATCATCATAGAAATAGCTGACTAACATACAACCGTTCTAGAAACCAGGTCTATAATCACAAAACCAATCATAACCCTGAGGTTTAGTTTCTTCCTAGCTAGTGAGCTTTGGGCTAAGTGTTTTGAAGAAGTGTTAGATCATAGTTACAAAGGACTTCTTTTATGTGTTGGGAAAGCTGGGATTCTTTATTTAAATATCAAAATGATCTTAAGTTTGTTGTTAGACATATTCCAGTTCTCAGTAGAATTTAAATAGCAGAAATTAGCTACTAGAAATGAAGTCTTTTAAAAGTAGAAAATTAGTAGAAATGTGTATAAATTAATTTGATAGAAATTAGGTTTTGTCTGAAACGACTTTCTGATTAAATCTTCTTTGGACAAGATTTCTGGAGGTGCATCTTGAGACACACAGACTTTTCCTTGCTTACTCTTAAATTGGTTCTTAAGTTTTGGTCTTTTAAATATGAGGAACAGATTATGCTTAGATCCTTTATCAACCCTTCTAAGTCTACGAAGCCGTGTTTTCACAGACCATCTAATTTTCATAAGATAAACTTAGTTTCTTGATTCCTTTTCCAAAACAGCCATTTTCTAAAGGGTTTCCAGGAGGAGTTATTTCTTGTCTCTTTTTGTGGTCTTTCTAGGGTCCTTTATAAGACCTCATTACTAAAGCCCCAGAAAAGACATTGACACAAAATCAAGTGACTTTTCAAAGATCCATGAAATAGTGTCACAGATTATCTTTGATGTGTGACTGTAATTTGCTAGAGAATCATACCAGGTTAATGGCTTAACTCTCTGGAGCCTATTGAATTTATGCAGATACAGGGCTCTCAACTATCAAGGTCTCAACTGGAAAAGAGAGACGTGGAAAAGTCAAGATTTCATGTTTGTGAATTTATTATCATATTTTTTTTCCACAGTGGATTGAGCAGTCCCTGAGTCATATACTCTACCAGAGAATGAATGATGTCTGGTAAATAAGATGATGAATCTGACACATAAAAGTACTGAGGGCCCAGTCAAGGCAATATCACTGGCTGTGAAATGCTGAAGAGAATCAGTTGAAAGAGAAAGAAGGTAAACGTATTAGACTTTCAAAAAAGCATATGAAGTAGATTAAGAGAATTAATTGGAAATTATTCATCCAAATGGCTCTCAATAGGTAAAAGTAGAAATTATTTTATAAATCTTTTGGAAGCCAGTGTGAAACATTGTGTCAATAAAGGTAAAATGGAAGGTGGCCATCAGAGAGCATGTTAGGACACTGTAAAAATGTCATATCCTGTCCCTTTGTTCAAATGAGAATCACGTTATCACTGACATTGGAGTTTTTTGATGCCAAATTAATACATAGTTTTCTTATTTGTAGAAATTCTAAATGAGAAGAGCCTCACTTCTTTTGATCCTGTGGCATGTGGGCCAAGCCTACTGGATGCCTGTTTTTGTAAAAAAAAAAAAAAAGTTATTGTAACATAGATGCATGTGTTTGTTAGTGTACTGCCCATGGATGCTTTCATGCTAGAAAAGCAAAGTTGGGTTGTTGCAACAGAGAGTATATGGCCGTGTAACCTAAATTTTCTAATATCTGCTTTTTAGGGAAAAATTTTTGCTTGCCTCTGCTCAAGCACAATGGCTTTCACATATTTTGATTATCCTAAGGGAATAATATATTTTACATCGTCACCAGTGCATGAGCACCCACATACAAGAATATATCTGGGAAGACATTTCATGCAATAGTTGCTACTCAACAAGCCCTTTTTTTCCCTCTGTTTAATTCTATTCTGTTTCAGCTTTGAAACAATGCTGCTAACCCTTAGCTGCTTTAAAATATTTCACCCTCTGCCTCGGGACTATGAAAGCAATATTTTCTGCAAATGTCAATGTCACTCATCTGTTTAGAGTATTGAGTTTAGCTTAGCAGTGCATTTTATATAAAATAGAAACTTTATTATCTTTGTTAATGTTAGCAAGCAAACAACAAAAAAGTTGGTCAGACATCTGACATATTGCAATAAGGGAAAGGATTGAAAGGGACAAGATGCAGTCTATGAGAATATTGGAATGCTACTGACTTAATGACCTAACGTTGTTTGCAAGGCTTCCTCAAGAACCCAATTAATTTCAAATGGGTATCTTACATTCTTGAGAATTTTGCTCAACTCCATTTGTTATTGCTAGTTTTTTTATTTGTAGATTGAACAAGGGCTTCACATATAATACATACAGATACAAATCCAAAATAAGATATAAACTTGAATCACTGTCAAATTCTTTACTTTCTTTCATTCTTTTATTCATTTATGTAGTGAACATTTATTCATCGAGGCCAATCTCTGTTCTAAACACCATGCATATCTGTGTCACTCACAATATAATGATATCCTTATGAAGTGTACTGTTCAATATAAGAGACACAAATTAATCAAATAATCACATAAAACTGCCTTTGTGATAAAAGCTATGAAATTGAGATACATGTGCTATGAAGTACATAATAGGGCAATTTGACCTAGTCAGAGAGGTCAGTTGAGATTTCCATGAAGGAATAGTGATAGGGATAATATCACAAGGAATTTCAGGGCTGAAGAGGACAGGGATGAGTGAGCTCTCACAGTATGATAATGTATGCCCAGAAATATACTCCAGCTTTCTCCTTAAACATTGCTATTTTTTTCATTTCTCCAGCCTTTCTCTGGTGGTATTTACAATCAGTTATTTATCTTTTTTCCCACTGCCTTTAGTCCACAAAATGAAGAGAACATAGTTTAAAAATTCTATTATGTGTCTATCTATTTATTTGAATATTTCCATATAACATACTTTTACATTTGTGGAAATTGTTCCTGTTCATTTGGATTAAGTCCTAGACAGTTTCCCTAAATAGCTCTGTAAATCATCATGAAGACATGACCTTGGTTTTCAATCAGCTTATATTTATGGTTGGGAAATGATTCCTTGTGAAGCCAATAGGTTCAGAGTCACTGACCAAGGATTTATGGTTGCGCTTATTATGACGGGCTTGGACTCTAGAATGATAGCAAGGTAAATCCACTGTAAGAATGGATTTTCTTGTTGAGATCTAAAGCTTTACGTTTTTTTTAAATCTATAGAAGTCTCATTTGGTAAAGCAACTGAAAAACAAATCATAACTTTTCTTTTTCATGCTTATTTAAAAGATACCCATCTGCTTAGTTTCTGATCCTTAATATGTTGACATGACTAGAATGTTTTTATTTTTTGCTAACGTAAGGAATGGAGCAACAAAGAGATTTCAATTTATACAGTTTGTCTTTGTAACCATACTCCCATGTGAGTAATGTGGGATAAGCAAGACAGTTGTACAGCTGCTTTGCTAGAGATGAAGAGTAGAATTTTACTGTAGGAAAAATATTGAAAGTGCTAATTTGGTGCACAAATCTATAGCTAGACTCAGTCCAAGTTGACTAAATGGGTAATAGAATAAAATACTAAATAAAGACAAATGTACTAGTAAGTATCAGTAAGTAGTAAGACTGTATTCCAATTTTTTTCTCAATAGAGTGATAATATTTTAGTAATTTATTTCAAAAGTTAAATAGATAAAAGAATTTGTGAAAACTGGGTTTCAAATATAAGAGCTATTAATATCCACATGCAGAGCAAGGAGGCTAATTAAACGTTTTTTTTTCATCCTCCTGTACCCCAATGACCTACTCTTCTAAGGAAATGCATAGAACTATAGTTAAGCAAATATAACTTGTAAATGTCTAAAAAAGATTACAATAAATTCAGTGACCTAGAAATCTGCTTTACCTTGGGATTATTGCATTAGTGTATTGCTTCCCTCAGATATGATGTGAGTGTTCAAAAGTTTTCCTTACAAAAGTCAAGACTGGTCTTTGCTGCTAAAAAGAACAACACAGGAAAACATTACAGCCCTTTTTTTCCTCCTCTGAGTTACAATGCTAGGAGAGTCATAGAGGCCTGTCACCACGAGATGGCGCTCAGCTTCCGTCTCAAAAAGAAGTGAGTTCCATGTTTTTCAGCCCCTACTTATTACCATTCATTTCAAGGAGTGAAAAACAGTGTTCAGAGAAAAATCTTTGTTAGCACAAAGCGTCTACATTTGTGAGAGACAAAATTATGTTTCTAGTTCATTCAAAGACTAGTTGCTAATCTCGGAATTTTGCAAGTTAACTCACAGGAACATGAAAAAAAAATCCTACATTTATTGGTTAACTAGGCACACTCATTTGCTTTTTATCAGTTCATTGATGTTTTATGGGGAAGCATGGAAAAGGCAGTTGACATTTTCATGCATTTTGAAGGAAGAATAAAATGGCTGGTTCTCGGCTGTGCTTGTTCACAGGTTTTGTAAGCCGAGGAAATGGATACTACGGTTGTTTGTAAAACCGGATCCAAACAAAGGAAGAGAGCAAGGATGCTTTCCTGCAACATTGACACATGTACCACTCTCTAGAAAAAGGATGAGGCTGCAGAAGAAGGTTTTAGCTTAGCATTTCAATTCTAAAATGGATGGTCCTATTTAATTTTCCACATACAATAACTTTCCTCGCTGAAGAATAGATTAATATTACTAATCTCACTTATGTAGCAGCCTTAAAAGGCCAGACCAACACGGATATTTCTAAAGCAGATTGTAGTCATTTCTGCCGGTATCGTCAATTCCCTACCCACACTGAAAGTCATTGTGTTGGTAATCTCACGCTATTGCTTCAGTAGGCGTCTGCGTCATTCTTTGCTCTCCGTGAGCTATAGACAGGCATAATGGATGAAGTGATGAGAGGGCACAATGATGAATTAATATCCCAGAGGTCCTAAAACTAGTCACAATGAAAGAAGGCTTTTCTGTGGCCACTGGGTTCCTGGAGTTGTGTTATGAAATGTGATTCTGGGGTTGTCTGCTTGCTGGTATTCCTGTAGAAGGATAGAGGGAAGAGTTCTCTCAACTGCAGGAGAAAAAGAACAAGAAAAAGCAAGACATACATGTACTATAATGAAATGGGATCATAACTATATATGTGTAAATATATACACATATATACACGCACACACCAGGTTTTTGTATAAATAAATGTGAAGTTTTCTTTTTATCAAGCTTTGCACTATATAAAACATCTACACTGGTTGCAGCTTTACTATTTGTTTTTGCTTGGCATTTTGTTATAGAAATAGCATACATATTAGTGGTACATTAAGCTGCTTCTTCTAATATATGTGGATTAAGCAGCAGAAATAGCTTTTCTATTCTTTGCCATCTTTGGAAGTGTTATTGTGGAAAACAAAGTCAAAGCAGACATGATGAGCCAATGTCAATTTTGATTATACCTTATTCTATTTGTTCTTTTATGTATTTTCAAACTCTCACCGAGTGCCACCTTACACTAGGCACAGTACATGACGCTGAGCATAAAGGCGGGAAAGAGATCACAGTTCCTTCCCACAAAGATGCAGAAATGAATATGACTCTACCTGCAATAGTGCAGTATTACATGAACTGTGGTGGAATTGGAACAGTGGCATTTAGCTCAATCATAGTTATTAGCCTAAAATATTTCAATTAAAGATTAACTTACTACCAAAAATATGTAAAAATCATTTTCTCTGCGGGGACAGGATAAGCTAGGAAAGATGCAAGCTTAGAAAGAAAGAGCATGAGTGTGCTTCCTTTGTCTGAGAGATTATTCCCTTCTGGCCAGAAGAGGGTTGGGGATGGAACTCGGAAAGAAGAGTGCACAGAGAAGCTTAACCAGTGTTTTGCTGTTCTCGCATCATATATTTATAATGTGTTTTTACAGTTCAGTTTGATGAATTATGTTTTTCTGGGATGAAAATATTTTCACATCCAAACACAAAAATGTAGTTAAAAGTATTTAAGGGAAACATAAATAGTTAAAACAGCCAGTTTAGGCAACTCATGTACTTTCTTTTCTCCATTCAAACAGATATTTGAGAATTCACTATATTTCACAACTGATTTTCACTCCCTGTATATTGAAACAAACTCATACATATCTTAATGACATGCTAATCTGAAATAATGAGCCTCATATATAATACTTGTGTCCTTTAAAACGAATACATAACCATATGCTATAATTTTGTGGTGCTTGTTAATTAACACAAGTAGTCCTAAACTTTTCAAAAACGAGGGAGTAGACACCATGATGTGAACATTAAAACAAATAAATACACATACATTATATAGTGTTTAGTTCATGAGCTGGTTTGAAATTTGCTCCATGATTTTGATAGGTCATCTGTATTTGCTCTTGTGTGAAACACTTTCAATAACCCTTATTGGTAAAGCACTTGGAGATCATTGGTTGAAAAGTGCAATTGACTCTGAGTGCTGGCTTCAGAGCCTTACAATTGAGAGCCATCATAAATTTTATTTTTGCTGGCATAAATACGGAGATCTTTTTTATGCAGAGAGGGAGCTCTTTTATTTTGTAAACATTTTTATGCTAGGTGCTTCAGTAATGAATCTTAGATCAGTATAAAAATTGTTTGCAATAATAATCTATATACCAGTCTCTATGTGATGTTCTTATAGCTTTCTCTGCTTGCCCTGGAATAAGAAAGCATTAATATTTTGAAACAATTCTGTATGTGTGATTGTCTGTTTTTATGGTAATCAGAATACAAAAGATAAAAACACGCAGGTTTATTTTGAAAAAAAGGTGTTTACTTGAGGGATCTTTTCTGATAGCATAGATTTCTGTTAGCTTTTTAAATTTAAACAAGTATTCTGGGATAATATTAAATTTATCAGCCACAGAAAGGGGAGCTTTGTAGTTGTTGGAAATCCTGTTTTATCACCTATCACCCAGAAATAAAAGAAATCTTAAAGGATAAAGGTAGAAGTAAATTCAATTTTCCTTGGTATCAAGTTAATTTTTTCAATCAGAAGTTCTTTGAGCAGGTGAAGAAAAGACACTAAAAGAATTGGAAGCTATAGTAAAAGCCCTGATGAAGAATACATCATAAATAACTAACAAACCATAAATGAAAATTGGGTGCCTTTAAGGCGGGAACTACTAACAGGCTGCCAGGCAGCATTTGACCTCTTTTAATGGAAATTTTAAGAGAGGACTCGAGGTGATGAAGGGTCATTGAACCGGATGTCAATGGCTCCTGAGTAGTACTCCAGGTGGGCTACTAAGCTCATTCTGAAGGATGATGTAGATTGGGGTGCATCAATCAGCCAGGCAGAAGTCAACTCCCTGACCAGTTCTTTTCTGTAGTAGTTCAGACACTGCACAAAGTACAGGAAATCAGGTTATTTATTTATTTTGGGCTTTTATTAAGATATAATAACAACTTCTTATATTTGTTTAGTGTGTTATATTCAAGAGCCCATTTGCCACCTCAATTCAGTCAGACTATCAAATAAGACATGTTTTAATTTTCCATCTTCATATATATTTCTATGCTTTATGTGATAAAAAATTACAATTTATCTGGGATCAGGGCAATAAAAGAAACTGATCTTTTGCAAATACAGTTTGCTCTTATGTATAGGAAAAGTTAGAGAGAATAAAAGCCATTAAAGTTGTGTATAAAAGATACATTGGAGTTACATTTATATCATTGATTACACTGTTTCTCAATTACACAGTTTTGAAAAAAACACAAGCAATTAATCATGGTAGATTACACTCAGTTTGTATTTGGTCAGCAGTAGCAAGTAGTTATCAAGAAGTCTGAGTTCCAATTGTTTCTCTAAATAATCCTTTGTAATATCTTTTGCTTATGGGATTTCTGTAATACCCTTTAGTAAATGTGATTATTTATATCTAGAAAACATTTTAAAATAGCTCTCATTCTTTTTTATAATTATACTTTTAAATATATTTTAAACGTATTATATTTTTAATATGATGCCATTACGAGTCCTGCCATTTGTCTTGTTTAATCTGAATATGCATAATTACAAACCATACCAATTAAAATCACTATACATGCATTATTAACTGGGTAAATTTTAGGAGTAAAAACAAGATTAAAATATTCAGGCAAAATAATTACTCGTAGCTTATGTAAAAGAACAACAAATAAGAACTGGAAGTTATTAAAATTTTTATTTTAAAGAAAAGCAGTAGTTTTATATAGATGACACAATTTAGTATTGGTAGAGGGCAAAATTTCTATCAATAACAATTCTTCAGATATAATTTTCTTTAGCAATTGGAAATATTAAAAATAACTTTAGATATTGGCCAGATATATGACATTTATATGACCTACTTGCCAGTATTGAAATGATCCACTGACAAAAAAAAGAAGATATACTATTATGACTTTTATAAGAATTTAAGATACCAGTACTTTATTATCCTGTTTTATTTGAACAGAAAATAAGAAACTAAAAAACAATTAGCAAGGCCGGAGAGTATTTTAGATTAAACTGATTTGAAATATGTAGTTTTCCTTTAGAGACTGCAAGCCATTGGCAATATGGCTTGAAATGAGTGGCTTAATAATAAAATGTTTCTATCCATGTCTATAAAATTCTAGGCAACAAAATTTAGCCATGCATTTTTGCATTAAACATGAACTATATCAAACTGTAGTCCTTTCAGTGGGGTCCTGATTTGTCCAGCCTTCTTTATCAGTCGCTTGAGGATCTTATAAGCTATTGAGTTTAGAGTTTTTAAGGTGTGACAGATGACTCCAAATGGCTCCTCTGTAGCTAAAATTTGGAGCTATAACTTGAACTTAAAATTTGAAGTTATATCTTCAAATTTTAGCTACAGAGTATAGGCTGGTTCTTACACTCCCAGCCTCTACCAGGGGGAAATACTTTTTGTATGGCCATAGTTATCTGAATATTTAAACTGAATTCAGGAAAAATGGGATATCCTGCAGTAGACCGAACACTTCATTGTAACTTTGTTTTTCTGTAGCTTAGTACAGTGCCCTGTAACATGTAGGTTCGGAATATATGTTCATTGAATGATTGTATTTACACTTACTAAACTGGTTCTACTCAGATAAAGGTGCCCAAAGGGTCAGTTTGAAAGTGACAGTAAATGTTACTAGCAATTAATTTTATCAGAGAAGATACTAGGGATTGGAAGGAGGAAGAGATGAGGAAAGAGAAAGGAGAAAGAAACAAAGGTAAGCAGGAAAACCAGGGGAGTTGGACGTGTCCTTCAGGAATAGGTAAAAATTCAATGTGTTCAGGTGGTGGACAGTATCAGGCTAAAGCTGGTGAGCTGAGTGTTTGAAGTTTTTAGAATAAATTCAGGGTATTTAGTGGGTGCTCATAGGAGATGAAACTGCTTTAATTAATGGAAGACAGTCAATAACTTTTTGTTTAGTTTTATTGTAAGTTGGGATGAACAAACAACTCCTTTCCTTGTAAAGTCTTTGGCTTACATTTATCCATATTTCATGTCCATAGACCAAAAAAAAAAAAAAACCAAACAAAAAGACTTTGTATTAACTACTAGAACTTATTGAGCAACTCTGTAAATATCAGGTCAAGAAAAACAGACAACGATTGACTAGACATTTAAGAAAAGCAAATGACATAATTTTACTTCAGTCTCCTGATTTTCATCGGCTCATTTCTAGTTTTCCCAGTCCTGGAGAGGTGGATCAGTGCAGTTTGACATAGTGCCAATTCCGGATTCTGTTCCCTTCTGCTTGGTTCATTCTTTTTGCTCTCTGCCAGAAGTCGGTATTATTTGAACTTTAGTCCAAGTACTTCTCATCTCTCTTTATACTTTCGTTTCTCACAGTATCAACTCTCACTTCCATGAAGCTGATTTCCAAGTCGATCTCAAATCAATTCTTCCTATCTCCTTATCTATATTTAGAACAAGCACTGTTGTATATTTACAGAATGGTATTGTAGGGATATAAAATTAAACCTTATAAATGACATTCTTTTGTTAACAAAAATCTTTAATTTCTATTTTTTCTAATTCTCTCATTCTAGTCACTTAGACTCAAATCTTCAAATTATATTTTATACAATTAACTCTTTTGATAGCTACTATGCCTGTTCTTTTATTCTCACATTCAGTACTTTGTGCCTGGGTTTGTGAAAACCATCTTAACTTGTACTCCCTCCTCTTTGAAATATCATTCTGTACATCAGACAACTAGTAGACAAGTGTAGCCAACCAGTTTTTCTACAACTTTCATCAGGATATTTAAGTTTATCTTCATTTTGGCTTCAGCTTATTTTTCGAGTCCTAAAATATTTTTTAATTTCTTCACTTCAGACAGAGTATCCCATTTACTTAATCAATGCATTTTGCCTTCATACCTTTATCTATATATACATAATTCTTTCTCTGTAATTATCCTGACACTCTTCTCTGTGTCTATTAACCCTACTCATTTTTAAAAGTCTAGTACAAATTTGAACTACTTATTGAGTTTTCTATATTCAGCCTAGAGTTCAACCTAGAGTTACGCATTTTCTGTATTTTGATACTTTTGACATTTTGCAGGTCGGTCTGCTTACTGTTCTTCAGCTATCATTTTGTAATCAGGTATCTATAAAATGTCTCAAGCTCTTTCTCCTGCCTTTATACCTCCTTCAATTTTACCAAACTTTTAATGTCAGATCTACGAGAAAATCTGGTCTAGACTTAAGTTACTTAAGTCAAGGACTGTATCTCATTTATCTTTAGATTGCTGACACTTAGTGTAGTCTCTGGCATGTCAAAAGTACTTATGAATACTTGTAAAATAAATGAACAAATGGCCTTTCACAATGAAACCTTCCAGAATACACCCAATCAATACCGCTTTCCCACATTCCAAATATCATTCTATTAGCTTTCATATAGCCATTTGCTTTTTTGATTAGCTTTTTTATATAGCCATCTTGATATGGTTCGGCTGTGTCCCCACCCAAATTTCATCTTGAATTGTGGCTCCCATAATTCCCACGTGTCATGGGAGAGACTTGTGGAAGGTAATTGAATCATGGGGTTGGGTCTTTCTTGTGCTGTTCTTGTGATAGTGAATAAGTCTTACAAGATCTGATGGTTTTTTAAAGGGGAGTTGTCCTGCACATGCTCTTTCTTGCCTGCCCCCATGTAAGATGAGAATTTGCTCCTCATTTGCCTTTCACCGTGATTGTGAGGCCTCCCCAGCCATGTGGAACTGTGAGTCAATTAAACCTCTGTTCCTTTATATATAACCCAGTCTTGGATATATCTTTATTAGTAGCATAAAAGCTAAGTAATACACACGTAGACTTAGTTCTTTTTTTAATTTTTATTTTTAGAGTTGGGGTCTCACTCTGTTGCCCCAGTGGAGTATAGTGGCTGTCATAGCTCATTGCAGCCTCACACTCCTGTGCTCAAGCAATCCTCCTGCCTCAGCCTCTCAAGTCACTGGTGGCATGAGCAACCACACCTGGCTCTAAATTCTTTTTTTTTTTTTTTTTAACAGGAGTCTTATCTGTTGCCCAGGCTGGAGTGCAGTGGCACGATCTCGGCTCACTGCAAGCTCTGCCTCTGGGGTTCACGCCATTCTCCTGCCTCAGCCTCCTGAGTAGCTGGGATTATAGGGGCCTGCCACCACGCCTGGCTAATTTTTTGTATTTTTAGTAGAGATGGGTTTTCACCATGTTAGCCAGGATGGTCTCGATCTCCTGACCTCGTGATCTGCCCGCGTCGGACCCCCAAAGTGCTGGGATTACAGGCGTGAGCCACCATGCCCCCTTAAAGTCTTTTTTCATTTTAATGTTATTTTTCTTAACTAAATTGTAGGAACTTGAAGATTGATGATTATATATATCCCACAGTGCATACTTTACCCAGAGTAAGCACACAGTGTATAATTTTGGAAAATTTATTTTTTCATGGTGTTAGTGTTTTCATGTAGTACATATTTTACATACATATACACATGAAGAGTTCAGTATGTTCAGAACTTTGGAGACTCAATAATTCAGATTATTTATTTATGTTTTTAATGCTGCTAATTCATGAAAATTACCGAGGCATCTTAAAAATAAATAGGATATAAACAACATGATTTACTAAATCGAAGAGAAATCAAAACCAATGAAAAGAAGCTGGGATAGCTACTATTGGACACTGCAGAATGAATTACTGTGCTTGAGATTCAAATTTAGCTTTGGTTCAGAAAGTAAGGTAAAACAAGAAAAGTACTTAGGTATGTAGTTACTTTATTCTGAGAATATACCTTTAAAGATAAAATTAAGCACACATATTCTTCTGGGTATTGAATTTTTTAATCTGTTATTGAATTAGGAAGGTGTTTATTTCATGTTTATAAATAAGCAAGATATATAATTGCTCGAATAAACATTTCTTGTGTTGGTCCTCTAGGAAATTTGAGGGCTATTACAAATTTCTGAAAAACCTAATGAAAAGGCACTGCGGGAAAAAGGTGCCACTCTAAGCAACTTTGGAAAGGAATGGAAACTAAGACTGATGGCAAAAGCCCTATAAGCACTCTATGAGCTGATGAAGACTATATTCTAGTTCATAAAGTTGTTTTCCACGGGAATATGGATTAACTATTTTGAACCAACTATACATGAATCCTGGAACTGAAAAATTAAGTAATAGATGGCTGAAGGTGAGAGCCAGTTTTCTCACTTTTGAAGTGGGAGGTGACAAACAAACAAGGGGAGAAACATGGATGCATTACTTACCTATAAGGTAGTTAATGAATTAGAGTTGGAGATATCAGTATAAATTATGTTTAGCTCAATATAGATAAAAATAGATACATATAGAAATATTTATAAATATATGTGTGTATACTGGTTAGTATACACACATATATTCTTTTACTCTGAGAGGGCCAAGAAACAAAGATATTCCAGCAGCAACAGGCATATTTGGGATCTAGACCTTGTTTCTAAAACCGTCGTCCAATGAAAAGAACCATGGCTTCCTGAAGAAATGACTGGTTGTTGGGCAGGAAATATATAATATAATCCTGGAGCATCTTGTGGTGTCAAAATTTAAAGAAGTATCCAAAGACCCATATACATACACGATCACTCACCCAATAATGAGGGTATGGGGTATGTCAAAGGGACATTTGAACCTTCCGAAAGCTCTTAAAATGGCAAAATCCAGTACATGTCGAAGAATCATGAACATATTTAATCATATCCCAGAGTATCAAATAAATACTTATAAGCTCATCCTGATATAAACAAATGACTGGATAAATAGGTTCATGGAGAAGAATACACAAATATACTCTTGCATAGGAAATTCCAGATAATTTATGAAGATATTCTGCTCTCAAGGAGGTGGAACATAAGCTTACATTCCTTTCTTATGGATTGGATTAAATGGCTTCCTTCCAAAGAATGCAGTATGGAAAGGCAGAAAAAATACTAACTTTATAGTGGAAAAACCTGATAAACACTGCCTCTTCCAAGGGGTTCAGATCAAAACACAACCCTGATGTCATATGCATCCTTAATATGATGTGATAAGAATGGCACTTTACCTCTGTTGTCTTCTTCTTACTCTTAACTTCAGTCTAATCACGAGAAAAAATCAGACAAATCCCAAATGAGAAACATTTTACAAAATACCTGACCAGCACTCCTAAAAACTGCCAAGGTCATCTAAAATGAAGAAATTCTGAAAGTGTCAAAGCAGGAGGTGATGAAGGAGTCATGATGACTAAATACAGTGTTGCATCCTGATAGAATCCTGGAATAGAAGGAGAATATTAGGTAAAAAATAAGAAAATCTGAACAAAGTATGCACTTTAATTAATAACAGTATGTCAATATTGATGAGCTAATCATGACAAATGCAAGAGGCTAATGTAAGATTGGGTGTGGGGTATATGGGAACTCTCTGGGCTGTCTTTGCAACATTTTCTTAAATCCCAAGCTATTCTAAAGAAATGAGATTATTAAAAATAAAACTTAAAGCTTAAAATCAACTCATCTCTGAAATATGTGCAATCCTGAGTTATGATTCAGATATGTTAATTTATTATCTTGTTACATGTCATAAAATAGGGAACAATGAATATATATCATCGCCATAAGATACTCTCAAACACTAGATGCACTGTCTTAGTCCATTTGTGCTGCTGTAATAAAATAGCTGAAACTGGGTAATTTGCAAACAATAGAAATTTATTTCTCGCAGTTCTGGAGGCTAAGAAGTCCAAGATTCAGGATCAATTAAGGCCAGCAGGGTCAATGTCTGCCAAGGACTGCTTTCTGCTTTAAGATAGAGTCCTGTTGCTGTGTTCTCTGGAGGGGATGAACGTTGTGCTCTCACATGATGAAGGAATGGAAGAGAAGGATTTACCCTCTCAAGCTCTTTTAAAAGATTGTAATCCTATCAATGACAGTGGAGCCTAATCATTTTCTAAAGACCCCACCTCTTAATACTGTTTTGCTGGGGATTAGGTTTCAACCTCATTTTGGAGGGCAAACAGCTAAGCCATAGCATACACTGAATAATTTTTTGAGAAGGGCTGGATTTCAGGAAAGTTATAGTGAATTTCACCATTGAATTTTGAATTTTTCCAAAGACCTTATATCTTGCATTGACATATAAAGAATCTACAAAGAGGTAGACAGATTTGACTATGGAGACATTTTTAAAAAGTCAAAGAAGATCATAAAGTGATAATGCAAAGGGAAAATTAGGAGCACATATGAGAACATGTGAGATATGAGAACAATCAAGTTAATTTATGGAGCTGTCAAAACATTAATATGAAAATATGAAGGTTCTGTTAGAATATGAAAGAATATGATCAACCAATTTATAAGATAATAAACAGTCCAAAACTTAATTATATATTTAATTTTTCCAGGAATTTAATAAATATGGATGCAAAAACCACAGATACAATTATATGTATTCAAATAAATAATTAAAGATTAATACTCAGTAGTAATAAATACACATTACCATGTGTAAATTCTTACTGTTTTGGGATCTGAATTGGCATATTTCTAGAATAAAAGTTAAATAAATTAATAACTTTGGACTCCTAGGAATGCATTCATAGAGAATAATTAGAACAAAAATTTCAATTAGGCATGCTTAACAGAGCTTTATTTGTAAAAAGGAAAAAGTGGAAACAACCTAGATAATCAACGGTAAGGGGCTGGCTAAGTAAATTAGACTACATCCATGTGAAAGAATATTTTTTCAGTATGTAAAAATTATATTTAAAGCAGATCAATGCTAAGTAAAATATTTAAAGTAAAAATATTTAAAGCTAAATCAATGCTAAGTAAAAATTATAGTATACCAAATTGTATACAAAATATAATTCAATTGAAAATGTAAATCCAAATAGTAACTGGAAAGAAATACGTTTTAGTAGTGGTTATCTCAGAGAGGTGAAATTATGGTATGATTTTTGCACTTCTCGAATTTTTCTCTATTGGACATGTATCTATCCCTTTATTCATAATAAGAAAAGTATTATTTAAAGTAAACATACTAATATCCACATAACATGCATAAGCCTCTGTGTGAATAATGAGAAGACACATGGGAAGGGGCTGTGATAAGTCATAGAAGTCTGTAGGAGAAATATACTTAAATTTTACTTCTTACAAAATAGAGAGGCCTTTGCTTTGGAGTTTGGGTTAAAATCCAACATAGTAATGACCTCTAATATAGTGAGAGGGGGAGGATTTCTGTGTGTTTGTTCAATGGTAGGGCCATGACATACGGCCTTAAACTTTCTCCTCTGCTCCCAGGAGCAGATCAAAGTTTTGTGAAGGTTCAGGCTTATACAATTTTGGCAGTCCTTTATAAAAAGTAATGCAAAGTTATTAATGTAAAGTTTGGCATGGGGGTTTGGAAATGACACAAAAGAGTAAAGGGTCCTGTAACTGCAGTATTATTAGCCACGTGGTAAATATGTCTCTGTTGCTCCAAAAAGTGAGGGGAATTTTCCGGTAGGCTCCAAATTTAAACAGGTATCAGCTCTTCCCCTTCATCCCTGCACAACATTCTAGGTAACTCAAGGAGGTCTGTAAAACAGTTACAGCCACAGTTGTTTCCAGTACTATTAATACTTTCTAAGTATCATAATACTTTGCTTGCCATAGTTCTTAAGTGTTTAGAAGCACATACAAACCTTTGGGATGTTTAGCAGGTAGTCAAGAGAACTTCATTTCCTTTGTTGTTTGGCTCTTTGCTATGGGATTTATACTCTCCTAAAATCTCCTGATCCACTTTAATATGAGCTACACATCTCAGCACATAATGTATTTCCAAGAGTCATTTTCGTCTTCTGCTCACATGGTTTCTGGAAGACCTTTTGTGTGTAGACCCTTGCTTTCTGTATGAAAGGCAGGTCATTGAAGGAGTGAGAACCAGCTTTCTTCATTTTTCTAGATCGTCATTACTTTTCATTAAATGAAATCAGATGGATTTTTTTTTCAATCTGAACCAACTACCTTAAACTACTGAAGATGTCTTTAGGCTGCTTCTCAGTCTTACTTTTTAATTGTGTGTGAGTTTTCATGATTTACTGAATCTTTGTAGGCACTTTCATCGGAAGTTGTATAGGCTGCCTTAGATACTGCTAGTAGGACGTTGCTATGGATTCGTGGTTCTGCTAAATAGTTTTGTTGGTTATGGATGCTTTTCTCTACAATCTTTCCAAAATAGTTCATAAAGGAAATCTAATTCCAAATCCATCTCCTGCATTCTTGCCAAGTACTTTAAAAATGCAAAGTCTTTACATTCTTACCTATATTTCCCTTATTTGTGAGTTGACCCCAAATTCACCTTAGTACTCACTCTGCTTGGCATCTCTCCCAGACCTATTTTCCTTTTGCCAGTTTGGCTTGCAATAGATCTTAAAGTATAATCCACTCCAAGAATTACTTCATCAATCTTTGAAAGTTGCTCAGTCTGCACTTTTTCCTAAGCATGTCCCATCCTATATTTCCACTAGGCTGTGCTTTCAGTCCATCTTATGGGAAAAATCTATTGAATTAAATAGGAAATGTGATTTGGAAAGATTTAGGCCTCACTGAGGTGTATGTAAGCTCCTTACTCCATGCTACTTCGCTGCAGTGCTAAGAATCGAAAATTAGGAAAAAGCCATAGATATGTAAAAAATCCAGTGATAGTCTTTCATATATCCAAAGAAATTACTCTGAAAACTAATTTCGAAGACATTCTACCATGTACTTCTGCTGAGCTATCTCTTTAGCATCGAGCTAAAAGAAGACTAAACTATATATATTTTTCCTTTAAAAAAATCTTTTTAGGAAGCCATAGGTCTTCGGCCTCTTGCTGGAGACTCTTTAAACTTCTTTTCACTGAATATTTCAAAATATAAATGAGAGAAAAAAATTTAAACCTGTAACAAGCAACATCTTCTACCCCCATGGAAGAAAATTGAATTCTATGGCAAAATACATTGGTAGTTTGTGTTTATTGCAAAATATAAAGCCCCATGGAATTATCTGTAAGTTCACTGCAAACCATGAGAAAGCTGAATTGACTATCTAAAAAACAAATTGTATATTTGGGGATTGCAAGGTTCACAAGAGGAGGACAACTGTGAGAAAACTCATGAGGGATCAAGAGGCCACAGGAGACTGCAGAATGTTAAGAGAGAAAGTGGTCACACTGACTGTGACTGAGGGGATCTTATTTTGAAACATGAGTGTGTATAACCCATCTTAAGTTACCTTCTGTACTGTGCAGTGATTTACTCCACTACTGAAGCCTCAGGAAAGATGTACTAGACACAATGTTTTGTGATAAGTATTGTGGGGAATTTAAGAAGAAAAGTGACTATTTTCTGATAAAATCTTATGGAAATTTTCGGAAATATTGTAGAGTATGTGAAAAAATTATTAATATTTTAATGAACAGAAGCAAACTCAAAAGACTATCCCAATGGCAGAAGGTGGAATTATTTTTGCAACAAAGTAAATAGTGATTATATAGAATTATAATCCAAAGAATATGATAAATGCAGATAAATTCATACTTACATAAATAATAAATGAGTAAATGAAGGAGAAGAAACCATTCTTCCTTATAGGTGCATTCCAAAAAATATGTGTAGATGCTCATATCCAGGAGGTAGAGCTTAATTTCATGTCTTTTGAGTGTGAACTAGACTTAAGAAATTGCTTACGAAACATAGAGTATGGAAAGGGTAAACAATGACTTTATGTTGTAGAAACCTGGAAGACACCATGTGAACCAAGAGATCGAGGTTAATATTACCAGTGATAAATCATGTTGCTATCATCCACCCCTTGTTTTGATGTAAGGAGAAGAGTGTCACACCTCTGTGGTGTTCTTCCCGAACACCCTATCAGCCAGTTTAAGAATGAGAAAACAGACAAACTCAAATTGAGTGACATTCTCTCTGGCCAGAATTCTTCAAAAGTGCCAAGGTTGTGAAAGATAAGGAAAGACTGAGAAACTGTTAGAGAGTTGAGAAGGCATAGTGACATACATATGGCGAAGGACAATGTGATATACTGGACTAGATCCCGGAAGAGAGAAGGGACATTAATGAAAGCACTGGTATGAAGTCTGTCATTTAGTGGCATTGAGCCAGTGTTAATTTCTTCATTTTGACAAGTGTACCATAGTTACGTAAAATGTTAATATTAAAGAAAGCTGGGTAAAGTATATATGTCGATTCTCCATATTATCAAAAATAATAATCTGAAATTATTCCCCACTAAAAGTTTACTAAAATATTAAAGGTCTGTGTTACTTAGCATAAACTATTTTAGACTCACTGCAAATAAAAATTGTAATTCAACACTTCAAATTAACACACATTAACTAAATGATTGTGACAGGCAAGTCTTCATTTTAGGTTTCTGGAATACACGAGTGAAAAAATACAAAAAGTACAGCCCTCTTGGGGTGAGGCAGACAATAAACAATAAGTATAGTGAATAAATGCATTTTACTTTGTGTTGGAAGGTGATGAATACTATTGATGTAGTTTAGATCTGTGCCCCTACCTTAATCTCATATTGAATTGTATTTGTAATCCTCAATGTTAGAGGCAGGGCCTGGTGGGAGGTCATTGGATCACAGGGGTGGGTTCTCAAAAATGGCTTAGCACCAACACCTTGATGCTGTCCTCATGAAAGCCAGTGAGTTCCTGCAAGATCTGTTTGTTTAAAAGTGTGTAGCATCCCTCCACTTCCTCTTGCTCTGACTATGTGAGATGCCTGTTCCCCCTTTGCCTTCCAACGTGATTGTAAGTTTCCTGAGGCTTCTCCAGAAGCCAAGGAAATGCCCCATGCTTCCTGTACAGCCTGCAGAACCATGAGCCAATTAAGCCTCTTTTCTTTATAAATTATTTATAAATAATTTTTTTTTGCCTCAAAAAGTGACATTTATTGAAAGACAAAGAAATGATAAGATGTTCATCCCTTGGCTTCCTTCTCTCCCCCTCATGCTGTACCTCAACCCACCCCAAGATTCACTCTGGATGTGGCTAGGTAGCAGGACAGCCCCCAGCCCCTCAGATGAGATCAGCAACATTGAGGGGCATCTCCTCAATGGAGGCGTTGTAGAAGGTCTCGATATCTTGAAGAGTCCTCTTGTCTTCTTCTGTCACCATGTTAATAGCCACACCCTTATGGCCAAACCGGCCACCTTGACCACCTTTAAAACTGCGATTAACACAAGAAAATTGTCTAAAATAAAATTTTGGATTTGATTCAGATAAAATACTCTAAAACCCCCAGTCAAGGAGAGAGAGAAATGTAATATTTGTACATCTGTTCAATATTTAGTGTATCAGATGTAATTGTATTAAAAATATAATTTACGAGAGATTTCTGAGTAATTCTCTAATTCTTGCCAAAATTAGCTGTTGGGATCAGACATTAAAATGAACTCACTTTTCAGATTGAAACCTCAAAATTAACACTGAGACATTATATTAATTATGAATATAAAAGTTGAGGCTGGGCGCGGTGGCTCACGCCTGTGGTCCCAGCACTTTGGGAGGCCGAGGTGGGCGGATCATGAGGTCAGGAGATCGAGACCATCCTGGCTGACGTGGTGAAACCCTGTCTCTATTAAAAATACAAAAACAAAAAAACAAAAAACAAAAAACAGCCAGGCGTGGTGGCAGCCGCCTGTAGTCCCAGCTACTGGGCAGGCTGAGGCAGGAGAGTGGTGTGAACCCAGGAGGCGGAGCTTGCAGTGAACAGAGTTAGCCCCACTGCACGCCAGCCTGGGCGACAGAGCAGGACTCCATCTCAAAAAAAAAAAAAAAAAAAAAAACCAAAAAAAGAAATATAAAAGTTGAAAACTATTTGGTAGATTCAAAAATTAGCAAGAAGTAAACAAATATAAAGTTCTTTTCTCTTTTTTAAAGTAATTTTGGGGTCAGCAAAACATAAGTTCTGTAGTGGTTTGATAGAACAATTTCACCTTAAAATTTCAATAGTAACAGATAATACCTTGGTTGACAAGTAAGAAAAATTTTAAATAAAATCTCAAGTTATGTGCTGTTGCCCTATCAATAACATTATATTGTTCTCTCATTTTTTTCTTTGCCTTTAATAATTGGTATCAAATTTATTGTCTGGATACTAAATACGTTGTTAGTGTATTAATGACAAATTCTTTCCCAAGTGATGATATTATATACACAGTAATCCAGTGCAATTATGACTTAAATATTGAACTAGGTGTTGTAGAGATCATATATAGGAATGGGATATGAATTAACAGAAACTTATTTTGAATATTCAATGTTATAGAAATGTCTATGCTTATTGACATTTTTGGTAAGAATTTTTGTTAATAAAATGCATTTGGGTTGCTACTTAACTGATTGTGAATTAACATTATTTGTGTTATAGAATGAATTGGAAAAGCAAATACTTCTGTGTTCTACTGTCAAATGTGATGCATTCAAATAAGGGATGTTATGACAGAAAAAACAAATCTTCCTCAACTTGTCCACATCAGTTCCATTCCCTCATTTATAGGGAAGCTTGAGGAATGTTTAGTGAAATGCTGGCAAATAGACTTCAAGAGAAAGTCTAATTAGTAATGTTTTTTCTTCTAAGGTAAGTAGAGAAAAAAAGGTAATTATGGAAACCCCAAGTTTCGTTCTCAAATTTAAGCCCAACTTAAATATAGTTTAAGGTCTTTCTTCCTTTAAACTCACCACTCTTACTGCTTTTTGATTTTGTGGTGGTTCATCCATATTAATGTACCTAATGACAGGCACTCTGAAAAGGTGAGAATGAATTCTTTTCCTTTGACATATCAGCTGAGGATGATGTTACAAAGCATGTCTTTCAATGTGTATCTGCATGGACTCCGGGTCTGAGAGAATGATATATACTTCTACTTTATGCCTGCAAGATTCAAAAGGCCTTTTCAAATATTCATGTCTTTTTCTTTTTCCTTTTTATTCTCTGCTGGTATGTGTTATGTGATGAGAAGAATGTCAGAGTCTCTGGAGTCTTATTTTTAAGTTTTAGGCTTGCCTGAGGGGGGAAATATATTGGAAATTTGCTGGTCAAGCTGTTCACATTTTCTCATAACATGTCTAATAATTGCAATGCAGTTTGTTCAAATAATTTAGTCAGGATTTGCATACTTAGCATGATTGACTCTGAAGTGAGTTATTGGGCAGTGCCTGGCATTCAATCAGTAACACCTGAGGAGAACATTGCCTTTGTGTTGCAACCAAGAAGAAGTTAAAAAAGGCACAGAGATGAGGGATCTTTTTTTTATAAGGGGAATTCTGATCATTCTTCTCTGATCTTGTTTTCAACTTGTGTCTTAATTTCTTCATATTTGATGCCTCAAGTTAATAGGATTTGTATTGCCATAGGCACTATTGCCATTTCATATGCTGTATTAGGGAAGCGGAGTTGCTGATTAGAAAAGTGATAATGCAACTTCCTCTTCTTTCTAAATTAACCTTGGAGTGGAAGGGAAATGCATTCATGATTTTGTTATTATACTCACTAGTATTGGCGGTTGTTTGTCCTTTTTATTTTCTGTGGTTTTGAAAACTTAACATATACATCCATGGAGTATATTACTTAGTGTCTTTTTCTTCCATCACATTTCTGGACTAACTTTTGAAAAAATATTTTGCTTTTAATTTTCATCAGCTTCTGAGGCTCATCTATCTCCAAATCAACCAGGAAAAAAAAGTAGAAGAAAATCACCAGCTGTTGGGAAAGTTATTTAGAGGATGTTAGCCAGATTAATCTTTACATAATAATTATGAATTAGTAACGTTTCTCCTCCATAAAATCCACATATTTAGTGAGCTTCAGAGAACATAGAAGAGGCAAGAGAAAATGACAGTGAAGTGATGTATTAGCCATGGCTCTCTAGAGGGACAAGACTAATAAGATAGACATATATATGAAAGGGAGTTTATTAAGGAGTATTGACTGACACAGTCACAAGGTGAAGTCCCACAATAGGCCGTCTGCCATCTGAGGACCAAGGAAGCCAGCCCAAGTCCCCAAACCTCAAAAGTAGGAAAACCAACAGTGCAGCCTTCAGCCTGTGGCCAAAGGCCCGGGAGACCCTGGTAAACCACTGTATAGGTCCAAGAGTCCAAAAGCTGAAGAACCTGGAGTCCGATATTCAAGGGCAGGAAGCATCCAGCATGGGAGAAAGATGAAGGCCGGAAGACTCAGCCAGTCTAGTCCTTCCACGTTCTGTCTGCTTTATTCTAGCTATTCTGGCAGCTGATTAGAGATCGTGCCCACCCAGTTTGAGGGTGGGTCTGCCTCTCCCAGTCCACTGACTCAAATGTTAATCTCCTTTGGCAACACCCTCAAAGACACACCCAGGGACAATACTTTGCATTCTTCAATCCAATTAAGTTGACAGTATTAACCATCACAAGTGCTTCATCATGTTATAATAAAACAGAATTATGGCTTCAAGGACCCGCAGTCTTTAAAACTACCCACACAAAAGATAAAAGGGAACTAAAATTATAATTTCCCAAGGATTAACAGTATAAGCTTCATTCTAAGTGAATTAAATAATTTGTCAATTTCCTCTTCATACTGAAAGTAACCATACTAGGATATAACATGTGTTGGAAAAGTGATTACAAATGACTCAAATCAGTGCCCTAAAATTTCAAACAAATTCCCACTATTGATACATAAGGAATCCACATTGGGATTAGCAGTATTATTCACTTATGCAAAAATATCTTTTGACATGAGGTGAAAACATAACCTCTGAACACAGTCATTCTTTTAGGTTTTCAGTGGGAATTGTGCCTAAGTGATTAGGAAAGGATATGGTCCAATAAATAAACTGAAAATTTTGTAACAAGTGGTAGAGTAATACATATTAATTCTGAACAGATTGACACTGTAATTTGGGATAAAAACCATAATGATTACAGAACACAGTCAGTGTAAGTCTGATGGACTAGAACAGATGTGTCCACCTGTTTAGGGTCCAGCTCTGCTTCACTTGGGCTGCATAACACTAGCTATTTGGAAAGGCATACAGGTTAGGAAACAGAAAATATATTGGATTCTGGATCAATTTTTGTTCTTCTATGTAACAATTAACGTCAAAAAGACAGAGCACACCAAAGGCTAAAATAAAAGAAAGTCTAGAGGAGATGTAAACATTATTACATGCCTTTCATTGGAGATAATTTGGAAACCTTCATAAAGAGATTTTCAAGGTCAGGAGTGTGTAATAGATTCAAACTGTTTTTGTTTTTCTAACATCAACAAATCTTGTATAAATTAACTCAATCGGAGTTTTTTTAAAATGCTAAACTGAAGAAAGATGGAAAGAGACTCCAATATTATAATGTTCATGCCTAGGGGCACTCCATATATCCAATACCAAGTAAGACTAGGCTTTTGTGAATATTTATCACTTGAAATCATGGGGAAAATACTTTTTTCTTGACAGAATATGCCCCAGGTTTAAAGATTATACTGTACATCATTAAGGGGTAATTTTATTTTTTCTTAAGGTAGAAGGAGATATCAGTACTATAATAATAAATCTGCCTCTTTGTTATAAGAAAAGTTTAATGTGTGGTCATAAACATTGTTTGTTTTAAAGACAGATTGTTATAGATGTATTATTAAAAATATCCATCCTGTCTGTACTCTTTATACTTTCTTACTTAAATTTATTAACAAAATTGGGTATATGTGTGCCATTCTTTCTCTGTTGTCTCTGCCATCCTCTGGATATTTAGCCAATCCTTAACCTAAAAAGCCTTTGTCATTATAAGGGTAAAACATCATTTTGTTATATCTTAATATAGAGAAACCAGTCTTCTAGCTCATTTATAATCTTCAAATGTGTTTGTTGGAGATGTTTTGTATTCGTTAATTTATTTGATTTTTTGTATAATAATTTCCCTCCAAATAAGGTTTTCAAATTTCATAATGAGAAGAACACAGGTTAGTTTAGAGTACTGTAGATATATTCTTGTCAAAGATATCAACTGGGTAAAATGCTATCGGAAACATCCAAGAAGTTTAAAAAGTTTTGTTGGCCAGGTGTGGTGGCTCATGCCTGTAATTCCAGCACTTTGGGAGGCCGAGGTGGGCAGATAATTTGAAGTCAGAAGTGTCAGACCAGCCTGGCCAACATGGCGAAACCCCTTCTCTACTAAAAATACAAACATTAGCTGGGTGCAGTGGCAGGTGCCTGTAATCCCAGCTACTTGGTAAGCTGAGGCAGGAGAATTGCTTGAACCTGGGAGGCAGAGGTTGCAGTGAGCTGAGATCACGCCACTGCACTCCGGCCTGGGTGACAAGAGTGAAACTCTGTCTCAAAATAAATAAACAAACAAACAAATAAAATAAATAGATAAATAAATAAATAAATAAATAAAATTTTGTCTTCCTTGCTTGCCATTTCTTATAATCAGAAAAACTAGAGAAACATCTTTCAACATAGTCTATATGCAGTACCAGATTTGACAGAATTTGTATTATCCAAAAACTCTAGTGGGTAAATGGCATTATAGTTTATAATGAGAATATTTTGTCATACTCTTTGCACTCAAGGAAGTGTAAAAATTTAACAGATATACAAAAAGGAAGAGAAAACTAATATAAATAGATGAGAGATCTGCAAGTGTCCCATCCATTTAGAGGGCCAAAACAGTGATTGATTTCAGGGCAATTATGTATTTGCTATAAATTCCTGTTTTGAGGTCAAAAAATTAAAAGTGTTCAGAAAAATTGATGTAGTTTATGCAATTCTGGACATAGTACATTTTATCTTATCAGTGTTATTTTATAATATTCAGAGTAGATATATTAAAAATAATAAAATCATGACCTAATGACTACATTACTGTGTAATTACAGATGCAACATATTATAGTGGATGACTAAAGACTTTTTAGATTCTGTAGTTGTTTAAATTCAGTAGTTTCAAATTCTGACTGTGTATCAGCTGGGAAACTTTTAAACAATACTGATGTCTTGGTGCCTAGCTCCCGTATCCCCACCCTCCCACTCATGGATTGTCATACAATTGACCTGAGGTGGGGCCCAGGCATTAATTTTTTTTTTGAACTTTTATTTTAAGTTCATGGGTACATGTACAGTTTCTTTACCTAGTTAAGCTTATGTCATGTGCATCCAACAAAGGTCTAATATCCAGCATCTGTAAGGAACTTAAACACATTTTCAAGAAAAAACAAACAGCCCCATAAAAAAGTGGGCAAAGACTTGAACAGGCATTGATTTTCTTTCTTTTTTTTTTTTATTATACTTTAAGTTCTAGGGTACATGTGCACAACGTGCAGGTTTGTTACATAGGTATACATGCGCCATGTTGGTTTGCTGCACCCATCAACTCGTCATTTACATTAGGTATTTCTCCTAATGCTATCCCTCCCCTAGCCCCCCACCCCACGACAGGCCCCCGGTGTGTGATGTTTGCTGCCCTGTGTCCAAGTGTTCTCATTCTTCAGTTCCCACCTATGAGTGATAACATGCAGTGTTTGGTTTTCTGTCCTTGTGATAGTTTGCTGAGAATGATGGTTTTCAGCTTCATCCATGTCCCTGTAAAGGACATGGACTCATCCTTTTTTATGGCTGCATAGTATTCCATGGTGTATATGTGAAATATTTTCTTTATCCAGTTTATCATTGATGGGCATTTGGGTTGGTTCCAAGTCTTTGCTATTGTGAATAGTGCCACAATAAATATACGTGTGCATGTGTCTTTATAGTAGCAAGATTTATAATCCTTTGGGTATATACCCAGTAATGGGATGGCTGGGTCAAATGGTATTTCTAGTTCTAGATCCTTGAGGAATCGCCACACTGTGGTTGAACTAATTTACACTCCCATCAACAGTGTAAAAGTGTTCCTATTTCTCCACATCCTCTCCAGCACCTGTTGTTTCCTGACTTTTTAATGATCACCATTCTAACTGGTGTGAGATGGTATCTCACTGTGGTTTTGATTTGCATTTCTCTGATGGCCAGTGATGATGAGCATTTTTTCATGTGTCTGTGGGCTGCATAAATGTCTTCTTTTGAGAAATGTCTGTTCATATCCTTTGCCCACTTTTTGATGGGGTTGTTTGCCTTTTTTGTAAATTTGTTTAAGTTCTTTGTAGATTCTGGATATTAGCCCTTTGTCAGATGGGTAGACTGCAAAAATTTTCTCCCATTCTGTAGGTGAACAGGCATTGATTTTCTAAGAGCTCTTTTGGTCATTACATTGTGAAGCCAGGGTTGAGAAATAATTATCTTCATTTTTCTGTTCCTAAATTGGGTTAACTGGAGCCATTTCTCCTTATATCGATGAGATCTTATGAGAAACAGTTAATAAAATATCTTCACATACATTTGTGTAACATTTTATGGTTGTCAAAAAGAGTTTCAAATCTATTGGAGGTACACTAGGTAATTAAAGACTACAACAGAGGTAAATACGTTTTTTGGAAAGATCACTTGTCTAAATCTTGGTGGTGTCAGTGAATACTTCCTGGGGAAAGAGACTACAAATCTTTGGCATGAAATGCAAATTGGGGTTCAAGGTTAATCTGTGCAGAAACGCATGTCAGTATTCCATTCCTTTTTATGGTCAAATAATATTCCATGGTATGAATAATCCACAAGAATTTAGTCACAGAAAACCACATATTATATGATTCCACTTATATGAAATATCTGGAAGAGACAAATCTATAGAGACAGAAAGTTGATTAACAGTTGCATAGAACTGGGCTGTAAGGGGTATGGGGAGATTGGTAAGTAACAGCTAATGAGTACAGAGTTTCACTTTGTAGTGATTACGAAGTTCTAAAAGTGATGGTTGAACTTATCTGTAAATATACTAAAAACCATTGAATTATGCAGTTTAAATGGGCAAATTATACATCCTGTGAAATATATCTCAATAAAGTTGTTCTGAAAAACAAGTAGGCTTGCAAGACCAGATGAGTGAGAGCACTGTATCTGGAGGGAGAAATCTCAGAAAGCAAGGAGAGTTTAGAAACTGGTAAGTAGCTCCAGATGGCTGGCACATAGGGTTAGAGAAGGGTCCCAGAGGTGGTTAGAAGTGAAGCTAAATAAAACAAATGGGTCTGATCATGAAAGATATGTTTAGCCTTTAAATTTTTAAAAGTTGTGGTAAAATATATACAACATTTATCGTCTTAACCATTTTTAGTGGGTAGTTCAGTAGTGTTAAATATATTCACATTATCGTGCAATCCAATATCTGGAACTGTTTTATCTCACAATACTGAAACTCTATGTCTGTTAAATAACAATTCCCCATCTCCTCCTGCCCTAGCCCCAGGGAAGTATGGTGACTATATATCATCAAATAAAAAATGTCAACAAAGAGACAGAAATTGTTAGAAAGAACCAAGTGAAAGTTTTGAAATTGAAAAGTGAAATAAGAGTGATTAGAAAATCACTAGATGACCTCAATAGTAGGTTTTAGCATTAAAGAAATAATTAGTGAATTTGAGGATAAATGATTAGAAATGAGGCCATGTGAGTAGGAGAGAGAAAAAACAATGAAAACTTGTTCACAGAGACACAATCATTCTACCATAAAGACATATGCACACGTATGTTCATGACAGCACTATTCACCATAGAAAAGACAGAGAATCAACCTAAATGCCCATCAGTGGTAGATTGGATAAAGAAAAGGTAGTACATATACAGCATGGTATAATATGCAGCCAAAGAAATGAATGAGATCATGTCCTTTGCAGCAACATGAAGGAGCTAGAGGTCATTATTCCAAGTGAACTAACATAGGAACAGTAAACCAAATGCTGCATGTTCTCACTTGTAATTGCAAGCTAAACACTGAGTACATATGGACACAAAGAAGGGAACAACAGACAGTGGGGCCTTCTTGAGGGTGGATGCTGGGAGAAAGGTGAGGATCGAAAAACTACCTATCAATCAGGTTACTATGCTCATCACTTGGGTAATGATCTGTACAGCAAACCCTTGTGATGCACAATTGACCTGTATAACAAACCTGCACATGTACTCCTGAACCTAAAATAGAAGTTAAAAAATAAAGAAGAAATTTGCAAAAAACCCACCAGAGACTCAGAGAAATGTGGGATGGACCATTAAGTCCATCCATATATGCGTAATGAGAGTACCAAAAGAGAGAGCATGAAAGGGACAGAAGAAAACATTCTATGAAAAAAATGGCTAAAAACTTCCTGAATGTGAGGAAAACTAGTAATTTACATATCCAAGAAGCTAAATAACTCCAAGCAGAATAAATGCAAAAAACAAAATCATAACTATATACACTGCAGCCAAAATATTAAAAGTCAAAAAGAAAGAGAATATCTTTAAAGCTCTAAGAGAAAAACAACTCATCATGTACAGGAAAATCACAATAAGATTAATAGTAAATTCTTCTGAAAATAATAGAGGCCAGAGGCAATGAGATGACAAAGTGATGAAGTTAAAACAAAATAAAAACAAACAACCAGTAAGATGAAGCTTATATCAGAAAACCTATTTTTCAAAAATGAAGATAAAGACATTTCAAAAATAAAAAAGAGAAAGAAACAGAGAATTTATTGCTAGAAGACATGCCTTACAGAAATGCAAATGGAAATTTATCATACTGAAAATAAAGATGTTAGACAATAATTTGAGTCCACATGTAAAAACATAATTAACATAAAGGTAATATAAAGATAATTACAAAAGGCAACATAATTGCATATTTCCTCTTCAATTGTCTCTTGATTAAAAATATTAAGAGAACTAAAACAAGTAAATATATCAATATAGTAACTTGAAAACTTTCCACAAAGAAAAACCCAGGCCCAGATGGCTTCAATGTGAATCTACCAAACATTCAGAGATCAGTATCTTTCCTGTACTCTTCCAAAATATGCAGGAGGGAACATTTCTTAACTCAGTCTAAATGTCACGTTTATTCTAATACCAAAACCAAACACATTACAGAAAACTACAGATCAATAAACCAGCTGAATATTAGGATATTAATATATAAAATAACTCCTCAACAAAATACTGTGGATCTGAATCCTGCAACTTATAAAAAGCGTGCATACAGGCTGGGTGTAGTGGCTAACGCCTGTAATCCCAGCACTTTAGGAAGCTGAGGTGGGAGGATTGTTTGAGCACAGTAGTTTGAGACCAGCTTGGACAACATAGTGATACCCTGTCTCTACAAAAAAATTTAATTTCTAGGTGTGGTGGCACATTTCTGTGATTCCAGCCACTCAGGAGGTGGAAGGATAACTTGAGTTTGGAAAGTCTCAGGCTGCGGTGATCTGTGATCTCACCACTGTGCTCCAGCCTGTGTGACAAAGCGAGACTCTGTCTCAGAAAAAAAGAAAAAAGTTATACCACATACAACATGACCAAGTGGGATTTATCTTAGAAATGCAAGGTTTGTTTAATATCTGAAAATCAATTAGTATCATAAACCATATTAATAGAAGAAAGGATAAACTTCATATCATCATCTCAATATAGGCAGCAAACATTAAAAAATACAATACCATTTCATGATAAAAACACCCAACAAACTAGGAATAGAAAACTACCTCCTCAACTTGGTGTAGGCCATTCACAAGAAACCCACGGATAACCTTATATTTGATAGTGGAAGGCTGAATGCTTTACTTCTAAGGTCAGGAGCAAGGCAAGGATATCTGCTCTTGCCACTTGTGTTTAACATTGTGCTGGAGATCCCAGATAGGATAATTAGGCAAGATAAAGAAACAAAGTTCATCCAGATCATGAAGGAAGAAATAGAACTATCTTTAATGGCAGATTTAATGGTCTTGTATGTTTCCTCGTATCCTAAGAAACACATATACTCACACATACAACTATTGGAACTAATGAATGAGTTCAGTAAGGGTGCAGAACATTAGATCAATACATAAAAATCAATTGCTTTTAATATATTACCAATAAACATTGTAAAAATAACATTAAGAAAATAATTCCATTTATAATGCATCAAAAATAATATTTAGTTATACATTTAATAGAAGTGTAAACTTATACACTGAAAACCATAAAACCTAATCTCACAGAATTAAAAAAGATCTACAAAAATGAAAGAACATCTTGTGCTCATGGATTGGAAGAGTTAATACTGTTAAGATGTCAGTACTCTAAATTGAACTATAGACAATGCAGTGTCTATCAAAACTCCAGCTGGCTTTTTTACAGAAATTAATTTTCAAATCTGTATCTGATCAGAGATTTCTATTCAGAAGCCATAAAGAATGCCTATGACCGAACGATAAAAACAATTTTAAATGAGCAAAGAATTTGAATATGCATTTCTTCAAAAAAGATATACAAATGGCCAATAAGCAAAAATAATAATAATGATAATAAAGATGTTGAGCATCATTTATCACTTTTCAGATAAATAAAAATCAAAACTACCACTTCACATCCACTAAAATGGCTATGATCAAGAAAACAGATAATAATCATTGTCAAGGATGTGGAGAAATTGGACCCTAATGCATTGCTGGTGAAAATGTAAGTTGGCGTAGCCATTTTGGAAAACAGCTTAGTTAAACAGTCAGAAGATTAAACATGAAGATACCTTATTACCAAGCATTTCCATTTCTACTAAGAGAAGTAAAAACATATACCCACAAAACACTTCTACACAAATGTTCATAGTAGGTTTAATCATAATAATTGAAAGATAGAAGTAACTGTTCAAATATAACATGTTGCATAACACACAGTTGAATACTATTTGGCAATAAAAAATGAAGTACCAATGCATGCTACAACATGGATGAACCTTGACAACCTTGAGAAATGGGAGGTGATAACTAATGGGTATGTTTTTCTTTTCTTTTTTTTTTTTAAGGAGGAACTAAAATATTCTAAAATGAGATTGTGATAATAGTTACACAACCTTGTAAATACACTAAAAATACTGAATTAGATATTTTAAATTGGTTAATTGTATATGTGAATTATATTTCAAGCTGTGAAAAAGATATGAACTGTTTAAGTAAACAAAATAACAATATATTATTATAATATGTATGTAAATATAATGGATGAAAATAATAACAAAAGCTAGAAGGAGATATATTACTGTAAAGTTCTTATACTATTAGTCAACAAAGGATCTAAATTGAATTATAAAAAATACTAAGATAATCCAAAAGTTGTCTGAAAAATAGGAAAAAGAATATATGGGAAAAAGGAGAACAAATAGTAGAGGTACCTTTATTTCAAGGTTGACTATAAAGCTTTGTCATCAAGAGTGTATGCTGTTGACATTAATATAGAGAAATACATCAATGGAACTGAATAGATAACTTAGACATATACAAACATGTACAATTGATTTTTAGCAAAAGTGAAAAATAATTCTGTGGAGAAATGATAGTCTTAAAGAACAAGTGATTTGGCAACAACTGGATATAAACATTCATGCAATGCACTTTGATTGATGTCTTGCGGCATACGCAAAAGTAAGCTCAAAATGTATTACAGACCTAGAAATAAGTCTGAATGCAACAAAACTTGTAGAAGGAATCACAGGAGAAAAATTTTGTGACCTTGTATAAGGTGAAAATTTCTGAGACACAACAGCCAAAGGCACAATCACAAAAGGAAAAATTAACAAATTTGGCTCTATCAAAATGTAAAAGCTTGTGCTATTTGGAAGATACTGTGAGGAGAATGAAAAACAAGCTACAATTCACAATAGCAAAGGCATGGAATCAACCCAGGTGCCCACCAATGGGAAACTGGATACAGAAAATGTGGTACATATGCACCGTGGAGTACTAAGCAGCCATAAAAAGAACAAAATCATGTTCTTTGCAGCAACATGGATGCTGCTGGAAACCATTATCCTAAGTGGACTAACACAGAAACAGAACTCCAGATACCAAATGTTGTCACTTACAAGTGGGAGCTAAACATTGAGTAGACATGGTCATACAAATGGGAACAAGAGACAATAGACATTGGGAAATACAGGAGAGAGGACAGAGGGAACAGGTTAAGGGTTGAAAAAAAGTACCTATTGGGTACTATGCTCATTACTTGGGTGACAGACTCATTCATACTCTAAACCTCAGCATCATGCAATATACCTATATAAACAACCTGCACATGTACCCCTGATACTAAAATAAAGTTTGACGAAAGGAAAGAAAACAAAAAGGACAAGCTATGGACTGGGAGAAAATATTTGAAAAATATGTGTCTAATAGAGTATATAAATATCTGTCTAATAGAATATATATAAATAGAATAAGATATGTCTAATAGAATATATAAAGATCTGTCAAAACTCAATACAAAACAACTGAATAAAATGGGCAAAATATATGACCATGCTTGTCATCAAAGATGATGATATAGAGATGGCAATAAGCAAAAAAAGAGATGCTCAATATCATTTAGTCATTAGAGAAATGCAAATCAAAATCAAGATGAGATACCACTACATAATTATTGATAGGCTATAATTACAAAGATTGATCATATCGAATGTTGGCAAGGATGTGGAGGAAGGGGCATTTCTTACACTGCTGGTTGCAAAAAAAAAAATGGTACAACCACTTTGGCAATGTCTTAAGATGTTAAACATCTTCACAATGTGCTTATTTCACGTTGCATGCCTGTATCAGAAAAATCTTAGTTACACCATAAATATATACTCCTACTATATACCCACAAAATTTTTTTTAAAAAGTTAAACATGTACCTAACATGTGATGCAGGCTTTTTATTCCTAGTCATTTGTCATTAGGATGTGAAAGCCTATGTTCACGAAAAAACATATATGAATATTCATAAAATTTTAAAAACAGTTTATTTTTAATTGCTATTTTTAATAGGTAAAGTTGAAAAGTCCTTCAACATATGAACTGATAAACAAATGGTAATATATCTATACAATGGAATAGTACTCAATAATAAAGAGAAATAAGCCATTGGTACAAAATGATTTTGCCCAGTGAAAAAAGTAAGAAAAAAGCCAGAAAAAAGCAATAATCAGAATATGCTCATCTAACAGCAATGTTACACTCAAGATTTTACAGATGTATGTGAAATATTAGTTGAGAGTGACTAAACCCACGTAATATAAATATCTATTGCCATTTATTTTCTTAAATTGTATTAACTAATATTAAAAGTTAATTTATTTCTATAAAACCCCTGGAAGATAACTTAGGAAATACCATTCTGGACATAGGACTTGGGGGCAAAGATTTCATGATGAAAATGCCAAAATCAGTTGCAACAAAAACAAAAATTGAAAAATGGGACCTAATTAAACTAAATAGCTTTTGCACAGCAAAAAAACAAACAAACAAAAAAACTATCAACAGAGTAAGCAGACAACCTACAGATTGGAAGAAAATATTTGCAAACGATGCATCCAACAAAGGTTTAATATCCGGAATCAATAACAAACAGAAACAAATTAACAAGCAAAAAACAACCCCTTTAAGAAATGGGCAAAAAACACGAACTGATACTTTTCAAAAGAAGACATACATGCAGCCAACAAGCATATGAAGAAATGCTTAATGTCACTAATCATTAGAGAAATGCAAATCAAAACCACAGTGAGATACCATCTCACACCAGTCAGAATGGCTATAATAAAAAGTTAAAAATAACAGATACTGGTGAGGTTTCAGAGAAAAGGGAATGCTTGTACACTGATGGTGGGAATGTACATTAGTTTAGCCATTGTGGAAAGCAGTTAGGAGATTTCTCAAATAACTTAGAACCAGCAGTCCCATTACTGGGTACACATACCCAAAGGAATATAAAACATTCTACCATAAAGATACATGCATGCATATGTTCATTGCAGCACTATTCATGATAGCAAAGATGTGGAATCAACCTAATTTAGCCCAGCAATGGTAGACCGGATAAAATAAATGTAGTAAATGTACACTATGGAATACTACACCACCGTAAAAGAAGAAAATCATGTCCGTTGCATCAACATGGATGGCGCTGCAGGCCATTATCCTAAGCAAACTAACACAGGGACAGTAAACCAAATACTGCACTTTCTGACTTATAAGTTGGATCTAAATATTGTGTACATATGGACACAAAGAAAGTAAAAGACACTGGGGAGGGTGGGAAAAGGGTAAGGATTGAAAAGCTACCTGTCAGGTACTATGCTTATTACCTGGGTGATGAAACTATTTGTATACCAAACCCCCGTGACACACAATTCACCCACATGAATACCTGCATATGTACCCCTGAACCTAAACTAAAATTTAAACAAGAAATATGATCTGCTGGATTTCTACTTTCACGATGTTAGCTTCATTTTTAGGCATAAAACTTTTTGTTATAAATACTTTTTCTGGTGTTTGAAAATAATGTATATGCTCTGTTTATTTCCCATAAATGCTACGCATTTGTTCATCTAGTTAACTCACCAAATTTTCTAAAAAAGTTATTTAACATTCAGAAAAAGTTAATTTAGTTTTTTGTTCTTTGCATGTACACAAAAAACATGAACATTGAAAATATTGAAATATTTTAGAGCAAAGTTTTTAGAAAATATATAAAGTATATTAGATAGAACTTTTGTTGTCAGTAACAGAAATGAATCAAATCAAGCAAAACAATTTATATTCATATTTCAGAAGTTATAGGACCAAAATTGAAAGGAAGAAATGGCTGGGGACAGAACAAAAATACAAACTACAATTCTCATGAAAAAAGTATTTACAGTAATAGAATTACCACAATTCCTGACGATTCTGTGCACCTGGATACTCACGTTGCCTGGTTCTTTGGCAATCTTAAAGTACGGCACTGCTGCAGCGGTATAAATAAGTATCCCACTAGCCCTCTGGCATGGGAGACAGGATGGAATTGTGTGGAGAGGAAGAGAAATATTTCAGAATAGTTTTGAGATAAAAGAAATGTGAAGCAACTGTGGTGTGGAACAAAGCACTGGAAAAGATGGCATAATTTCAAAGAAATATTTTTGTGGTCTGCAGATCCTCTTGCAAAGTGTTTGAGAATTTGAAATAGAAAATTGAGTTATCCTGAGTTTACTCTTTGGTCTAAAAACTGTGCTTCTTTTGTGTAACATAATCTCAATGGGATTCTTCCCCTGTGAATCACAGGAAACAGAAAATAGTCTTCATGACTCTTTTCACAATTCTCTGAAGAATAACACATATCAATTTCATTCTAGATGCATAGGAAAATAAGTTAATTCATACATAAAATGGAGGCCTTTAGTGCATTTGGTAGGGGCTTAATTTTTCATGGAATCCCAGTTAAGGAAGGCCTAGAGTACATCACAGGCTTTATTTAGGACTATTTCACAGAAATCAAGGGCAAAAAATGTACAACTAGTCTTTTGGAAGCTGACATTTCCTGGCCAAAGAATCAGATTAAGTTTTAATCAGGCTATTTCAAAGAATTGGTGACAAACAGCAAAAATTGGCTGCTGAACACTGAGTCCTGCTAGGGGATTAGCCAATAGGATCATTATGACCCAGCCAACGTCCCAGAAGGGCATAGAATAGAAAGTGTGTGTGTCTGTATGTGTACGTGTGTATCTGAGTATAGAGGAAGGTTAGCTTTGTTTCTTCATTTTCTTGAGTTATACATGTGCTACTCGTCCTCTTTGTTTTTGTCCCATGTTCATCTTTGTCCCATATGGCTCTGGACTTACATGACACATTATTTTTTCCAAGGATCCCATTTTCTTTTATTTTTCTTTTTAATATATTTCAGTAGGTTTTGGGGGAACAAGTGGTGTTTGGTTATATGGATAACTTATTTAAGGGTGATTTCTGAGATTCTGGTGCACCCATTAGCTGAGTGGTATACACTATACCCAACATATAGTCTTTTAACCCTCACCTCCCTCCCACCTTTCCCCCTGAGTCTCTAAAATCCACTGTATGACTCTTATGTAAGGCCCGCATTTTCAAACTGCTCATGTATTCTTAGAAGATTTGCTTTTCTTAGACTAAGTGCGCTGGCTCGTGCCTATAATCTCAGCGCTTTGGGAGGTGGAGGAGGGAGGATACCTTGAACCTAGGATTTCGAGACAAGCTTTGATAACATGGAGAAATACCATCTCTACAAAAAAATAGCCGAGCATGGTGGCATGAACCCGTAGTCCGAGCCTGTACTCAGGAGCCGGAGGTGGGAGGATTGCTTGAGGCTAGGAAGTCCAGGCTGCAGGGAGTCGTGATCATGCCACTGCACTGCAGCCTGGGCAACAGAGCCAAACCCTCTTTCAATAAACTTTGCTCTTTATTATGCTCTGTAAAATGAGAAGTAGTAACTTTCTTTATAATCCAAGGAATGATTTTCGTCTATGTTATAGTTCTAGTCTTCTACTTTCAGCCTATGGTCCCAGTTCTGTAGTCCTTTTTCATCAAATAAAAGATCATATTTATTTTTTGCTTTTTAAAATTGATTTTTGAATAGACAATTTATAAAAACAAGATGAAGTCAAAAAGTTACAAAAGATATTTCATAGAATTTAACACTCAGTAATTCTGCCCTGATGTAATCAGCATTATTAATTTTTTATGTAACTTTTCCGATATTTTATTTATGTGGAAGTATATTTTTATGTATATTATTCTGTATATCTGTTTTCTTTAACAAACGTTAGTTACTATAAATACTAATATATATATACTGCTTTTTTCCCCACAGTACAGAACATTTAAATCTTAACATCTGCTGTAAAACTAACTTCCTTAGTAAAATGTAAAATAGAAAATGAGAAGAGAATTTGATTCCTTTGACACTGGTTATCTTCTCTGGTTGCCTAAATTTCACTTTTTGGCTTAACCAGCAAATGAAATATGTATATGTATAGGTCACATTACAAAATTTTGTATTAATTAAATGCATAGTTAGATAAAATAATTTATTATATAACTTTAAAATAAATTCTGAAAAATGTGTTTAAGTGAATCTTTTTTTGATTTTAAATTTTTTTCATGTAGACAAGACTTTAGAGTAGCGCTAAACTTTATTAAGAGATCAGATATATTTAGTAAGAGATCAGTTCTCATAGTATTTATTTTCACAAAATTTGTGTGATTAATCAGTCAAGCTTCTTGCCAAATAAGAGAGTCAGTAGTTTTTAGCATAATGATCATTTGTAAGGTTTCTTGGTTTAAGCTGGTGATTTTGATCTCTAAGAGTTTCACATTTATGCCACAAAATGTGAGAACATAAAACTACTCATTTGCTAATTTGGACATAATTTTACATTGCAAAACTATTCTTATCTTACAATTTAGCTTTTGTAATACATAAAAGATAGCTTTTATATTATTTTGGAAAAAGTTGTCGGATTACAAAATATAGTTATTCCTATTTTGGCCTGTTGGAATCTGACATTCATTTGTTTGTGAGGAATAACCTGGGAAATACGGCTTTATAGCACTGGCACTTGCGAAATAGAAAATGTAATTAGCTTGAGATGTAGTAAATGACTTTGTTTTTTCCATAAAGCCAACATTATGCCAAATAACAATAACTCTTAGAAACATTTCTAAGTCATTCTATTTTATTTTTAGTTTTATAATATTTACTTGTAAATTAAATTTTACTTGTCAAATGAAATAGTTTTCTAAATGAGTAGAAAACACCTCCTGTGGTTGTTTCTAATTTCATTTTCTGTTAACATAGCTGTTGGCACTAGAAATACAGAACAATTTTCAGAGTACTGTCAACCATGTAATTTCTTGGCAAATACATGGCAATTACTTCCATGTAATTATAGTGTCAGTCTATGGGATTACACAGCTTAGTCTAGGAAGACAGTTACCTGGTCATCTTGTCCATCATTCTACCGTATTTGTTTCCTGTGTCAATGTCCTGGTCACACCATGAATTATGGCTCCCCTTAATACTGCAGTCTGGTCAAAGCTATAGAATTCAGCTAAAGGCAACTCATTTTCTTATGTTCCTAGATTATTCCTTTGGATTAAGACTAAGGCACCGTTGTGGGTTAACTTTTGTTACTTATTAATGCTCCAGGGGCATGTAGTAATGAATGTTGTGGAGTATCTTTAAAGAATCAATAGAAATATTAAACCAATTAATTAACATAAATACAATATAAAGAAAGACAAACCATTAAAAAGTGTGATAATTTTAACTTTAGAAACAAGTTACACTTAGCTTTATTGTGTTATTTTACAAATTGAAGGTTTGTGGCAACCCTGCATCAAGCAAGTCTATCAGCACCACTTTTCCAACAGCATGTGCTCATTTTGTGTCTCTGTGACATATTTTGGTAATTCTTGGAATATTTCAAATGTGTCATTAATATTATATCTGTTATGGTGGTCCATAATCAGTGATCTTTGATGTTACTATTATAACTGTTTTGAGCACCATAAACCATGTCCATATGAGATGTCGAATTTTATCAGTAAATGTTGAGTGTGATCTGACTGCTCGAACAACTGGCCATTCCCTCATCTCTCTGCCTCTCCTTGGGCCTCCTTATTCCCTGCAAATGACCAAATTAATAATTCTGCAATGACCTCTAAGTGTTCAAATAAAAGGAAGGGTCACAAATCTCTCACTTTAAATCAAAAGCTAGAAATGATTAAGGTTAGTGAGGAAAGCATGTCGAAAGCTGAGGTAGGTTGAAAGCTAGGCATCTCGCACCAGTCAGTTAACTAAATAGTGGATGCAAACGAAAAGTTCTTGAAGAAAATAAAAATTACAATTCTAGTGAACACATGAGTGAAAAGAAATCAAAGCAACTGTGTTGCTCCTGTGGAGAAAGTTTTCGTGGTGTGGATAGAAGATCAATCCAGCCACAACATTCTCCTAGACCAAAGCCTAATCCAGAACAAGGCCCTAACTCTCTTGAATTCTATGAAAGCAGAGAGAGGGAAGGAAGATGCAAAGGAAAAGTTGGAAGCCAGAAGAATTCGGTTCTTAAGATTTAAGGAAAGAAGCCATCTCTATAGCATAAATGTGCAAGGTGAAGCAGCAAGTGCTGATGTGGAAGCTGCAGCAAGTTCTCCAGAAGAGCTAGCTAAGATAACTAATACATGTTACATTAACTAATATATTTTCATTGTAGACAAAACAGCCTTCCATGGGAAAAGGATGCCATCTAGTACTTTCATAGCTGAAGAGGAGAAGTCACTGCCTACATTCAGGCTTCAAAGGACAGGCTGACTCTTGCTAGGGGCAGCTGGTGAATTTAAGTTGAAGCCAATGCTCATTTACATCCTGAAAAATCTTGAGCCCTTAAGAATTATGCAAAATCTACTCTGCTTTTGCTCTATAAATGGAACAACAAAGACAAATGACAGTATATCCATGACCAGCATGGTTTACTGATTATTTTAAGCCCACTGTTGAGACCTGCTGCTCAGAAAAATATTTCAAAATATTACTACTCATTGACAATGCACCTACTCACCCAAGAGCTCTGATGGAGATGTACAGAGAGGTTACTCTTGTTTACATAGCTGGTAACACAACATTCATTCTGCAGCCCATTGATCAGCAATAAATTTTGACTTTCAAGTCTTATTCTTTAAGAAATGCATTTCATAAAGCTATAGTTGCCATAGATAGTGATTCCTCTGATGAATCTGGGCAAAGTAAATTAATTGAAAACCTTCTGGAAAGTATTTGCCCCACTCTAGATGCCATTCAGAACATTTGTGATTCATGGGAGGAGGTCAATATTGTTGCAATGACAATGAAAAATTTAGCACATTACATAAACTTATATGATAAAGCAGGATTGACTCAAATTTTGAAAGAAGTTATGTGGGTAAAATGCTATCTAATAGTGTCTCATGTTACAGAAAAATCTTTCATGAAAGTGAGAGTCAATTTGATATGGGAGGGGAGCAGGGAAGTGCTGGGTAGAGAAGGGCATGGTCTCTGACCAGGGCTCCACCCCTGGGTCTGTGCCCATGGACCTAGGTGAGGATGGGCATTTCTGTTTTCATGCCCAAATGTTGCATTTTCCAAGACCACCCTGTCCCCCCACCCCTGCCATCCTGTGCCTATAAAAACCCAAGACCCAGCAGGCACAGACACAACTGTCTGGATGTCAAGAGAAATGCATGGGCAGAAGAGCATACAGGCAGCTGGACATGGAGAGGAGCGGAAGAACACACCTGCAGGCACCAGCAGATGCCAGCAGGCCATCGACCAGAGGAACAAGGCAGAGGCTTAGGGGAAATTGGTTGGGATGGTTGGAGGATAGTTCAGTGGAAAGTTCAGTTGGAGGATAGTTCAGAGGATAGTTCAGGACTGAGTGGCCCCACTCCAGGGGAAAACCACCATCCCACTCTATCCCCCTTCTGGTTCCCCATCCACCTGCTGAGAGCTATTTCCACTCAATAAAACCTTGCACTCATTCTCCAAGCCCACGTGTTATTTGATTTTTCCGGTACCCTAAGGCAAGAACCCAGGATGCAGAAAGTCCTCTGTCCTTGCGATAGAGCAGAAAGTCTAATTAAGCTGATTAACACAAGCCACTTGCAGAGGGCAAAACTGAAAGAGCACGTTGTAACACATGCCCACTGGGGCTCAATCCCAGTTGCTGCCATGGGGTCGGTGTTCCCTGCGATGTGCCTGCCTGTCTGCAAGCTCCCCCAGGGGTATGAGCAGCCAGGCACCCAAGAAGCCAGCCACACCCCCATCGCACATCCTGTGATGGGGATAAGGGAACTTTTCTCATTTCAAATTGAGAAGAAAAACTTCATTCTTGTCTTATTTTACCAAATTGCTACAGCCACCTCAAACTTCAGCAATCAATTCCCTGAGTAGTCAGCAGCCATCAACATTGAGAAAAAACCCTTTACCAGCAAAAGACTACAACTTGTTAAAGACTCAAGTAATTATTAGCAATTTTTAGCCATGATATATTTTTAATTAAGATACGTACTTTTTAAAAGACATAATGTTATTGCACACTTAATTGACTACAGTATAATGTAAACATAACTTGGTTATGGAAACTGGAAAACCACAAAATTCATATGATTCACTTTACTGCAATATTTGCTTTACTGTGGTTGTCTGGTACCAAACTGCAATAGCTCCAAGGTGTATGCCTTTTTTTTTCAATGCTCATCACCCAACTTTTCTAAATGAACTATAAAAGGAAATACACAGTTATTCATACTGACACACTAGAATGGATTTTATATTGAAGAGTGAAGAAGCAGAAAAACATGTTCATATTTTCAGTTTAAGAGAAAATTATTTTTTGGCTTAGTTTTCGATAAAGTAAATGTTGAAATCCCTTAATGGAAAAGCATTTTTTGTTAAAAATTTTACAAATTTAAATAGAATTTTATTTAACTTTCAGATTACTTTTCTTATAAATATAGAAATTACAATGATATTAAAAGGTTCTTATTTCCTAAGAGTGGGAGCTTGATCGGTATGATCCACTTTTTGTAGGCATTTAGATTTACCTAAATAATTTCGATATTATAGAAAATGCTTTAATTATGATGATGAAAGTAGTATGAAGGTTCAATGGATTTACTGTATTTGTATATATTGGCAAAATTTCCATAAGTATAAAGAAATATGAAGGACAACAGGGATGTTTTAACTAATATAAGAATATTGTTAGTTAACATTTATTGAATTATCTGATAAATTATGAAAACCTTCAGTTAATTTTGCCTGAGTGCACAAAATCTGAAGGAAAATGTTTTCAATATTTTTAAATAATTATTGCTTAAAATGTGTCTTACTCTGTTTATTTTTAAAATGCTATTTGTTTACACCACCAAATTATTAACTCTCAGAAATTTCTTTTCAGGGCTTAAGAAATATCAAAATATAGGAAATTATTTTACAAAGATGTTTGTACATTAACTACATTTTTGGTAATTTATAAATATAAATAAATGTATTCATTTCTTCAAAAGTATTTTTGAGTATCTACCTGATTCCAGACATAGTACAAGTACTGCAGAGAAGGCAGAGTTACAAATATGAAGATGTTTTTTCTTGTTCTTGTTTTCTTCTCAGAAATGGCAGAAGACAGTTGCTAAATGTTATTCAGCACACCACTGTAAAATGGTACTGACTTTGCAATCAGATATACCTGAAAGCCTTGTCTTATACTGTATAAATTTGTTTCCTCATCTGAAAGGAGCAAATTATGTCATTACTAATATCATGGGTTTGTTGTAAGGATTAAATGAAGTAATCATCATAAAATGTTTAGCATGTCTTGGTTCATATCAAACTCATTACATTCTTATTTCAGTTACAGATTTCATCCTCAAAACATCCCAATCACGTTAATTATTAACAGCAGATGCTATACTAAGACAGACTGAATCAGTAAGTACTATTGATGTATCTTACAAGACTCATGTGGAAAGTATTGAGGCAGTGTAGAAAAGGGAGTGTTCAATGCTGTCAAGAAAGACTCACAGAAAAGGTAATGAATGGGTGGGATTATGACAGATGTACCAGAGTCTACTAAACAAAGAAAGTGGATGGCTTGCAGAAAATCCTAGGCAATCAGAATATTGTGTGAATGGCACAGATGTGTTGTAGAAAGATATTTGATAAAATGGACAATGTCTTCAGAGGCATCTATGTGTGGTTTGATTCCAGGCAAAGTCTGAGCAACACGAACATCTTTCTACAATGACTGCTGACAGTAAATATCATCTGCTACATAATTTTGCCTGAAACATGATATATTTTTGTTTTCTCTCTGCCTCATAATTCCTAGAATTAAGGAAGTGAAAGCTTTCCCACTGAATATTGACCACCAGGCTCAAATATACAATTACAAATTAAAGCATTAAACAAAGTAGGTCTTCCAAGTGATTTATAAATATTAACTAAGTCACTGATTTAAGTGTCAGGTTAGGTAGTTAGACATTCATATTAACTTTTATAACTGAGAACTTTGAAAAAAAGAGTAGTGTGTCTTCATTTAAATTCAGAAAAGCCCATACATTTGAAATTTGTATTCCATGAATACAACCTATTCTTAAATTGAGTATTTCATTGAATGGAGCTGAAGGAATAATATTATCTAAATAGTATACACATCAAATTTTTGCCTAGATTTATTATTTGTTTTTAATGTTTAAAAATTGGCGGGTTACAGTGTTATTTTTATGCTGGTCATTGTAAAATTATTATACACACTTCCATCATTGTTTAGAACCTCCTGGTACATTATATTGTGTTGTTTCAGTCTCTTCTGTATGTTTAACAAAAAATATTGACAACCAAGGGATGTTTTATATTTTTAATAAGAGAGAGTAGAAAATAAATACTAACAAACAATCAACCACATGTTTATTAATGCTTGGGGTCTTGCTAAGTTGTCCTTGAGACAATCTCCTTCCTTTGGACTATGATTTCCCACGGAGACATCACTTTGTAATGAGAAAGTAATTCTTTAGTTACCAGACTGCCTCCTAAGGTATGTAAGGATTATAGGCCATAGATTTGAAACAATTTGATTATTTAATATATCCATTTGCATTTATTACTCATGTATGGGTCAAAATGTATGTGGGTGTAGGGTTTCATGCTACATGTTAGAAAAGGATTAGTAGTTTATGTTTACTGTGGAGCTCCAGTCCCTGAATATCTGGCCATGATTGGTGTGCTAAACCCCTGCTCACTCTGAACATGACTAGGCTCTCCTCTGCCTTCTATTCCTTCTATCCTGACTGCTTTCAGTAAAAGCAAAGTATGTACTCAATAGACCCATTGATAAGAATAGTTCAATTATTTTTCCAAGACATCAGACCAACAGGGCATGTCTTTAACACATAGCCTACCTACTTTGATATGCAGTAAAAAGTGGCGTCTCTCTTCTTGTTTCTCCTGGTTGGCTTTCACCTCTTCATTCCCCCTTTATGCTTTAGCAAACTACTTAAAGGTATGAAACTTGTAACTTCTCTATTTGGAAGTTTTTTTGTGTGTGTTTTTTTTTCCTGGAAGGATTTTTTTTTAACAAATATATGTCTCTAAATGAAGTGTCACAGTGACACTTATGTAGAGGAAAAAAAATCTGACCCAGCTCAAATTATGGAATCAGAATTAATCTCTCATTAAGGTATTATTCAAATTTCTTGGCTTGGATCAGATTCACATGACCTATGAATTCAGACTGTGCAAGCAAGGGGACTTGAATTGATGTAGACAAGAGAACCAATAAGGAAATTAGAAATTTATAGCCAAAAGAAAAAAATAAAGCCACTTTAATTTCACTTCATGAAGTCTTTCCAAAGTGAAATTAAGGATATTCCAAAACTGAGCAAAGACAATAAAAGTAATTTGTCAAAATCAAACACATTTAGAGTTACAAAGAAAGCATTTCTAGTTGTGACCCTTAGGACCTGTCATTACTAAAAGAGGCTGTAAAAAAGGTTTGGGAGAAAGGTATTAAGGGAATAGAGGCTGATAAGGTAGAAATCTTCATAGCTAATATAAAAGTAAATCTTCCTAAACCAGAACCAAATGTAAAAAGGAAAGATTTACTGCTGGCTCTGTCTCTGCTGCTGTAATGGCCATATCATTAGCTATATGTTGTGAAAGCAGCCACTTGGTAAGATGGGAGGCATTATTTTTAAATTGATCCTAGAATTCTCAGTACTGTCTTTTTTTTTGGTTCTACATTCTTGCGAAAAATTTCCTGACAAGAGCAGACAGCTGTAGACCTAGTTTTGTGACTTCTTCTTTGATACTGTATAGTGTGGTGGGCTTTATTTTCACATATGTGCATGTTTGAAAGCCAGTTGTATTAGTTATTGTGTGTTCTGTGGCACATTGCTTACACTAAAAATTTCAGTTTCACAACTGGGAAAACAATATGGATGATGATGATGACAATAACAAATACTTACATTATTGTGAGAATCAAAATGTTATTACAGCTTCCTAAAATTTTTATTAAAGGACTTGGCACACAGTTCAATTTTAGCTTAAAATAAGAAGAATCAGACTATGGGCTCTCAGCAACCCTTCTAGTCTCATATTGTGAAGAAATTATCTTCACTTAACGTACCTTTTAAACTTATATTTTAAGTTCAGGGGTACAAATGCAAATATTTTAAGCATAGTTTGTGAGATAATAGACATACTAAAGTGAAAAGGATCATAGTAAAAATGATTTTAGCTCTTCATGGCATTTAAAAATCATCCCAAAACACCCAAAAAATTGAGTCTTCAATAGAAAATTACTCACTGATTAAGCATAAAGAAACAGAAACTTAAACAGAAACAGAAATGTCATTTTGATGAAGGAAAGGGATGTTCAAGGAAGGAGGGAAGCAAGTTGGAAACAAAGGAACGACAAGAACAAAATTGAAAACAGTATTCGAAACAACTAAACTAATGATTCCAGCAGCATGAATCAGGTTCCAGGTGAAAGGAGCAGGATGTGAAGTACCAAATTCTTGACCATGCCCTTTAGAGGCATTATTTTATTTAATTTGCATGGTTACCCTATGAGAGTAAGATTATGTTTTAATTTTGCTAATAAGAAAACAACCTTGAGATGTTCTAATATCGAAGTCCTAAAGAAGAGATGAGATGGACTTATTAATTTTCTGAGTTTTTTTTTTCTTTTACGGGAATAATTTAGGTCAACATCAGATAGGGGTCACGACCTTGGTTGAAATGAAAAAAGTCAAAGAATAACAGATGCTGTTGAGGTTGCAGAGAAAAGGGAATGTTTATACACTGTTAGTGGGAAGGTAAATTAGTTCAGTCACTGGAAAGCAGTTTAGAGATTTCTCAAAGACCTTGAAACAGAATTACCATTCAAATCTAATTATTGGGTATATACCCAAAGGAAAATAAATTGTTCTACCCAAAAGATACATGCACTCAAATGTTCGCCACAGCACTATTCACAATAGCAAAGACATAGAATCAACTTAGATGCCCATCGATGGTGGATTGTATAAAGAAAATGGTACATACACACCATGGAACACTACCCAGCAATATAAAGTATGAAAGTATGTCCTTTGCAGCAATATGGATGCAGTTGTAGGCCATTATCCTAGGCAAATTAACGCAAGAACAGAAAACCAGATACCACGTTTTCTCACTTATAAGTGAGAGCTAAAAATTGAGTACACATGCATATAAACATGGGAACAATAAACACTGTGGACTAGTAGAGCTGGGAGGGAAGGAGGGTAGTGAGGGTTGAAAAATTCCCTATTGGGTACTATGCTCAGTACTTGGGTGATGGGCTCATTCATACCCTAAACATCAGCATCACACAATATACCCATGTAAGAAATCTGCATATGCACTGACAAAACCTAAAAGCTGAAATAAAAAAAAGACATTGAAGTAACAGAAGAAGCCGAGATAGAAATCACTTTCTCTTTCCTACAGATCCCAAGGGAATCTGGGGATTCCCTTTTCTCTGGTACTCAGGTGTGACTCCAAGGAACTGGCTGGCAGAATAGACTGTAAGACAATACAATATTGAACAATACTGTTTTCCAAAATCTTTCCAAACCCTCAAAATTATCAAGCTTGGTGTGTTTGTGTGTGTGTGTGTGTGTGTGTGTTAAAGAGAGAGAGAGGAGGGAAGATGCAGGGAGATGAGGGGAGTATTCCCTTTTATGTAAATCACCTTTGTTCTTATTATTCATATACTCTATAGAGTCATATACAATATATCATTCTTGATTTTCTTACTTTGATGCTTGTTCTTCCAGTTATTTTCCATTATAGACTTGGGCAGATTTATGCTGCAGTGAATTGTTAGGTTATAGCAGTGCAAGGTGTCTAGGGTTGAGAAAATGGATTTTTTTGTACTGTGAAACAGCTTCCAAGTAGTGAGCTAAACAAGTTTGGTGATGCAAAAAATATGATTATCAATTTATCCCATAATAATGATTCATCTCATGACAATTCACATTACAGAGAATGCAAAATGTTATGACTGCCTCCTTGGCAGAGGTGATATGCCTCCTATCACTGCATATATTAGAAAAGCATCATCTTAAATGACCAGCTCCAGGCTTTCCAAAATTCGTATAAAAATGTATTTCAAATGGTAAACTCAAGATACCTAGTAGTTATTACTCTTGTTTAATAGGAAGTTTTCTTCTTAGTAACCATCTTAATAGTCAGTCTATAACCTTCCTGCATCTTTAAATGTTCTACTTGTGTTAAAAAAACATCTTTTTTATTAGAGGCCCAGCTTCTTTTTGTGGAAGTCAGAAAAAAAGTCTTAGTTTCCTCTATAGCTAGAGCACAGTTATATGACCTAGGTTCCACTAATTGGAAAATACTTAATACAGAAGGTGATGACTCAAATAGGCAGTGTCTTAGTCTGTTTTGTGTTGCTGTAACAGAATACCTGAAACTTAGTAGTTTGTGAACAATAGAAGTTTATTTGACTCACAGTTCTGGAGGCTAGGAAGTTCAAGAGCCTGATGCTGGGAACTTCTTTCTGCTTCATTCCATGGTGAGAGGTGGAAGGGCAACAGAGCACAAGAGCAAGAGGGAGCAAGAAAGGGCTTATCTCACTTTTATAACAAATCCACTCTTGAGATAATGTACCCATGTCCATGATAACAACATTAATCGATTCATGGGGGCAGAGCCCTCATTACCGCATCACCTCTTAAAGGGAGGACCTACCTCTCACCACTGTTGCATTAGTCATTAAGTTCCCAACACATGAACTATGGGGAACACATTCAAACCATAGGAGGCAACTTCTGCACAGAGTCCATGATGGGAAGAATGCCAGCAGAAACATCCAACTTCCAGGGGTAACAGTGGTGGATTCAAAGGAAGGGTCCAGTACTTTGCATGTGTGGAGTCCAGCTGTGAGTAACAGAAACTATACTTAAAGGTGGCAGTTATGCTAATCATTGGTATTTTAAAATTCATTGAATTTTTAATTAAATATAGAGACTTTGATAAAAAATGAATAATTCATGTATAGGTGATACATTACAATAATTATGCAACTATCAGGAAACCCTCATTCTCTGACAATGCCAAATTATAGTTCTTTGAGCCCAAGAGCCCTCAGTATTCCACAGAATTCTACAGCAAACTATTCTTCCAACCTGTGATCATTTGCCTTGAGATATTTACCTTTCATTTTTATTAATAGACTATTTTTATAATGAGTTTGTAACACAGAAAAATTGAGTGGATAGTAAAGAGCTCCCACATTAACTACCCCCAGCCACATACTGTTTTCCAATGATCAACATCTTACATGAATATGATTAGTATGGTACATATGTTATAATCATAAACCAATATTGATACGTCATTAACTAAAATCTACAACTGACTCTGATTTTTAGTTTTAATGTTCTTTTTCTGTTCCCTCGTTCCATCCAGGATTCCATACTACATTTATTTATCGTGCCTCCTTGGGCTCTTATTGACTGAGAGTTTCTCAGATATTCCTGTTTTCTTGTTTTTAATGAACTTCCTTTACAATTATAAAGAGTACTGGTCATGTGTATTGCAGGATGTCGTTCTACTAAAAATTTTTTTTATAACTAGATTGGGGTTATGGGTTTTCAGGAGGAAAATCCCAGAGTTAAAGCGCCATCTTCATCAGATTGTATGAAATACAATCATACTACCAACTTGATTTCTGATTGTTGATGTTGGCCTTGGTCACCCAGTTGAAATACAGGTTGTTAGCCTTCTTAACTGTAAAGTTACTCCTGTATTCTACTCTTTGGAAGAAAGTAACTTCATGCAGTGTAATTTTTAAGAAGCAGGAAATTATGCTCCCCGCTGTCCGTAGGGTGGAGTCTCTATAAAATTTATTTGGAATTCCTCTGCATGGGAGATTTGTCTCTTCTCCATTTATTAGTTTATTCAATCATTTATTTACATTAATATAGACTCGATATTTATTTTGTATTTCAGATTTTAATCCAATACTACTTACATTATTTTGTTGCTGAAATCATTCCAGTTTAGGCTGTTGGGAGTTCCTGGTTGGCTCCTGTGCCCTTTTGACATACTCTCACTAACATGCGTGTGAATTTTTTTTATGCCTACTTAACTGCTGGCACTGCAAGATGTTTCATGTCTAGCTTTAAAAAATTAAATTAAAATATAAATAACATACAAAAAAGCTGTACATATTTAATGTATACATATTGCCTATTAACACTTTTTAAGTATACTATCACTATTGTCAACTGTATGCACCATGCTGTACAGTAGCTCTCTAGGACTTACTCATTTTGCATACCTGAAACTATGTATTCTGAACAAAATCTCTCTGATTCCCTCTCTTCCCACTTACTGGTAACCACCATTCTACCGTCTGCGTCTATGAAATTGACTATGTTAAATTTCTAATACAACTTGGATCATTTACCATTTGCTCTGCTTTTTCTGTCTTGTTTCACCTAGCATAATGTCTCCCAAGTGCCTCTTTGTTGTAACAAATGAAAGGATTTTCTTCCTTTTTAAGTCTTAATACTATTCCATTTTAAGTACACATAACATTTTCTTTATTCGTTCATCTGTCAATGAATATATTAGATGTTTTCATGTTTTTCTTTTTATAAATAATGCTCTAGTGAACACAGAAATGCAGAAAATCTTTTTATGATACCGATTTCAATTATTTTTGGTATATACCCAGAAGTAGGATTGCTGGTATCATATGATGGTTCTATTTTAAATTTTTTAGGAACCTCTGTACAATTTTCTATAATGGCTATATTTATTTACATTTCCACCAGTGGTACACAAGAGTTTCCTTTTCTCCACATCCTCAACAGCACATGCTATTTTTAGTAATTTTGTTTGTTTTTTTTGTTTGTTTTTGTTTTTTTCTTTTGAGATGCAGTTTTGCTCTTGTTGCTCAGGCTGGAGTGCAATGGCATTATCTTGGCTCCCTGCAACCTCTGCCTCCTGGATTCAAGCTATTCTCCTGCCTCAGCCTCCTGAGTAGCTGGGATTACAGGCATGTGCCATCACACCCAGCTAATTTTGTATTTTTAGTAGAGACGGGATTTCTCCATGTTGGTCAGGCTGGTCTTGAACTCCTGACCTCAGGTGATCCGCTCGCTTCGGCCTCCCAAAGTGCTGGGATTACAGGCATGAGCCACTGCGCCCAGCCGCCATCCTTACAGGTGTGAGGTGATATGTCATTGTGGTTTTGATGTGCATTTTGTTGATGATTTGTGATGTTGAGCACATTTTCCTGTATCTGTTGAACATTCGTACATCTTCTTTGGAGAAATGTTTATTCAGGTCTTTTGGCTATTTTAAAATAAGGTTACTTGTTTCTATTGCTATTGAATTATTGGAGTTCCTTATATATTTTGCATGTTAATCCTTTATCAAATATATTATTTGTATAGGCTTATGTTGTTATAATATCTGTCCAGTGTTAGAATCAGTTATTTCTCCAAACCCTCCTGAATGTTTTTAATTGAAGAATGGTACTAAACCCATGATCTGGATGCTAGGTTTGCTTTTTGCTACTCAGATGTTTCTTTTAGGGCCTCTCCGGTAACAGAGCAAATAAATATATGTGTGTGTAGTAACCCATGTATATAGACACACCTGTAACTATTTCTTTATGTAACCATCTATCTATATTAAGTTAAACATGAGTTCTTGTTCATATTCTTCTTCAATTTTAATCCATTACCACACAAGTCATTCTAGTTTTCTCCCCCTTGCTTACTTGTAAATTCCAAGAGTGAGAAGTTTGGCTCCTACCATCTGCCATGCATTTACTTAATTATTCAATTCTAGCATAGACCTATAGCAATATCAGAATTATTAAATGATACCCACAGACTGCATTCATACACCAAGTTAATTAGGTCAGCCCTTTTTCCTCACTGTCTTCAGTGAGTTTTTTATACACTTGTAATACAGTTAGATTCTCGTAACTTGGTCCTTCTTTTGAGGCCCTGACTTTCTAAATTATTTATTTTTCACTTTGCATACATTAAGGTTCACTCTTTGTGTTGTAAAATTCTATAGGTTTTGACCAAAAATAATGTCATATATCTACTTTTATGGTATCTTACATAAATGTTTCACTGCCCTAAAATGCCCCATATTTCACCTCTTCATCCCTCCCCTCTTCCCTAAACTCCCAAAACCACTTCTCTTTTTACTGTCTCTATAATTTTGCCTTTTCCAGAGTGTCATATAATTGGAATCATAAAGTATGTATCCTTTCCACACTGGCTTTTTTTCACTTAGCAATATGCATTTAAGATTTCTCCATGTATATTTGTACCTTGATAGTTCATTTATTTATTTCACTAAATAGTATTTGATTATACATTCCCCTATTGAAGAATGTCTCAGTTGTTTCCAGTGTTGGCAATTATAAATAAAATTGCTATAACTATTCTTGTGTAGATTTTTTTTTGTGGACAGAAATTTCAAGTCAGGAAAATAACTAGGAGTGTGATTGATGGATCATATAAGACTATATCTAGCTTTGTAAGCAACTGCCAAACCATATCTTAAAGCGACTGTACCATTTTGCACCGTCTCCCAAAATGAATCATAAATCGTGCTGCTTTGCATGCTTTCCAGCATTTAGAATTGTCAGATTGTTAAATTTTAGCCATTTTAATCTGCAGTTTCTTTTAAGAACTTCTTTACTGCTTGCCTTTGGTTGTGAAACTATAATTATCACAGTTGATTTCATTTTATCTAGATACAAATCAATTCTTAACCTGATTTAATTTTTGTCTCCAATCATTTAGGCATAGTTTCTCTATTCTTGCGTTCCTTATATTGAATCTTTATTGTTTGACCAGATTTCAGTAAGTGGTTTTGGTTATTATTTGATTGTTTATTTTTGTTTTGTTTTATGAAGGGACATATTCCTGCAGTTCTTGTGTGTTTAAAGTTATCTTTCCGCTGGTTTTATAACTGCAACATTACTTGGCTGCACATTACATTTGTGGGTTGTATCCTCATCATCAGAACTTGTAGACATTGATACCTATCTTTTAGTATTAAAGCTGTCTCTGGAAAAGTCATAGGACAATAAAATTTTTCTCTCCCTGTCCTCTTTATAAGTAAGTTTATGTTATTACTTGGATGCTTATATGTTTCTGGAACATCACATAACATCACATAAGTTAGAGCTTGGTATTAATTAATTATTTTGTGCTAATTTTTCCAATAACATGGTATTTTTTTCTATTGGTAGACTTAGGTTTTGTTTCAGGAAAGTTTTCTTCTCTTTTGTTTAGCAATATGTTTTCTTTTATTTATTGTGTCTTTTCAGTAATACCAACTTATTCAGAAATGTTTTCTATATCTATCTTTTCTAAAAATCATTTGGGCAATTTTATTTTTTTTTCATTTGGTTTTTATTTTACTTATTTTGGATTATCTACTGCCTCTTTATTCAGTTTTTGTTTGTATTTATTTTATTCTAATGGATCTCTACTTATTTTATTTATTTCTTTATCCTCAGGTCCTAAAGCTATGCCTACTCGGTGGGCATTAGATACATATTATTAAGTGAAGTTGATTAAAAATATATTCAAGAAGAGATAATCATTCACAAAGGACCATTTAGGGCATTTCAGTAGGCAAATGACTAAAGCATAGCTTCTTTTTTTCCAGGTTGGGAGGCAGACCATGAATGCTGTGGCCTCTGCACTCAAAGGTAAAGTACAACTTAAAAAGAAAATAAAGATGATGTATTCAAACATTATTTCTTTTTTGTTTGATATTATTAGTTTTTAACAACATATGTAATAAACATATTCAAAATATCTGAATGTGATAAAGTCATATAAACTTTTTCTAAAGATGTATTTATTTACTTTTAATTAATTAATTAATTTATATTTTAAATAATAGGATTGGAGCCTCACTACTCCTAGGCTCAAGTGATCCTTCTGCCTCAAACTCCCAGAGTGCTGAGATTACAGGCATAAATGATGCACTTGGCCTATTTACTTATTTTTTAATGAAATTTTATATTTTAATTTGCTTTATAACTTGGTCTTACCACATCCTCCATCCACACTCCAATTCTAGAAACCTATGTGACACAGGATTCTTTTGGTGTTACTTCACCAGCCAGAAATCTCTGCAGCTGGTGGCACCTCTGCCCAGGTTTTGTTCAGGCCCTCTGGGCTCTCTTTGCCCACTCCGCCTGGGAGACTGTGTTTGACTCGCTCCACCAGCCCACATTCTGCACCCTCCATAGCTCTGTGCTCAGCCCACAGCTGTTCCAGGCGTGCCACAGATGGCTTCCACCTTGGGCACCAGTGTCTGGATGAGGGGGTGCGTAGCGATGCCCAAAAATTTAGAGACGCCACCAACTGCAGAGCCCAAGGGCTGTCACAGCCTTTGCTAGAAGAGTCCTGAGGCCTGAGCTCCCAGCAAGTGTTACAGATCTTGTTTGTTCCCGCAGCTTCCATGAACAGGGTTGTGTCACAGATTGTTTGGTCCTGCTACCCACAGGTCAGTGAATGAGGGCTTGTGGTGCCCACTGGTTTTTTTTTCTCCCCCACTGCTTGGTGAGCAGGAGGGAGGGTTACAGTGTTAAAGCTCTTTTCACACCCGCTGTTCCCTCAGGTCTGGGTTCTTGTCCCACAACCAAGAAGAATGAAGTACTCAGACACTGGAGTATGAGGAAGGCAGAGAAAAATGTTATTGAGCAACAGAAAAGCTCTCAACAATGAGAAAGGACCTGGGAGGGTAGCCCTCTGTGTGACAGGGAGCCTGAAAGCAGGTAGTTGCCTCTGTGACCGAGTCTGAAGTTTTTGTGAGCTCAGAATGGGGGACTGCATGCTGATTAGTCCAAGGGTGGGCCTAGTAAAAGCACCATTTGATTGGCTAACAGCCATCAAGGAAGTTTTCACTCTGGTCGTGAACTCTATCCAGAACTGGCAGCTCAGTTTTCAGGCTCCAGGCTGTCTTTGGCTTGAAAGTCGGGTTTTACCGTCACCTGTCCCTGTCTGCCTAGGAATTTGTCTGTCTCCTGTCACTATCACATGTTAAAAACATGTTACATGTTTTTAATTATTTTCTGCTATGCATTTACATATATGTAGCGATTTGTGTCAGTTATTTACAAAAGTATGATATGTTAGTTACTGCATCATGTTTTCTTTCTCAACAGTATATCACAGAAAGTTCTCTAAATAATTTAGCTATAAATCATTCCTTCAATGGCTGCATAATAGCCCATTTTGTGGAAGCAAAGTAATTTGTTCTGTACTCCAAATTGCTTAGTATTCACTTTACAGCAGCTGTTTCTCCCAGTATGAAAAAGCTGCATTATTGTATATATTTCCCCTACTGATAGTGATTTATTAGTATGGAATAGATTCTCAAGAATGAGCTTACTTGGTCAAAGGATCTTTGGATTTTTTTTATTTTAATAGGTGTTTTTAGATTACTTTTGATAGTGCAATAAAAATTTATGTTTTCTTCAGTAATGTATGAGGGAATACTCTCCCCACATTCCAACAACAATAGATACTATCACACTTTAACATTTTAGTCAGGCTGACGTGTGCAAATGTTTCTTATAGTTACTTAATTTGTGTTTCCCTGATTAATGGGATGCTAAAGCATCTTGTTTTTCCCTATGTTTTTGGCCACTTGAGTGTACACTTCTGTTTTGCCTCATTGTGTAGTTTGCCCATTTATTTGTTGTGAATTTTCTCGTTTGTTTTTGGCTCCTTCTTGGTCAATTTGATTGACGAGAAAATTATATTACATTATAGATATAAACTTTAATGTTTTTATATATATATATATATATATATAGTAGATCTCATCATTTTCAATAAGTTTTATTTCCCAAACAATTGCTTAGTTTTTACTTTATCTTCCTGTCCAAATTATATATATTAAAAATAACTGTTTAAAAATAATTTCTGCATTGTTTTCTTGGTTAGCAATATAACCCCCATTTTTATATTATAGACACTTAAATGCAAAGACACTTGATTAAATAATTTTTTTCATTTTTATATTTATATTATTATTTAATGATATAATGTAGTCTTGGGAATGGAATAGATTTAAATCAAACAACCACAAAAACAGAATGCAAAACTGCAATCAGGATAAAATCTATTCTATTGATTTATGATGAATGAATAGGAGTTGACTAAGCAAAGAGGAGAGATAATACTTCCAACAAAAAGAAGACATATATGTAAATGTCCTATTGTGGAAGCAAATTTTCATGCAGAGAAATGGGTAAGGACCAAAATATACAAGTCCTTGTAAATGGAACCTCCTCTTAATCTTAAAAATAATGAGAAGCCAATAAAAGTAAGTTGTGTTGTTGGTGTTTTGGTGTTGGTGGTATGCATGTTGGTGTCTGTGTGAGAGAGTTTTGTTTTTTTGTTTTTGGTTTTTTTTTTTTTTTTTTTTTTTTGCATTTCAAGTGGCTCACTGACTCCAGTGTGGGGAATGGATTGGGTGAGCAAGAATGAACGTAGATAGACAGTACGTAGTTGCTTATGAGAGATGATGGTAGCTTGGCCTAGAGTGGTGTTGACAGAAAAGCTAAAAAGTGTGATTTTGTGAGATATGAGGAAGTAAATGCATTGTTGCTGATGCACTGAATATGGGAGGTAGGGCAGAGGAAGTGGCAAGGATAGTTGTATGATCCAGTGATTATTGGGTCTTTATGTCAGTCTATTTGGATTTTCTTACAAGAAATTTAACACTGCTTACTTACAGAACAGTTTTTATCAGTGATTAGCAACTTTGGTGTTAATTTAGAGAAAGTGGACAGTAGAATCATTCAGGGTGAGTTTTGTCAGATGGGAATGACGAAGAGACAGAGGGACTGAGACAGGAGAGACTATTGGCAAAAGCTTTTTTAAAATAATAGAACATGAAATCTGAGCTGGTGAAGGAGAGAAGTAAAAGGGGGGGGCTGAAGCACTGTAGTCACATTTTGTGATTTTGATTGACTCAGGGGACATACTATACAATTTTACATTTTGTTCCCAATTCCTATTATCAAGTTTGTTCACTCTTGGGTGATCAATAGGACTTTTTTTCTAAATACCTGCCTGTTTTTTTTTTTTCAGTTTTGATCTCTGATGTTGTATAGATTCTTAATAATACTACTAGAGATTTTCAGTCCCTTCTTCCAGAGATTCTGATTTAGTTGATCTGAGAAGATTATAATTACTAGAATGTTTCTCTAGCAAGCAATTTTTAAACACATCATTCTTTTCATGGTTCTGTGGTGATTTAAATCCTCTTATCTCTAGATTAGAATGATGACTTTAAGAGAGCATAAAATCCTAGATACATAGAGATAGAGAGTAGGAGGAGGTGGTATACTGTTTCCTTTAAGAAAGGTGCCCTTCCTCCATTGAAAGGTTGGTGAGTATACTTTAAGATGCTCTGCGTACTTCTATGAAAAAAAAACTTGCTCCAGACTACTAGAGGGGAAGGGTAGTAGAAGCAGTCTTAAAAAATCTCAAGCTATATACAAGGGTCATTTTGGCTCTGAGAAAAACATAAAAGTGGTCTTTTTCATGTCTTTATGGATAGAGATTCTGGATGCTAACCTGTCTATCTTCCTTATGACTTTGCCATGATAGATGTTTACTTTTTAGGAGAATTATCTACTTACTTCCTTTCTGCATCAGTTTATGTCCAACATTTAATATCCCCCTTTTCACATTTCCTCCTTTAGCAAATTGATTTAGTCAACAGTGGCATAAAGCTAATTATTGCATCTCATGGTTTTAACGTTTAAGATCTAACTATATAATGAATTTAATCATGGAGTCTCAAGAAAATTGGGCAAACCAAGGCTGAATTACTTAAAGAGAGATAGAGCCTGGGTAGCTACCTGAAAGGCCGTTCGGGGGAGACTGCAGCCATTAGTAGGTTAATGATTTAGGATTAGAATTTGTAGGTATTTACTTCTCTCACTTCAGCCTTTATATCCACAATTGTAGAGAGATATTGAGATGAAATGACCACTTTTCCCGGAAAACTAAGTTGAGCGAAGAGATTTGTATTGAAACTGCACCTAAAAAGTCAATGTATCAAGCTCTCCTTTTATGCTGTTGTAACAGCATAAAAGCATGGAAAGAAGCTTTGAAATCAATAAAATAGGTTTTTGTACCTGTTAACCATCCCACCTTCCACCTCCCCCATGCCCACTACCTTTCCCAGCTTTTGGTAAGCATCATTCTACTCTATATTTCCATGAGTTCAGTTATTCTATTTTTTAGCTCCCACAAATGAGTGAGAACATGCACAATTTTTAACATAATATCCTCTAGTTCTAGCCATGTTTTGCAAATGACAGGATCTCATTATTTTAATGTTTTTTTGTATTTTTATAATGTATAAAACTTTAATTGTAAATACAATTATTTAAAGGAAGGTTTTAAAAAATGATAATTTCATTCCTGCTGTGCCACTTCTAGCGCCAGCAGTTAAAATAATTATTTCATTTTTGAAGAATAAATGGAAATAAACTTGTTGTGGTAAATGAACACCTGTGGTTAATATGACCACTTTGGCTATGAACACTCTAGATGAAAGCTTAATTTCTTTAGGTAGTATGTGCTATAAAGTTATCAGTTTGCTAACATACAATAAAACACCTAAGCATTGGGGTAGGCAAGATCAAGAAGATTTAGTTACTTCCACAGTTTCGCTTCAGTTAAAAACTGAACAATTTTCAAAAAACCCCAAAGTTGGGGGAAGATGGGAGTTGTAAGACCTCTTTTACATGAAAAAGTTTAGGATCATTATTTATTATATGATTATGTCAGAATAATTTTGGAAATGGAATGCCATCATAGCAATGTTGGTGTTAGAAAGCATTGCATAAAGAAACTGACATACATAGACTTCAAGACCAGAGGCTAATAGGGCTTCTGAATCTCTTCTAATATGTATCTTATCACAATTCCTTCCTAAAACTTGCTCATTAATCAGGCTGAGGAGGTGGAAGCTACACTGTTAAAAGCTTGCTCATTCTTGCAAAAATTAACTCTCTTTTAGCTTCAGAAGTTTCTAAAGACCAATTTAATGTGCATGAGTAAAACATTATTACTTTCGTTTGGTAACTTGGAACTTTAATCAGTGCCAGATATAAAGCATTATTTTATACACCTAGGTTTGCATGCAGGGAAGATTAGAGAAAAATCTACTGATTAATTAGGAAGTCTTGTTTTACTTCTTTGTTTAATTTTCTCCTAATTTCTGGTCTCATCAACAAAGTTTTTGTTCTGTGAATGTTACATGCTGCAGTGTCATCAATAAAACGAATACACCATTTCAGCATGTCACTCCAAAAATGTCAATATTTTCTCTCAAAGAAAAAAAAATGTGCACACTGATGACAATAATTAGGAAGACAAAGTAGAAAATGGGTGGTTGAGAAAAAAATGTTATTAAGCCCCAAGCCTGATTTAAGTGTGTGGGTAGCATTTTACTCTCAGCTCATTACAAAACCCTGCTGGAGAATAGCAAAAAACACGTTTAAAGTAGATAGTTAGAAGTATCAGGTCATTAGGATTTATGTCAGCACCGCTCTGAAAGGAAGGCATATATTTTTCCTTCTGAGTCTGAAGTGTTGTTTTGGCCCATTGTCAGCTGGAAAACAGATGTCTTATAGGTGAGGTGTTTGTTGCACTATATCACCTAGTGGAAGGTGGTGCTTCATTCTACCTAGGAGAATAGGGAATCGTGTTTCAGATTTAACCAACTAGGATGTCTTTCTAGAGTAGTATACAATTTATTGTGTAAGTTGTTTATTTAGGACATAGAGTCCACTGAGTGCAATGTCAAGTAACTTAAATTGGTTTGCATTAGTAGTACATAATCCTAAATATGTAACAATAGATGATTTGTGCATTTAGGCAATCATAAGTGAGACTTAACAATTACTGATTGTCATAAATGCCAACTAAAAATTTACTAATTTTGAAAATTTCATATTTTCATAATATTTTGTGTTTTAGGCACTATTTTCATGTATGTTGCCCCTACAGTATTAACAGACAGGGATTACTCTGTCACTAGAATCTTTGAGGTTTTTTGGTTTTTTTTTTTTTGAAGTTAGTTTAGATATTTGCATAGTGAAAAACATTAAACCCAGTACAGGAGTTCTAACAGATGGCCATATAACCTCTGTTTAAAAATATTCTGTGACAGTGTGTTCATTATATTACCATCCATTTTAGCTTAACACTGCATGCTGTTTTCTTCTTTTTATGAAAGAAAAATATAGAACTTTTGCAATATCTAATCTATTTTGTAGCCTAGGAAAACAGACAGTCAGGAATTTCTGGTAATGAGCATCACAATTAAGATGAAGTAAGACAAATATCAGTGCACTTTATTTCTCATCATTGACTGGAATCTTTCTGCAGATTTTAAATTTGGGTGATGAATAAATCAGATGGAATCTAGTAGCAGTACTTGGCAAAGAAGTTATGAACTGATAGAAGACAGACACAAATTTTTAATGTGATAACAAAATCCTAAATTTATTCCTTTTTTTTGTGATGCTTAAGTCCTAAGACCAGTGACAGTGAGGATTGTATAACAAATAAGAGATAATTCTGCAACTAGTAAATTTCAACATTCTTAACTATGCTCTGTTTCTTACTTTTTAAAAATTCTGTGATATAAGTTTATTTCAAATTCTTTGAAGTAAAAGGAAATATTGATTAATTTTGCTAGTATCACTCACACAGGAAGTTTAGAAGGCCATGTTTTAATTAAAGCAGAAAACAAAAATTCATGGCTCATGTATTTGGTTAAATTATGATTATATTTTATTTCCTAGTGAACTGTAACCCATAGTACTTCGCCAGAATCTAAATCAAACTTGAATACCCCAAAGAGCTTTCTAAAGCAATGTTCTCATCCATTGACAATTGAAAAATAAAAGTGTTAGGTGAAAAGGGGACTTAAAAATATGCTGTAACAACATTCTTCTGTCCTGAATCTACAGATTACCTGAGAAATAGTCTTTGCTAGTTTCCAAATATAGTTATGGATTAAATTTGGAGAACTAATTTTAGATGATTTCTATATAAGAGAATGACCATCTAAGACTGGTTGCCTCTTGTAATAAATTTAAATTCTACAAACAATCAAGGTTTGTCTAATTAAAATATATATTTATTGGCTTTAGTAACCAGCCCCAAATCCAGTATGTGCCTTTTTAGTAGCGGTGAGTGAGGTTAGTAATAAAAGCTTGCCACAAAGTTTTTACTGTATAAATGGAAATAAATCAACATGCAGAAAAAAATGTCATAATGATTTTACAGACTTGGGCATGATATGACAAAGAATATTTTTATAACGTTGACTTATTGACAAGTCAGAGAGCTTAGGAATTTCTGTAATAAATAAATAGATATTTCATATAGAATGGAGATTACTAGCTTGAGAGCCAATGAGTATTTAATGCTGCAATTGCATTTACATTTCTCAAATGCTGAACTAACACTCTAATTTCCACTTTAAAAAGAAATAAATTACAAAAGAAAAAACTTTGCTCTGAAATCAGCGTGCTGGTTTCTTTGACTATAAATGCTTTATTTATTTGTCATTAGTTTTAAAGATAGAAAACAGTGCACAATTTCATGACTTTCTAGAGTGCATTATGATAAATTTAATATTAGTGATAAAGGTTTCCTGTCTAAGGGTAAGAAAGAAAATTTTAAAGATGCTAAATAAATATCGATGCCTTATAGAAATTTTGGATGTTCTGTTATGATAATAAAATAAAGAATATTGTAGGGGTCAGGAGCGGTGGCTCACGACCATAATTCCAATGCTTTGGGAGGCCTTGGAAGGTAAATCACTTGAGCTTAGGAGTTCGAGACCAGCCTGAGCAGTATGGCAAAACCCCACCTTTACAAAAAATACAAAAATTAGCTGGGTCTGGTGGAAAGTGCCTGTATGTAGTCTCAGCTACTTGGGAGGCTAAAGTGGGAAGATTGCTTGAGCCCAAGGAGGTTGAGCCTGCACGGTGAGCTGTGATCCTGCTACTGCACTCAAGCCTGGGTGACAGAGTGAGACCCTATTTCAGAAACCAAAACAAAATAGTAGATGTAAGATTAAGTCAGAAAGTTAGATTCATTCTCTTTTATCTAGAAATTAAAGACATTATGGAAGACTCAAAACTACATTGCATTTTGATTAATGATTAATCCAAATAGAAGAAATAATTGTCCTACTTGTTAGGTACTCATACCTTAAACATTTTGGAAAGGCAATTAATGATTCTTGGAATACTTCTACTGGTCAAAAAAATCCACTAACAAATATTCATTGTTTATTTGACAATGTATTAAGAAGAAAACAGACAGGTCATTGTACACTATCAGAAAAATTGATTATCCTTCTGTAGCTTTGCCCCTCAGTTGTCTTTTATAATATATATCACCTTGGCTGATAGCACACCATCTTGAGTACTCTCCTTCTAAAGCTGTATTCATTTTATCATTTGCTTCCAACGAACCTTCTTGATATATAGATTTCTGCTGTAAAAATCGATCTTATAATACATGTTTGCCATACATAAGTTTTAAATTGCTTTGAAACTATTGATTGGCAGTCTTTAAGAGCTTACTGACTTCAGCAGAAACATCACAGATTTATTAAAAAGCCCAAATATTCTTTCATATCCTGTACCAGAAAAAGAGTTTGTATTATTTTTATTTTCACTTTAAAACAGAGATTAGTGTTCATTCAGATACCCTCAGGCCCATTTATATTTCCTCTGCCACAAAACATAAATCTAATATATTATGCTGTTTCTTTTTTCTGGTATGTGTACTTCTCTTGAATATGGTATCAATCTGTAATGTACATACAAATTCAATTATCCTGAACACATGGACCTGATTATATAGTCATCACAGTTACATACAGTTTTGGTTTTCACACAAGATTTCACATTTGCAGATATTAAATTTATAATTAAATCTTCTCAAAGAATTTGTTTCCTCAAAAATAAAATTATTATGACAAATTGCCTTAATAGCAATTTGCTATTGACTGAAGCTTCAATAACAATTTACTACTGAAGCATGATGACTGACCTATCGTATTTCCAAAGACATTCCCAGGTATAGCTTTGAAAGATAAAATATTTTTATTCTAGGAAAATTCTAGTTTATATTTTCACTGGAGGTGCTATCAAAAGTGCTGAAAATAAACAAACATGTCACCACAAAGTAACTTTGTAAATAAGATTCTAAGAAATTACACTAGGGCTGCAATTTACCATGGTATTTATATTATAGGATTATATAATCTTGTGGCAAAACACGTGAAGAGAGAGCCAATTTTCACAATTTTAATTTGTAAACTCAGGAACATTTACCATTTCTTTTGTACAAGTCAAAAAAGTGTGAATATCCTTTCCAAAATTTTAATAGCCATAGAGAATTTTTTTAGTGTCATATTAATTATTACCTATTTTTACTTAGTTTTGGGTTCTTAAACTTTACACATGTTTAGGACTTCAGTGAACCTATACCATGGAGAATATTTCGGGGCTTATTGTTGCCATTAAAAAGTTTAAATTTTCTCCATTTATAAAATCCTCTTTTTTTCCCCTTGCTGAAATACATGTTCTTCTTAACTAAATTTTCTTTCCCTTTTTAAATAAGTTTTTATGACTACTTTCTCTTTTTCCATAAGCCCTATATAAAGACTTCACTCATATCTATAAAAAACAGGCTTTCTAATGTTGCCTTAGGGAAGATTAGGAAGTATTCAGACATAATAGCTTCTATAGTTATTAACATATTTTATAAAATATTGCCTTAAAATTCACATGAAAAGGACAGATAATTTGCACTATGAAATGGTCTATTTTAGTTTTTTTCCTTAGCAAATGAGTTTGGATTAGTATAAACTTGCCTATTCCTAGACATGAAACTTAACTTATTCTAAAAGCTAAGCAGTATTTTCTTCTGTATAAAGGAATGAATGGAGTCTGTGTCTGAAAATAAAGTATATTTATCTCTCTGTATTCCATGTTTGTTATTATCTTCCCACATAACACAGGTCATAAGTGCAAGCAGAGCCTTATGAGGGAGGAAGCAACCTATTCCTCGAAATTTAATTTTTTCCCACTCAGGTCACCAATGAAATCATCGAAGGATAACATGGGAAAAGTTTATATTTGCCTTTGAATCTAGGAGAGTTTGCAACTCACAGATGGGAAACATCAAGAATAACTGTTATACCCTGAAGATATAAGGAACACATTAAAGACCAATTTTCAAATATGCTACAAACCACAAATAGTGCAGGTCCTGGGAAAATACATAATTCTATAAAGGTTTAGAATGTGACACTAGTCATTAATATGACATTTAAACTGTCTTTATTTAAAGAAAATCAATAACATTCTTAAAAACTTTCAGTATAGGTTCATTAGTACTGTATGTCATCTAACTGGTAGTAACAAAGAAGTAAATAAATTAAAAAACACAAATTTATAAATAAAATAAATGGTTTAAGAATAATGTGATACATTTCTAATTGGCTTAATGAAGAAAAAAGAGCAAATATTAACACAGAAAACATAACTTTTACAAATATTAATATAAAAATTTTATCTATACACAGTGGTGAGAAATAAGATTTTTTCTACTAAGATCAGCAACAAGGAAAGAATATAATTTCTCACCACTCTTATTCAACAATGTACCAGAAGTCCTGGCAAACACAATAAGACATAAAAAGAAAATGAAAGCTCTACATATTGAGGAAGAAAAAATAAAATTACTTTTGCTTGTAGACAGCATGATTGTCTATGTAGAAAATCCAAAGGCTCAACAAAAACTCCTGGAACTAATAAATAATTTCAGCATGTTGCAAGATAACATATAAAAATGCAAGATAATATACAAGGTTAATACGTAAAAATCAATTGCTTTTCTATAAACCAGGAATGAACAATTAGATATTGAAGTTAATAACTAACATTTAAATTGGCATCAAAAATGAAATATATAAATATATTAATCTAACAAAACATATATAAGATATATATGGAAATACATATATTTATATATACTATATAGTAAATATATATATTTTCACTATGGAAGTTTTTAGTTTTTCAGATATATGTATTTCCAGATATATATATATATATATATTAGATATATAAAAATATATGTATTTCCATATATATAAAAATATCTATATTTCAGATATATATCTAATTAGATCTATGTCTATTAGATATTTGAGTCTCTTTTCTCTCTATATATAAACTTTGGAATCAGTTTGTTCATATCCACAAAATGACTTCTTGGGATTTTGTTTGTTGTGATTTTGTATGAACCTGTAGATCAAGTTGGGAAGAATTAGATTATTGGATATATTAGATTATTAGATCTAATAGATCTATATCTATATCTATATCTATGGACATATATGTATCTGGAAAACTAAAAAACTTCCATGATGAAAATTGAAGAAAATCTAAATAAATGGAGAGGTATTCATGTTTATGGATAAGAAAACCCAATATTGTAAATATGTCTTCCCAAGTTGATCTACAGGTTCAAACAAAATCTCAACAAACAAAATCCCAAGAAGTCATTTTGTGGATATGAAAAAATGGATTCTAAAGTTTATATATAGAGAAAAGAGACTCAAAATGGCCAAGACAAAATAGCAGAACAAGGAGAAGTGATACCACCTGAACTTCAAGATGTACTACTATAAAGCTACAAAAGTCAAGACAATGTGGTATGAAAAGTAGACAAATAAATCAATGGAACAGAATAGAAAGCCCAGAAATACATCTATATAACTATACTCAGCTGGCCTTTGAAAAAGAAGGAAGGCAATTTAAGGAGAAAGGATAGTTTTTCAACAAACGGTGCTAGAACAACTGGACATCCACATGCAAAAAATAAATCTAGACACAGACTTTCTACTTTTCACAAAAATTAACTGAAAATAGATCATACACCTAAATGCAAAACACAAAACTATAAAACTCCCAGAAGGTAAGATAGTAGTAAATTTAGATGTCCTTGGGTATGGTGATGACTTTTTAGACACAATCATAAAAAAGAAAGAAATTTTGTCATTTGTGACAATGTAGGTGGACCTGAAGCGCATTATGCTGAGTAAAACAAGCCAGGCACAAAAATACAAGTACTGCAAGATCTCGCTTATATGTGGACTCTAAAAGTGCTCCTTGGTATATAATCAAAGGAAAACTTTTGTTCATGCAAAACATGTACCCAGATATTTATTGCAGTGTTAGTCATCTTTCTGTAGGTGAATAGATATAAACAAACTGTGGTACAGCCATACAATGGAATATTATTTAGCTAAAAAAGAAATGAGCAAGAATGCCAAGGAAAGGTATACGGAAACCCTAAGTACATATTACTAAGTGAAAGAAGTCGTCTGAGGGGGCTACATATTGTGTAATTCTAATTAATTATATCACACTCTAAAAGTAAGAACTATGAAAACAGTAAAAGATCAATGGTTGCCAATAGTTTGGGAGGAGACAGGGTAGGATGAATAGGTGGAAAATGAGTGATTTTTAGGGCAGTGACATTATTTTATATGATATTCTAATGATGAGTACATGTCATTATTCATTTGTCAAAACTCACAGAACGTACAACACAAAGAGTGTACTCAAATGTACACTCGGGACTTCAATTCAAAATAATGTCTAAATCTTGCTTCATTGATTATAAAAAATACACAACGCTAATTCACAATGTTAATGATTGGGAAACTATTTGTGTGTAAAGGGGGTACTATAGTTTCCACATAATTTTTCTATATAACTAAAAGTTCTCTAAGAATGGCCTAGTGTATGTATAAGAAATAAATTTGTAACATCAATTAAATAATTTTGTGTGAGATATGTAAATGTGGCTCCAAGTGAAGAAAAATAACAATCATGAAAATAATGAAAAAAGTGTTCAATAATTACCTCCAAAGAAGTTGCTAGAATCAAGAAACTTTTTGATGGAAATAATTCCATTGTGAATCAGATAACTTATAAACTATACACAAAATGACCTATATTAAAGGAAAAGTTACAAAATAATTGCATGAATCTAGAAAATCTCAGATTTCAAAATACAGTAAATACAGCAAAAAAGAAAAAGTATATTTTATACACTTTTGTGGAAAAATCTTAAATTATTAGCATCTCAAATCTGATGGCATTAAACTGTATTAAAATGGTATAAATTGTCTTAAAATTATATTACATTTTCTAAAAAGTTACTATGATATGAATATTACCAAATACAAATTTCTCCATTAATCTAAGAATATTTCAATATATAAATTCATATAATTCATTGTATTACTGAAGATTATATCATAAAAGATGATAATAAAAGATAAAGGGATTATTTTGATAGATGCAAAAATAATATTTGCTGAAAATCACATCTATATTTTAAAAATCTTTTGGTAAAACAGAAATAGGGGTGTACTTTTCTATCAAGAAAATATACCTATTTTTTGATCAAGGATATCTATACCAACCACTAGTAAAAGTCAAACTGAATGGTCATAAAACAATGCAGAAGTTTCATTAAAATTAACAAGACTAGATATGCGGCATTATTTCTGAGGGCTCTGTTCTGTTCCATTCATCTATATCTCTGTTTTGGTACCAGTACCATGCTGTTTTGGTTACTGTAGCCTTGTAGTGTAGTTTGAAGTCAGGTAGTGTGATGCCTCCAGCTTTGTTCTTTTGGCTTAGGATTGACTTGGTGATGCGGGCTGTTTTATGGTTCCATATGAATTTTAAAGTAGTTTTTTCCAATTCTGTGAAGAAAGTCATTGGTAGCTTTATGGGGATGGCATTGAATCTGTAAATTACCTTGGGCAGTATGGCCATTTTCACGATATTGATTCTTCCTACCCATGAGCATGGAATGTTCTTCCATTTGTTTGCATCCTCTTTTATTTCCTTGAGCAGTGGTTTGTAGTTCTCCCTGAAGAGGTCCTTCACATCCCTTGTAAGTTGGATTCCTAGGTATTTTATTCTCTTTGAAGCAATTGTGAATGGGAGTTCACTCATGATTTGGCTCTCTGTTTGTCTGTTGTTGGTGTATAAGAATGCTTGTGATTTTTGTACATTGATTTTGTATCCTGAGACTTTGCTGAAGTTGCTTATCAGCTTAAGGAGATTTTGGGCTGAGACAATAATGCCGCATATCTACAACTATCTGATCTTTGACAAACCTGAGAAAAACAAGCAATGGGGAAAGGATTCCCTATTTAATAAATGGTGCTGGGAAAACTGGCTAGCCATATGTAGAAAGCTGAAACTGGATCCCTTCCTTACACCTTATACAAAAATCAATTCAAGATGGATTAAAGATTTAAACGTTAGACCTAAAACCATAAAAACCCTAGAAGAAAACCTAGGCATTACCATTCAGGACATAGGCATGGGCAAGGACTTCATGTCCAAAACACCAAAAGCAATGGCAACAAAAGACAAAATTGACAAATGGGATCTAATTAAACTAAAGAGCTTCTGCACAGCAAAAGAAACTACCATCAGAATGAACAGGCAACCTACAAAATGGGAGAAAATTTTCGCAACCTACTCATCTGACAAAGGGCTAATATCCAGAATCTACAATGAACTCAAACAAATTTACAAGAAAAAAACAAGCAACCCCATCAAGAAGTGGGCGAAGGACATGAACAGACACTTCTCAAAAGAAGACATTTATGCAGCCAAAAACACATGAAAAAATGCTCATCATCACTGGCCATCAGAGAAATGCAAATCAAAACCACAATGAGATACCATCTCACACCAGTTAGAATGGCAATCATTAAAAAGTCAGGAAACAACAGGTGCTGGAGAGGATGTGGAGAAATAGGAACACTTTTACACTGTTGGTGGGACTGTAAACTAGTTCAACCATTGTGGAAGTCAGTGTGGTGATTCCTCAGGGATCTAGAACTAGAAATACCATTTGACCCAGCCATCCCATTACTGAGTATATACCCAAATGACTATAAATCATGCTGCTATAAAGACACATGCACAAGTATGTTCATTGCGGCATTATTCACAATAGCAAAGACCTGGAACCAACCCAAATGTCCAACAATGATAGACTGGATTAAGAAAATGTGGCACATATACACCATGGAGTACTATGCAGCCATAAAAAATGATGAGTTCATGTCCTTTGTAGGGACATGGATGAAATTGGAAATCATCATTCTCAGTAAACTATCGCAAGAACAAAAAATCAAACACCGCATATTCTCACTCATAGGTGGGAATTGAACAATGAGATCACATGGACACAGGAAGGGGAATATCACACTCTGGGGACTGTGGTGGGGTAGGGGGAGGGGGGAGGGATAGCATCGGGAGATATACCTAATGCTAGATGACGAGTTAGTGGGTGCAGCGCACCAGCATGGCACATGTATACATATGTAACTAACCTGCACAATGTGCACATGTACCCTAAAACTTAAAGTATAATAAAAAAAAATTAACAAGACTATGATTTTACCTAGTTCTGAAAAAAAAGTAAAAAGTATAATGTATGAATCTAGAGAGAGGGAAAAACTATAAATCTTAAAATTAACTAAGTTCAGCAGTTTCTGTAGACAAAGATGGTAATCAATCAATTCATTTCATGTTGATAACCCTTCACACATGAAAAATATTTTTATTCATATTAGCAACAAAATAAATTTATTTATTTATTTGAGACAGGATCTCACTCCTGTTTCCCAGGCTGGAGTGAAGTGGTGTAATCATGGCTCACTGCAGCCTCCACCTCCCAGGATTAGGTGATTCTCCTACCTCAGCCTCCCAGTAGCTGGGACTATAAGTACGCATCACCATACCTGAGTAATTTTTTTGTATTTTTTACAGAGATAAGGTTTCATCATGTTGCCCAGGCTGGTCTTGAACTCCTGACTTCAAGTGATCCGTCTCCTCTTAGTTCCCCAAAGTGTTTGGATTACAGACATGAGCTACTGCACCCAGCACAAAATAAATGTAAAAGTGGAAAGTTAACAAAGTAAGGACAAGAAAAAAGTGGAAAAAAATAACTGTCTGGAAAAATAGAAAAAAATATTTTGATGGATATAAAATATTTGAAGAAACAATTAGAAAGCTTATTCTTGCAAGCTTGTCAGTTTTACTGAAGTTGCTACCCTGTTGCAATTCCCATCGAAATCTTTTGGGAATGTTATTAAATCTTATTGGAACATGGTGATAATATTCTAATGTTCACCTGAACACTGAATATCTTAACAGGTCCCCTTGCATATGAGTAGTCTGAAGAATTATAATAATGGGGAATTTGTGCACCTGTAGGTTTAAGTGTAATATAAATCTACCGTAATTAAAATCGTAGGCCAGGCACAATGGCTCACACCTGTAATCCCAGCACTTTGGGAGGCCGAGAAGAAAGGATCACTTGAGACCAAGAGTTTGAGACCAGCCTGGGCAATATAGGGAGATCCCGTATCTACAAAAAATTTAAAAATTAGCTGGGCATGGTGGTGCATGCCTGTAGTTCCAACTACTAGGAAGACTGAGGTGTAAGATTGCTTGAGGCAAGGAGGCAAAGGTTTCAGTGAAGCCTAGACTTTGTTAGTACAATCCAGCTTGGGCGACACAGGGAGACCCTGTCACAAACAAACAAACAAACAAAAAAGATCATATGATTCTGGACCATTAAAAAAAGAAATGCACCTACTTCTATGCATAAAAGAGTAACAGAGAGTAGATTTACTGTTACCTTAAACAAATGAAAGAATCAGACAGAATATATGAGCTAACATTTTTTAGACTTTGGACAATAGGTAACACAAAACGAAGTTTGCTAAAAGAAGGAAAACAAATGAAGTGCTCCTTAAAATTGCCCAGCATATCACTGGCGAGTTTCCAGGAAGCACCATATGAGGGGAAAGTCAAACAGAATCTGGTGGTCTCTCTGATGTAAAGAGACAAGTTGTGAATTTGGGAGGTTTGGGCGGTTAGAATTCTCAGGGTATGATACAGGAAAGTGTTACATGGAGAAGAAAGAGGTGGAAAGAGACAGAGAGCTCTGGAAATCCGTACAAGACCTTGACATCTGCAGCACAGATATCTACATTTGAAATCCAGCTCATGGCAGGCTCCTGAGACCTGGCACAGATGGAGCACCTGACCATGGGCCATTAGATACCTGAATATGCAACCAAAACTGCTCACCTGGATTCTGGGTGCTATCGGAATCATAAAGTCTCTTTCTATTGTTTTTCCTTTTAAAAATAAACACTTATTTTATCTCTACCACATGACTAACACTGTTACAAGTACTTACACTTAACTTATCTTACTTTTCCTCTAAGATGACACCTCAGCTCTAGGAGCCTCATTTTTTTTCCTTATCAATCTTAGTTTCCTTCTTGAGCATTCTGCTGTTGTCTGTTTCCTTTCTATCATTTCTTTTACTAGCTAATTATTGACCTTCTATGCCATGCAAGGCAGTGTGCTAGATTATTTAAGGCAAGAGTGGGCAAACTTTTTTTGGTAAAGGTCTAGGTAGTAAATATTTTTGGCTTAGCTGGCCACATTGTATTGGTTGCAACTATTCACCTCTGCCTTTGTAGTGTAAAAGGCATGACAATATGGGAATGGTTGTGCAATAAGACATTGCAAAAGAGGCAGCTGGATAGAATTGGCACATGGATCTGATTTGTTAACCTCTGAATTAAGAGGCTGAAGTATCCCATACCCTCAAGAAGGTTGCAGTATACGAAAAGATTTATGTGTATATACACTTCATTGCAAAGCATAGTGAAATGAGAAAAAGAACACGACTTCAAGTGATGTGTTTAGAAGAATAAAGAGAAAAAACAGATTAACAACCAAAGACTTCAGTTAAAAGTTTTCATGTGAGTGGCCTTAAAAGATGGAGAGAAAAAAGGAATGTTGCAGTTAAAATATTTGGCTAAACACCAAAACAAAGGGAATAAAATTGTGAAATTTTACTTATTCTCACATTCATTTTGATGAATTCATGGCTCAGAGCAGCTTCTGATGATAAATTTTGAATCTAGTGCTAAGTCATTTGTTACAGGGTTAGGTGAGCATGTGTCAACTTCTTGTTGCTCTTAAAGTCTTAGATTATTTCTAACAGAAAACCAAAAATGAATGAAATATTCTTATCTAAAGTAAAGACGATTTATTATTTTCCAGATAACATTTGAAACAATTCAGCATTCTATAATGTATTGACAATAACTAGGTAAAATCATTTATCACTCTGGTAGTAAATTAGCCATTTATATATGATATAATAAATGATCACATAGAATCAATTGTCATATGATTGCCAGTAAAGATATTCAGAGATTAGCTGACAAGGTATATAAAGGTATAATATAATAATTGTATTCAAAAGACTATCTTGAATTAATTTCAATAACCAAAGGTAAAAACTAGGATAGTGTATTAGACCATTCTCATACTGCTAATAAAGACATACCCAAGACTGATAATTTATAAAGGAAAGAGGTTTAATTAACTCACAGTTCAGCATGGCTGGGGAGGCCTCACACTTATGGTGGAAGGCAAGAGAAGAGCCAAGGCATATCTTGCATGGCAGCAGGCAAGAAAGTGTTTGCAGGGAAACTGCCCTTTATAAAACCATCAGATCTCTTGAAACTTATTCACTGTCATGAGAACAGCATGGGAAAAACCCACCCCCATGATTAAATTACCTCCCACCGGGTTCCCCTCCCTGACACAGGGGGATTATGGGATATGATTTGAGTGAAGGCACAGCAACCATATCTTTCCACCCCAGTCTCTCCCAAATCTCATGTCCTCACATTTCAAAACCAATCATGTTTTCCCAACAGTCCCCCAAAGTCTTAACTCATTTCAGCATTAACGCAAAAGTCCATAGTCCAAAGACTCTTCTGAGACAAGGCACGTCCCTTCCATTTATGAGCCTTTAAAATCAAAAGCAAGTTAGATACTTCCTAGATACAATGGGAGTACAGGCATTCGGTAAATACACCCATTCCAAATGAAATAAATTGGCCAAAAGGAAGGAGCAACAGGTCCCATGCAAGTCTGAAATCCAACAGAGCAGTCAAATCTTAAAGCTCCAAAATGATCTTCTGTGACTCCATGTCTCACATCCAGGGCACACTGATGTAAGAGGTGGGCTCCCACAGCCTTGGGTAGCTCCACTCTTGTGGCTTTGCAGGGTACAGCCCCCCACCTGGCTGCTTTCATGGGCTGGCATTGAGTGTACATGGCTTTTTCAGGCTCATGGTGCAAGTGGTCAGTGGATCCACTGTTCTGGGATCTGGAGGACTGCAGCCCTCTTCTCACAGCTCCACTAGGCAGTGCTCCAGTGGGGACTCTGTTTGGGGGCTTCAAGCCCACATTCCCCTTCCTCACTGCCCTAGCAGAAGTTCTTCATGAGGGCCCCACCCCTGCAGCACACCTCTGCCTGGACATCCAGGCATTTTTATACATCATCTGAAAACTAGGCAGAAGTTCCCAAACCTCATTTTTTGACTTCTGTGCACCTGCAGGCTCAACACCACACGGAAGCTGTCAAGGCTTGGGGCTTGCACCCTCTGAAGCCACAGTCTGAGGTATAGCTCGGCCCCTTTTAGCCATGGCTGTAGTGGCTGGGATGCAGGGCACCAAGTTCCAAGGCTGCACACAGCAGGGGGTCCCTGGACTCAGCCCAGGAAACCATTTTTCACTCCTAGGTGGCCCCCCAGCCTGTGATGGGAGGAGCTGCTGCAAAGGTATCTGACATACCTTTGAGACGTTAGTCTCCTTGTTACTTATGCAAATTTCTGCAGCAGGCTTGAATTTCTCCCTAGAAAATGTGTTTTTCTTTTCTATGGCACCATCAGGCTGCAAATTTTCCAAACTTTTATGCTCTGCTTCCTCTTGAACGCTTCGCTGCTTAGACATTTTTTCCATCAGATACCCCAAATCATCTCTTTCAAGTTCAAAGTTCCACAGATCTCTAGGGCAGGAGCAAAATGCCACCAGTCTCTTTGCTAAATCATAGCAAGAATCACCTATGCTTTAGTTCCCAACAAGTTCCTCATCTCCACCTGAGACCATCTCAGCCTGGACTTCGTTGTCCATATCACTATCAGCATTTTTGTCAAAGCCATGCAACAAGTCTCTAGGAAGTTCCAAACTTTCCCTCATCTTCCTGTCTTCTGAGCCCTCCAAGTCTCTAGGGAGTTCCAAACCTTCCCACATTTGTCTATCTTCTTCTAAGCCTTCCAAACTGTTCCAATCTCTGCCTGTTACCCAGTTCCAAAGTTGCTTTCACATTTTCAGGTGTCTTTACAGCAGCACCCCACTCTACCAGTACCAATTTACTGTATTATGTATTAGTCCATTCTTATGCTGCTAATAAAGACATAACCAAGACTGTGTAATTTATAAAGGAAAGAGATTTAAGTAACTCACAGTTCCACATGGCTGGAGAGGCCTCACAATCATGGTGGAAGGCAAAGGAGGAGCAAAGGCAGACCTTATATGGCAGAAGGCAAGAGAGTGTGTGCAGGGGAATGGACCTTCATAAAACCATCAGATCTCATGAGACTTATTCACTATCATGAGAACAGCATGAGAAAAGCCTGCCCCTGTGATTCAATGACCTCCCACTGGGTCCCTTCCACAAAATGTGGGGATTATGTTAGCTACAATTTAGGTTAAAATTTGGGTGGGGATACAGCCAAACCAGATCAGATAGAATCATAGAGATTAGTTTGATTTTATAATTTGTTAATTAATAGGAGCTTAAATTTAAGTTGATAGAATTTAAAAATTGTAAAGAATGCTAAATGCTATTTACCTTGGCCAACTGATTTTAAAGATTAAAAATCTAAGAAATATTTGACAAATAGCTCAAGGTCACTCTACTAGGAAACAAAAGCAGTGAGGGCTGGGGACGGTGGCGCATGCTTGTAATCCCAGAAATTTGGGAGGCTGAGATAGGCGAATCACCTGAGATCAAGAGTTCGAGACCATCCTGGCCAACATTGTGAAACCCCATCTCTACTAAAAATACAAAAATAGCTAGGAGTTGTGGCGCACGCCTGTAATCCCAGCTACTCGAAAGGCTGAGGCAGGAGAATCGCTTGAACCTGGGAGGTGGAGGTTGCAGTGAGCCGAGATGGTGTCATTGCACTCCAGCCTGGGTGACAGTGAGATTCTTGTCTCAAAAAAGAAGAAGAAAAAAAAAAAGGAAAGAAAAAAAAAAGAAAAAAGAAAAAAAGGCAGTGAGACCTTGGGCTTCCATTTCAATTGCAATTTTTTGATGTGTACTCAAATTTTGAATAAAGGCCTTGATTTATCAGCACTATCCGTGACTCAGTAATTATCAGAAGGAGGACAATTTGACTACGAAGTGACAATATTTATCTTTATTATAATACATTTAAAATGGTAATTTTTCCTCTTAGAATTTATTGAAAATATTCTATTTTCTTCAATATCAAATTGAGCTCCATTATCTTTTAAAAAAATTGCCATAGCTAAATAATTTGCTGGGTTTAGTAATTACTGGAGTTCCATATTTACATTCCAGTTCCTCCTTGGGCCTCTGGCAATTCCAAGTGCAGCCGAATTGCCTGTCTCATAATGTACTACAGCCTATTGTGTTTGTCCCTTGAAGACTTCTACATGGAAATGGGTGCAGGTAAAATGGAGATCAGTGATCAACACTTAAAGCTCATAGGCAGACATTGCCTAGGTGTATCTTCAAAAGAGAAAGGGCAGATATTTAAAGATATCCTCTTTGACCACCATATCTTAGGATCAGGCACTTCACTCTGTAAGATGAATAAAGCTTTAAATAAATATCAACAATATTTTATCATATGCATATATTCATTTATTACATTTTTGAATAATATATTTTTCATTTATACTTTTTTGATTAACAAAGAATTTAGGATTACCTGAATTATAGAATTTTAGAGCGGTAAATACACACAAATACTTGCAAGAGTTAAACCAAAAGGAAATCTGTAATTTTCAGTATAGAGAGGGTAGGTACAAGGAAATAAAATTGTGATGGTGTAGGAAAAAAAGCCAAGAAGGCTAACTAGATGCAGCCAGGAGGAACTTCTCCCATGGGGACCAGACCATAAGTAGAGTGGTATACGCCGAACAGATCTTCAAAAGAAAAAACTGAAAGTGGACAGAGGGAGGATGCAGACCCTGGACTGAAAGGGGAGGAAGCTGGGTACCCTGCATGGGGTTGCCTAGCACCTGGAATCATTCCTGGTGCCAAGTAGCTCCTAGGGAAGGGGTGAGTGAAATAGACATGGAGTAACCCACTTTTGCCACATACCTCTGGGATCATAGCTGTGGGAGACCCTCTGACCCCACATACATATGAGTTGGCTGGGAGAACTGCCCAGAGGGTTGGGGAGACAGAACTCCAGCCTACATTGAGCCCAGAGGGTTTGGTGTGGGAACTGTGGCAGTGGAGCATGGCCATGGGTCTCCATCCATTAAGGCTCAATAAACTCCTCTAGGAAGCTTAGGCTTTGTTAGCTGCCATACCTGGACAGAGCAGGACTGTCTTGCCTGTGGATGGGGCCAGTCTGATCTGAGTGTCCCCATGTCTGCTAGCATCTCCCAGGGTCCTGTCTGGCCACATTTGCTTAGAGTGCAGCTTCAGTTGCCCAGCCAAGGTGCTTGCCAGCAGTCACTGCCTAGCTCTTTCACTGGCACACCCTGTTGGAACACTTTTGCAGACAGATCCTCACAAGCATGCACAAGCCCACAGCCTTCCCTCATCAGTGTGTGCGGTGTGCACTCATCCGTAGCCTCCCTTACTGCCCCACTGGCGCACATGCACACAGGGACCTGCCATCACCATACTGGAGCACTTGTTCCAGCAGCCCCCGTTGGAGTTTTTCTGTCAGTGGACTGAGAACACCTTGGCCCCTCCAGTGCATCAAGCGATTAACATCAGGGAGCTAGAGAATAAAGCTCTGGGCCTGGTCCCAGCCCTTCAGGGTTAGAGCATGCAGCCCAGGAATGCTGACCTGAGCCTTGCTCCTTAAAGCATCTAGGAACAAAGCCAATTGACTAAGCCCAACTTATACCACAGTCAAGCCCTCAAGGGCATCAAAGAATATAAAAGCAAAAAGTCCCATCCAAACCATCCAAAAGACAGCAATTTCAAAGATTAAAGAAACAACAACCCACACAGATGAGACAGAACCAACATAAGAACTCAGGCAACTCTAAAAGCCAGAGCGACTTCTTACCTCTAAATGACCATACTAGCTCCACAACAGTGGTTCTTAACCAGACTGAAATAGTTGAAATGACAGACATGGAATTCAGTATAGATAGTAAGGAAGCTCACTGGGATACAGGAGAAGGTTGACAGCCAATCCAAGAAAAAAAGCACAATTTTCCAAGAGCTGAACAATGACATAGCCTTTTGAAGAAATAATCAAACTGAACTTTTGGAAATGAAAAGAATACTACAGAATATTCAGAGTGCGACTGGAAGCATTAATAACAGAATAGGCCAAGCTCAGGAAAGATTTGCAAAGCCCGAAGTTCACAGCTTTGAAGCAATGCAGGGAGACAAAAATAAAGAAAAAAGAATTTAAAAAGGAACAAAACTTCAAGAAATATGGGATTATAAAAAGACCAAAGCTATGGCTCATTGGTATTCCTGAGATGAAAAGAGAGCAAGCAACTTGGAAAACATATTTGCAGATATTGTCCGTAAAAATTTTCCCAGCCTCACTGGGGAGGTTGACATGCAAATTCAGGAAATTCAAAGAACTCTTGTGAGATACTAAATAAGATGACCATTCTCAAAACATAGTCATCAGATTCTCCAAAGTCAACATGGAAGAAAAAGTCTTAAAGGCAGCTAGAGAGAAGGGGCAGGTCACGCACAAAGGGAACCCCATCAGGCTAACAGTTGGCCTTTCAGCAGAAAACTTACAAGCCAGAAGAGATTGGGAGACTACATTTATCATCATAAAAGAAAATAAATTCCAATGAAGACTTTCACATCTAGCCAAACTAAGCTTCAAATGTGAAGGAGAAATAGTCCTTTTCAAACAAGCAAATCCTAAGGAAAAACATTACTACCAGACCTACTCTACAAGGATTCCTTAAGAGAGTGCTAAACATAGAAATGAAAGACCACCACAAGACCTGCCACGAAAAAAACACACTTACGTGCACAGCACATTGGCACTATAGAGCAACTATACAACAAGCCTGCATAACAACCAGCTAACAATATGATGACAGGATCAAATCCTCACATGTCAATAGTAACCTTAAGTGGGAATGGGTTAAACTCCCCACTTAAAAGACACACAGTGGCAAGTTAGCTAAATAAATATGCTTACTCCAATAGACCCATTTCACATGCAATTACACCTGTAGGCTCAAAGTAAAGAGATGGAAAAAGATCTACCAAGCAAATGGTAAACAAAAAAGAGCAGGGGTTGCTATTCTTATTTCACATAAAACAGGCTTTAAACCAACAAGGATTAAAAGGGACAAAGAGGGACATTACATAATGATAAAGTGCTCAATACAACAAGAAGACTTAACTATCCTAAATATATATGCACTTAACATTGAAGCACACAGATTTATAAAATAAGTTCTTAGAGAACTACAAGGAAACTTAGATAACCACACAGTAAGAGTGGAAAACTTCAACATCCCACTGACAGTGTTAGACAGAGCACCAAGGCAGAGAAGTAACAAAGATATTTGGGACCTAAACTCTACACTGGACCAAATGAACCTAACAGACACTTACAGAATACTCCACCCAACAATAACAGAATATACGTTCTTCTCATCTGCACATGGCACATTCTCTAAGATCAACCACATACTTGATCATAAAGCAATCCTCAACAAATTCAAAAGAACTGAAATCATACCAAACACACACTCATGTAACAGCACAAGAAAAATAGAAATAAATACCAAAAATATCTCTCAAAAACATGCAATTACATGAAAGTTAAACAACCTGTTCCTGAATGACTTTTGGGTTAGGGATGAAATTAGGCAGCCATCTAAATATTCTTTGAAACTAATGAAAACAAAGATAAAACACACCAGAACCTGAGACACACCTAAAGCAATGTTATGAGGAAAGTTTGTAGCACTAAATGCCTACATCAAGAAGTTAGATCTCAAAGAAACAAGTTTACATCACACATTGAGGAACTAGAAAAAAAAGAGCAAAACAACCCCAAAGCTAGCAGAAGACAAGGAATAACCAAAGTCAGAGATGAACTGAACAATATTGAGAAAAAAATCCATACAAAAGAGCAGTGAAACCAAAAGTTGGTTTATTAAAGAATAAATATGATTGATAGATGTCTAGCTAGAATAACAAAGAAAAAAAGAGAGAAGATCCAAATAAACACAACCAGAAATGACAAAGGTGACATTACCACTGACCCCCGAGAAATACAAAAAAAATATCCTCACAGATAATGAACACCTCTATGTACACAAACTGGAAAACTTAGAAGAAATAGATAAATTCCTAGAAACATACAACCTCCCAAGGTTGAACCAGGAAGAAGTTGAAATCCTGAATAGACCGATAAGAGTTCTAAAACTGAATCACTAATAAAACACCTACCAACCAGAAAAAGCCCTGGACCAGATGCATCACTTCCAAATTCTACTGCATGGTTAAAGAAAAGCTGGTACCAATGCTATTGATATTATTTCAAAATATTGAAGAAGAGGAACTCATATGATGAGGCCAGCATTATTCTGATACCACAACCTGGCAGAAACACAGTGAATAAAGAAAGCTTCATGCCAATATCCCTGATTAACATAGACCCAAAAATTTTCAACAAAATGCCAGCAAATTGATTCCAGCAGCACATCAAAAAGCTAATCCTCCACAATCAAGTAGGCTTGATTCCTTGAATGCAAGATTAGTGCAAATCAATAAATATAATTCCTTATATAAACAGAACTAAAAACAAAAACAACATGATCATCTCAATAAATGCAGAAAAGGCTATCAATATAATTCAACATCCCTTCATGTTAAAAACCCAACAGACTAGGCATTAAAAGAATATACCCCAAAATAATAAGAGCCATCTCTCACAAGCCTACAGCCAACATCATACTGAACAGGCAAAAGCTTGAACAATTCCCCTTGAGGACCAGAACAAGATGAGGATGCCCTTTCTCACTACTCCTATCAGCAGAGTATTGGAAGTCCTGGCCAGAGCAATCAGACAAGGGAAAGAAATAAAAGACACCCAAACAGGAAAGGAGGAAGTCAAACTATTTGTCTTCACAGGTGATATGATTGTATACCTTGAAAACCACATAGTTTCTGCATAAGTCGCTTTGAACTGGTAAACAACTTCAGTAATGTTTCAGGATATAAAATCAATGTGCAGAAATCAGTAGCATTTCTATAAGCCAATAATGTCTAAGCTGAGAGTCAAATCAAGAATGTAATCCCATTCACAATAGCCACAAAAAGAATAAAATGACTAGGATTACAGCAAACCAGGGAGGTGAAAGATCTCTACAACAAGAATTACAAAACGCTGCTGACAAAAATCAGAGATGACACAAACGAATGGATAAACTTTCCACACTCATGGATAGGAATAATCAATATTGTTAAAATGACAATACGGCCCAAAGCAATTTATAGATTCAATGCTGTTCCTATTAAACTGTCAATGTCATTTTTCACAGAATTAGAACAAAACTATTCTAAAATTCATATGAAACCAGAAAAGAGCCCAACTAGCCAAAACAATCCTAAGCAAAAATAACAAATCTGGAGGCAAAACACTACCTGACTTCAAAATATACTACAAGGCTACACTAACCAAAACAGCATGGTACTGGTACACAAACAAACATATAGACCAATGGAACAGAATAGATAACTCAGAAGTAAGATTACATACCTACAACCACTTGATCTTTGAAAAAGTCAAACAATAGCAACCAATGAAGAAAGGACTTCAAATTCAATAAATGGTGCTGGGAGAAGATTGAAGCTGGGCTCCTTCCTTATGCCATATACAAAAATCAACTAAAGATGGATTAAAGACTTAAACATAAAACCCAAAACTATAAAATTCCCAAAAGAAAACACAGGAAATACCATTCTGGACACAGGCTATGGCAAAGATTACATGATGAAGATGCCAAGAAGCAGTTGCAACCAAAACAAAAAATGACAAATGAAACGTAATTAAACTAAAGTGTTTCTGCACAGCAAAATAAAGTATCATCAGAATAAACAAACTACAGAATGGGAGAAAATATTTGCAAACTATGCATCTGACAAAGGTCTAATATCCAGAATCTATAATAAACAAATCAACAAGCAAACAACAAATAACCCCATGAATGCATGGGCAAAGGAAATGAGCAGACACTTCTCAAAAGAAGACAAACAAGCAACCAACAAACATGAAAAAATGCTCATCATGACTAATCATCAGAAAAATGCAATTCAAAATAACAATGAGATACCATCTCACACCAGGCTGTTATTAAAAAGTCAAAAAGTAACAGATGTTGGCAAAGTACTGGAGAAAAGGGAATGCTTATACACTGTTGGTAGGAATGTAAATTAGCTTAGCTCCTGTGGAAAGGAGTTTGAAGATTTCTCAAAGAACTTAGAACTACCATTCAACCCAGCAATCTCATTGCTAGGTATATACCCAAAGGCATATAAGTCATTCTACCAAAAATACACATGCACACATATATTCATCAAAGCACTGTTCACAATAGCAAAGAAATGGAATCATCCTAGATGTGCATCAACTGTGGACTGAATGGAAAGATGGTACATATACACCGTATAATACTACACAGCTATATAAAAGAATGAAATCATGTCCTTTTCAGCAACATGGATGTAGCTAGAGGGCATTATCCTAAATGAATTAATACAGGAACAGAAAACCAAACACCACATATTCTCACACTTATATGTGGGAGTTAAACATTGAGTACACATGGACACAAAGAGAGGAATGAGAGATACTAGAGCCTACTTGAGGGCAGAGTCTGTGAGAAGAGTGAAGATTGAAAAAATACCTATTGGGTACTATGCTCACTACCTGTGTGACGAAATCATTTGCACATCAGACCTCAGTGACACGCAATTTACCCACAGAACAAACTTGTATATGTACACCCTGTACTTAAAATAGAAATTGAAAAAAAATTGTTATGTTTTTATGTCCAATTTTGTCTGGTTAAAAAAAAACTCACACACATGTTTTCCTTCATTTTAGAAAAACTAAATACAATTAGATTGTTAACTGTTCTTTTATTTATTTTTCTAAGATTCTGTGATGGGTATTTTTTGGTCTAATGGATTAATCTAACGATCGTTAATATTTGGTCAGTTTTGTAGGTTTTATCTATTTTTGCATTTAAATGACACCCTTTTCTTCTTCAGTAAAGCAAATTATAATCTTTTACTTTTTAACAATTCAAAATGTTTGTATGAGTGTAGCCAACTGAAAACTAGTTTACCAGAAACGTTGGGTGTTTTTATATTTTATCCAGTATTTTTGGTAAATGAAATAAAGACATTTAAAGTTATTTGATCTGCCATGTTGCTGGAAGTGGAAGTTCCACTTCTTTTTTCCTTTCAATTTAAAAAAGTTTATTTAATTTCAAAAGCAAAGCTTCTGTTTGATGGAGAGTGGAGAATGATTTGTGGTGTTAGATTAATACCCTATTATCTGGTACTTCTCAGAGCTACCAATAAATTTGTAAAATGCAGCTTATTATTTCTTTTTCAACTTCAAAAACTATATTATATTGGTCTTATTTTATTTTCTTTGCATACTGTGTAGATTACATGGGACAAACAATATTATTTCCATTTGGCCAAGGAGGAAGCTGATGCAGAATAAGAGGCTTTGCTTAAAGTTCCTTAACAAACCTAAAAATAAATTTGGGATTTAAATACAGTCCTCCTGCATCTCAGCAAAGTGTGTATCCTATTAATATTATCTAAAATGCCAATTCGGGAATGGCATACATATACTGGATTTTTAAATGCTCTACTCATTTGAACTATGTGACCACAGAAGAATAATGGTGAAATAAAAAGAAAACTTGATGCAATTACTAAAAATATTTTTATCATAATTTTTGTTCAAATCCTTAAAATATATTCTTAGTGGGCAGCATTGAGGATCCAGTTATTTTATTTTTATTTTTTGCTAATATCTACCTTTTTTTCTATCTCTTTGTTTTTTCCGTAGATTCATTCCACAGTGCTCAAGCCATCTAATTCTTAAAAGAGTAAGGGATATAACTCCTACTTAACTGGGGAAAAGGAAGCCATTCCATCTTAGTTTCTCTTCACCTTTACTTATCCCTTCTTCTTTTTCTTTCCTTTAACAGAACAATATACTTTTGTTACAAGATTAAAATTCCCAACCATCCTATTTATCTAGTTACTGCAAATAATTTGCCACTTCAGTTGTCCCCATCCTGCCTTGGAATACTGCCATCCACAAATTCTTTTCTTCCCCATATGCTCAATTCTTGTGTATCCTAAAAAATTCCCTAAAACCAGCTTTTTTCTCAAACTACCATCCCATACATTTTCTTTACTTTACTATCAAAATGTCAAGGGTAGGCCATTCTCTTGCATTTTTTTCATATACATGCCCTTAAATTTAATTCCTTAAATTAAGTATTCTGAGTCATAGAACTCTTCTAGCTTTTCATAAATTAATAAATTAGCCCCAGGAAAATGAAAATGCCTACAACATTTTTCATAACATTTCAGGGCATTAGATATAACAAACTCATCATTGACCCTGGAAAGAAGGTGCTTTCAAGTATTCTGAAAATAATTGCCCCGGTGTGTGATGTTCCCCTTCCTGTGTCCATGTGTTCTCATTGTTCAATTCCCCCCTATGAGTGAGAACATGCGATGTTTGGTTTTTTGTCCTTGTGCTAGTTTGCTGAGAATGAATGTTAAATGAAGAGTTACTGGGTGCAGCACACCAACATGGCACATGTATACATATGTAACTAACCTGCACGTTGTGCACATGTACCCTAGAACTTAAAGTATATTAAAAAAAATAATTGCCTATAGGACTTATTAAAGTATAGACCAATGTCTTATCCTGGAGCTTTTTTTAACAGGCTTTTATGGGAGACACCTTGAGAATTAATTTTTTTGGCAAGTGTCTCTGATGTGATAGACAGAATTCTATAGCTATCTCCCCTGCTCCAAGTTTCCTATGCCCTGTTTATTCAATTAAACACTAACCTACGAACTACTGTGAAGACACTCTGCAGATAGAAGCATGGTTACTAGTCAGCCAAACCTAAATTTTTTTTTGTTTCCTTCCTTCTTCCTTCCTTCCTTCCTTCCTTCCTTCCTTCCTTCCTTCCTTCTTCCTTCCTTCCATCTCTCTTTCTCTCTTTTTGACACAGGGTCTTGCTCTGTCACCCAGGCTGGAGTGCAGTGCCACAAGCATGGCTTACTGCATCCTCAACCTTCTGGGCTCAAACGATCCTCCCATCTCAACCTCCCAAGTAACTGGAACTACAGGCACACGCCAATATCCCTGGCTAATTAAAAAAAATGTAGATATGTGGTCTCACTCTGTTGCCCAGACTGGTCTTGAACTCCTGGGCTCAAGCAATTCTCCCATCTGGGCCTCTCAAAATGCTGGAATTACGAGGCTCAGCCACTGCACCCAGCCAGCTGCTGTTAAAATAAAGATAACATGTCAGATTATTGGAGTGAGCCTAATGTAATCACATGAGCCTTTAAAAGCAGAAAAGGAAAGCAGAAGAGTCAGTTAGCGAGTTGGGGCAGAGGAATAAGGGAAAAGAGATCCAAAAGAAGGAGGAATTGAGAGAAATTCCTATAGTAAGAAGGCTTTGATGTGCCTTGCTGGTTGTAAGTGGAGAGCCATGTGAAAGGACTAGAGAAGGTCTTTAGGAGCTAATGACAGCCCCTAACTGACAGCTAGGAAGAAAATGGTGTCCTCATTCCTACAGCTGTAAGAAAATGAATTTGACCAATATCCTGAATAAACCTGGAAGTGGCTTCTTTGCGAGAACCTCCAATAAGCAATGCAATCCTGTTGACACCTATATTTTAGCCTGATGAGATGTGTGTCAGATTTCTGACCACTCGAAACTATGAAGTAATAAATTTGTGCTGTTATAAACTGCTAAGTTTGTAACAATTTATTACAATAGCAATAGAAAATCAATACGCTTGATGATTCATTTTCATGTAATCCACAGCTCTCTCCTGAACGATTCTTGTACTAAGGTTAAGGACTCCTGTCTTATATTTAAATCTTAGTCCTCATATATGCCAAGCAGATTTTGACAAAAAATGATGAATGATCTCCAGATTTCTAAGACCAGTAAGTTTTTCTTTATTTCTTAGCTTTCATCCTTTTAATTTTTCTTCAATATTTGATATTTTAGATTTTTTCCGTATTGAAATTCCTTTCTGCATTGACTGTACCACCATTAAAATTTTGATTTTTTTTCTTAGTTCTCCTTTCTATTTCCTCATACTCTGTATAGTCCCCAAATGGAGATTTCTCAAGGCATTTTCATGGCCGTTTACACTCAATTCTGAATTACATAATCAACCCATGGCTTTATATATCACATGATGTGTGAGAAAGAGAGTGATGTAGTATACTGTGCATGAACTTTAAAGCCAGATGGAACTTACTTTGAGTCTAAGCTCCATGGTTTACACTGCATTAGTTGACTGTCATTAAATTATGCTGCATAAGAAACAACTTCCAAGTCTTAGAGAGTTGCAACACTAAAGTTTTACTTCCTTGCTCATATATATTTTTTCATGTCAAGTGTGGTCCGCTTTGTTTTACATGTCTTTATTTTAGATCCAGGCTGAAGGAGCAAACCTTGTTTCCTGGAAAAATGAAAAGGACAATGTCATATCCATGTGATGGTTCTTGAAGTTTCTGATGGGATATAGCATACATAAATGTCTAGAGGAAGTCATATAGACAAGCATGATATCAGTGATCTGGTGAACTATATTCCTTCACCTGGGAGGCACAGAGAGCCACATGGCAAGGGACAGGGACATATACTATTTCTACTGGGAAAGAGACACAAACTTGGGAGAAATAATACAATCTATCTAAAAAATGCTTTTATAACAGTAATAACTTAATTGTACATTTTCTTAGATCCATTTTACTAATTGATAAATGGAAGATAGCAATATTTATTCCACAGGTTGTTTTTAAGATTAAATGAGTACATGTATTTTAAAAACTTGCCCCAGCATCTGATACATTGTAGATGTTTAATAAATACTGGTTAATTCCATTCTCCTTTTTCTAATTACTCTAAATAATTTTTTTGAGCTCTAGGAACCAGATATTTCGTTGTCTAAGGACAATTTTGCCCAGTGCTTCTAACACATCATACTCCACAAATCCTTAATTTTTCATTATTGTCCCTGAAAAACATACTTTGCTCCTGTACTTTCGACCTTTGAAAAGTAACTGATTCATCAGCCACCTAGGAATGAAAACTATAATTTTTATTCCTCAATCATTGTTTCCAACCAATATGTTAATAGGTCCTGTTAACAGGCTTTTTTAGTACTCATTCTAATTGCTTCGAACATAATTCAAGAGCCTGTTATATTTTCTTTGTGATATTTAAAAATCCTCTTGAGAACTAACATAATGACTAATTATAAAATTTGTAATTTATAATTAGCAGAAAAAATTATTTATCTAAAACTTCCCCGCCCCTTTTTTTTTGCATGAGCTGCTTCAATAGCCTTTGAGCATTTTTTTTGAAATTTGTGTTTTATTTTTGCTACTTCATTGCAGCAAATTAGCCATAGTGTTTCCATTCTTTGGGTTGATTAATTTTTTAAAAAGAAATAATAATATTTTAAAGTCATATATTAAGTATATCTCATATAACAAGAAATTGATAAACATTGGAGTGGTTGTTTCACTTTCATCACATTTTCAATCCAGTGCCTTGATGTTTCAACTTCTCTTTATGTGGGTTCAGTTCAATTGAAGCTAATTTTCAGTATGTTTCAAAATTCAGACACTGAGCACTTCTTTAATGACCAACATTTTTTATGAAAATGGATAGGATTTCCCTTAAGTACAGTTTGTTATCTTCTCAATTGTTGTATCTTACGTCTACGTTTGTCTACAGTAGCTACGTGATCAATGCATCTAATTTGTATCATAACTCCTTTGGTTAAAGAATTTTGGCAATTCCAAAATGAACATGCACATATGCTTTTGTTTGCAGACTGACAAATCTAAAAAATCTAAAAACTAAAAACTGATAAATCTAAAAATCTAAAAACTGATAAAAATAGCTAATGAACTTTATTTATAGAATCTATTATTATTACATCTATTATTTCATGTACATGGTACTGAATGATATAGCAGATAATTCCTGAAACGAAAAGGAGTACATGAAGAATTCATTTGATTGACCCATATAAAAATCTGTATATTAAGAAAGGGGATAAAGATAGCATATGAATTAAAATATCTACAAGAGATAGATCCCACTTTGTTGTTTAGAATAGTAGTCTCTAATTATGGGAAAGACAGAAATGTACTTCATATCTACTGTTCTGATGCAATAGTTAGAACAAAACAGGTAGGACAAAATGACTGCAAAAAAACCTCATCTTTGGTGAAAAAAGTTTGCAAAGACTGTTGAAATATTCCAGTGCAACACAAATTACTGTATATTTTGTAAGAAATCAGTAAAATCTAGCTTTTTTTTGGTGGGGAGTTGTGAAAGTAAAGTGATTTGGTCCCTTGATTATTTGTTGGAATTAGTCATTAAGTGAACTGGTTACTTGGTAAACTATATTTTGTTATGCCTCCAAAAGTGACCTTTAACTAGATATATTTCAGAGAATTAGTTTGTTCTCTGAATTGACCATCATGTGTTTAATCTCTTGCTCATCACATTTATTCTAATTAGTATTGCTACTTTCCATTTATAAACATTTAATCGGACCACTGTCATCTCTAAAATACTTGTAAATGACATTCAAATTCTTATAGAGTATAAACCAAATCTCCCATCCACTCATAGCTTCCATACGTAGTGTGTGTTTTGCTACACCCTGCTCTTACCAATACCATGGCACCATCAGACACTTACCAGCACCATACATTATTTTCCAAGCCAGGAAGTATATTGATAAATGCTCTTCCTATCATATACCAATCCAGTCCAGTTCAAATGTTCTGTCTTAAATAGGCTTTTCCTTATCTTCATAATAAAACTAATAACTTCTTTTTACTTATGGCCATAGTTGGTTTGTTTTATAATATATCAAAGGCACAATATGAGAGAATAATAGGACAAAGGAAGACTAAGACTGCTCTGGTCAAGCTCCAAAAGTTGCTAGTGCTTAGAAGAGACTATCACAAGGCTTGGATGAAGCTATCAACAGATTAGTGAGCTGCTTTTCCAGAAATAAGTTTTTTTAAATAAAAGTTTATCCAGAATTAATCTGACTGCATGTAACTGACTTATACAAAATGATTTCATAAGCAGCTGATGTTTTGTAAATCAGAAATCAATTTATTTTCATAGGTAATTAAATACTTGGCTCAAAAATGCAGGGCAGCACTTAGCATTCAGGATTTGGCACATCATCCTAAGGAGAATGTCTGCTTTAGTGTTGCTACATGAAGGCAGGGACTATGTGTGTAATATTCACTAGATGTCCCAGAGATGAACACAATACCTTGCATAGAGCAAGTGCTCAAAAATATTTGTTTAATCAATTAATAAATAAAAAGGATTAAAAAGGCATTACTATGGCCCTGTGCAAACCAAAAGCCAATTTTTTGCTATATACGGTGGTGAGAGTTTGAGAATAAAGGGATTGAAAATTATCAAGGTTGCTGCTGTTTCCTCCTCTTCCTCCTTCTTCTTTTCCTTCTTCTTCTTATTTCTTCTTCTCCTTCCCTCCCCCTTCTCCTCCTTTCCTTCCTCTTCCTACTCTTTCTTCTCCCCATCTTTCTCTTTCTCCTTCTTCTCCTCTTCCTTTTCCTCCCTTTTTTCCCTCATCCTCCCACTCCTCCTCCTGCTCATCATACTTCCCCTTCTCCTTTTTTATTTTAAAATATGGCAAGTAGATAAATTACAGTGCTCCACAACAGAAATATTTCTTCCTTAAAAACTATACTTGGTTGCCTAGAATTATAACTTCTTGTTCTCCATGATAAAGATAAACACTGGCATACATTTGGTCCTTGCCCATGTCTATTTTCTTGGGTTACAATATAAACCACTAGTCAATTATTATTCCTTCAATATAAATGATGGCTTACAATAAAGAAGAAAAATCTAAGTATGCTACAATTTCCTTAGATCAGAAATGACAAATTGGTAGCCCTAACCATGCCGTATATGTTGTCTGAGTGTGTTTTTTTTCCTATGTTTGATTTGATCTGCAATGTGTCTTCAAAAGCAATATATATTGGGAGTCACCATGTTAAACTGAACTTCAAGCTGTTTTATGTTTATTGTTTTATATTATATATTATACATTATTTAATATATAATATGTTGTATGTTATATAATATGAAATTATATAATAAACTATTATATAATATATAATTAATAATAATTATATATTATTTTGCATGTTGGACCTCATTGTTTTGAGGTTGTGATCATATGTCTCAATCATTATGTTGCAGGCATATCTTCCTGGAAATACACTTACATATTAACAATATTCTGAAAGCTAGCATATGACAATGATGGGAAGCTTTCTTACCCATCCTATGTACCTGTGAAAAAGTACTAATAACAATTGCAATTATACATTTGTTGCCTTATATTTGTCTGTAAGATAAATGATGATAAGACTGTATTTTTAAGTTAGAAAATAAGCTATTTGAAAGTGAGGATATATCTTTATTATATTTTTATTACAGAATATCTAGCACAGTGATGTTAGAGAGTAACAACAAAATAAATGTGTGTTGATTTTTTTGAATTTAAAATACCACAAAAAGACATAACCATTGGACTGTAGATTCTGAATTAGAAATGTAAATATAACACTTGTCTGAAGAGAACACAGTAGGTATAGAATATCTTACATAAACAAAATTACAATCAAGTGTTTCTAAGTATTGTTTACACATCAATGACTTAATAAGCAAATATTTACTGGCACTGTATTAGTCCATTCTCATATGCTTAATAAAGACATACCCAAGACTGGGTAACTTAAAAAGAAAAAAAGGTTTAATGGACTCACAGTTTCACATGGCTGGGAAGGCCTCACGATTATGGCAGAAGGCAAAGGAAGAGCAAAGGCACATCTTTCATGGTGGCAGAAAAGAGAGCATGTGCAGGAGAACTTCCTTTTATAAAACCATCAGATCTCTTGAGACTTATTCACTATCATAAGAATAGCATGGGAAAAACCCAAATCCATGATTCAATTATCTCCCACCAGATCCCCCCCATGATACATGGGTATCATGGGAGTTAAAATTCAAGATGATATTTGGGTGAAGACACAGCCAAAACAAATCATTCTGCCCCTGCCCCCTCCCAAATCTCATGTCTTCACATTTAAAAACCAATCATGCCTTCCCAACAGTCCCCCAAAGTTTTAACTCATTTCAGCATTAACTTAAAAGTCCACAGTGCAAAGTCTAATCTGAGACAAGGCAAGACCCTTCTGCCTATGAGCCTGTAAAATCAAAAGCAAGCTAGTTACTTCCTAGATACAATGGGAGTACAGGGATTGGGTAAATACACCTGTTCCAAATGGGCAAAATTGGCCAAACAAAGGGGCTACAGGCCTCAGGCAAGTCAGAAATCCAGCAGCAGGGCAATCAAATCCTGAAGCTCCAAAATGATCTCCTTTGACTCCATTTCTCACATTCAGGTCACACTGATACAAGAGGTAGGTTCACATGGTCTTGAGCAGCTCTGCTCCTCTGGCTTTGCAGGGTACAGCCCCTCTCCTGACTGCTTTCATGAGCTGGCATTGAGTATCTGTGGCTTTTCCAGGTGCATGGTGCAAGCTGTTGGTGGATCTACCATTACAGAATCAAGAACTGTGGCCCTCTTCTCATAGCTCTACTAGGCAGTAACCCAGTGGGACTCTGTGTTGGGGCTCCAACCCCACATTTCCCTTATGCACAGCCCTAGCAGAGGTTTTCCATGAGAGCTCCACCCCTGCAGCACACTTCTGCCTGGGCATCCAGGCATTTCCATACATCCTCTGAAATCTAGGTGGAGGTTCCCAAACCTCAAATCTTGACTTCTGTGCACCCACAGGCTCACCACCATGTGAAGGCCACCAATACTTGTGGCTTGCGCCCTTTGAAGTAATGGCCTGAGCTGTACATTGGCCCCTTTTAGCCATAACTGGGATTTGGGGCAACAAGTCCCTAGACTACACAAAGCACTAAGGGCCTGGGCCCAGCCCACAATACCATTTTTAACTTCTAGGCTTCCCAGCTTGTGATAGGAGGGGATGCCATGAAGACCTCTGACATGCCCTGGAGACATTTTTCCCATTGTCTTGAAGTTTAATATTGGGCTCCTCATTATTACTTATGCAAATTCTTGCAGCTAGTTTGAATTTCTCCTCCAAAAATGGGTTTTTCTTTTCCATCACATTGTCAGGCTGCAAATTTTCTGCTGTTAAGCTCTGCTTCCCTTTTAAACATAAGTTCCAATTCCAAACCATATCCTTCAGAATGAATAAAACTGAAAGCTTTGAAGAGCACCTAAGTCATCTGTTGAATGCTTTGCTGCTTAGAAATTTCTTCCACCAGATACCCTAAATAATCTTTCTCAAGTTCAAAGTTCCACAGATTTCTAGGGCAGGGGTAAAATGCTGCCAGTCTCTTTGCTAAAGCATGGCAAGAACCACCTTTGCTCCAGTTCCCAGTAAGTTCTTCATCTCCATCTAATACAATCTCAGCCTAGACTTTTTAGTCCATATCACTATCAGCCTTTTGGTCAAAACCATGCAACGAGTCTCTAGCAAGTTCCAAACTTTCTCACATCTTCCTGTCTTCTGAGTCCTCTAAGTGTCTAGGAAGTTTCAAACTTTCCCACATTTTCCTATCTTCTTCTCAGCCCTCCAAACTTTTTCATCCTCTACCTGTTACCCAGTTCAAAAGTCACTTCCCCATTTTGGGGCATCTTTACAGCAGTGCCCCACTCCCAGTATGAATTTACTGTAATAGTCCATTCTCACATTGCCAATAATTTAAACAGGAAAGAGAGTTTTAATGGACTTACAGTTCCACATGGCTGGTGAGACCTTAAAATCCAATCATGGGGAAAGGCGAATGAGGGGCAAAGTCACGTTTTCTATGATGGCAGGCAAGAAAGCATGTGCAGGGGAACTGCCCTTTATAAAACCATCTGATCTCATGAGATTTATTCACTACCATGAGAACAGCATGGGAAAAACACACCCCCCATGATTTAATTACTTCCCACTGGGTCCCTCCCATGACACATGGGGATTATGGGAGCTACATTTCCAAATGAGATTTGGAGTGGGGACATGACCAAACCATATCGAGCACCCAGTATGGCTATGCTTTGTTGAAGGAGCCAGGGATAGAGTGGTAAATAAAAGAATAAAAATGTATGCCCTTATGAAACTTACGTTTTACTGTGGAAACAGAGAGTAAAAAAGAGAAGTAATTATAGAATAAGTACTATAATAATATCACCTGAAACCTCTTAGGATTGCAATTATCTAAAGCTAAAAGACAAAAAGTATTGGTGAACATAAGGAGAAAAGAGAAGCCTTGTACATTGTTTGTGAGAATGTAAATTAATACAGCCATTATGGGAAACTATATGGAGGTTCATCAATAGATTAAAAATAGAATTACCATATGTTTCAGAAATCCCACTTTAGAGCATATATCCAAAGTCACTATACCAAAGAGATCTGCACTCTCATTTTCATTGCTGTATTATGGAAATAAGTGTCCATTGACAGATAAATGAATAAAAAGTATGTGGGCATATATACACAATAGAATATTATTCAGCCTTAAAAAAGGAGATCTACAGTAAGCAAAACAGCACAGTGTTGGTACAAGAACAAACACAAAGACCAACAAAACAGAATAGAGAACTCAGAAATAAGACCACATACCTAAAACCATCTGATCTTTGACAAACCTGTCAAAAACAAGCAATGGGGAAATGATTCCCTAGTTAATAAATGGTGCTGGGAGAACTGGATAGCCACATGCAGAGAATTGAAATTGGACTGCTTCCTTACACCATATGCAAAAACTAACTCAACATGGATTAAAGACTTAAACGTAAAACAAAAATTTTAAAAATCCTAGAAGAAATCTAGGCAATACCATTCAGGACATAGGCACTGACAAAGATTTCATGATGATAATGTCAAAAGCAGCTGCAACAAAAGCAAACATTGACAAATGGGATCTAATTAAACTAAAGAGCTCTGCATAGCAAAAGAAACTATCATCAGAGTAAAGAGACAACCTACAGAAGGGGAGAAAATTTTTGCAATCTGTCCATCTGACAAAGGTCTGATATCCAGAATTTACAAAGAACTTAAGCAAATGTACAAGAAAATAACAACCCCATTAAACTGTGGGGAAAGGACATGAGCAAATACTTCTTAAAAGAAAACTTACATGTAGCCAACAAACATATGAAAAAAAGCTCAACATCACTGATAATTAAAGAAATGCAAATCAAAACCACAATGAGATATCATCTCTTGACAGTCAGAATGGCTATTACTAAAAAGTCAGAAGAAAACGGATGCTGGGAAGGTTTAACAGAAAAAGGAACGCTTTTACACTGTTGGTGGGAGTTTAAATTAGTTCAACCATTGTGGAAGACAGCATGGTGATTCCTCAGAAACCTAGAGGCAGAAATATCATTTGACCCAGCAATCCCATTACTGGGTATATACCCAAAGAAGTATAAATCATTCTATTATAAAGATACATGCATGTGTATGTTCACTGCAGCACTATTCACAAGGCAGAGATATGGAATCAGCCTAAATGCCCATCAATGATAGATTGGATAAAGAGAATGTGGTACATGTACACACCATGGAGTATTATGCAGCCATAAAATGGAACAAGATCATGTCCTTTGCAGGGACATGGATGGAGTTGGAAACTATTATCTTCAGCAAAGTAACACAGAAACAGGAAACAAAAACTGTATGTTCTCACTTATAAGTGGGAGCTGAATGGTGAGAACACATGGATACATTGTTGGGGAACAACCACAAACTGGGGCGCTTTGGGAGGACAGCAGGAGGGAGAGCATCAAGAAGAATAGCTAATGGACACTGGGCTTAATGCTTAGGTGATGGGATGATCTGTGCAGCAAACCACGATGGTACACGTTTATCTATGTAACAAACCTGCACATCCTGCACATATATCACTGAACTTAAAATAAAAGTCCAAGAAAAGAAAAAGAAGATACTGAGATACTGCCATTTATGGCAACACAGATGACACTGGAGGACATTATGCTAAACGAAAAAAGCCACACACAGAAAGACAAATAATTATATGTAAAATCAAAAAAAGTCAAACTAATTGTAACAGAGAGTCAAATGGTGGTTACGAGGGCCTCGGAGTGGAGAAAAAGGGGAGATATTGGTGAAAAGATACAAACTTTCAGTTGTAAGATTAATATTAGAGTACTAGAGACCTAATGTACAATATGGTGACTATAATGTATTGTGGACATGAAATTTGTTAAGAAAGTAGATCTTAAGTGTTCTCACTACACATACACAAAAACACACACAGAAAAGGTAACTGTGTGAGGTAATGAATATGCTAATTAGCTTGACTGTGAAAATTATTTCACAACATATGCATATATCAACATATGTTGTACCCCTAAATATATACAAGTTTTTTTTTGAGGTGGAGTCTCGCTGTTTCACCAGGCTGGAGTGCAGTGGCATGGTCTCAGCTCACTGCAACCTCCACTTCCCGTGTTCAAGCAATTCTCCTGCCTCAGCCTCCCGAGTAGCTGGAACTACAGGCACGCACCACCACATCCAGCTAATTTTTGTATTTTTAGTAGAGATGGGGTTTCACCATGTTGACCAGGATGGTCTTGGTCTCTTGACCTCGTGATCCACCTGCCTCGGCCTCCCAAAGTGCTTCGATTACAGGCGTGAGCCACTGTGCCTGGCCATACATACAATTTTTATTTGTTAATCATACTTCAATAAATCTGGAACAAAAAGAAAAATAAAACAAAAGATATAGAAAGTTTGGTACTGTCTTTAAAATTGTTAAGAAAGATATTATGGATAAAGTGACATTTGTGCAGAGCTCTATGGTTGTGATGAAGCAAGCCATGTAGGATATCTGGAGGAAGATCATTCGAGGCAGAGGGAATAGCAAAGGAAGAGGCCTTGAGTTTGAGATATGCTTGCTGTGCTCCAGGAACAGCAAAGAGGCCTGTGTGTCAGAAGTAAATGGGTACAGGAAGAAATAGTAGTAAATGAGACTAGAAAGGAGTGGGGTGCTCCATTATGTAAGTGCTTGTAAGCCATCATAAGAACTTTGGGTTTTGGAGTTAGAAAGCCACTGGGAAGTTTTGAGCAGAAGCATAACAAGAATCTGCCTTGTGCATTAGAAGGACTACTCTGTGTTGAGAATGGACTACTTATGAAGGGTGAAACAAAAGTTAAGCAAAAGACCATATACTTGTGGGCCACATGGATGTTTTCTTTTGAAAAGTGTCTGTTCATACCCTGTGTCCACTTTGTAATGGGTCTGTTTTTTGCCTGTTCATTTATTTAAGTTCCTTATAGATTCTGGATATTAGAGCTTTGTCAGATGCATAGTTTGCAAATATTTTCTCCCATTCTGTAAGTTATTTGTTTACTCTGTTGACAGCTTCTTTTGCTGTGCATGAGCTCTTTTGTTTAATCAGGTCCCATTTGTCAATTTTTGTTTTTGTTGCAATTACTCGTGGCATCTTCATCATGCAATGTTTGCCAGGGCCTATGTCTAGCATGGTATTTCCTAGATTATCTTCCACAGTTTTTATAGTTTTAGGTTTTATATTCAAGTCTTTAATCCATCTTGAGGTAATTTTTAAATATGATATAAGTGAGGCGGTCCAGTTTCAATCTTTTGCATTAGGCTAGCCAGTTATTCCAGTACCATTTACTGGATAGAGGTTCTTCCTCCACTGCTTTCAGTGTTAGGTATATACGCAAAGGAATATAAATCATTCTACCATAAAGACAATGTATACATACACTTATCACAGTACTATTCACTGTAGAAAGACATAGAGTCAGTCTAAATGCCCATCAATGATAGACAAGATAAAGAAACTACTGTACATATCCACCACAAAATACTACATAGTCATAAAAAAGAACAAGGTCAAATCCTTTGCAGCAACAAGGATGGAGCTGGAGGCCATTGGCCTAAGCGAACTAACACAGAAACAGAAAACCAAATCTGTATGTTCTCACTTATGAGTGGGAGCTAAACACTGAATACACATGGACACAAAGAAAGGAACAATAGCCACCAGGGTCTACCTGAAGTTGGCAGGTGGAAAGAGGGTGAAGATAGTACCTAGCAGGTACTTTGCTTACTACCTGGGTGACAAAATAAACTATATGCTGAACCCCTATGGCGTGCAATTTACCTATATAACAAACCTGCACATACACCCCTGAATCCAAAATAAAATTTAAAAATAAAGCAAAGAGACCATTTATAATTCAAGAGAGAGATGATAATAGTATAGGCAGTGAAGGTTGGGAGGTGTGATTGAATTCACAATACCATTTGCCTTGAATTTGCTGATGGATTGGATGTTCGATGTGAACCTGAGAAGGAAGTCAAATGTTTGAGGACAACCTGACAGGGTTGCCATTGTCCACAACAGGAGAAAGCAAGACTCCAAGAAGAGCAAGTTTCAGGGATTAAATCAGAAGTTTGTTTTTGGACACTTTAAGGTATCTATTTGAGCTACCCATTAAAAACAAGGATTTGGATTTATGACTCTGATAGGAAAAAAAAGATCCAGAATGGAGATACAAATTTGGGAGTAATTCTCAAGTGTATGGTGTATATTATGAGATGTGATCATTAAAGATCTGAGTGGAGAAGAAAAAAGATGAGTGAATAAGCCCTTAAGTATGGCAACATTTAAGGTTGAAGGATAAAAAAGAACAAGCAAAGCATACTGAGAAAGAGTCACAAATGAAGAAGCTGTTTCATAAAGGAGAGAATTATCAGTTGTAAGTTACTATTAATAGGCAACTAAGATGGGATGAAGAATTAGCCATTGGAATTAGCAAAGTTTCAGTAGGAAAGAGAGGGGTGGATATCCCAGAGAATGAGAATGGAAAAATTGGAAGAAGTAAGTACAGAAACATTTGATTTATGATACTTAAGTACTAACCCATGGATCAATATTTAACATATATATTTTGACTTATCTCCAGCAGAATACAGTCAGATTTCTAATGAGGAATTAAGTTCAACTTATGCTCATAGTGAAATGGAACAGCATCAGGTTTGTAAAGAGAGCCATTATAGCAGAGAAAAAGTTTATTAAATCTTCATTTCAAAAAGTCTTGGATTAGAATGACACCTATGTTAGTTTGCAAAAGTTAACTCACATTTCTGAATTTGTTTCATTCAACTCGGTACATGCTTAGCTTATTACCCAGAATATAGTCAGCCCTTGAATGGTTGTTATTGTTCTTTTTGTTTTTCTAACCATACTAACTTTCTTCATGTATCCATTATTATCTGTGCCACCTTACCTGTGACATTTCTTCACCAATTAAAACTGTTAGTAAAGCTTAAAATTTTTTTAATTTAGTTTTATTCAGCAATTATAGTGAGTTAGAAAATTCATGGAAGGAGAAAATCCCTTCTCCTTCCTAATTCTGCATATCAAATTGCTGGGGAAATGAGCCAGCTTTGGTTGCTTAGTGAGTCACCTCTCCCTTCTCTAAGATTCTTGAAACTTGCTGTACTAATCCATTCTCACAGGGCTATGAAGAAATACTCGAGACTGGGTAATTTATAAAGGAAAGAGGTTTAAGTGACTTACAGTTACGCATTGCTGAGGAGGCCTCAGGAAACTCACAATCATGGCGGAAAGCAAAGGGGAAGCAGGCACCTTCTTCACAGGGAGGCAGGATGGAGTGAGTGCAAGCAGGGGAAATGCCAGGCACTTACAAAACCATCAGATCTCATGAGAACTCACTTACTATCATGAGAACAGCACGGGGAAACTACCCCTGGGATTCAATTACCTCCACCTGGTCCAGCCCTTGACGAGTGGGGATTATGGGGATTAAGGGGGTTACAATTCAAGATGAAATTTTGGGTGGGGACACAGCCAAACCGTATCACTTGCATATGGTTAGGGTTATCACATGCCTTGTTTTATGTCTGTTGGCTCACCAGAATTACTAATGACCCTTTTAAATTTCAAAATTGTTCATGTTTTTTAGAATATAGTATGTAATTGACCTATTAATGGGACAGGCTTTAAATCTGGGCTCCTGTACTGGTCTCCTGTATTTACAGTCTCACTTTTACCATGCAAATACTAGTTCTTGTTCTCTTGTATTTGAAGTCATACTTTGATCCTCCTTTGGAGCTTTATAATCACATTCATTCTATTTCTATTGATTTTTTCCTCTTACTTTTATTTTCTCAACCACTTTTCTTATTCCCACTGTCAATGTGCACCTAGCAAACAAAACGTTCTCTTAATCCTGAGAAATTGTTGTGGAAGTGGTGTCAAAGTCTGCATTTCAACATGCGGAAATATTCTACACTTTGTGAGGAAAATATTCCGTTAAAAAATAATTTTCTCTTGCTTTGAATAACAGATTAATTTTTTAACTCATTTGATAAAATCACTTAAAACTTTTACAACACTGAGTGTTTGGGATATACTTTTATTTTTTGGTCAAACCTCAAATGTAATATTATAGGTTGTTATTGATCATTGTGGGTTTTGACATTTTCATAATATCTGCAGGACTATTTCCTAGTAAATCTTTCCAAAGTTATGTGTTGTGTCCATACATGAATATAACTATTTATTTGTTATGTTTGTTCTACTTATCTCGTAGGTATCATCAAAGTTGTCTGGCACAGCATTGAGAAGGCATTTACAATAAATGGCAGCATTGCATTGTTTTTACTCATAAAAATGAATAATGAATAAATAATATGAAAAATTATATTCTGTCATCATGCACATGAAATCTAATTTGATTAACTTAGCACTTTGTAATGTTAATATTCTATTATGTCATAAATTATATGAAATATAAAAGATTCCAGATTCTTAGATTGAAAGAAAAATCTAGATGATTTCTTGTGAAGTTTATGATATTCATGACTTTATATACACATATTACATATTTAGGCAAATTTTTGAAGGATATTACTAATGTAATATTTATGATTAAATTTTAGCTTTAATACTCTGCTTTTCTTTTTCTCCTGATATTAAGAAAGAAAAACTGGAATCCATTTCAAGCTAAAGAGGAAATTCAACCTGGACTATCTTTCTTTCAAGAAAATTAACAAAGTACCAATGGAGTTCTTTATCTATGGAGTGCAGACTTCATTAATTAATCCTTTTTATCTGTGACAGCTAAAGGTAAATCTAGAATATTCTGCCTCCTTGAAATTATTTCTAGTTTTACTTTTACTTGCTAAACTACATTCTTTCAACCATATGTTATCTTTTGTTAAGCATGTAGAAATTAAATCAAATGGTATTGCACTGTTTTTTGCCTTGCATTGACGTTTTAAAAGATAGCCATTTAGATAAATACTTTTTCATATTATTAACTTAATAATTTTGAGAGCAACAGAAAGCAAATGGAGAATATTTTTGTTACTCCTCATTTTCATAATAGTGGAAGGTGGAATTCATATGGCATTATAAGTAGAAATTTTCTGCATCACTAAGAACATGGCTTACAATATAATGCCTCCTGGACAATTCAGAAAATTATTCTCATAAGAAAAACTTCTAGTCATATATCATGCACTGTCTGCACTATTTTTCTCCCTTTTCACTAAATATGCTTTCCACAAAAAAGGAATACAGTATTTAGTTCATCACTTCCTGCTATCTATTCCTCATTCCAAACCAATATGTGTTCTGATCATTTACTTTAGAAATAATTATTATTCAACAGTGCAAAAAGATACCATGAAAATGCAAGACAACGAAATCCTGAAAACATATATGTTTTTCTTTTGGACTTAATGTTTTAACTGTTTTTGTTGAGGCCTCAGCTGCTTATTTAATGCTGATGATTTTTTTTCCTTCATTTAGGGCCTTGCCATTAGACAAATACCTGCCAGGAACCAGTAATGGGAAAACATTCTAGTTACATGGATATTTGTTCATTTAACAAATATTTGTTCACTTTTAACAAAAAGTGACAAGCGTGTCACATTTCATCAGGTCAGGTTGTGTCTCAAGAAAACAGACAATATAAGATAAGCCAGTTCAAAGAGACATGCCTCATCCAGAGCACAGAAGAAAGGAAACATCAATTGCTTAGGATTAGAGAAAGAAAACTCAAACCCACTTATAGGTTAAAAATCACCTGAATTTCAAATACACATTTGCAACAATATAATTGTTTTTCTATTGTATATATATTAAAGCGATGCCTTTTGTATTTCTTATCTATAATAGTTATTTGCTCAATATATTTATATAGTGCAGTGTATTTAACAGCTCTATTTTAATATAAAATTAGGATGGTGGTCCCTTGATTTGAGGGAACATACCATCTGAAGGATTATCTGAAAACTCTGTTATCCAATACAGTAGCCACTAGCCACCTGTGGCTATTAAATTACAATGAAATCAATTAAGTTAGGTGTTTTAGTTTCATAAGTCACGTTGCAATTGTTCAAGAGTTAGGTGTTATTATTAGTAGCTCCTATATTCTCCTATATTGAATAGCACTGAGATAGAATATTTTCATCACAGAAAGTCCTACTGCACTGTGCTAATTTAGAATACTACAGGTAAAATGTAATTCTCACATATTGAAGCTATGTATAAAGTATCCAAAAAAGTGATTTCAGGGTCAAAAGTATGTATTAGTCAAATACTTTTGGCTTAAACATATGAACTGGGCACTGTTTGTGCTAGATTTTACTAGATATCATTGCTTCTAATCACTCTCTGAAGAAGAGATAGGTAATAAATGTATATAATGTAACCTGTATATACAGACATATCTATTTATACACAGGTATCTGTATCTAACCATCTGAATGTATATTAATCTAACCATAAATTCATACTAATGTCTCCAAATCTAATCCTGTACCAAGGAGTTCATTCTAGCCTTCTTTTTACACTTTTCTGTAACTTTCTTCTCTGACAATGAGAAATTTGGATCTCATAATTAAGAATTTAATTATTAACCCTGATATACATGTACAAAAGTTTCAGAATTGTATCTCATATCCTGTACGTGTAGCTTTTTATTTCTTCATTTGAACATTTAAATAATACCGTACGTAGGATTTGCTGGCAATATGGCTGAATAGGAACAGCTCCGGTCTGCAGCTCCCAGCGAGACTGATGCAGAAGGCAGCTGATTTCTCCAATTCCAACTGAGGTACCTGGTTCATCTCATTGGGACTGGTTGGACAGTGGGTGCAGCCCATGGAGTGAAAGCCAAAGCAGGGTGGGGCATGGACTCACTCGAGAAACATAAGGGGTCAGTGGATCTCCCTCCCCCAGCCAAGGGAAGCCGTGAGAGATTGTACTAGGAGGAACAGTGCACTCCAGCCCAGATACTGAGCTTTCCACACAGTCTTTGCAACTGGCAGAACAGGAGATTCCCTCCAGTGCCTATGCCACCAGGGCCCTGGGTTTCAAACACAAAACTGCATGGCCGTTTTGGCAGTCATCGAGCTAGCTGCAGGATTTTTTTTTCTTTTTTTCATACCTGGTATGCCAGCAAGACAGAACCATTCACTCCCCTGGAAAGGGGGCTGAAGCCAGGGAGCCAAGTGGTCTGGCTCAGTGGGTCCCACCCCCACGGAGCCCAGCAAGCTAAGATCCACTGGCATGAGATTCTAGCTGCTAGCACAGCAGTCTGAGGTCAACCTGGGATGCCTGAGCTTGGTGCAGGGAGGGGCATCCACCATTGCTGAGGCTTGTGTAGGCAGTTTCACCCTCACAGCATAAACAAAGCCACTGGGAAGTTCGAACTGGGTAGAGCCCACCCCAGCTCAGCAAGGCTGCTGCAGCCAGACTGCCTCTCTAGATTCCTCCTGTCTGGGAAGGGCATCTCTGAAAATAAGGCGGCAGCCCAGTCAGGGACTTACAGATAAAACCCCCATCTCACTGAGACAGAGCACCTGGGGGAAGGGGCAGCTGTGGGCACAGCTTCAGCAGACTTAAATATCCTGGCTTGACAGCTCTGAAGAGAGCAGCAGATCTCCCAGCACAGCGTTCAAGCTCTGCTCCTCAAGACTGCCTCCTCAAGTGGGTACCTGACCCCTGTGCCTCCTGACTGGGAGACACCTTCCAGCAGGGGTCAACAGACACCTTACACAGGAGAGTTCTGGCTGGCATCTGGCAGGTGTCTCTCTGGGACAAAGCTTCCAGAGAAAGGAACAGGCAGCAATCTTTGCTGTTCTGTAGCCTCTGTTGGAGATACCCAGGCAAAGAGGGTTTGGAGGGGACCTCCAGCAAACTACAGCAGACCTACAGCAGAGGGACCTGACTGTTAGAAGAAAAACTAACAAAGAAAAAGTAATAGTATCAACATCAACAAAAAGGATGTCCAATCAGAGGCCCCATCCGAAGGTCACCAACATCAAAGACCAAAAGTAGATAAATCCGTAAAGATGGGGAGAAACCAACACAAAAAGGCTGAAAAATCCAAAAACTAGAACGCCTCTTCTCCTCCAAAGGATCACAGCTCCTCGCCAGCAAGGGAACAAAACTGGACAGAGAATGAGTTTGACGAATTGACAGAAGTAGGCTTTAGAAGGTGGGTAATAACAAACTCCTCCAAGCTAAAGAAGCATGTTCTAAACCAATTCAAGGAAGCTAAGAACCTTGAAAAAAGGTTAGACGAATTGCTAACTAGAATAACCAGTTTACAGAAGGACATAAATGACCTGATGCAGCTGAAAAACACAGCATGAGAACTTCATGAAGCATACAGAGGTATCAATAGCTGAATCGATCAAGCAGAAGAAAGGATATCAGAGTTTGAAGATCAACTCAATGAAATAAAGTGAGAAGACAAGATTAGAGAAAAAAGAGTGAAAAGAAATGAACAAAGACTCCAAGAAATATGGCACTATATGAAAAGACAAAATCTACGTTTGATTGGCATACCTGAAAGTGACAGGGAGAATGGAACCAAGCTGGAGAAAACTCTTCAGGTTATTATCTAGGAGAACTTCCCCAACCTAGCAAGGCAGGCCAATATTCAAATTCAGGAAATAAAGAGAACACCACAAAGATACTCCTCGAGAAGAGCAACCCCAAGACATGTAATTGTTAGATTCACCAAGGTTGAAATGAAGGAAAAAAGGTTAAGGACAGCCAGAGAGAAAGGTTGGGTTACCCACAAAGGGAACCCCATCAGACTAACAGCGGATCTCTCTGCAGCAAGAGAGAGTGCGGGCCAATATTCAACATTCTTAAAGAAAAGAATTTTCAGCCCAGAATTTCATATCCAGCCAAAATAAGCTTCATAAGTGAAGGAGAAATAAAATTCTTTACAGACAAGGCAAATGCTGAAAGATTTTGTCACCACCAGGCCTGCCTTACAAGAGCTCCTGAAGGAAGCACTAAACATGGAAAGGAACAACTGGTCCCAGGCACTGCAAAAACATACCAAGTTGTAAAGACCATCAACGCTAAGAAACTGCATCAGTTAACATGAAAAATAAACAGCTAGCATCATAATAACAGGATCAAATTCACACATAACAATATTAACCTTAAATGTAAACAGGCTAAATGCCCCAATTAAAAGACACAGACTGGCAAATTGGATAAGAGTCAAAACCCATCAGTGTGCTGTATTCAGGAAATCCATCTCACGTGCAAAGACACACATAGGCTCAAAATAAAATGATGGAGGAATATTTACCAAGCAAATGGAAAGCCAAAAAAAAAAAAAAAAAAAGCAGGGGTTGCAATCTTAGTCTCTGATAAAATAGACTATAAACCAACGAAGATCAAAAGAGATAAAAAAGGGCATTACATAATGGTAAAGGGATCAATGCAACAAGAAGAGCTAGCTGCTGGGCATGGTGGCTCACATCTGTAATCCCAGTACTTTGGGAGGCTGAGGTGGGTGGATTGCTTGAGATCAGGAATTTGAGACTAGTGTGGCCAACATGGTGAAACCAGGTCTTCACTAAAAATACAAAAATTAGCTGGGTGTGGTGGCACACACCTGTAGTCCCAGCTACTCGGGAGGCTGAGGCAGGAGAATCGCTTGAACCAGGGAGGAGAAGATTACAGTGAGCCGAGATCATGCCACTGCACTCAGGACTGAGCAACAAGTGTGAGTCTCCATCTCCAGAAAAAAAAAAAAAAGAAGAGCTAACTATCCTAAATATATATGCACACAATACAGGATCACCCAGATTTATAAAGCAAGTTCTTAGAGACCTACAAAGAGACAGACTCCCACACAATAATAGTGGGAGACTTTAACACTTCACTGTCAATATTAGACAGATCAACCAGACAGAAAATCAAAAAGCATATCCAGGACTTGAACTCAGCTCTGCACCAAGTGGACCTAATAGACTTCTATAGAACTCTCCACGGCAAATCAACAGAATATACGTTCTTTTCAGCACCACATCACACTTATTGTAAACTTGGCCACATAATTGGAAGCAAAACACTCCTCAGCAAATGCAAAAGAACAGAAATCATAACACTCTCAGACCACAGTACAATCATATTAGAACTTCAGCATTAAGAAACTCATGGCCGGGCGTGGTAGCTCACGCCTGTAATCCCAGCACTTTGGGAGGCCTAGGCGGGTGGATCACGAGGTCAGGAGCTTGAGACCATCCTGGCTAAGTTGGTGAAACTCCGTCTCTACTAAAAATACAAAAAATTAGCAGGGCGTGGTGGCGGGCGCCTGTAGTCCCAGCTACTCCAGAGGCTGAGGCAGGAGAATGGGGTGAACCCGGGAGGCGGAGCTTGCAGTGAGTTGAGATCCTGCCACTGCACTCCAGCCTGGGTGACAGAGGGAGACTCCGTCTCAAAAAAACAAAAAACAAAAAACAAAAAACAAAAAAAACAAAAAATAAAAAAACTCACTCAAAACTGCACAACTACATGGAAACTGAACAACCTGCTCTTGAATGACTCTTGGGTAAATAAGGAAATTAAGGCATAAATGAAGATGTTCGTTGAAACCAATAGGAACAAAGACACAACATATCATAACCTGTGGGACACATTTAAAGCAGTATGTAGAGGGAAATTTATAGCACCAAATGCCCAAAAGAGAAAGCAGGAAAGATCTAAAATCGACACCCTAAAATCACAATTAAAAGAACTAGAGAAGCAAGAGTAAACAAATTTAAAAGCTAGCAGAAGGCAAGAAATAACTAAGATCAGAGCAGAACTGAAGGAGATAGAGACAGAAAAAAAAATTCAAAAAATCAATGAATCAAGGAGCTGGTTTTTTTGAAAAGATCAACAAAATAGACTACTAGCCAGACTAATAAGAAGAAAAGAGAGAAGAATCAAATAGACGCAAGAAAAAATGATAAAGGGGATATCACCACTGATCCCACAGAAATGCAAACTCCCATCAGAGAATACTATAAACACCTCTATGCAAATAAACTAGAAAATCTAGAAGAAATGGATAAGTTCCTGAACACATACACCCTCCCACAACTAAACCAGGAAGAAGTCAAATCCCTGAATAGACCAATAACAAGTTCTGAAATTGAGGCAGTAATTAATAGCCTACCAACCAAGAAAAGCCCAGGAACAGACAGATTCACAGCCGAATTCTACCAGAGGTACAAAGAGGAGCTGGTCCCATTCCTTCTGAAACTATTCCAAACAATAGAAAAAGAAGGAATCCTCCCTCACTCATTTTATGAGGCCAGCATCATCCTGATACCAAAATCTGGCAGAGACACAATAAAAACAGAAAATTTCAGGCCAATATCTCTGATGAACATCGATGTGAAAATCTTCAATAAAAACTAGCAAACTGAATCCAGCAGCAAATCAAAAAGCTTATCCACCAGCCCTGCATCCCAGGGATGGTTCAATATAGCAAATCAATAAACATAATCCATCACATAAACAGAACCGATGACAAAAAACACATGATTATCTCAATAGATGCAGAAAAGGCCTTTGACAAAATTAAATCGCCCTTCATGCGAAAAACTCTCAATAAACTAGATATTAATGGAAATTATCTCAAAATAATAAGAGTTATTTATGACAAACCCACAGCCAATATCATACTGAATGGGCAAAAACTGGAAGCATTCCCTTTGAAAACCAGCACAAGACAAGGATGCCCTCTCCCACCATTCCTGTTGAACATAGCATTGGAAGTTCTGGCCAAGGCAATAAGGCAAGATAAAGACATAAAGCGTATTCAATTAGGAAAAGAGGAAGTCAAATCATCGCTGTTTGCAGATGACATGATTGTGTATTTAGAAAACCCCATCGTCTCAGCTCCAAATCTCCTTAAGCTGATAAACAACTTCAGGAAAGTCTCAGGATACAAAATCAATGTGCAAAAATCACAAGCATTCCTATATACAAATAACAGAAAAACAGAAAGCCAAATTATGAGTGAACTCCCATTCACAGTTGCTACAAAGAGAATAAAATACCTAGGAATACAACTTACAAGGGATGTGAAGGACCTCTTCAAGCAGAACTACAAACCACTGATCAAGGAAATAAGAGAGGGCACAAACAAATGGAAGAATATTCCATGCTCATGGATAGGAAGAATCAATATAGTGAAAATGACTGTACTGCCCAAAGCAACTTACAGATTCAATGCCATCCCCGTCAAGCTACCATTGACTTTCTTCACAGAACTGGAAAAAACTACTTTAAACTTTATATGGAATGAAAAAAGAGCCCACATAGCCAAGACAATTCTAAACAAAAAGAACAAAGCTGGAGGCATCACACTACCAGACATCAAATTATACTGCAAGGCTACAGTAACCAAAACTGCATGGTACTCGTACCAAAACAAATATATAGACCAATGGAACAGAACAGAGGCCTCAGAATTAACACTACACCTTTACAACCATCTGATCTTTGACAAACCTGACAAAAACAAGCAATGAACAAAGGATTCCCTATTTAATAAATGGTGTTGGGAAAACTGGTAGCCATATGCAGAAAGCTAAAGCTGGATTCCTTCCTTACACCTCATACAAAAATTAACTCAAGATGAAAGACTTAAACATAAGACCTAAAACCATAAAAAACCTAGAAGAAAATCTAGGCAATATCATTAAGGACATAGGCAAGGGCAAAGACTTCATGATTAAAACACCAAAAGCAACTGCAACAAAAGCCAGAATTAACAAATAGGATCTAATTAAACTAAACAGCTTCTGCACAGCAAAAGAAAGTATCATCAGATTGAACAGGCAATCTACATAATGGGAGAAAAATGTTGCAATCTATCCGTCTGACAAAGGGCTAATATACAGAATCTACGAAGAATTTAAACAAATTTATAAGATAAAACAACCCCATAAAAAAGTGGGTGAAGGATATGAACAGACACTTCTCAAAAGAAGACATTTATGCAGCCAACAAACGTATGAAAAAAAGCTCATCATCACTGGGCATCAAAGAAATGCAAATCAAAACGACAAGGAGATAACATCTCACGCCAGTTAGAATGGTGATCATTAAAATGGTGAGGAAACAGCAGATGCTGGAGAGGATGTGGAGAAATAGGAACGCTTTTACACTGTTGGTGGGAGTGTAAATTAGTTTTTTTATATAAACTAATAGTTTATATAAAGTAGTTATAATAAATTAGTTTTTTATATAAACTTTTTAATATAAATATAAAAAGCAAAAGTACACAGGAGGGGACAGACAGATAATGACAGACAGAAAGCAAGGTGTATAAAATGTTTCACAGACTTGTAAGAATAATGTCAGGAAGGCTAATGCCCAGATAAGAAGCACATGCATCAAAAATGCTTAGGAGCAGCCATGATATTTTAAATCTAAATTTAGAGCAAGAGGAGCCGGAGACTTGGGACTAATGGAAAAATATTAATGGATGTTAGAGATTTTAAAAGTTCATTTTATCTTACTCTTTTCTGCAAGGGAGATTGGGAAGAAATAACAAAATATTGGTCAAATAGAGTAGAAGCTCTGGTTAGGTAAAGTAACTATGGATTGTCATCTTGTTCACAGCATAAGAGATGGAGATCTTCCAGGTGAAATCAATAGACAGTTGTTGGTAACTTATAAGAACTGTGGAGAATGGTATATATGCCAAATATTAGTGACAGCTTCATTTCTCAATATTCAAAAACTTGAAGGAATTAAACACTTCTGAATGCAATGCCAAACTTGTGGATGTTTCTATAACAGAGTAGGAGTTTGAGGCATATAAATCTTAGTTAAGAAGTAATAATGATGTTTCTTGGCTCATGTAGAAAAGAATAACTATGTGCAAGATTTGATAACCACTTTTTAGCATTGTACAGAGAATTCATATGTTAAAAATCACTGGAGTAACTTTGTAAATGTGGCTTCTCCAGAAAATCAAGAAAACTTTAACCTTATTAAGTAACATGGTCAATACTGGTAGAAAGTGCTATAAAGGTATAAGTTACTTCTTGGTATAAGGAAACATAATTATTACATTTGTTGTGCTGTATTGTGTTTGCTTATGGAATTCTTGTAATGCACATTTAATCTTTAACACTTTTTTTTATGTTTGCTTGTGGAATTCTCGATTTTTATATTGCCTCAGCAATTTTACTCAACTGTGGCCTGTGCACTTATATGTTTATTTATAATACAACAAACCTTTCATATCTTCAAAACCATATTCAAGAAACTTAATGTTTCTTCAGTGTTTCTTTAAATGTTCATTCTAACACATTCTTGAATATTAAAATTTCCATGATTTTATTACTTTTGCGCATATAGTATATAATGTAGCTCTGAGGTAGTGTTTTCATTAACTAACTTTAATTTTCTTATTAGCAATTTATATGTTAGTACTATATACTTTGTATTTTATTAAAATATTCTATACTATACTTTGTTTTAACAACTTCAGTTTGATTTCAGATTTAATAAAACATGGCAAGTGTTTCTAATTGGTTTGTATCATAGCTACTTTGCCAACTTATTTACTCTTTCTTGCTATCATATTGAAGGATGATTCATGTAATGTTATTAACCTATCTCTCACCTTATTAGAGAAATATAGCCTTTATCTATATTTAGATAATTTAAACCAAGAAAACATGAACAATAATTTTAAAAGATGTGGAAAAAGAAGATGAAAAGGTATTGACAAAAGAAAAATCATTCAAGAATAAATGAAAGGGTTTTTATGGTTTACATTTTAGTCCTGAAGCGCAGACAGTTATATTTTTAGTATTTTAAATTTTGACTTTATGCTAATGCATCAAGACCTTTTGTTATTGTTGCAGTTATTGTTGTTGAAATATGTCTTCTCCCTTGTGTGCAAAATAGATAAGCTCTTATTGTTTTTTAAGAGCTTTTGTTGGTTGAAAAGCACAAATTACTGGAGACCAGGGATCTTCTTAAATTTTGTAAAAACCTATGAAACTGATTTATTCAATGTGCCGGACTTGGTAGTGAAGAAATGAATGACTTTAACTGGATTTTCATTGTCCCTTCAATTCCTCTCCTGAAACTTATTATTCTTTTCCTCTTGGTTTAAAATTTGGGAAAACCTTATAAATTTCTTATGCCTTTGAGATAAAATAAAGTCTACTTTGAGATGACAAAAGTCTAGTCCAGTATAATATAGCTCCAGACCGTATGTTATAACATCAATTTTGAAAACTTAACCAAATATATCTTCTTCCTTTTCCCTAACACAGATTTGCTGAAGCCTTGGATGCCTTCAGAGAAGCTTAGAAGGCAGGATCAGCTGCTTTCCCACACCTAAATCCGTTTCCTCTGCACTAGCTAACTGCTGCATTGAAGATTCTACAAAAGGGCATAATGTGGAAGAAAGGCAAAGCAATGCTGGTATTGTTGTAATATGATGTTTATGGTAGAAGCAACATTTTTGACCTTTCTTCCTGTGGGGCACTCTTGTTGGTTCCTCAGTGTATTAGAAAACTAAAAAAATGAGCACTTATTTATTTCCTGCAGTAAGAAGTCTGATGTTAAGCAGCTCAGAAATTTTAAAAGGCAGCATTAACAATGCCATCAAGAATCCATGTTCTCATCTTTCTACTTCTCCATCCTTATGTGTTGGCATGTATTTTCAGGCCTGTTTTAACGTAGGGGCAAGAGAAAAGTTGTGCCTTAAAGTTTACGTCTTTGTTACAGATAAATACAAAAGAAAAATATGGACAGTACTGAGTCATATTAATTAAGTTAGTCCCTTTTTGACAAGAACAGAAAATACGTTAAAGTTTTGTAATGTAACACTTTAAGTAAACAATTTTGGGACAGTTTATATTGAAAGAAAAATTGTGAAGATAGTACAAAGAGTTGCCATATACTTTTAACCCGGTTGCTCCTACTGTTAATTTCTTACATTATATGCTAATTTATTATAATTAAACCAATATTAATATATTATTAACTAAAGCCCCCACTTTATTCGGCTTTTCTTAATCGTTAACATATCTTTTTTGTCTGTGTAGGATTCCATCTACAACACTTCATTGCACTTAGTTATTATATCTCCTTAGATGCTTCTTGGCTACAACAGTTTTTCAGACTTTCCTTACTTTTAATGACCTTGAAAGTGCCGAGAAGTACTAGTCATGCTTTGTAGAAGTTGGGGCTTGTCTGCTGTTTTTCTCATGATTAGGCTGTGGTTATGTTCTTCAAAAAGGAAGATCACAGAAATAAAATATCATTTTCTTCAAGTCATGCCAAGGATCTATACTATCAACATGACTTGTGACTGCTAATACTGACTTTGATCACATGGCTGAATTAGTTTTTCAGATTTCTCCTCAGTAAACTTATTTTTTTCCATCCTGTACTCTTTAGAAGGAAATTACTCTGTGTAGCTCTCACTTAAAGAACAGAGGCTCTTAGTGGTGGCTCATGCCTTAATCCCAACACTTTGGGAGGCTGAGGCAGGTGAATTGCTTGGCCCAGGAATTTGAGACCAGCCTGGGCAACATGGCGAAACACCTTCTCTACAAAAAATAAAAACAAATTAGTCAGGCATGGTGGCAAACGTCTGTAGACCCAGCTACTCAGTAGGCTGAGGTGGGAGGATTGCTTGAGATTGGGAGGTTCAGGCTGCAATGAGCTGAGTTGTGCCACTTTACTTCAGCCTGGATGACAGAGCAAGACCCTCTCTCAAAAAATAATAAGAAAAAGAATAGAGGCTCTGCTCTACCTCCTTAAAGGTAGATTATCTACAGAAATTATTTGGAATTTCAGGTGACAGCCTGGGAACCTATGCAATGGGCCTCAAAGTACATAAAAAACATTGTAATCTTTAATTGGTATGTCTGAAAAATTACTTAAAATAATCCTAAGCTTAATTCATAGTATTATTTCTTAAAGTAAGTTTTCTCCACCTACTCCTTAGTATCTTTCTTATCTTGCAGATTTACTAAAGTTTCTCTGTTCAAGCTATGTTCTCAAATTAATAATGAATGTCATACAAAAAAAACCCTTAAAAATCCCCCCAAAATTTATATTTAAGGCTTTTTTCCTCTTTTTCTCCACTTTTGTTCTTTCTATAGTTCTTTATTTCTTATTCTGGGGACACATTTCTCTCCATATCTATGAAAAAATATTCTATATCCCAGTTTAGATGATTGTGTATCTCTATCTATTGATAGAGAGATATCCATTGTGTATCTCTATCTATTGATATCTATCTTTCTCCATTCTATTGATTCTAGATCACACAAACTCCTTAACTAGACTGGTTGGCCCAGAACTTTTCCTAAATGATGGAGGCATGGAGTGAAGTGCAGAGACAAAAGCCAGAATGATTTTTATTAGTCGGCAGTAGAGGATAAAAAGAATAGGTTGAACACATGTAATTAAATACATTTTATTTGGCCCATAGTAACTTAATATTTGAGAGGAGGATGTTACTTAGGTCACATGTGTGACTTAATGGGCAATTTCTTTAGCCAAAATGTCATCAAGTGAATTGGCAACTGCAGATTAACTGTGCAAAAGTTTGCTTAATTTGTGCCCACAGTGCCTGAAGAGAGCAGTACCGAAAATTCTCATTTGTGATTAGTCTTAGGTGAAAATACTCAGCTCCTGTGTCAACTAGTGTGACCTGAAGCACTTTATTTAGATATTAATCATGTTATAATTAAATAAAAAGCTGGCTTACTTCAGTTATACTACAGATCATGGTGCCCCTCTTTTCTATAGTCATGATCATTGAGGAGTAGAATACTGCTTATAAATTTAATCAAAATATATTTCTTGTCTAATTTCTAATAGAAATTTTTACATAAAGCTAATTTAAAAAGCTGACGAGCCATTTTTCTTGAAAGAGAAAGGTTAGAGGATGAAAACAGTTTTTAAAAGTACCTGTAGTATTCTAAAAAATAAATTAATTTTAATAAACATATCTCTAGTTTTGTGGGCTTTTCTTATAACTTCTCTTCATTACTTCCTCAGCTATTCATTTTGTGATGTCCCTGTGTCAGTTGCAATGTTTCCTGTGGGACAACTGTGTCTTAATATTTTAGTAAGAGGACAGCCATGTAATTATCTATAAATAATTTAGCATGTGTTTCATTCATGTGGAAATGATCCAATTAGCCAAAGTGGGGGAAAAATAAAAACTTTCTATGAAATGTTAAGCCACTTACAGTATGGTTTAATTAATTAATTCATTATTATTACTTTAGTCCTGCATTATCTAATTAAAAATATTTTTGAATTCGTATTATCTGCTTAGTTTCTCCAACTGGTTTGAAGCTATTAATACTCATTTTCTCTTTCTTGAAGTTTGTGGCACAAATCTGTGCCTTTGGTTGTAGATTTTTAGAAAGTTTAGCTAGGATTGCTTTAATTTTAGCTAAGATTTTTCCCTTTAACAATGATACGGTTTGGCTCTGTGTCCCTACCCAAATCTCATCTTGAATTGTACTCTCATAATTCCCACCTGTTATGGGAGGGAACTGGTGGGAGATCATTTAAATCATGAGGGCGGTTTTCCCTATTCTGTTCTAATGGCAGTGAATAAGTCTCATGAGATCTGATGGTTTTAACAGGGGTTTCTGCTTTTGTATCTTCCTCATTTTATCTTGCTGCTGTCATGTAAGAAGTGCCTTTTGCCTCCCACCATGATTCTGAGGCTTCCCAGCCATGTGGAACTTTAAGTACAATTAAATCTATTTTTCTTCACAGTCTCAGATATGTTTATATCAGCAGCATGAAAACAGACTAATACAGTAAATTGGTACCAGTAGAGTGGGGCATTGTTGAGAAGATACTAGAAAATGTGGAAGTGACTTAGGAACTGGGGAACAGGCAGAGGTCGGAACAGTTTGGAGGGCTCAGAAGAAGACAGGAAAATGTGGGAAATTTTGGTACTTCCTAGAGACTTAGTGAATGGCTTTGACCAAAACCCTGTTAGCAATATGGACAATAAGTCCAGGCTGAGGTGGTCTCAGATAAAGATGAGGAATGTGTTGGGAAATGGAGCAAAGGTGATTTTGTTATGTTTTAGCAAAAAAACTGGTGGCATTTTGCCCCTGCCCTAGAGATTTGTGGAACTTTAAACCTGAGAGAGATGATTTGGGGTATCTGGGAGAAGAAATTTCTAGGCAGCAAAACATTCAAGATATGACTTGGGTGCTGTAAAAGGCATTCAGTTTTAAAACAGAAACAGCATAAAAGTTTGGAAAATTTGCAGTCTGACAATGTGATAGAAAAGAAAATCCTATTTTCTGAGGTAAAATTCAAACCAGCTGCCGAAATTTGCATAAGTAACGAGGAGCCAAATGTTAATCACCAAGGCAATGGGGAAAATGTCTTCAGGGCATGTCAGAGGTCTTCATGGCAGTACCTCCCATCACCAATCTGGAAGTCTAGGAGGGAAAAAATGGTTTCCTGGGCTGGGCCCAGGGTCCCCATGCTGTGTGCAGCCTAGGGACTTGGTGCCCTACATCTCAGCTGCTGCAGCTATTGCTAAAAGGAGCCAAGGTACAACTTGGCATGTGGTTTCAGAGGGTGCAAGCCCCAAACCTTGGCAGCTTCCATGTGGTGTTGAACCTGCAGGTGCACAGAAGTCAAGAATTGAGGTTTGGGAGCTCCCACCTAGATTTCATAAGATGTGTGGAAATGCCTGGATGCCCAGGCAAAAGTTTGCTGCAGAGGCAGAGCCCTCATGGAGAACCTCTGCTAGCACAGTGTGGAAGGGAAATGTGCAGTCAGAGCCCCCGCACAGAGTCCCTTCTGGGACACTGCCTAGCGGAGCTGTGAGAAGAGGGCCTCCATCCTCCAGACACCTGAATAGTAGATCCACCAACAGCTTGCACGGTGGGCCTGGAAAATCTGCAGACACTCAACGCCCACCTGTGAAAGCAGCCAGGAGGGGGGCTATACTTTGCAAAACCACAGAGGCACAGCTGCCGAAGACTTTGGGAACCTACCTCTTGCATCAGCTTGTCCTGGATATGAGGCATGGAGTCAAAGGAGATCATTTTGGAGCTTTAGAATTTACTGCCCTGCTAGACTTTGGACTCACATGGCCCCTGTAACCCCTTTGTTTTGGCCAATTTATCCCATTTGGAACAGCTATATTTACCCAATACCTGTACCCCCATTGTATCTAGGAAATAACTAGGTTGCTTTTGATTTTACAGGCTCATAGGCAGAAGGGACTTGCCTTGTCTCAGATGAGACTTTGGAATGTGGACTTTTGGGTTAATGTGGAAATGAGTTAAGACTTTGGGGGACTGTTGGGAAGGCACGATTGGTTTTGAAATGTGAGGACACGAGGTTTGGAGGGGCCAGGGGAGAATCGATATGGTTTGGCTCTGTGTCCCTACCCAAATCTCATCTTGAATTGTACTCCCATAATTCCCACCTGTTGTGGGAGAGACCTGGTGGGAGATAATTTGAATCATGGGGGCAGTTTCCCCATACTGTTCTCGTGGTGGTAAATAAGTCTCATGAGATCTGATGGTTTTATCAGAGACTTCTGCTTTTGCATCTTCCTCATTTTCTCTTGCCACTGCCATGTAAGAAGTACTTTTTGCTTCCCACCATGATTCTGAGGCCTCCCCACCATGTAGAACTGTAAGTCCAATTCAATCTCCTTTTCTTCCCAGTCTCAAGTATGTTTTTATAAGCAGCATGAAAGTGGACTAATAGAAATAGGTTAATTGGCTCACTGTATTCTTTGCCCACATTCCCCAATATAGAAACTATATCATTCATTATGAATGTAGATTTCCCCACTAGTGTACTTATTACTAGAATAATGATAAAGGTACAGCAGTGACACAGAGAACTAAAAGTTGTTGATGATTTGATATTCCTTTCCACTAACATTTGGTAAAAAGGTCTTAGAGTTTACTGTAGGGGAGAAAGAAGGAGATTTTGGAGATAAATAGAGTCTGCATTATGCCTGCATAGCCCACACTGTAGATGCTTTGCCTATATATAATTTAACCTTAACTGAAGTAAGCAGTCTTGACTTTTTTTTTGTTTTTTCTTCCTATGAGTTATAAGTTTGATGCTAATAAACTAAATAAATTAAATTTAGTTCTGAAAGCCAGTTCATCAACAAGATGTTTGATTTTCAAGGAAAAAAAAAGAGATTTGGTGTCTACTTCCAAGTTTTACTTATACTAACAGATTCAGCTGAGTATCAAACACACAAACAAAACTATTATCAAGATAACCCATTCATTTCAAAGTGAGATTGATTGTACAGCCTTCAACAAGGCTCCAGCTCATTTATATACTTACTACAATGCTTAGCAATTTCATTTGTCAGAACAGGCTGTTTGATGTACCAGTTCACAGTCTGACTTTATACTACATGGTCTTTTAGGAAAGATTTTCTTCAGGTGAAATGGTTTAAAATGTCTGTAAAACACTGAATAAGTTAGTGCCCAATAAATAATAATATATAGGTTTTGGTGATAGGTGACTGAAATTGTAACTTACAGTCAGTGTAGTAGGTCATATTGCCATGATTGTAAATATTGTTTTAAGGGTTTTATATCTAACACAGTGGCTGCATATGTACCTGTAAATAAATGATTTTCTCCAAGACAAAATTACCCAATATTAAACTTTTTTTGCAAATTAAGACACAATAAGAAAATATTTTATCAACAGTGGAAAAATGGCAATATGATTAAAAAATTATTGAGCTTTTGCCCTAAATATAAATTTTCTTTTTTCTAATATAATAGTTTTTTAATTGAAGATTTTGTTGAGATAATTTTAGATTCACATGCAAGTAACAGAGATATCCTATTTTTCCTTTATCAGTGTTCCACAATGGTAACATTTTTCAAAACTATAGCACAATATCACACCAAGATATTCACACTGATACAAGCTAATGATCCTATTCAAATTTCCTTTGTTCTTCCTATACTTGTTTGTGACTGTGAGTATGTATGTTTAGCTCTATATAATTTTTTCACAGGTGTAGATTGTGTATCCACCACCCCAATAAAAATATTGAACAGTTCTCTCACCACAAGGATCCTTCATGCGTTAGTCCGTTTTTGCACTGCTATAAGGAACTACCTGAGATGGTAATTTATAAGGAAAAGAGGTTTAATTGGCTCATAGTTCTGCAGGCTGTACAGGAAACATGAGGCTGGCATGTGCTTGGCTTCTGCGGAGGCCTCAGGAAACTTTCAATCATAGTGGAAGGTGAAGGGGAAGCCAGCACTTCACATGGCTGGAGCAGGAGGAAGGGAGAGAGGAAGGAGGTGCTATACACTTTTAAGCAACAGGATCATGTGAGAACTCACTCACCATTGCGACACAATACAGAGGGAAAAATCCACCTCCATGATCCAATCACCTCTTTCCAGGCCCCACCTCCAAAACTGAGGATTACAATTGAACATGAAATTTCATATTTGGGGATCCAAACCATATCACCTCACATAGTTTTACTCTTTGATTATCACACCCACCTCCCTCCTGCACACCACCACTTACCAGGTTGTCTAACTCCATACAACCACTACTCTGTTTTCCATTTATAAAATTTTATCTTGCCAGGCAAAAGCCTGTAATCCCAGCACTTTGGGAGATGGAGACAGGCGGATCTCTTGAGGCCAGGAGTTCAAGACCAGCCTGGCCAACATGGCAAAACCCTGTCTCTACAAAAAAATAGCTTGGTGTGATGGCACATGGTCTGTAATCTTAGCTACTCAGGAGACTGAGGCACGAGAATTACTTGAACCTGGGAGATGGAGGTTGCAGTGAGCCGAGATGGTGCCACTGCACTCCAGCCTGGGTGAGAGAGCAAGACTCTGTCTTAAAAATAAATAAATAAAATAAACAAACAAATAAATAAAATTTTATCTCAAAGCATTATATAAATGAAGTCATACACTAGGCAACCTTTTAGGATTGACTCTTTTCACCTAGCATAATTCCCTGAAAATCCTTTAAAGTTGCTGCAGGTATTAATAGAGCTTCTTTTTATTGCTGAATAGTAATCAATGGCATGTAGATAACAGTTTGGTACACCGGTCATGTGTTGTTCACATGTTAACATGTTGAAGAGTATCTGTGCTATTTTCAGTGTTTAACTATCTGTGTTCTCACTATTATGAATAAAAGTGCTATATTTGTTTACAAGCTTTTGGATGAACATAATTTTTTCTCTGTGATAAATGCCCATGAGTACAATTGCCATACAGCAATTGCATATTTACTTTTATAAGACTGTTAAAATTGTTTTCCAGAGTGGCTGTATCATTTTATATTTCCAGCAATGTAAGAATGGTGCAATTTCTCAGAATTTTTGCGAACATTTGGTGTTTTCACTATTTTTTTAAAATTTTAGTCATTTGATAGGTGTGTAGTGATTTGTCATTGTGATTTTTATTTGCATTTTTTATGTTGAGCATTTTTTCATGTGCTTATTTGCCATCTCTGTAACCTGTTTGGTAAACTGTCTCAATATTTTTATTCATTTTCTTACTAAATTTTTTAACTGTTGAGTTTTAAAAGCTTTAAATCATATTTTGTATACTAGTTCATTGCTGATTATGTGATTTGCAAATATTTTCTCTCATTCCATACCTTGACTTCATTTTCTTCACATGTGATTTTATGTATTAAAAGTTCTTAAAAATATTGATGAGATCCAAATTGTTAATTTTTTCTTTAATGGGGTGTGTTTTTGGTGTCATGTCTAAGAGTTATTTGGCTAACCCTATACCCTCAAATTTTCTCCTATATTTTTTCTAAACATTTTATGAGTTCACATTTTGTATTTAAATTGGTGATCATTTTTAGTTAGGTCAATGTTAATATTTTTTCTTGTGGATGTTTAATTTCTCCATCACCACTTGTTGAAAGGGCTGTCATTTTTCTACTGAATATCTTTTGCCCCTTTGTCAAAATTCAGTTGGGCACAGCTTTGTGGGTCTATTTCTAGGTTCTCTATTCTGTCCTATTGACCTACGTGTCTAGCCCTCTGCCATTATTGCACTATTTTGATTATTTTGGATATATAGTAGGCCTTATATCAAGTGAAGTAAATGTTCCCTTTTTACTCTTCTTTGTTAAGATTATTTTACCTGGTCTAGGGCCTGTACCTTTCAATATAAAATTTAGAAGAAACTTGTCTATGTCTACAAAAATCTTGCCGGGATTTTGGTAGAAATTGTTTAAAGCCTATACACCAATCAGGGAAGAGATTATCTCTTTATTCTGTTCAGTTTTCCAATCTATAAACATTATGCATTTCCATATTCATTTAGGTAATTTAAAATTTTATCAATCAGTATTTTGTAATTTTAAACTTACATATCCCACACATAGACCTGTGATAATTGTTATGTGTCACCTTGATGGGGTTAAGGGATGGTCAAATAGCTGGCAAAACATTGTTTCTAGATGCGTCTGTCAGGGTGTTTCCAGAAGAGATTAGTATTTGAATCAGTTAACTGAGTAAAGAAGATTACTCACCGAGGTGAGGCATCATCCAGTCCCTTGAGGGCCTAAATAGAACAAAAAGGTGGAGGAAGGGCAAATTTGCTTACTTTTCTTGAGTTGGGACATACATTTTCTCCTGCCTCCAACAGGTTCCTGGTTGGAGCCCCTGGTTGTTCACTCTTTGGACTCCATGATTTTCACCAGTGTCACCACTACCAAACCCAAGCTCTCAGCCTCAGAGTTGGAATGACACCCTTGGCTCCACTGATTTTCAGTCCTTCAGACTCAGACTAAATTTTACCACCTTCTTTCCTGGTTCTCCTGCTTGCAGACAGCACATTTTGAGACTTCTCATTTTTCACAACTGTGTAAACCAATTCCCATAAAAAATCATCTTATACATATGTATACATTATTTCTGTTTCTCCAGAGAATCCTGACTAATATAGATTTCTTTAGGAATTTATTTGTGGAGCAACTGTAAATGGCGTTGCATTTTTAAGTTTCTACGTGTTTATTGTTAGTCTATATAAATGTTATTGATTTTTGTGTGTTGATTCTATGACATTGCTAGACTCACTTATTTGGTCTAAAAGATTTAGTTTGTTTGTTTTTTTAAATCCCTTGGAATTTTCTATGTAAATGATCACGCCATCTTCAAGTAGTGCAGATTTATTTCTTCCTTTATAAACGATATCTCTTTTTGTTTGTTTGCTTTTCTTGCCTTATTGAACTCACTGGAAATTCTGTCTGAATGTCTGTTCAATAGAAAAAACAGACATTCTTGACTTATTCCTTGTTTGAAAGGGAAAGTATTCAGTCTTTTATCATTAGTATGATGTTAGATACAGGCTTATGTAGACACTCCATGAAATTGAGATAATTCCTTTCTATTCCCCACTTGCTGAAAAATGGGTGTCATATTTCATCAAATGCTTTCTCTGAGTAAATTTTATGGGCATATTTTTACATTTTAGCTTGGAGATATGGTGACTTATTTTGATTTTTTTTTTCCGATGTTGAACCAGCCTTACATATCTAGAATAAATCCCTCTTGGTCACAATGAAATATAATGAATTTAATGAGAATACTTTCAAAAAATTTAGATTGTTCTGAAGGAATTTCAAATAGCCATTAGATCTATTATTAATATTTCCAAACAGTTGTGGGGAAAGTGTCATAAAATTGGTAGTATATTCATTTTAATATATCTCATAAAACAAATCATCTACCTTTGTCCTATATGCAACATTTGTTTGAGAAGTAACGTATGATCACTGAATGAGCTCATTTTCTAATTACCTTAAAATGACCTTAGTAATCTCACATGTTTATAGTAGCAGAGTCCTTTCTCAGGTTTTCCAGTTTTAGGGTGATAGTTTCATTGTCATACGTATATTATAAAGGAAATTTAGCAAGTTGGCTCTTTTGGCCCTTTTTCCTAAAGTAGAGGCTTGAGTTTCAGTTCTATACCCGTTGAGCCTCACTTTTTTAAGAGTTGAGTTTCTCATACATAGTAATATGAATAATTTGTCATAAGGAGAGATAATACTAAGAAAAATATTTAATACAAATAAATTAAAATGCATTGAAAAATGAAATGCTGTGTGTGTGTGTGCGTCTGTGTGTATCAGGAGATTATTTTAAAATTTTACCAGAATGATTTCATCACACTTAAACAAAATTAAGTTTCCAGATTTATCTTGAACGTAACTGCCATTGTTTGAATGATGGTGTTGGAACTTAATCCCCATTGTGGTGGTATTAAGAAGTGAGTCCTTTTAATTACATCCTTAGGTCTCCTTCCTTGACTGCCCAGGGTCGTCTCAAGTCTCTGCTTACTGCATTCTAGTACAGTGCTCCTTGGCTACTTCAGCTGTGGCTCAAGTGGGCCCAGGTGTGGCATGGACTACCACTCCAGAAGGCACAAGCCATACAACTTCGTGGCATCCATGTGGTTCTAAATCTGCAGGTACACAGAGTGCACAAGCTGTGGAGGCATGGCAATCTTCACTGAGATTTCAAAGGATGCCTCAGGGCCCAGGCAGAAAAATACCACAGAGTGGGAGCCAGCACAGAGATTACCATAAGGGCAATGTTTAGTGGAGCAACCGAGGTACGGCCACTGCAGAAAGTCCTTACTGTGGCAGTGTTTAGTGGAGCCATGAGAGAGGGCCCATCTCCAAGACCCAAGAACTATAGAGACACCAGAGTGTCATATCAGCCAGGGAGAGCTGCAGGCATTTGACTCCAAATTAAGAAAGCTGTTGTGGGAGCCGAGCCCAGCAGAGCCATGGTGGCAGGCTCTTGCTGAGCCTTGGGCACTCTACTCCTACTCCAGCAGTTTGTACAGAAGACAGCACATGGAGTCAAAGATTATTCTTAAGCTTCAAGATTAAATGTTTGCCCTATAGGGATTTAGATTTTGTTGGAATCTGTTGCCTCTTTCTTCTTTCCTACTTCCTCCTGTTGGAATGGTAATGTCTGTCCTATGACTGTCCTATCATTTTATTTGGAAGTATATAAACTGATTTCACTTGCAGATGGAGAGAAATTTGCCTCAGGATGAATCATACTTTGAGTCTAATCCATATCTAATTTAGGCAATATTTAGATGAATCTTTGGACTTAGACGTTAAAGTTGATTCTGGAATGAGTTAAGACTTTTGGGGCTATTGGGATGGAATGAAACTATTTTGTATGTGAGAAGGACATGAATTTTGGGAAGGGGGCAGGAGCAGAATGCTACGGTTTGAATGATGGTGTCCCCTCTGAAATTTATGTTGAAGCTTAATCCCCATTGTGGTTAAGCTAAGAAGTGAGGCATTTTAGGAAGTGATTAGGTAATGAGGACTCCTCCTTTGTGAATGGGATGAAGGCCACACAGAATTCAGCTATCTCTTTTTAATTATTTAATTATTTTTAATTATTTTAATTATTTACAGAAAGGGTCTTGCTCTGTCACTCAGGCTGGAGTGCAATGACACAATCACGGCTCACTGCAGCCTTGAACTCTTGGCTCAAACCATCCTCCTGTCTCAGGCTCCTGAGTAGCTAGGATTGCAGGCATGCACCGCCACACCTGACTATTTTTAAAATATTTTATATAGATGAAGTTGGGCTATTGCTCAGGCTGGTCTTACTCTTGGCCTCAAGTAATCTAGGGCTCAGGCAGTTATGTTTTAGTAGGAATTTATCTATAACACGAAATTCTAAAATGCAGAATACCACTTCATTTTACTTGCATTTTTAAGTCTACTAAAATAATGCCTTTGTATATAGCCTCTTTTTCTTTTTGAGGTAGAAACACAAATATTTAAGAAATAAGCATGTCCTTTAAAAAAGAGTACATGGGAAATTAGTTTTCTTTTAATCAAAAATAAGTTAAACTGGAAAAATTGATTTTTTCCATTAAGAAACTGATGGATTTTCTTGATAGCATTGAAAATTAGTTGACAGAAGGTAAACACTTAGCTAAAATATATTTAGAACTTGGTAGAATATTAGCTACAAGATAATGACATCTTAGGCATAGAATGAATTAAAATTGCTTAGCTATGGAGCAAGGGTATAAACATTGAAAATCAGCACTGGAATCACAAGATAAAGATAATAATAATAACACCTTCCACATAGAGTACTTAACTTCATCAAAACACGTTTGCTTGCATTATCTCCTTTGATTTTCACTGTATATTTTAAAAAATAAAAATGCCATTTTAATGTAACTCATTTACAATTCTTTCTGAAGACAGATACCATAGAAGCAAAACAAATTTACTTGTGCATTCAATCATATTGCAGTGGTTCATGACAACAATAGACTTAATTCCATCCATTTTTTTCTTTTCTTCAGTTCTTCCTTTAATTATGCAAGCAGTTTCTCCAGGCTTCTTTGTATTTAACTGATTTTATGTACCTCTTTTATGATTTGCAGGATCTCTTTGTGGGTTTAGGTGATCTTTTCTTTAACTCTTTTACTTCCATCACACTGTGATTTTCTTTCTTTTGCTTTTCATTTTAGGAAGTTTTTAATGAAAGTTGTACATGGGATTACTTTATTCCAGCATCTTCTCAGTTTCTTTTTTTCTTATTTATTTATTTATTTACTTTTTTTTATTTGCCCTTTTTCTTTCTTACTTGGTGAATTTGGCTTTTCATTCAAGGATCCTTTTGCCGTCTTGGCCCAGTTTTAGCCTAGCGATAACCACCTTGCTGGGGTGAATGCCCATATGAGCAGTTGTGCCATTACCTTTTCCTGCTGCATTCATTCAGTGAAGATGACATACTTCTTCCTGTAAATCTAGACTGCTTTGCTGACCTGTTAGTGTCCTCACACAACATGAACTCCATCATTCTTTTGGATGGACATAGATCTAACCTTCAACTTCTGTCTCAGCACTTTGGAAACGGGGGGAAGACATACTCTTCCTGAGAATGTGGGAAGGGGCATTGAAACATCTTTTGCAGTTCTTGCTTTGGTCAGAAGTCACAAAGGGATTGACCTTCATTTTGACTGCTTCTGCTTTGGTGATGGCCACAAAAGGGAAGAGGGGAAGCGTGCTTTGCTATTTTCTTTTTTTTGGGGGGCAGGGACGGGGGCGGACAAGGACACACTCTGTCGCCTAGGTTGGATGCAATGCAATGGTGTGATCACCACAGCTCACTACAGCTTCCACCTTCCCGGGCTCAGGTGATCCTCCCACCTCAGCCTCCCGCCCAGTGAATTTTAAAAATTATTGTAGCGATGAGGTTTCCTCATGTTGGACAAGCTGGTCTCAAACTCCTGGGCTCAAGTGATACGTCCATCTCGGCCTTCTAAAGGGTTCGGATTACAGGCACAAGCCACTGTGCCTGGTCTGCTCTGCTATTTTCTACTTCCATTTTCCCCCTACTTTTGTAAAATTTCTGGGGAATTTATAATTCTCTGCTTTTCTTCTCCCTCATTAATTCCTTTAGATGTTTTTCCAAAACAAAAACTATTATTTGGAAGCATGGAGTATAATTATATTTTCTCAAGCAGGCTCAGACTCTGTGTTGGGTTATTCTGTGCTAATTTCAGTTTTCCTTTGCTCCAGTCTCTGAATCCCAACATTATTTTCTGTGGAAGCTCAATTTTACTGTCTTCTATTCCTCTTAGTCTTCTCTCCTACTCCCACTTACCTGTATTTCCCTGCACCAAATGTTAAAAGTCCAGATTTTCCACTTTAAATTTTAATTCTGGGTCTTTGAGGTTGGTTTGGCTCTATTTGTCTCCTGTTAATATCTTCTTGTTCATGGGCAATTAATACTAATATGTCCTTTCTTGTCCTCTTCCTGATAACAGAATGACATTACTCTGTCAATATCCTGAACATTGGAGCTGTTTCTAACTACACATTACCTTCTGTGGAGTTCTTGAACCACATTTATGGCAAGTGCTCAGCTGTCCCTTACATCAGTTAAAGTGTTTCTCCACCTCTAAATCAAATTCATGGGGCAGTTACTTAGACCCATTGTCTCATATTCAGGGTGGAGTATTCCTCTGTCTCTGTCTCTCTTTGATATGAAATCCAAACCAATCTGACACTTTCCTGAGGCTGTTACTATTTCACAATATCTTTTTAATTGAGTCACTGTGTCTCCTGCTTTTGCTGCTTGTTTCAGACTTTATTCATGAAAGGTCTTAGCTCAGTGGGCTTATCAAACATCTTCTTAGCAGTTTTAGTTTTTTTTTTTAATATTCTATTTGACACACTTTCCAATGTAAATCCAAGTGCTCTGATAATGTGGAACTGTTAGCAAAATTCTTTGCTCCTGGGAATTTGAACTAGGTTAAATATTTCCCTTGAGTTTATCTGTTAGGTTCCCACCACATATTGCTTTTCTCGGTGGATGCCACAATACCTTGTGTAGATAGTCCTCACTATATTTTTTTCATATTCACACTAATATCCCTTTTTAAAAAAGCTTAAATTCTCTATCTTTCTTATTCTATTTTTCCCCCCACTGCCAAGGTCACCGGTGATTTTTTTTTATAATCTTACACAGTGAGTTATAATCAGTTCCTATCTATTTGACCTCTGAGCCCTCTTTGAAATAATTGCCATCCTTGCATTTCAATATTCACCACTTCTTTGATCACATTTTTCTCATTCTCTTTTGTCAGATTATTTTCCTCAATGGGTTCCTTGAATGTTAGTATTGATCATAATTTTCTTCTTATCTCTTTTCTCTTTTTTTCTTGCTTGGGCAATCTTAACACAATAGTTTCAACTATCACTTGCAGACAGATACTTTCAAAATCTTGATCTCAGCCTTGCTTCAGACACTGCCCTGCAATTCTCTCCTGAGTATATGTATGTTTCAAGCTTCAAATATTCAATATGTTTGCAGCTGAACTCTAATTTGCTCTAAACTTTTCCCCCATCTTTGTACCTTATTTTTGTGAATACTAATTTATCAGCCCATTTATTCCTAGTCAGATCTGTTTGTGTTTTCCTTGTGCATACACGCAATAAATTATATTTACCAATTTTTATTTTCTATATCATAAATATCTCTTGAAAAATGTTTCTTCCTCTTCAACTTCGTGGTTTGTTCAGAATTTCATCAGCTTTTTCATGGACTATTGAGATATTCTCTTTACTTCTCTCCGTGCTACCTATCATATTCTCCTTAATCCATTCTTCAGTTCCTTCCTTAAAGCAATTTACTAGTTCTTCATTGCTGTTTTACAAGTTTCCTAGGTAATTCTTATGTGGCCAGCCAATTGTAACAAGGTCTACCTAGACTTACATTTGAAACTGATTATATAACCTTGCTGCTCCAAATGAGCTCTGGTTCTAGCAACATTGACAACATCTGGGAACTTGTTAGAAACACAGAATCCCCCATCTTGCTTCAGAGATCCTAAATTGTAACCTGAATTGTAGCAACATCCGCCATTGCTGCACAAGCACACTCAAGTTTGAGAAGCATTGTACGCTGGTTCTATTCCAAGCTCTGCCAATCCAAGTCCGGGGGTTTAGGGGCTACCTGGGTATCTGTATCTATTTTGTAGAGTTCAGGGAAAACTCAATTCAATTTTTTCCCTATACCTTTATCTCATTTACATTGCAAATCCTATCCATGGTCCACTAAGATTATTTCTCCCTGACAAATTATTGGTCTTCAATAGATTCTTCTCTTTTGGTAAACTAGAAAAAATACTCGAAGCTTTAAAATGATTTAGATTATATATCTATATTTATAATATATATACACTATATATTATATATATATATTATATATATATATATATATATATATATATATATATATATATATATATAACATTTCCTAGGTGTCAAAAGGGCCCAGCTTGAGATTGAGCACAAGCTCAAAATACAACGTTTTTTTCTTAATCTACATTCAATCAATTGCTGTAATCTCTCATAACAAAAATATTTCTACATGTGTGAATCTTGGGTCAAATTTGTTTTTAAGTTTCTTAATATAACTTAACTTTTGTGTATATGTCATCATAATGGTCCCTGAATTTGATTCTTCTGATGTAAAATATATTCCCTGGTTGTATAAGAGGACTAATCAGTATATACACTAAACCAGTGGTTCTCAAATGTTTTTCTATGAGCAACAATATTAGTATCACCTGTAGACTTATGAAAATGTGAATTATCTCACCACATGAAAGACCTATTGAATGTAATGCTTTTTTTCTGGGAATTGTGATCTGTGTTTTAACAATTTTGACTGATGCATGGTAAATTTCGGAAATTATTAGTCTGTCTAAAATAATTACTAAAAGTTCATTTTCCTTTCTAGTGCTGGATTTAGATATGGGCATGATATACAGTAATAGTCAATGAGATATGAGAGAAATATGTCAGGGAGGCCTCTTGGAACAATATTCTTGCTATTATAAAATAACAAACAAAAAGGAATAGACCTTTTTCATGGTGGGGTATTGATATATTACATACAGTTCCAAGACTGGCTATAACCATCTTACCATCATGACACAGAATTACGTGTTGAGGTTGGTTTAATTAAAAGATTGTAAACATATAGGTTCATTATGATGTCACTGAGTCAGAGAATAAACCAGCTCTGGCATGGTATTGTTCTGGGTTTTTTGTTATATAGAATTGGCCTTATTAAATAAGCCAATTTATGTTGGATTTTCTGTAATCCGCAGTTAAAAATGTCTCAACTTATACATCATGAGTCCCTTTTATAGTCAATAATAAAATAATAAATGCTATTTAAAAATCATTGATGCATAAGAATTTTTAAGTGGAGTTTTCTATTCATACACATAGTATTTTCTGTCAGTCAGTGCTAGGGGTCTGTAGGTTTAACAGGGTGAACACCTCACAATTAAAAAGGTATATCAGAAGTTAAAAATAAAAACACTTAACATAAAGTGGATAAGATTAACCATCTATGAAAAACTTGTGAAGCATAAAAAGACCATAAAGTAATTAACAATTGTGATTGGATTAGATCAGAGTCCCTTATTTAATCTCATAAGGAACTTTAAAAATGCCTATAAAAAGAAAAGTAATTATTGGAGTGTAATTAATAAAAAAAAATCTATAATGAAAACATGTCCAGTAGATGGAAGTGTTCTAATGATAGATTTTTAAAATAATAAGAAATATTGGAGATAGATAGTAAGTACTTTTCAGATTTATTTAGCTTCTATATCTGATCAACACTACCATTAAAAATTCTTCAGGCTTTGCCATAGATGAGATTGAACAGCAGGCAAAACTGTCAGACTACCTTTGTTCTTTTCTCATGCACACAAACTGCTTTATCATTCTAAGTTCAAGTTTTGCAAGTATCTTAGTTTTGAGATGATAGTGTTACAAAAAACAAATTGATGCATTTTGTTAACTATGTATATATTCTCTACTTTAAAAATTAGTGTTTAGGAGAGTAAATCAATGTTTTGGCAGTTTGGTTAGTGTGACTCACTTACTTAGATCCTAAATCATCTCATAGTTATAAAACTTAGCTTGTATGGTGCAAAGCTGAGAATCACATTTTGTGTAGTACCCCCACTGCCATAAATATTACATGGAGTATTTTTTTTTCTTTGTTCCTTGCTAATCATTTTAACTTCCTGAGTCATAACTGCTCTGTAATTTCATTTCCAGTGGAGCGTCTCAATACTTTATAAAAGCAGTTTAATAGTTATAAACATAAACAGGAAATAATTACCTTTTGTAAGTAGGGTCATAATACCTCTTCAACTGCTTTTATGAATTCTTACAACACTTTTCAATACTTCATATTTTCCTTCTCTTCTTGCTACTTTAGCTATCAAGGAAGCAGTTATATGAAATTTTTTTTTGCGTATTTACTAGGCAATTTTTCTGGTTGATGTTGGAAAAATATGGAAGGCAGTATGACGGTAACAAGTACCATGCTTTTCTTTCTTTTCTTTTTTTTTTTGATGGAGTCTTGCTCTGTCACCAGGCTGGAGTGCAGGGGTGGGATCTCAGCTCACTGCAACCTCTGCCTCCTGGTTTCAAGTGATTCTCCTGCTTCAGCCTCCCGAGTAGCTGGGACTACAGGCGAGAGCCACCACGCATAGCTAACTTTTGCATTTTTAGATAGGGTTTCACCATGTTGGCCAGGATAGTCTCCATCTCTTGACCTTGTGATCCACCCACCTCGGCCTCCCAAAGTGCTGGGATTACAGGTGTGAGCCACCGCACCCGGTCACTTTTCAATTTATATAAAAAGCAATCTAATTCATTATTCTCCAACGAGTGTTTGTATGTATAATACTGTTGCAGATATGAGAGACATTTGTTGTAGAGTCTGCCTTTTACTAAAAGTATGAAAACTAAGGTATCAGTAAACCCACACTGAAAGAGTTTCAGAGCAATTGGATGAAAACTTCTCTTTGAATTCTTATAAACAATTCTGAAAATTCTGTGCAAAATGTCAGCTGCCATCTCAGTGGTTTTCTTAACCCAGGATGGAAAGATGGGGTATATTGCTTAGTACAGATTATTTCAACTACAGGGAAAAATGTGGTCTTCATGTGGGAAGAATAGAACTCATTATTCTTTTCTTCATAAAATTAATGGCAGTGCACATTTAAAAATAAAACTTAAGCCAGGCATGGTGGCTCATACCTGTAATCCCAGCACTTTGGGAGGCCGAGGCAGGTGGATCACTTGAGGACAGGAGTTTGAGAGCAGCCTGGCCAATACGGTGAAACCCCGTCTCTACTAAAAATACAAAAATTAGCCGGGCATACTGGTGCATGTCTGTAATCCCAGCTACTAGGGAGGTTGAGGCACTGGAATTGCCTGAACTCAGGGGGCAGAGGTTGCAGTGAGCCCAGATCGCGCCACTGCACTCGAGCCTGGGCGACAGAGCAAGACTCCATCTCAAAAAGAAAAACAAACAAATGAAAAAAGTTTGAAAAAACCTTAAAGCCTTAATGCCCATTGTGACACTTTTTGACAGACTGTCACTATGTTGTGGGGGAGGAGGAGAGCTTTCTTTTTTTGTTGCTCTTTTTGCATGAAGTGATTTGGTTAAGCAGGAAAAAGAATGAGGGAGTTTTGACACCTCATCCCCTATTCTATTCACCAAAATACGTAATCCTCTCCTTTGCTCAGTTTGATTTTCCTTTATTGAATTTTGCTTTCTGTGATGTTCTCATTTCCCTTATTAGATTAAATCAAATTGTTCTTACCCATCCAACATTACCCCTTTGGGAGAGCAAAATTCTGTCTCCCGAGAGAAAAACGTAAAGAAAATCTACTTAGAGAAGATTACTCAGCTGCTGTTATTACCCATTTCCAATTTCCTTTTTACTTTACAGAGTAAGTTTGACTCATTCCCCAATGGCAAACTTTCCTCTCTTCTACTATGTAACAAGGATGAGGACAGGCCATTTATAATAGATGAAGCCTAATGTGAAGTGCAGAAATTCAGGATTGATATGACATGTTATATACAATAGGTCAGAAAAACTCTTAGGTTATTGCTTGGGCTTGTGGCTACTGTCTTTTGAAATCACAAAACTGTCCCACTGAACCAAGAATTATTTAGGAAATTCTATTAGACCATTTAACTGACACACAGGTGATACTCTTTTGGTGATTATGATGGAACTGCTGAAGATCTGTCGCAACAAAGATGTGAGAGCACAGCAACTTTATCTGGATTGCTTTGGATTCAACTTCCTTTCTACACAGAGGAAAGAGGAAGCTTAAGACAGACAACCTCAGGGGAAATCATGTTTCTGTCTTTACAAACTGTTTAAACCTCAACATAGAGATTTGCATGGAATTTTTTTAAACATTTTCAAATTTGCTCACAAAACATTTATTTTTTTACTGTAGTACAAAAAAAATGGAAAAAATGTATATTCTGGTCCAAATCATAATAAGTACGTGAATAACTTAATGAATTGCGGACTTACACACTCCCTTTTCTCTGTGTGTGCGTCTGTGTGTGTTTTCTAACCCAGCATCTTAAATTCTCTTGAGGTCACCCTGTCAGCATCAGTCCTGTGGCCTGGATTTAGTTGAATCAATCCTAATTGCAATTCAGCACAGGTCTGCTCCTCTGTGGAGATTGCAGATGAATGACAGTGCAGTGGCAGGAAAGATAAATATGCTGGCAAATAAGATCCTGGCTCTCCACAGAGGATGGAATAAATTACTTTACCAACGGAGTGGAGGTAATATGTTGGAGAAAGAAAGTGAAATCGAAGCCAGTTGAATACGAGGTTTGTTAAAGTTTAAAATAAAGCATTTTAGGCTTAAGTAATACACGGATGGTGATTCTTTTTATTTAGAAAACATTCCATTGCTCTGTACTGTAAGAAATAATGGCATACACGAATTTTGTTTATGCAGATGACAGCTTGGACAATTTTAATTCATGTGGCATTCTCTGGTATCTGAGAGGCTGGTGGTAACTGTGGTGTAGCATATTGATTAGTAATTTGATAAATACACAAAATGGCACATTGAGCTTTAGATGCTTCATGCAAAATGTATTTAAATGACCTTGGCTAATTAGAGTGCATAGCTGCAAGGCAGGACCATATGAACAAGAGCCAGTTTGTTGGTCCAGATTTTTATGTAGGTTTATGACAGAGAATAGGAGAGACCTGAACACAACACTAAGACTTCTATCAAGGAAACAGAGTACATCGTCAGGAGAAAAATTGTATTTTCCGTTGTGAGAATTATTAACCTTATGCCATATAATTAGTTCAATGATTTTATATCTAAAATGCATTTTGCAGATTTTTAACCAGATCTTGGATTATATATAAACTTGCATTTTACTATAAAAATCAGGCAAATACTTTTAAAGCAATCTTAAAATGAAAATTATATATTATACTTAAAGATTAACATACATTCTTCATTTTTATTTACCCCAACATTTTCTAGCTGCATGAAATGTAAAGTTCCAAAATAATATGCTATCCCTACAGAATATACATTTAAGGTTTATCATCACGGATCCTGTTGGATATCCTTCAATTACATCTTGAAATACAAATTCTAATTAGGTTTCATTGGTAAAGGTCAGGTTTTCCCTGTATTCTTATGAAAAAGATGTTTATCAGATAAGTGGAATGCTCTAAGAATCCAAAGAAATAATACCTGGAAAATTTCTGTAGTTAATTTCCCTGTTTCACTTGGCTATACATTTCCATGACAACACTGGATAATAAATTAAAAATAAGATGTCATAGACAGGTGATTTGATTTCATCATCCCTTGTGCATGTAATCTAGGCATTTCTCGGAAGTATACTGATTTTTTTTTTTTTTTTTTTTTGAGACGGGGTTTCACTCTTGTTGCCCAGGCTGGAGTGCAATGTTGTGATCTTGGCTCACTGCAGCCTCCGCCTCCTGGGTTCAAGAAATTCTCCTGCCTCGGCCTCCGGAGTAGCTGGGATTACAGGCACTGGCCACCACGGCTGGCTAATTTTTTTTTAATTTTTAGTAGAGATGGGGTTTTGCCATGTTGATCAGGCTGGTCTCGAACTCCTGACCTCAGGTGATCTGCCCGCCTCCACCTCCCAAAGTGCTGGGATTACAGGCGTGAGCCACCGTGCTTGGCCAGAAGTATACTGTTCTTATAAACATCCACAGAAGCTTCTGGAAGCAAAGTAAGAAGGGACTCTAGGATGAGATTTCTGTGTAAATATTCAAAATCTCTAAATTGAGCTTAGGCTCAAGTGAATTGTTCTTAACAGCATTATGTGCACCTCCAATTGTATTGGGTTTTTCAGAATGCATATTGCTCTGAAAAAAGTCAAGCACAACTGTCTATTGTTACAATGTATGATTCACGTCTACTAGAAATCTGCTGGCATGCTTCAATTTGGAGTGAAATTTGTGAATGAGATTTTTCAATAACTTAGCTTTAAGTCAATGTATTTTTGTTTTCAAATTTCAAATGGCAATTTTCTTTACCCACTCCGAGCATCTCTTAATGAATCTAGGTTATGTCAAATACAACTTTCTCTGACTCTCCTAAATCACACTTCTCCTCACGTAGTTGCTTTCAACTTCAGAGAGCTGCCAGAGACTATTTCAGTTTGGTTTTCATTGTAAGAGATATGATTTTGAAAGGATAGATTTCTAAAAAGAATTTTCAAAAGCCTTAAGGAAAAATCTTCTAGAAGACTGATAATCTCTTTTTTTCCAACCTACTTACTTTAATTATTGAATATTTTGAAACTAGAGAAGACTTAAAATGTTAACAAAGCCTAAATCTTTGGTAATACATGATAAGCTTATGAATATTGATCATAATCTGTTACTGTTACTCTCAATACTATACACATACAAACACACATATATATATGATGGTGAAAGTAAAAAACTTAAGAAATGTATTAAATAGTTGAGAAATGAGTTATATGAAAAAATTAGACTGAGGAGTTCTACGAAGGTGAAGGTAACTTAGAATCTATCTTGAACAAAATGCATATCAGGATGATAGCCTCTACTTTGTCAGTGTATAAAAAGTACTCAACATTGTACTTTAATCTGACCTAAGTCTGTTCTGTCCAAATTAAGCAGAATATCTTTTCAGAATTCTTGACTAAACAAAATCATCTCTTTAGGTTTTTAATTACATCATTGAACACCTTGCTAGGCAACCTGAAGACTCAATGAATGAGTTTAATAGATTGTGGTTCACCATATGCATTAGCATCAACTGGGGTGGTTGTGATAAATGCAGATTACTGCCTTAATCCAGGATTCTGACTCAGGGTTAAGGAGAAAGGGGCCAGAATCTCTATTTTTAGGGGCTCTCAAATGGATCTGAGGTACTTTCAAATTTGAAATCCACACAATAAATGCTTACTGTCTGAGAGATTTCACTTTAGAAGACAGGCTATAGACCAGATTATCTGTATTGATTCCTTCCAACACTATCATTCTTGAGAAATCAAGACACAAGTATTACTTAAAGTCATAAACCTGAGAAGGGATTGTTAACAATTTTTCTAAGCAATTGAAGAAGTTAAGCTAAGAAAAAGTTATGAAATTTATTCCAATAATGAGTTCTTATTTTAATTCACTTGAATAGACAAAAAAAAGTAACAGACAAAAAAAACTCTCTTTAATTTTGAGATGAGTAAAAATGGGTAACTATGAAATTGTGTACACCAATATAGTTCCCACTTTACAGGTTTCTATCATAGAGAAATGGACTTTAAAGAAGGTGTGCGAAATAGAAATATCTTGAATAAAAAAGATTCTGAAACATAACTTACTCATATTGAAATTACTAAGAAAAATCCATTAGCATACCTTGTCTTGTCCTTACTATGAAGAACATCATTCCGGTGGTAGCTATGGCATAAGCAGAAGCTAGAAACATGAATTTTTAAATGGCTAACTTCTGCCAGGTTTACTCCCTTATTTGCTCTTAGATATGTATGAACACACACAACATGATAGAACTGAAAGAGGCAGAGTATTTTTTTAAATGCTGTCTTTTTTCTCTGATCATTTCTCTTTTCTCCTCTTAGGGATCTTATTTATTTCCACAGCTTCAGTCACTACCTCTGTGCAGATACTCTCCAATCTGCATCTACAATTTTCTTCCTTTCTGAGAGATGATATCACATCCCTGAGGATAACTAGGTGTTTCTACTTGCTTAACTATTATTTCAAATTCAGTACTTTAAATCAAGACTCATGATCTTCTGCCTCTCAGCTGACACCTGTTTTGGCTTGCCTATGTTAGAAAAAAAACTTTATACAAAATAAATTTAAGAGTTCATTTGAGCAAAGAAAAATTCATAAATCGGGCAGCACTTGGAATCAGAAAAGGTTCAGAGAGCTCCTCTCAGCAAAGTACATATACACTTTAATTTCATTGGTGGTGTTTCCCTTCAGTGTAAATTTTTAGAAGTGGAATTGCTGTTTCAAAGATTAATATATTCATAGTTTGATTAGATATTATCAAAACTTCCTCCATAAGTGTTGCATTGGTTTGCATTTTCATCACAATATATGAAGGTATCCATTTCCCCAAAGCCTCACCAATATTTTGTGTTGTTATACTTAATTTTTTCTAACCCAATAGGTGAAAATTAGCAACAATGTAATTTTTGTTTGCATTTCTTTTATTATGATTAAAATTGAGCATAATTTCATGGATTGAAGTGTCATTTTTATATATGTTTTGTGAATTGTCTGTTCATGTCATTTGACCATTCTATTTTTCTTTTAGATAGTTCCCTCAATTTTTAAGAGATTTTCATATATTAGGAATAGCCAAGCTTTATTTGTTATATATATCATCTCTCCTCTTTTTTTTAGTCGTTTTGGCTTTGTCTGTGTTTTTTTCTTGCTTTACAAATTTTAAAAATGTTTAAATAAATTTGTCATTTTTTTGTATCTGGAATTTTAATTGCAAATAGAAAGATATTCTCCATGTCTAGTGTCCAGGTTAAAGAGGAATGTGCCTATGTTGTTTTCTTCTAGTTATATGGTATAATTTTTTTCTTTACATTTAGAATTCTGATTTACATGTTGATGTAAAGCAAGGATCTAATTTTATTTTTTTAAAATAGTTTTAATATTTTATTTATTTTTATCTTTTAATTTATTGTCTTAGAATACTTTCCTAAAATGTCACCTTTATAACAATAATTTAACATGCCACATTTAATGTACTAAAGTTTTGTATGTTCTTGTATCTATCTCTGGCCTTACATTCTCTTCTACTTATCTGTATTTTCATGAGTTTGTACCATGTCATTTTAGTTATAGAGACTTTGTAATGTTTTAATATGTGGTAAAGTTAGTCCCCATTCATGATAGTATGAAATAGACAATTTTTATATGTGAAAATATTTTCATATTACAAGACATACCAACTGAGGAAATGCCTGAAACATATATGACCCAGGGTAAAATATGTTAGAGCATCTGAGTAACAAAATACAAAGTTCATAAACAAAAAATAAAAATAGTCATTAAAGAAATAAAAACACTCAACATGACTATTGATTAACTATATTAAAATTGTAAAGTGATACGCAATTTTCATCAGTTACATTGGAAAAGATTAGAAAATGATATTTCTGAGTTTGTCAAATGTTCAAGGAATATGTCACTTTAAATATTCTTAGTGCACTTGGAACCAACCCAAATGCCCATCAGTGATAGACTGGATAAAGAAAATGTGGCACATATACACCATGGAATACTATGCAGCCATAAAAAAGAATGAGTTCATGTTCTTTGCAGGAACATGGATGAAACTGGAAGCCATCATCCTCAGCAAACTAACACAAGAACAGAAAACCAAACACCACATGTTCTCACTTATAAGTGGGAGTTGAACAATGAGAACACGTGGACACAGGGAGGGGAACACCACATACTGGGGCCTGTCAGTGGGTGGGGTGGGTGGGGATCAAGGGGAGGGATAACATTAGGACAAACACCTATTGCATGTGGGGCTTAAAACCTAGATGACGAGTTGACGGGTGCAGCAAACCACCATGTCACATGTATGCCTATGTAACAAACCTGCACCTTCTGCACTTGTATCCCAGAACATAAAGTAAGTAAATAAATATATAAATATTCTCAGTACAAGAGTTAATTGACAAAACCTATTTGGAAAACAATTGGTCAGAATGTATTAAAAGTCTTAATACATTGAAGAATCCACACCTTTCTTCAATGATTTAATCAGAGATATTCGCAAATTAAGTACAAGAATGTTTTGCATTATTGCTTGAAACAGCAAAAACTGGCAACAATTTATGTGTTTAGAAAGGAATTGAATAAATTAGACTACTTTCAAATGCTAAAATGATAGGTTACATGGAAACGATTATATTTTAGAATATTTTAATGTCCTAAAAATGCATTCACAATATAACCTTCAAAGCTTCTATTACAATTTTAATTCTTATTTAGGAAGTTCTTCAAACAATTGGAAAAGCAGAAAAATAAAAGCTGATTGTACTGTTGAATATAAAGCTTGATCACAATTTTTTATAAAGGAGCTTGAATATCTAATAATAAGAAATATGTATGTACACATGGATACATTTATACGTACATGCATACACATGTACATATTTGTGTGTGTGCATTATGTGTGTTTATATGTAAGTCACCCGGGCCTCCTGTCTTTCTCTCACTTCCCGTTGTAGTCTGTTTGAGTTCCTATAGGCTTGCTTCTTCCTCACAGTTCAACATTTTTACAGTCATCACTAATCGACATTACCATACTCTCTCATTTCAACGCCTGCAATATTCTTCTTAATGGCTTTCCATGCTTCTGCAGGTAGTGGAGAAAAAAAATTCTTCTTTTTCTTGGGAAGCCAAGGCAGGCGTATCACGAGGTCAAGAGATGGAGACCATACTGGCTAACACGGTCAAACCCCGTCTCTACTAAAAAAAAAAAATACAAAAAATTAGCCGGGCATGGTGGCGGCGCCTGTAGTCCCAGCTACTGGGGAGGCTGAGGCAGGAGAATGGAGTGAACCTGGGAGGCAGAGCTTGCAGTGAGCCGAGATCGCGCCACTGCACTCCAGCCTGGGGGACAGAGCAAGACTCCATCTCAAAAAAAGAAAAAAAAATTATTATTTTTCCTACTGTCATCACAGGTTATCTTGCTGGGGTCCTGTGAATTGGACTGATGAAAGAAAAATTAACAAGAAAAAAAAAGCAAAAATTTATGAGTATGCGTATTGCCTTTACACACGGGAGCATTTAGAAATAAGTAACTTAAAGAGTTAGCACAAGGGCTTATATAGCATTTTACTAAAAAAAAACAAAAAACAAACAAAACAAAACAAAACAAAAACAATTTTTAGAGAAGTGACAAAGCAAAGAGAAAGAACTTTGAGATTTTTTAGGACAATAAATTGTAGGAAGGCAAATATCTAGGAATTTAACAGTAGACAAAGTCTAGTTGGTAAATTATTTTGAGTTAGATAAGTGCCAAATCTATCTCTGGCAATTATTTTTTGTCTTTCCTAATACGGAGGAAAGCATTTCAAACTTTTATCCAACTTTTAGGCAAATGGAGGAGGATAGAGAGCTTTTCCTATTTTTGCTTTTTCTCAATTGCTTCAGCTCAAAGGGGCATATTTTGGGGTGGCACCGTGTGCTACCAGACACATGCTTCTCCCTATAATCAAATTTCTAAACAATAAAAATAATGACTATATCATATCATACTCCTGCTTCAAACTTCCCATAAGCTTTTAAATAAAATATATATATTTTGTCTTTACACATTGCTACATGATTGCTTCCTTCCAACATCTTCTTTGACCTCATCCCAAGCCTCTCTCCCTTGATTATATCTATATCCCTACAGGCTTCTCTTGCTTTTTTGAGCCCAACAGACTTATTCTGATGTCAGACAATGAAAGGCCTTAAGATGGTTCCATGATTTTACTATTTCTTGTTATTTAGGTCTCAGCTCAACTGATGATTCTTCAAAACATTTTATTTCATCTTCTTTTCTAAAGTACTCATCCCCTCCCCCAGAGTAATTCTCTGGTTATATCTATATCTAGCAATACCTATAGATATCGACATAAATATATATATATATACGCACACACACACACACACAGATATATCTAGATATATATATCGATAGATACAAATATATATGTAGATATCAGTTGTTTGTTTTTTGAGATGGGGACTCCCTATGTTGCCCAGGCTGGCCTTGAATGCTTGAGCTCACATGATCTTCCTGTCTCGGCCTCCCAAGAAGGTGGGACCACAGATGCACAGCCTCATGTTTGGCTTGGTGTTATATATTTGAAGCACTTATCATTGATGAAACTGTGCTATTGTTATTGTCATTATCTGTATCTCCAAACTTAAATGTTTAGGCTTCAAGAAAGAGGGACATCAGCGGTTAGAACAACATTTGACATGTAGTAGGCATATGAAGGCAGAGTTCATCAAGAATATTTCAAAAGAAGAATGAATATTGTGAGGCCTGAGTTAAAACTCTGAGATTTCTTTCTTCTGTGGAAGTGTCTCTGGGTTTCTTAATCTTGGGAAAAGGCAAAAGCTGCCAGCATTCCCCTTGAGGGAGGGAATAAGACAAGGATGTCCGCTCTCACCACTCTTATTCAAAATAGTACTGGAAGTCCTAGCCAGAGTAATCAGGCAAGAGAAGGAAAGAAAAGGCACCCAAATAGGAAGAGAGGAAGTCAACTTATCTCTCTTTATAGACAATATTATTTCATACTTCAAAAATCCTACAGTCTCTGCTCAAAACCTCTTAGATGTGACAGACAACTTCAGCAAGGTTTTACGATATGAAGTCAGTGTACAAAAATCAGTAGCATTTCTACACACCTATAAGATCCACATTGAAAGCCAATTCAGGAATACACTCCAGTTCACAGTAGCCACACACACAAAATACCTAGGAATACAGCTAACCAGAGAGGTGAAAGATCTCTACATCTCTACAACAAGAATTAAAAAACACTGCTAAATAAATCAGATGTGAAACAAAGAAAAACCATTCCATTCATTCATGGATAGGAAGAATGAGTATTGTAAAAATGACCATACTGCCCAAAGCAATTTAAATATTCAATGCTACTCCTATCAAACTACCAATGACATTTTTCACAGAATTAGAGAAAACTAGTCTGCAATTCATATGCAACCAAAAAAAAAAAAAAACCCAAATAACTAAAACAATCCTAAGCAAAAACAACAAAACCTGAGGTATTACGCCACCCAACTTCAAACTACAAGGCCACAGTAAAAAAAAAAACAAAACAAAAAAACCCCAAAAAACCCAGCATGATACTGGTACAAAAACAGACACACAGACCAAGGGAATAGGCTAGATGGACCAGAAATAAAACTGCACACCTACAACCATCTGATGTTCAACAAGGTTGACAAAAACAAGAGATGGGGAAAGGATTCCCTATTCAATATATGGTGCTAGGGTAACTGGCTAGTCATGCAGAAGATTGAAGCTGGACCCCTTCATTTTACCACATGCAAAAATCAACTCAAGGTAGATTAAAGACTTAATTATAAGACTTAAAGTTATAAAAACTCTGAAAGAAAACCTAAGAAATCCCTTTCTGGATATAGGTCCTGATAAAGATTGCATGATGAAGACTCAAAAAGCAATTGTAACACAAACAAAAATTGACAAATGGGACCTAATTAAACTAAAGAGCTTCGGCACAGCAAAGGAAACTATTGACAGAATAGACAATCTATGGAATGGGAGGTAAATATTTGCAAACTATGCACCAGACAACAGTCTAATATTCAAAATCTATAAGGAACTTAAATTAACAGGCAAAACCCAAACAACTTCATTAAAAATGGGCAAAGGACATGAATAGACACTTTTCAAAAGAAGACATATATGCAGCCAACAAGCATATGAAAAAATGCACAATATCATTAATCATTACAGAAATCTGAATCAAAACCATGAGATACCGTCTCCCACCAGTCAGAATGGCTATAATTAAAAAGTCAAAGAATAAAGATGCCAGCAAGTTTGCAGAGAAAAGGTAACACTTATACACTCTTGGTGGGAATATAAATTATTTCAACCACTGTGGAAAGCAGTTCAGAGATATCTCAAAGACTTTTAAACAGAATTACCAATTGATGCAGATATCCCATTATTGGGTATATACCCAAAGAAATATAAATCATTCTACTATAAAGCAACTTGCATGCATATGTTCGTCGCAGCACCATTCTCAATAGCAAAGACATGGAACCAACCTAAATACCTATCAATGGTGGACTAGATTTTAAAAATGGAGTACATATACACCATGGAATACTACACAGCCATAAAAAGAGTAAAAGTGTGTCCTTTGCAGCAACGTGGATGGAGATAGAGGCCATCATCAATGCAAGAACAGAAAACCAAATACTGCATGTTCTCACTTATAAATAGTAGGGCTAAACTTTGAGTACACTCGGACACAAAGAAGAGCATAGAGATTGGAGCCTACTTGAGAGTGGAGGCTGGGAGGATGGTAAGGATAAAAGAAACTACCTGTCAGGTACTATGCTTATTACCTAGGTGATGAAATAATCTGTACTCCAAGCCCCTGTGACACAATTTACTCATGTAACAAACCTACAAATGTACCTCTTGAACGTAAAATAAAAGTTGGAAACAAAAAAAAAGTTAGCAGGTTTTCTTATGCCTTCTAAACTCATATTGGTTAGCGTTCACCTTATCCAGGGTGAATTTCTTGGCTCACATGGCAAAATTAAAACATTCTCCAGCTTACGATAAAGATGCATAATTTTTAAACGCCCTATTAAGAAAGTCTTTTTCAATTGTAGGTATTTCAGAACACATAAGAAATATTAAATGTGAACAATATAATATCCTTATTCAAATATAAGGGTTCATTGTATCTATTAATAATACACATTTGTATAGCAATATGTTATTCCAGGCATTCTTCTAATAACATTACAGATGTTAACTCATTTATCCCCCAACCATACTTCAATAAATTGCTCTTCTGTTTTACAAATGTGAACTTGATATACAAACAAGTTCAGTAAGTTGCCCTAGGATACAACTAGTAAGTACAGATGACTCCAGAAACTGCTTAACCCTTATGTATGTTGCCTGCCCATTCTTAAACAATAGACTAAAATAAAATAAAATATGGTTAGATAATGGGACAGAATAATGAACCCAACAAGGCAGAAGCTAAAGTTTGAGGTAGTAAATAGCAGTCTAACAATACACAGATAAACTCAGGGAATCCTTCAAGAATACAGAAAAGTGGAGAAAAATAGCAAAAAAGAATAGAGTGGAGAAAGTAGACATGGATAACATACGTGAAGATAAAATAATAAGAATTAGCTGTTATATAATGAGCAAAGTGAAAACACAGAACGTACATTTTATACCAAGTTAAATTAATAAAAATAACATTTAACTGTGTTTCAAGTCTTACAAAGACCAGATAGATTCTGAACAAGTTTCACTGCTAAAAGATGATCAAAAGAATTAGAATACACACATACACACACACACACAATCAAAAGTGAAGACTTTTTTAAAAGTTTAAATTCAAAAAAGGTTACTTCAAGGAAAAGAAAATACAGACAGAACCTTTTAAACAATAAATGACAAAGACAAAGCACAAAGCACTGTTTTCATGCTTTTAGTGAAAAATGACTGTGATCTAAGTTTTTCCTATCCAGCTCAGTTACCATCCTGATGTCACATGTTTAAAAAGGCTCCAAAGACATTTGTGTTGTGATTACTGATTGTCAATCAAAAAATATCTCAAGAATGAAGGTAGCAAAGATGTAAAAAAACTGACAATATATATTGAAATTAATTAAAGATTATAACTACTCAATTAATACTATCAAGCTCTAATTAAAAATAGATGGATGCTGATAAGCATATGTAATAACTGTAAACTTGTAACATTTAATATGAATAAATTTAAAAATAAAAAATGCTTGGCTCAAATATGTTTAAGAGTATTCCCATTTTTGGCTTGGTAAATATTATTTAGAAAACTGACAATATTTATTTATTTATTTTTTGTGAGATGGAGTCTTGCTCTGTTGCCCAGGCAGTGGGGCAATCTTGGCTCACTGCAACCCCCACCTCCCGGGTTCAAGTGATTCTCCTGCCCAGGCTTCCCAAGTAGTTGGGACAACAGGCATGCGTCACCACACCCAGCTAAGTGTGTGTGTGTGTGTGTGTGTGTGTGTGTATGTTTAGTAGAGACAGGGTTTCACTATACGTTGGCCAGGCTGGTCCCAAACTCCTGACCTCAGGAGATCCACCCACCTCGGCCTCCCAAAGTGCTGTGATTACAGGCGTGAGCTACCACACCTGGTCTGTTTCTATAGTTTTTATCAAATTTATGACAAAAACTGTTTGCCTTACACCATTCTATAGTTGTACCTTTTACCCTGTCTACTGTGAAAAATGAATTTTGTCCACAGATGTTTGTATATAGTTTAGCATGCTATAATTAACAAGATGTCCAGCAATATAACCTGGAAAATAATGATTTCTTTTTTCATGTTACGAGTAACTTAGGGATAGTGGTTCTAGAGTTGTATTAGGGATTTAATGACAGCAGGACTTGAGATAAATCATATGGTTTTTAAAAGTATGGATCCTCCTGTACTCAGAACTTGGCCCCAACTATGCATGTGTGGTTTTGGATAGATCACTTAATCTCTACAAATTTCAGTTTATTTATTTATATCATTAGGATAGTAACAGTATTCTCTTAAGGTTTTTGTAAAGATTAATAAAAAAACATCTGGCAAATCGTATACAAGCAGCAAATAATAACTATTTCTATTATTATTAGTAGTAATATTATTAGATAAATATATTGCTCAACTAAAGATTGCTAATTAGTGAGTAACGTAGCAATTACCAAACAAGGAAACAAATTTTAAGTCATTGATTTAAATTCTAGAATAATTAAAAGTTTCAGTTTAATTTCAAATGTATATTATTAGAAGTATTTAAATAAACTAAATTGTGTCGGTATGGAGTAATAAAAATCAGAGTGAACTTTATGTTCTAATTCTATAATTAAATTATAAATGGAGGAAGAAACATTTTAATTAATTATCAGATAAGGTTAATTAAATAGAAGTTAATAAAATTTGCCTGTCAATTTCATTAAATAAGCTTAAATAGTGAAGAGAAGTAATAGAGAAGTCTGAACCAGTTAGGTAAAGTACCTGACTTGGCTGATCGGGGTTGCTGTTGTCAACTATACTTTCTCTTACTGTTATTTGATAGAAGTTTCCCATGTCACCATTTTAAGTCCTTCAGTAGCTCAGGATTCAGGTAAATAAAAATTGGTCCTCTGAGGCAGAGTCTTGTTGCTTTTAAAAGATTCACTGTACCATCTTTCTTAGTTATATGATTCTGACTTTATTCTGGGAGCAATGTGCTCAGTTAAATGACAATTTTCCAACCTGTCTTGTAAATCAAGGTGGAAAGTAAAATACAACTAGAAATTGTTGGGTGGACTCTAAGAAAAGCTTATTAAAAGGGATGCCACACAGTTAACATATGAACTATTTTGACACCCTCTTTCCCCACCTATTATCAAAATTCAGATAAGATTTCTGGAATTCAGCAGTCATATAAGACTGTAATGCTGCATTGACATGGAAGAACTTTCTTGGACAAAGAGTAGAGCACAAAGGTAGTGACAGGCTGTGTCCCTGAATACCCACGTGGTCACTATGCCAACCCTGAATTGCCGACCTCACGTCTAGGAGAAAGAAAGCTAAACATTTATGTTGTGTAAGCCTTCGCTTTCAAATGTTTAAAAGACCTGAGGTGCAGAAATCAAAGAGAAGCTGGCAGATGCTCTTTTATCTCTTCTAAAATAAATCATGTCTTTGCTGCAGTAGCAATGTGTACACATCATCTCTTTCTCCTTCTGCTCACTGCCAGTTTCTTTCTCTTCTTAAAATTTTAAATTTTGATATCTTCATCTCAGTAGTGACAATATATATATTCCATGGTGCTGTGAGACTAAAATGAGATAATTATGTGTAAAAATACTTGTAACTATAAAGTTCACTTGAAAAATATGACATTATAAGAATTGAGGGTGATGAAGTCAAGACGAATGTGGGGAGGTTAAGCGTTCTCAGTCAAATCATCTTATTTTATTCCTCCTTCACACTAAAACAATACCTAAGTGTTTAAAAACTAACCCAGGGTTCCAGTTCAAGATGACTGACTAGACACAGCTAGTGGGTGTCTCTTCCTTAGAGAGGAATCAAAATAGGGAATAAATATTCACACTTCAAATAGATTGTCTAAGAGAGAACACTGCAGTTCATCAGAGAAACAATGGGAATCATGAAATGCAAAGGAGAGTGAAGCCAGGTAGCCTGCTGAGCTGGGATCAGTGTGAAGCTGGGAGAAGCTACCTGACATGGGGAACAGGTGAGTGAGACCTCTGGGGCTCCACACTCCTGCCATGGACTTTTACAGTCCTAACTACAGTAGAGTCCTTGGATATCCCTGGGCTTTCAGACTAACAAGGAACTGCCTTGAGATTGTGCTGAATCATTGCTTGAACTCGTGTGGAATTCCACAGGCTTTTGAACCCTGAGCAGCTGCAGGCTGATGCTATTCTTAGCTCCCAGTCCCCAGAAGCCTGTGTCCTGCCCTTGCACTGCCACCGTTGCTGCCACCTCTATACCAGGGAGGAAGCAGGGGGGCTGGGCACTTTTGCACACTCCAAAGATGGATACTGCTGCCATTACTGCAGAATGGAGGAGCAAGCAGACTGTGTGCCCTGTGGCTCCCTGCTTCTGCTGAGGGAGTGCTGTCATCCCTGGTGAGAAGGCCACACCAGTCACCTTGCTCTGAATTAGCATTTCAGCTGTGGCATGGCACTATTCTGAGAGCCAAGCACCCAGAGGGCTGCATTCTGCCCTGGGGCCAAATCAAGGAGGGAGTTGGGAAACCAGGCACCTTCACACACCCCAGGGATGATATCACCACCTCTGCTGTGAGATGGAGTCATGAGCAGGCTGCATACCCTGCAGCTGCATGCCTTTGTTGCTCCTGCTGAGAGGGTCCAACCTTCCCTGGGGGCAGGCCCTCAGCACAGCTGCTCTGTTCCCACCCTAGTGTTCTGCTGGGGGCCTGGAGAACATCCCATCCCTTCCTATCACAACCAGTAACTAGTCCTGGGGAACTGAGGAAAGGCCACCAGTCGAGTCCTAATCCATTCCCTCCAAGACTCATGTACATCATCCAGGGTGCTGTCTAGGGGCCAGGGTATTGGGCATTGCCTAGCCCAATCCACCACTGCCGACACCTGATTAATACCCAGAGGGTCTGAAGTTAAGCCAACCCAACCAGCCAACACAACCACAGCTGGCACCCACCCACATGCACTGAAAGGTACAGCGCCTCCCCGACTTTACACGAATAGCAGTGTTCCAGCATTGGAGAGCAGGCATGCAGCGAAGCTGTCTGTATTGGATTGAGAGATGAGGCTCCTCCTGATAGCCACTTCTACAGAAAACCAAGGGACAGGTGTTCTTTGTGCCTGTCAGCTACATGGTTGCCTGGAGACAACTGAGAATGTCTGACTGAATTGAAAGCCATGAGCCCTGCAACAAGGGTGTAACAGGGAAATGGATCATGTTCCTGCCTAGGATGTGGAGATGATGCAGCCACTTAACCCCATGTGAATACTTTGGTGCATTTCACCAGGAGATCCCCCTGCCACCTCCATTAGGGCTGATGCCTGTACTCAACCCTGAGAAATTCATGGGCAAGCTTGCTAGGTCAGCTCCACATAGCTTTCTCCCCCATATTTCCAGGCTGAACAGTGAACTCAGGGCATTAGATGTTGCACAAACCAGCTCATCACCTTAAACAGAGAGCACCTCCCAGTGGACAAAGATCAAGTACATACCCATACATTTCTGCCATAGAAAGCTCTAAAATATTTCACCTGCTGGCCTGGAGGTTGAACTGCATAACCTAATACAAAACTTGGTGACACAAGTGCACATTACTGGTGAATGAGATGAGCTTCTTGAGACCTACACAATCCCAGTCACACAGCAGGCAGTGAACCTGCTGATATGCACAGTATATCACTATTGCAACTAGAGTTTGAGAAAGCCACCACACAAACACTATCTATAAAGAAGCAACTCATACAGAGCTTTGGCCCCCTGAAAGCACCTAGAATTGAAGGAAATGACCATACACAACATACATATGGAGTACCATCAAAATGAGAGTAAATTCAAAAATAAGAAGTGACAGTTTTTCCAGATGAGAAGGAAATAGCATCAGAACTCAGGCAATATGAAAAAAGAGCTCAATGAGATCCAAGAGAAAGTTGAAAACCAAACAAAGAAATAAAAAAAAAAACTCAGGATCTAAAGAATTTCCTAAATAGATACACATTTTTAAAACACCAAACAGACTACTTGAAATAAAAAAATTATTGAAGGAATTATGAAATACAGTTGAAATATTTAACAATAGAATAGACTAAGCAGAAGGAAAATATCAGAGCTGGAAGACAGATCTTTTGAATTAACCTCGTCAGACAAAAATTAAGAAGAAAATCCTCAAAAATATCAGCAAACCAATCCAATAGTTCATAAAAAAGATAATACATCACAATCAAAGGGGTTTTATTTCAGGAATAAAGGAAATTTAAACATATTAAAATAAATGTGATTCATTACATAAACAGAATTAAAAACAAAAACCATATGGTCATTGCAATAGATCCAGAAAAAGCATTTAATAAAACTCAATATCTTTTCATGACAAAAAACCCTCAACAAACTAGGCATAGAACGAACATACCTCACAGCAATAAAAAGCATACACAACAAACCCACAGCCAACATTATACTGAACAGAAAAAAGATTGAAAGCATTTTTCCTAATAACTGGAAAAAGAAAAGAATGCCCACTTTCACCACTCCTATGCAACATAGTACTGAAAGACCTTGCCAAAGCAACGAGGCAAGAAAAAAATAATAAAAAGCATCCAAATTGGAAAACAGGGAGCCAAATTTTCTCTTTGCTGATGATATGATCTTATACCAAGAAAATCCTAAAGACTCCTCTAAAACTTCCTATATTTAATAAATGAATTCAGTAAAATTTCAGGATACCAAATTAAAATGAAATCATATGTAGTATTTCTATACACCAGTAATATTCAAAGTGAGAACCAAATCAAAAACTCAATTTTATTTGCAATAGCCACAAAAAGAATAAAATACCTAGGAATACGTTTTTCCTAGGAAGAGAATGGCCTTTACAAGAACAACAAAACACCAAAACACGAATTAAAGAAATTATAGATCTCACAAACAAATGAAAAACATTCCCTGCTAATGGACTGATAGAATAATCATTGTTAAAATGACCATACTAGCCAAAGCAATCTATAGATTCAATGCAATTTCTATAAAGTTACCAATGCCATTCTTCACAGAATTAGAAAAAACAACCCAGAAAAGATCCTAAATAGCCAAAGCAATCCTCAAGAAAACAATAAAGCTGTGGGTATCACATTACCTACTTCAAGTGATACTACTAGGCTATAGTAACCATAACAGCATTGTGCTGGTATGAAAATAGACACATAGATCAATGAAGCATAACAGAGAATTCAGAAATAAAGCCACATACCTACAACCAACTGATCTCTGATAACCTCAACAAAAATATACAATGAGAAAAGGATACCCTATTCAATAAATGGTGCTGGGGAAGTTGGATAGCCATATGGAAAAGAATGAAACTGGACCCCTATCTCTCACCACACACACAAATTAACACAAGCTGGATTGAATACTTAAATGTGAGATGAGGAACTATAAAAAATACTAGAAGAAAACCTAAGAAAAACTCTTTGGACATTGGCCTCGACAAAAATATTATGATTACCTCAAAAGGAAATGCAACAAAGCAAAAATAGTCAACTGGGACTTAATTAAACTAAGCAGCTTATGCACAGCAGGAGAAACTCTAGAGGGAGTAAACAGACAACTTACAGAATGGGAGAAAATATTTGCTAATTATGCATCCTACAAAGGACTAATATTTAGAATCTACAGGAAACTCAACCAGAAAAAAAAATACCCCATTAAAAAGTGGATAAAGGACAAGTACAGACATTTCTCAAAATAAGACATACAAGTGGCCAACAAACATAAAAAACCACCATCACTAATCATCAGAGAAATGCAAATTAAAGCCACAATAAGATAATATCTTAAACCAATCAGAATGGCTATTACTAAAAATTCAGAAAATGACAGATGTTGGCAAAGATAAAGAGAAAAGGGAATTCTTTTACAGCGATTCTTGGTGAGAATGTAAATTAGTACAACCTCTATGAAAACAGTATAGAGATTTCTCAAAGAACTAAAAATAGAAGTACCATTCTATTCTGCAATGTCACTACTGGATATTTACCCAAAGGAAAACAAGTGATTATATAAAAAGACAACAGCATTCATGTTTATAATAGCACTTTTCATAATAGCAAAGTTATCAAATCAAGCTAATTGTCATCGACAGATGATTACATTTAAAAATGTGGTATTTAGTTACCATAGAGTACTACTCAGCCATAAAAACAATAAAATCATGTCTTTTGCAGCAATGTGCACAGCAGGCATTATTCTACATGAAATTACTCAGAAACAGAAACTCAAAAACTACACATTTTCATCCATAAATGGTACCTGAACCATGGGTACACACAGACATACAGAGAATAATAGACACTGGAGACTCTAAAAGGTGGAAGAGTGAGAAGGGGGTGAGGAATGAAATACTATTTATTAGGTGTAATGTACACTATTGGGGTGATGAGTACACTAAAAGCCCAGACTTCACCATTATGCAATATATCTGTGAAACACAACTGCACTTGTATCTCCCACATCTATAAAAATTTTACAAAGGGGAAAAAACCCTAACCCATTCATGCATTATTGAAATTTAAAATATCAGCCTAAAAGAATGAGGTAGGAATGAGTGGGAATGAGAAGAAATACATTTGAATGCCTTGTAAAGAATAGTTACCTAAAGAATAGTAGATTCATTTACATATATTTTTCTAATCCTTACAAAACCCCTGAAAGTTATGTGTCCTTATGTTTATGCTAAGAATATTAGGATACTAAGTTTTAAATATGTAAGTTAACTTGCCTTTGGTAGTATATCCAGGATCCAAAACCAAAGTCCTTTTCTCCATTACATCATTTCTAATGTTGGATCAAATTTGGATACAATTATACAACTAATTGCATGTACTAACATTTGTATGTTCTTGATAACTATACTTTATTTGGTTACATTAAATTCTTCAAAATAAAAAATTCTCTCAAATACATTATCTGTCTATTGCCTAAATTTCAATAAATGTGATCTGTAAAGTAGTGGCTAATGTTTGTATTTACCAGGATATGTCATGCGAGCTAATTTTTTGTGTGAGTTTTCCTTTAATCAGAAAAGAAAAAAGGATAAATCAAGTTAGACTATTGTACAATACAAAAAGTATGGCTATTGACATGGTTTGGCTCTGTGTCCCCACCCAAGTCTCATCTTTAATTGTAATCCCCATGTGTCTAGGGAGAGACCTGCTGGGAGGTGATTGGATCATGGGGGCAGTTTCCCCCATGCTGTTCTTGTGATAGTGAGTGAGTTCTCATGAGAGCTGATGGTTTTAAAGTGTGGCACTTCCTTGCTCTCTCTCTCTCTCTCTTGCCAGTTGCCATATAAGATGTGGTTTTCTTCCCCTTCACCTTCCACCATGATTGCAAGTTTCCTGAGGTCTGCCCATCCATGTGGAACTGTGAGTCAGTTAAACCTCTTTTCTTTATAAATTACCCAGTCTCAGGTAGTATCTTCATAGCAGTGTCAGAACGGGCTAATACAGCTACTATGTGTAGTGACTTCTATTTTCTTTCTGATATTCCACTCTGTAGCTATAGAACTGCACACAGAAATTGAGCTTCCTGAATAAGTTAAAATTAACCATTCATCATAATATCATCATGAGGACCCAAGAACAAGATTTTCTGTTGAGAAAGGTGTGCTCCATATACAGAGTTTCATGAAGGAGAACTAAGTAAATTATTTGGCTCATAAAATGACTATGAGACAATGCTTTAAAAATATTGAGTAATAACACATATAGTATTTTATAATATGCAGGTGCTCTTACATATAATAATTTTATTATCACATGAAATTTATATTCTATTTGTAGAGATGAAGCAATCAGAATCAGAAAATTTAGAAACTTTTTAAAGGTCAAGTGGATAGTAAATTACCATTACACAACTTGAATCCAAGTCTTTTGGCCAGACTAGATCCTGAACAGTAAGAAATATGGCAGAACCTCCATTTGTACTGATACTGTGCAAACATATTTAGCTCTAAAATATTTTATCTATATTGATTATTCTTAGAAAGTTATTCCAAGACTATTTGTTTATGTATCAATTTATTGATTCTTTTGTTGAATATTTATTGAGTGCCTTCTATAGGCCAAGCACTTATACAGACATTAAGGATATAGCAGTGAATACATGAGATAAAAATTCCTGCCTCAAAGAACGTACATTTTAATGCAGAGGAGATAGTAAAACAAACAAACAAACAAACAAACAAGGAAATGAGTCCTATGTTTGTATAACATAGACTTTAAGAGCTCAGGCTCTATAGTTATACTGTCTGAATTAAAAGCCATACTGGATCAACCATTGCAAAATACATAACTTGCTTGTCTTTAGTTTCCTAATCTGTAAAATTGGAAATAAAGTCATAATCATCTCCTTATTTTGCAGAAGAAATAAATGCAGAATTCTTGGAAGACTGAGTAAACAATAGAAGCAAAATTCTGGAAGATTTATTTGCTCACAGTCTGCCCTTTATAAATGTCAGTTATTATTTATGGGGATGTAGAAGATTTTTTCCTTTTGTTTTATTTTTCTTTTGATGCTTCAGTCATTCATTCAACACATAAATGAATGTCTAGATAGTTTCCTAGAATGTGGTTTCTGTATTCTACTATAACAAAAATATAATGGGCAGTTAGACAGGTAAACAGCATGAACTGGTGTCACAATAAAGGTAATCCACAAGACTATAAAGATATGATACAGAAACTCCTAATTGCCCAGGGAGCTTGTATTAGATTCCTAGCACACCATAATGAAGTATAGTCATGCTCCACTTAAGATGTTTCAGTCAATAATGGACCACATATATGACAGTGATCCCCTAGATTAAAATGGAGCTAAAAAATTTCTATTACCTGATGACTTGTGTTAGTTGCTTTTAATATTCAGTGCAAGAACATGCTGCACAGGTTTGTATCCTAGGGGCAGTAGGTTCTACTGTACAACCTAGGTGTGTAGTAGTCTATACTGTTTTGGTTTGTGTAAGTGCTGTACACTCTGTGGTGCTCACACAATGACAAAACTGTCTAACAGTGCATTTCTCAGAATGTATCCCCATCATTAAGTGATGCAGGACTGTACCACAAATTAGGTGGCTTAAACAACAAAAATTTATTGTCTCACAGTCCTGGAGGTTTGAAGTCTAAAATTAAGGTGTGGGCAGAATCCACACCCGTTTTCACTTCTAGCCCGTAGGGGAATTCTTTCTTGCCTCTTCCTAGCTTCTGGTTATTCACTGACAATTTTTGTGTTCATTGGCTTGTAGATGCATACTTTAAGCGCTGCATTCGTCATCACATGACGTTTTCCCCATGTGCAACTTTCCTCACTTGGCTGTCTCCTTATAACACCAGCTATATTTGATTAGAGGCTCGCCCTATTTCAGTATGACCTCATCTTAATTACATCTGCAAAGACCCTATTTCGAAATAAGGTCACATTGCAAGGTACTGAGGGTTTAGATTTCAATGTATCATTTATGTTTTTGAGAAGGGAAGGCACAATTTAACTTATAACAGAGCTCAAGAGGTATTTCTGGGACGTTTAAGTTGATAAATAAAAATTTATGAAATAATCTTAAACTTTCTCTTTTATATTAAATTAATTACAATACCTGTACTGTTTATTAATAGTTATTTTATTCCATGGCTTTTATGAAAATTGCCACATTAGGATGATAAGGAGTTTAAAGTACAAATGCATTTGGTTCTTTTTAAAAACCTTATTTTCTGGAGAAATTTTAGGTTCACAAAAAAATTAATCATATTCTTCAATCCCCTCCACCCATAACCTTCCCACTGTTAACATCCTACGCTATAGTGGTACATTTATAACAATTAATGAACCTACATTGACACATTATTATCCTCCAAAATCCATAGTTTATAGTAGAGTTTACTCTTGGTGTACATTCTATGAGTTTTGATTAGTGTATAATGACATATATCTGCCATTATATCATCATACATAGTATATTTACTGACCTAAAAATCCGCTGTGCTCTGTATATTCGTCCCCCACTCCCTGTTAAACTCATGCAACCACTGGTCTTTCTTTTGTCTCCACAGTTTTGTCTTTTTCAGATGTCATATAGTTGGAATTATACAATATGTAGGCTTTTTAGATTGGCTTCTTTTCACTTAGCAGTATGTATTTAAGTCTCCTCCATATTTTCTCAAGTCTTGAAAGCTCATTATCTTTATAGTGCTGAGTAATATCCCGTTGTCTAATGGACCACAGCTTATTTAAACACTCACCTACTGAAGGAAATCTTGGTTGCTTATAAGTTTTGGCAATTTTGAATCAAGCTCTAAATATGTGTGTGCAGGTTTTTGTGTGAATATAAGTTTTCAACGCCTTTAGATAAACACCAAGGAGTTTAGATAAATAAATATCAAGTGCTGGATCATAGAGTAAGAGTCTGCTCAGTTTTGTAAAAGAATTTTCAAACTGTCTTCCAAAGTGACTGTACTGTTTTGCATTTTCACCAGCAATGAATGAAAGTTCCTGTTGCTCCACATTTACTTCGGCATTTAAGGTTTTCAGTTTTGGATTCTTGCCATTCCAATAGGCATGTAATGGTATCTCATTTTCATTGTAATTTGTAATTTCCTAGTGACATATGGTGTTGAACATCTTTTTATATGCTTACTTGCTATATGTATACCTTCTTTGGTGTGGTTTCTACTCAAGTTTTTGCCTGTTTTAAAATTGGGTGGCATATCTTATTATTGGTGAGTTTTTTGAATTTTTTTTTCAGCTGCCCTTTATCAGATGTGCTCTTTGCAAATATTTCCTTCAAGTCTATAGCTTGCTTTCTCTATCTTTTGATTTGTATGTGTTTACAATGCATATTATAAAGACATTTCTGACATTATATAGCAAGTGTAATTTTCTTTATTTTTGAGAGGAAGAATCATTATGCTATAAAGTGGTCTGGAAAATTACATTTTGCCTGTTAATGTATTCGAGCATCAATTTTGAGAAAATACATATAACATCTAAATTATATTTAAAATTTAATATTTTCTTTATTCTTGAAAGCTAGTGAATATTTAGAATTCAAGCAAATAAAAGTATTACATATCAGAATTAAAGTAGCTATTAAAATAGTAAGAAAGAAGATACTTTTAAAATGTAGAATATATTTAAATTAAGTTACAATTAGGAAAATAAAGTATCAATGCAAATGAGAGAAAAAATGTGCTCAGGTAGTCAATGGAAGTATATTTGAGAAGTGTTTTTATTTGTGAAAATGTATGGGGCATGTGATACATTTTTTATAGGTATATAATGCATAGTGATTAAGTTGGGATATTTAGGGTGCCTATCCCCTGAGTACAACACATGTTTTAAGTATAGTCCTCCTACTCTGCTAGCAAACAGTGAATTTGTTCCTTTATCCCTCTTAGGCCACTTCTCTTGATTTCCCCCATCTCAACTCACCCTTTCCAGTCTTTGTTATCTATTTTCACACACCGTATGTCTATGTGTTGAAATTTTTTAGCACCCGCATATAAGTGAGAACATAAGATATTTGACTTTTCTTGCTTGGCTTATTTTACATAAGATAATGATTTCTAATTCCAGCCATGTTGCTTCAAATGACAGCATGTCATTCTTTTTTATAGCTGAATAGTATTCCATTGTGTATATATACCATGTTTTCTTCATCCATTTCTCCACTGATGGACACTTAGTTTGGTTCCTTATCTTTGCTATTGTGAATAGTGTTGCAGTAAATATGAAAATGCAGCTATACCTCTGATATATTGATTTATTTTCCTTTGGGTAGATATCTAGCAGTGAAATTGCTGGATCAAATGAAAATTGTGTTTCATTTTTTTGCAAAATTTTCATACTGTTTCTGTAGGGGCTGTACTAGCTTACATTCCCTCCAATGGTATATAAGAGTTTCCTTTACTCTGCATCCTCACCAAGATATCTGATAACTTTCAAATCTCCTTTTTCATGGATAATTATTTCCACCCTCACCAAAACTTATCGGAGTTTCCAATGAATTACATTAGATAAGCAGCAGGTCTAATCCTTATCTTGCTCACCTTCTAAGGCACCTATTTATAGACAACTAACAAACGGAAAGATACTAGGTGAAAAAAGAAAGAATATATGTTAGATCATCATAAACCACTGAAGCTTGAATATATGGATAAAACTGTAGAACAAAATACTAACCCACTTTATGTATCTAAAAGAACATTGTGAAATAAAAAGGAAATATTAGATTCAAAGGTTATACTCAGCATAATAATTTGAAACAGTGTAATCTCCATGCAAGCCTTGGAATAATAAAATAACAGTTATTCCCATTACTGTTGTCGACATCTCATTAATTGCATATCTTGATATCCCTTAGAAAAGGTGAAAATCCCCTGATAAAACCTTGGCAATGAATAAGTGTAGCCAACCCTTAAGGAATTAAGATAAGATGAGAAAAGGTTATAAGAATAGATCTCTGGAGCCCAGCTGAAAAACTAAATTCATTTACTGAGCTGCAGTAAGCTAACAGGAATAAACAAAGCAATCTGAAAAGCAGAATAAAAAAAATCTGGAGACATAAAAGTGAAGATGACACAGAAATTCCCTGAGCTATGAAACAAATTTCCTATATATTCTCTCATTGATGGGTACAGGGAATTCCATTTGAAAAAATGTATTAGCTTTGTTTACACTGGTGGTGCAAAGTCACTTTTCTATAGGGAGGCTTATCTCCAATGATGGGGCAAAAAGTGAATCTGCCTATTAACAAATAATAACTATACTGAGTTTATACAAATATATTTCTTCTGACTTTGTAGAAGTATAATCATTACTAAGTAAAATTTATACATGTTATACAAGCATACATCAAATATGTATATAAAGTTTATACTTTATACATACATGTATGTGTGTGTATGTACACAGTATTATTTCTCTATGATAAGGAAACTGAAATTTCCATTTTCTTTAGGAATCTATTGTACATGAAGCCTGAGCACTTTTGGAATTTAGGACTGAGACTATAGCGTCAAATAGTCAGGGAGTACGATGAAGAGCTGGGGTAAGAATACTCAGATTATTTAATCGGTTATTCTCTACCACTTTTGGAAAAGAAGCAATCAAAGAGATTTGCATGTGATAAAATGTATATTACAGATCCTACTGATCAAAAATAAATCAACCAATTTTCAGCAGTGACCTAGTCATTTTCAAAATAGTAGTGTTATGCCCAGGCAATACTTAGAGAGGCAGCTACTGTTCAATAGTATCAAAACAGTACTATTAGTTGGAATCACTTTAATTGTGAAAAATTATATAAATCCAGACATTTTCTTTGAAATATAGTTCCATGTGTATAGGTTTTAAAAGACTGGGTTTCTGTGTGACTAAAATATAAAATCAAATGCATATCAGATTTTATAATTCACATATTCTTATAAAGATGGATAGAAATTAATGCTTTATGTAAAATGTATTATGTTTTATTTTTCATAGATACAAATATTTTTGTAAAGTGAGTTTTCACACCTTCATTTATTAAAATATATCTAATTTTTCAAAGAATTTTGAAGAATTTAGCATGCTAGATGTTCTGCTACATTATCTCTTTCATTGTTTTTTTCCAAACACTACTGCATTTTCTAATTACAATATGTCTGACAAACTCGTGCATCATTGCAGTGCCTACAGGACCTTAGCAATATGCATTGAACGTAGAAGGTGCTCAATGATGACTTCTCGATTCAAATGGTAGGAAAAGCTTTAGGAGAAAGACCTATAACCACAATTTTGTTCATAACAATTACAATAATGATCTTCACTATTAGACCTACCTACTCAAAATGATTATAATCTGCCTCTTCTAACAACTGAGGTCAGTGGACCTGTTTTGCTTTACTATATAGCTCCATGAAGTTCCCAAAACCATGCCTTAAGAGATTTATGAAGCAATGTGGGATTTGGCTTTAAGTCTTACATTATGATCATCTGCTTGGTCCTCTGGTCTCTAGCTTGTACTGCAGCTCTGGAATCCTTTATTGTTCTATTTGTTTTTACTCCAATTCTAGTGCTGTAAGAATTGAGAACTCTGCCTTGTTTTCTTGAAGTTACTTTACAGGTAGAACCCATTCTTGAACCTTAGCCTAGCAGCTGGACCATTGTTAGTTACTGAGTCAATATTTTATGTCTAAATCAATGCATTTTTCAATCTCTAAGTAGGATTTTTTCTTAAAATTTCTTTGGTTCCATAACGGATTCTCCCTTCATGTTTTTTTTTTGTTTTGTTTTGTTTTTTTAATTCTTTCAGGCTAAATACAAATCTGTTGTAATACCCTTGGAACACCATGTTGTGCCTGACTGGAGCAGATGACCTTGAATTACGACTGAGTTTGTTAACTCAGAGCTTTACCTCCCCAGGGAGCAAGTCTCATTTCAGATTTTATTTATCAGGTAGTATTTTCTTTTCAACTACAGGTAGTGGAATTATGATTGAATCCATGCTGAGATAATTTCCTCAGTCTCAGCATAATTTGGGCTTGAATTAAGGTTAACAGTCATCCATCGTCAGCCAGATTTCTGTCACAACTCGTAAGTTGTCTACTTAGAACTCAAAGCTGTCTGGCTAATTCGTAAGTATGAACCTTGAAGAAGCCAACTATTTGCTAACCAGCATTCCAAATCAGACTCTTAAACATCTGTCTTTAAAACTGCTGCCATCTTGCAGCAACTCTGCTATTGTTGATTTATTTTCACAGTCCTAACTTGCTTAGATCTTATCTGAATCTCACCTTTATTTCACTCTAGTCTTCTAACCAGATCTCTCCAGGGCCCATTAGTTAACCTAAGAATTTAACTTGTCCATTTTGAAGAGCAAGGACTGCTTAAGCTGTGGTGTGCCTACCTAACTCCAACAAGCCATTGCCTATACTGTTTTACTGACCAGATTGCCATGTCTCATAAAGATTCCACCAGGAATTCAGAAGTATCCATTTAGCAACAGAGCTGGAGGGCTATTGCAAAGATTACAATTCCTACCTCTGAAGCTATCAGTGTAAAAACAGATCTTAACATGAATCCTAAATACTGACACCTTGCTGCTTTGCCTGTGGGGTGAGTGAGGAGTGTACAGCAGAGGTGTAGTAGCTATAAGGAAGAGAAAAGAAGGTCCTTTATTTTGTACTTTCTCTCCTCCCCACTTTCCCACTTCTCTCATTATACACCATCTTAATATTACCACCCAGCCATTAGGATGAGAGGTGTGAAATAAGATTGTGCTCAATGCTGGAATAGTTGGTTATCAGTGATGAAGTCTAGAGGTGGCTTTCCATGAAGGGCTTATTGTAGCTAGGACACATAGCAGCACAACTACGGAAGCAGTAAAGGAATGGCACAGACAGCAGTTCCAGGAAGCTGCTAAATTCGAGATGTGTGAATATTCTTTTTAGCTTTGCACTATCATTCACCAAATCATTTGCCAGATGATAAGAAAAATTAATTGCTGTGGGTTCATGTGACCTCAAGTACAAGATAAAGTGTAGAGTTAAGGTTACTGAATACAACTATGAGAGAATTTTATAACATTATATTTTAACCCAAAAACATTAAGACTGAACTTAGGTGATATCAGCAAGAAGACTTCTAGTGTCCCTCCATGGCAACAATAATTTGGCAACCATCTACAGACAAAAGTGCCTTTATGGAAGCTTTGAGATCCCGATAAGAGTCTGAGAAACACGGGTGGAACCCAAGACTGAGGAAGACTATTTGAGAAGTCAGGCTCATACCAGGTAGTAAGCTTGCCAGCAGTGGTCCTGGCTAGAAACCTGGAAGCAACCCATCTCCCTATGGACTCAGCTCCAGCTCCCATTTCGTTGTGATCCTACAACTACCCCTTATCCACCAAGGGACCCGGGAGAAGCAACACCCATCTGTATCCTGGTAACTGGCCCATAGGCTGTAGACTTAATTATGAATCCTAAAGTGACCCCGTAACTGATATCCAGCCCTGCTCTATCACCAGTTCAAAGTCATCCTGCCTACACAGGGGCAGCCAGACATACCCCTTCATGACGCTGGTAACAGGCTCATTGGCCGTGTACTGGACTGCAGATCCTGAAGCAGCCCTGTGTTCTGGCCCTAATAGCCTCATGACTCAGCTGTAGCCATTCAATATTACTATAAATGTAAATAATATGAATAATATTACTATAAATGTAAATAAAATGAATAATATTATCCAATCAAAAGACATATAGAGTGGCTTAATAATAATAACAAAACAAACAAAACTAAATTCTGGCTACAAGAGATGCACTTCAGCTTCAAGGACTCACAGAAGCTGAAAGTAAAATGATGGAAAAGATATCCCATGCAAATGGTAAGCAAAAGAGACGAGGAATAGCTATAATTGTATCAGATAAATAAACTTGTCAAAACTGTGATAAGAGACAAATAAGGTTATAATTATATAATGATAAAAATGTCAATTCATCAAGAGGATGTAAAAATTGTAATTAAATATGAATCCAACATTAGAGACCTTAAATTTTATATAAAGCAAATGTTAACAGAACTGAAGGGAGAAATAGACAGCAAAACAATAATAGTATGGGTCTTCAATACCCTACTTTCTCTCTTTTCTTTTCTTTGTTCTTTTTGAGACAGGGTCTCACCCTGTCACCCAGGCTGTAATGCAGTGGCACGAACACAGCTCACTGCAACTTTGACCATCTGGGCTCAAGTGATCCTCCCACCTCAGCTTCTGAGGTGGAAGCTCGTTGTGCACCACCACACTTGGCTAATTTTTTCATTTTTTTGTAGAGATGGGGTCCTGCTATGTTGCCCAGTCTGATCTTGAACTCCTGGACTCAAGCAATCCGCCCACCTCAGCCTCCCAAAGTGCTGGGATTACATGCAGGAGCTCACTTTCAACAATATATAGATCACCTAGACAGAAAGTTAATAGGGAAAGTTAGACTTGAACTAACTTTAGACCAAATGGATTTGACAAACATACACACTACATTTCATCCAACAGCAGCAGGATACACATTTTTTCTCAAGCAGACGCGAAACATTCTCCAGGATAGATTACATGTTAGGCCACAGAACAAGCCTTAACAAATTAAAAAATTAACATCATATCAAGTATATTTTCTGACTATAATAGCATTTAACTAGAAATCAGTAATGAATAAAATTGGAAAAAGAATAAGCCTTAACAAATTAAAAAATTAACATCATATCAAGTGTATTTTCTGACTATAATAGCATTTAACTAGGAATCAATAATGAATAAAATTGGAAAACATATAAACTTATGGAAATTAAGGAACGTCCTTCTGTACAACTGATGAGACAAAGAAAAAATGAGTAGGGAAATAAATATACTGAGACACAAAAAATGGGAACACATACAAAACTTATGGAATAGCAAAAGCATGTTTAAGAGGGAGGTTTATACTTATAAATGAGTACATTAAAAAATATCTCAAACAACCTAACTTTAGTCTTAAGAAACTAGAACAAAGAACACACAAAGCCCAAAGTTAGCAGAAGGTAGGGAATAACAATGATTAAAGCAGGAATAAATGAAATAGACACTGAAATCTTTAGTTAGACCAAGGAAGGAGAGAAGGTTAAAGTAAAATAAAATAAAAAATGAAAGAGGAGGCATTTTTGTGAGATTACTCTGAACAATTATATGCTGACAAACTGCATAAACTGGATCAAATGGATAAATTCCTAGAAATATACAGCCTACAAACACTGAATCATGAAGAAATAGAAAATCTACATGGAATAATAACAGAAAATCAAATCAGTAACAAAAATCTCCCAAAAAAGCAAAGTCCAGGACCAGATGACTTCACTGGTGAATTCTACCAAACATTTTAAAAAGAAGTAATATTAATCCTTCTTAACAAAATAAATTACAGGCCATGATGTCTGATGAACACAGATGAAAAAATCCTCAACAAAATGCTAGCAAACCAAATCCAACAGCACATTAAAAGGATCATACAACATGATCAAGCAGGATTTATCCTTGGTATTTAAGGATGGTTTCACATACATAAGTCAATAAATATAAATCACTAAATTAATAGAATGAAGGATAAAAATTATATAATAATCTCAATTGATCCAGAAAAACAATTTGACAAAATTCTACATCTTTTTATAATAAAAGCTCTCCACAAATTAGGTATAGAAGGAAGGTACCTCAACATAATGAAGGTTCTGTCTGAAAAACCTACAACTAACATCATGCTTTCAATGGTTCCACTAAGAACTGGAACAAGACAAGAATGCTCACTCTTGCCACTTCTATTCAATATAGTATTGAAGGTCTTAGCCAGAGCAATCAGGTAAGAAAAAAAAATAAAGGTATTCAAATAAAAAAGAAAGAAGTAAAATTATCTTTGTTTGCAGATTACATGATCTTATATATAGACAAGCCTAAAGACTTCACCAAAATACTGTTAAAACTAATAAACATTTCAGTAAAGTTGGAGGATATAAGATCAAACTACAAAAATCAGTTGCATTTCCACACTCTAGCAAAAACCTATCCAAAAAGGAAATTATGAATACCATCCCATTCACGATAGCAACAAAAATAATAAAATACTTGGGAATAAATTTAACCAAGGAGGTGAAAGACCTGGGCACCGAAAACTATAAAATACTGTTAACAAGTTGAAGAAGACACAAATAAAAAGATATCTTGTGTTCTTCGATTAGAAGAAGTAATATTGTCACAATGTCTATACCACCAAAAGTGTTTTACAGATTTAATGCAATGTCTATTAAAATGCCAATTGCATTTTATTCACAGAAATAGAAAAGAAATCCCGAAATTAATTTGTAACCACAAAAAACTTTTAATAACTACAGCAATCTGGAGCAAGAAGTACAAAGCTGGAGGCATTGTACTTTCTGATTTCAAAATGTATTACAAAGCTATAGTCACCAAACACCATGGTATGGCAATAAAAAGACAGACTCATTGTCAAGCTGAACAGAACAGACAGCCCAGAAATAAGCCCACATATCTGAGATCAACTAATTTCCCACAAACTTGCCAAAAATACCAATAGGGAAAGGAAAATATCTCCAATAAATGATGTTGGGAAAATTGAATATACACATACAAAAGAATGAAGCTGGACCTTATCTTACACCATACACAAAAATTAATTCAAAATTGAATAAAGACCTAAACATAAAACTGAAAATGTAAAACTCTTAGAAGAAAACATGGGGGTGAAAGTTCCTCGACACTGATTTTGGCAATGACTTTTTGGGATATGACATCAAAAGCACAGGCAGTAAAAGCAAAAATAAAAAAGTGGGACTATATGAAACAAAATAGTTTCTGAATAGCAAAAGAAACTCAATCTAATGAAAAGGCAATCTATGGAATAAAAAATTTGCAAACTATATCTCTAATAAAAATTGATATTCAAAATATATAAGAAACATACAAGTTCATAGCAAAAAACAAGTAACTTGATTTAAAAATGGGCAAAGGACTTAGACATTTTTACAAAGACGATATAAAAATGGCTTTTGGGTAATGAATGGGTTCTCAACATCACTAATTATCAAGGAAATACAAATTTATACTACAATGAGCTATCAGTTCACATCTGTTAGGATAGTTATTAAAAATATAAGAAGTAAGTGTTGGTGGATATGTGGAGAAAAGGGAACACGTATACACTGTTGGTGGAAGTGTATATTGGACAGCCATTATGGAAATCAGTATGGAGAATTTAATAGTAGAGCATACATGTAATTTTGCAATCTCACTTCTTGGTATATTTCCGAAGGAAATAATATCATCTGAAAAGGTTCCGTGCATTTGTAGATTCACTGCAGAATTATTCACAATAATCAAGATATAGAAACAATATAGGAGTCTGCCTACTGATGAATGGATAAAGAATATATATATGTGTACGTGTGTATGTATGTATGTATATATTTATATAGAGATATATGTATGTGTGCATGCATCGATATATGTACACACTATGTGCATATATATATATATATACACATATACATACACACAAAGTAGAAAATTAGCCTTAAAAAAAGAGGTAAATCCTGTCATTTATGACAACATGGACGACTCTGGAGGACATTATACTAAGGGTAATAAGTTTGACACAGAAAGACGATACATGATTTTACATATATGTGGAAGCTAATAAAGTCAAACTAATAGAAGTAGGGAATAGAAAGGTGGCTGCCAGTAGCTTGGGGGGATGGGGAGTGGAAAGACATTAGTTAAAAGGTATAAACATTTATCATAAAATAAGTAAGTGCTGGGGACATAATGTACAACATGGTGGCTATAGTTAATACTAACGTATTGTATACTTGAAATTTGCAAAGGGAGTAGATTTTACATGTTCTGTCCACACAGACACAAGGTAACTATGTGAGGTGGTGGATATGTTAATTAGTTTGAGAATTTCAAAAATTTCACAATATACATGTATATCACAGTACGTTTCACATCTGAAAGATACACAATTTGTATATGTTAATCATATCTGAATAGGCCTAAAAATACTGGTATTATTTAAATTTATTAATTAAATCTAGGAAACTATTTTCTAAAGGATGAGCTATTTTTTCTTTATGTAAATATGGGAAATAATAATGGGGGAGGTAGATTGATTTTGCTCCCTGCTCCCCGTGGTGCAAAGGGATAGAGAATCAATTAATTAAGGCCTACACAAAGGGGTGCCTAATATATTCCCAACCTCACTTTTCCTCTCAGTAGTCATATACATAAAACTTGGAAATGAGCACACGAAAGTTGGTCTAGCTGGCAGCTCTTGATTAATTTGGTGGATTTGGTGAATAGGTGGGCTTTAACATCAGTGGCTAATTTGGATATGTTTGAGAAACACCTTAAGAAGTATGTGCATTCAGTTACCTTCTGTTAGTTACATCAGATATTTAATGTGCTTTTCTCCAACAATAATAGTCTTTGATACATAAATAATTCAGTCATTAGATTCATGTAAGTATAACATATTAATAAAAATAACTAAATAAATCTTAAATTGCATTTAATGTTATCTTTTGAAGTCTTCAGGGAAATATGTTCAAAATAAGGCCAATCATTTTGATCTCAGCATTCAACTATAAAATATCCTATTTGATAACGTAAAAATCAGTTCAGTATCGGCTGCTTTAGTGGTTGTTACAAGCTTCCATCTGGTGAAACAGCAGCCCCAAATGGACAGATGTTTTAAATTTCTCATCAGGGAATAATGATCTTAATATACACGTCACAGCTACTTGGCATGGAGCAAGTGTATCTTTGGCTAGATTCTTTCATGTCCATCTGCTAGACTGGCCAGTTGCCTGCTCACAAGTTGGTCAAGTCTTTGCCATGAGACATAGGTTTCAACTTTGAGAGCATTTACATGGAAACCTTGAATTTGAGTAAGAGTAAACATTATCCCAATACTGGGCCATTTTCTATTTAGTGGTATCATATATTTTCATCCTCTATTTTAACTTAGATTCCATGGGTATATATTTCTTCATGTACTTTTCTTCCCATTTGAAAACATGATCAAGCCTATTTTTGAACTTAGTGTCTCTAACCACAGTGTCAATAAACAATTTAAGAATGAATAACCTATCCATTTGGAGGTTATTGTTTTCATTAGGAAGTCATTTACAGAAGCTATGCCTATGAAATTGCCAATCTACCAACTAGCCACGCATAAAGTAATAACTTCCTGTTTCAAATGTCATTAATTTAACAATACCCAGATGCTTTTACATGTTAAACTAACAGGAAGCAATACCTTTGTGTAGTCAAAAAAGTAATTGTTGTAAAGTTCATAAATTTGGCTTACAGCTTATGAGTTTTGGAAATACCATAAAATTTTCATTGCGAATCTAATTATTTAAGACAGAATTTGAAGAAGCTTGATTATCTAATTTTCATTCCAAAGTGAATTACAACATACAAATGAGAAACTCAGAATAAAGGTAAGGTAGAAGAAAGGGTATTAGTTCTTCTGTTTTTACCATTGAGACTGGCGAAGATGTCAAAAGAAGCTGGATGCAGAGCCATCCAATATCATTCCTATTGTCTGATAGTCCAAACAGCTCTATTATGCTCTTCATCATCCAAAGGTATATTTGATAGTTTCCTTTCTTCTCAAGTTTGTATGGGGATAACTAAAGTCTTGAAAATATGTACGAGGCACAAATGGGAAGAAAAATAACATCTAAAACTCAAGAATGAATGCGTTATTCTTAAAACGGAAGTACATATTGTATTTGTGGTATTTTAAAACTAAACTCTTCATATTGTAACTAATATAATACAATATTAGTTAATCAGAATTCTTAAGGAATAAAACATTATTTGCAATTTCGTTTTCTGGTGAGTTGAGGGGCTAACAGAAACTCTTCATGTTTTAAATCCAAAATGTTATTAGTCTATTTTTTGCCTTAATAAGAGTAAAGTGAAGATGATGTAAGCATTCTCTAATTTGGGAGGAGATTATAGAACAGCCTGGTTCTTAATTTAAATTACCATTATAACATAGGTGGAGTAGATAAATGATTCATTTTAATTTGAGCTAAATCTTACATGGTCACATTTTTTTGCTAGATTTTAAGTTTATTTTATACCTATTTTTCTTTTAAATATTTTGCAAACATGACTTGATGTTCTAATTCTGATTAACTGAGTTATCACTGAACTTTTCATAGAAATGTAATTGAGACTGTTAAATTTAAATAAAGAACTTTCCTTTTACCTTTCAAAATATTTTTATATGCCAATGTAATTCCATTCTACTTGATCTTAAAAAGTGTAAATACTCAAAATAGAAAATTTTCAAACAGGCTTTAGAGGGCCATGTAAGAGTCAATCTAGTCTAAAAATAATTTTAATACAGTAATAATTAGGATGGAAGTGTAAAAGAATCTATTTTGTTTAAACTGTTTAACAAAAATATATTCTCTAGAATTTTAAGGCAACATTATTTGTCATTTTTGATAATAATGGCATATTATATATTTAGGAAGATATTTGGCAATTCCTTGTGTCATTTGCTGAGAAAAATGTGAATTGATAAAAGAGAATGCTATATATATTTAAAAAATATTTTCCTGTCAGTAACTTAGACACTTCTCTATATAGGGAACTAATTAAATACTGAAATAAAAAAAGCACATGCTCTAATACATGTAGAATGAATATTTTAGTTCTGGATGAAAAATAAGATTCTTTGAAAAATACGAAAGAATTTTGAGGAGAAAAAAAGTACAGATCTTAAAGGTGAAAAATTATATAAATTTATTAAACAAATTGCATATAGAGAAAAATGGGCTTGAGTTGTCTTATATGCCAGCTTTCTACCTATAAGTAGCAACACATTCACCTAAGAATAATAAATTTTTTTTTAAATAATACACTCCCAAAATCCACTGTGCCAATAATTTCAGGTCCCGTTATGAGTAATTTATTCTACGAATTATGAATTATCCCTCTGATAATTGTTGGGTCCTTCATAGAGATGTAAAAAATTTGTTTTCATTGTTCTTCCTAAAAAGACTTTAGTATTTAAAGCCCTGCATTATTACATGACCCTTTAACATTTTCTTCATTCAGCTAAAGATTCTAGTTTTATTCTCTGTTGTTTTTATGAATGTTATTTTCTTTCTTTCAGTTTATTTTCTATTCTGTAATTTTCACAATATCCCTTTGGCTACAAGGTTGAGAACTAGATGCAGGTTTCCACTGATGATCAAAAGTCATTTTGTTATCACTTTGACTCCAGATATTACACTGTTGTGTGTGTAGGCAATTAGCTTGAAATTTAATTAGCTAACTTTTTCTCAGGGAGTGGTTGAGAATGGCAAAGGAAACGGTTGCAGTGTAAATTTCAACTGTTAATAGGGACAAATAACAGACAAAAATGGATGGTGCTTCCTAAAGTTTGAATTCATTTTAAAAATTATTGTTATCAAAGACATTCTTTGAATAAAATGAAAAGTAAATACAAAGCTTTTCCAGAGACCATCAGTGCCTTATTTTAGGGGGATGGTGATGTGGTGGTGATGGTGGATAAATTTAGTTTATTCATTTTATAAGTAGCTAATGATTATAAGGAATTAACTTTCTTTGTTAAAGACATATGCCAGCAATGACATGTTCGTGATGAAATGAAAATTTCTTTTGTTTGAATCTTTAATTTAGTTTAGTTTAGTTTAAGGTTGAGAGATGAATAATCATGCTTTATAGTCCTAGGACATTCACGAATAATTAGAAAGATGAAAAATTAAATGTCTATGTACACAACACTAATATCTAGCTTACAAATTGTATTTTATGTATTTTACTCAAGTAACTACACACATTCATTCATAAGATGGTGTTTACATGGTAGTATGAGTTTTGACTCTCTTTTACTCCAGTGACACTGCTGAACAAGACTGACATATGGCAGGTCTGCAAAAGTCTACTCCCCTAAACAAAACCATGCATTTTACGTGTTAGCCGTGCATTTTATATGTCAACAAAGCTGTTGTATGTGTCTCAGATCTATTGTTTTCTACCATGCGGAGCAGTTGATTGATCATCATTAATACAAATGACAAGAGGATCAAGTAAAAGTTATAACCTTATCTCATGGTCACTGTCAAAGGAGCTTGTGCCTAACATTTCTGTTTGTTGATACCAAATGTAAAGGCATTATTATGAGATTACATGTGGAGTAGTAGCATTGATAGCTGTTAGTGCTGATGGCTGTGGAACAGTATTTGTTCTAGGTTAGCAATATAGGAATGCCTTGTCAATGGAAGCTGAGTCATGGTGATCTTTAAAATAAGTGTAGCTTCCTGCATTATAAGGCATAAAATAGTTCAACAAATTTTAGCTATTCTCTCACAATTCTGCCTCATAAAAGCAGCATTGTTGTCTATTCAATTGTACAAAGAAAGTAGTACACTATAAATATTGGATAAATAAATAAATCTTATATATTAAATCCTTCAAAATATCATTTAAACAATGTTTCTACTTAATATACTATTTGTGGAATATACATTTGGTTATGTATGCAAGAATATGCCAAATAGCACTTCTATTTCTCTTTTTGCTGTGTCCCGAAGAAAACAGACAAACTATCCCTATATTCCAATTAAGATGCTAGATCATATAAGCAAGAGTAGTAGAAGAGGTCTTCAGAAACTATAACCTTTAACTGAGAATGTACCTTCAGCATACAAGAGACTGAGAGAAGAGTTGGAAAGTTGAGATTTTTTTAGAGGGATTTGTGCTGTACATCTCCCATGTCCTAATGCATCCGTGGTACAGTGGAGCAGTGAGAGATGCTTTTGGCTCAATTCAAATCAAGAAAGTAGAACATTAGTGATGTTCAAGTGATTACTTGAACCGCTGATGTATCCTCTGGAATCTGGGAGACAACAGATGGACTAGCCAATGATACATGCTGGACAAAATGTGAGTAGCTGACTAAAGTGGTCTGTGGTAGACAAATAGAGGGGTGTGTTTGGAAAGTTATTGCATTCTCATGGTTACAAGGTCAAATATATTTGCTTGCGATGATGAAATATGGGCCAAGCAAGCAATAAGTCCGGTTTCAGGTCATTATAATTAGTCCATAAAAGAGTGAAAAAAGAAGGGGAATGAGAACAAGAAGGAAAGAGACTGGAATTAATTCTGGATGCCCAGAAGCTGTGTAAGGACTGTGTTGAAAAGATACATTTTGCCCTGTATCAAGAAAGGTAGGATGAGAGATCCTTAGTTATACGCTCACTGAAAAACCCGTAAGACCCCATGAGAGCAAAAGTCAGCTTTAAACATCTACCATGGACAGAGGAAATTAATACCAAATTGCTTTATATTACAGATGCTTCCCGCCCTAATATTTATTTTCCTCCTCCCCATACACAGCTCCTATTCTAGAGGGGGCAAGTATTAAGGCTTGCTAGCAAGAAGATATAATGTCCACAAGGGCAAAGGCTAGAAAACAAATATTCCAGTTTCAGGGACTCTTCTAAGTGCTGCACTCTCTCTCTTTCTAACTCACTTAACCCAGACAATAATCCAATATGAGTAACTATTTTCCCAAGATCACGGAGTTAGTAAATTTCAGAACTGGGATTCCTTCACAGGTGTTCCCAGGTGATCTGATTCATATCAGTACCTTGCTAAAGTATCTCTGTTTGCAACACACATCTCAGTACACCTCAATTACAACCATAAGGAAGTAAAAGTTGATCTGTGCTCACTTCCTTCTGCAAATTCTCCACCTGAAGCAGGTAAGAGCTGGAGTAGAGAAGTGTGAATCTTAAATGGGAATTCAGAAGTTTGACTATTACATGGAATTTCAAGTCCTAACTATTTATGTGAGGTTTTTTTTTTTATCAAAAGAAGTCACAGGGCAACTTTTTATTTACCAAGAGTTACCAGAAATGCCAATAGCACACGTCCACAATTTTACCCAATAGGCAGATAAACATTAACCCTAAAAATGGTTTTGCATGGGTATGTAGGTAGGGGTAGTCTGTTTTCACACTACTATACAGACCTACCTGAGACTAGGTAATTTATAAAGAAAAGAGGTATAATTGATTCACAGTCCCACATGGCCAAGAAGGCCTTAGGAAACTTACAATAATGTTGGAAAGCAAAGGGGAAGCAAGGCACATCTTACATGGTGGCAGGAGAGAGAGAGGCACCCCTCTCCCCCCCCACACACAGAGAGAAACCACCACATGCTTTTAAACCACTATATCTCATGAGAACTCACTACTATAATGAGAATAGCATGGGGGAATGACCCCCATGATCCAATCACGTCCCACCAGGTTCCTACCCTGACACATGGGGATTACAACTGGAGATGAGATTTGGGTGGGGACACAGAGCCAAACCATATCCGTAGGCCAGGTAAGAATTAGCCTTGCTTTCTGATTGCACATGAGAAGTTCCACTTGTTCATTGTGTCCATTTCTCTAAGCATGTGTACATGTAAGTTGAATTATATATCCAAATTCGAATAGCTAACTATGAACCAGGAAACTGCTATTATATATGTTGACAATAAAATTAAGGGATTACTCTAAAGGAAACAGATAAGACCAAGTGAGGTAGGAAGTCGGATTCCACTCCAGAGGTGGGGCTTGGACACTGGACCAGGTTGAGTACTAGCTGAAACAGAGAAGAGGCAAAAGCCCCTCTCTGTAAGACACACCCACCAGTGTGCCATGTCAGTTTACATTTGCCATTGCAACTCCCCAAGTTACTATTTTTTTCCATGACAATGATGTGATGATCTGAAAGTTACCACCCTTTTTAAATAAAATTTTGCATAATCTGTCCCTTACTTTGCATATAATTAAAGTGGGTATAAATATGACTGCAGAACTGTCTGTGAGCTGCTGCTACTCTGGGAACACTGCCTATGGGGTAGCCCTGCTTTGCAAGGAGCAATACCTCTGTTTGTTACTGTATATAGCTGCTTTAGTAAAAGTTGCTGTCTAACATCACCAGCTCGCACTGGAATTCTTTCCTGGATGAAGCCAATAACACTTCTGGCTAATCCCCAATTTTAGGCCACATCTGCCTTGCACCATTTGGCTACCATGAAAGATGAAGAAAGCCAGAGAGGTGGCAATTGGAAAGAAACAGAGATGTGGCAGTAGGTGGGACAGACAGACAGCGATAAGTGGCTAGACAGTGGTCAATGGGATGGTGAGATAGTAAGAGGCAGCAATTGACCAGAGAAAGCAAGAAGGTGATCAAAATCTGCAGTTATGACACTGAGACTGCAACCGCAACAATAAGGAGTTACTAACACTACAGAGCTGTAACACTAGTCAAAGTCTCTTTTAAGAGCCATCATCATTTCGGTGGGCAGTGGAGTCATAGCACTGCCACTTCATGTGGGAGCTGCTGCTTCTACCAGCAGGCAGGCAGGTAGCTGGTCTCCACACTGTCTCCCAACTCCCACTGTGCCTGTCCATCCCTCCCAAGCTGAGAAAACCTGGAGAGATGTTCAACTGGGTCCCATGTGGAAGACGGTCAGCCTCATTTGGCTCCTGTGGATGGGTGAGTGTCCCCTCTGCTTTTCACTCTCCCACAGTATCTGGTACGCTGTGGGATAAAACCCTTTGGCTAAGTGGTCAATGTCCCCTATTGTTTGAGTGCCCCAAGGACATCCTTGTTTGTTTAAGATAGGACAATTTGTTGTGAGAAGTCCCCCGTTGTGTTGACTCTGGAACAACAAAGTCACATGGTTCTGTGGTCCCAATCAGGCCTTTTGGGTTCACTGTGGTCCACACCTGTGTGCTCCAGAGTTTTCAGCATTTGGTTGGCTCCCGGACACTTTGGAGTTTCCGGCATGTGATGTGGGGACCCTCATTGGTTGATACTAGGGTATTCCAGAGTTTTGGCATTTGGTATTGTTGGCTGCCTTCCCCTGTCTCCCTGATGCTTCGGGGCTTTTGGCAATGCCATTCCTTCTAGGATTGTGGGTTGAAGGCCTCCCCTTGGGGTCTCTTGGTCTTTTCTTTTCTGGTTTTCTGCCCTAAAGTTATCATTTTCTGTAACAGCATTATCTTTTCTTATCAACTTCTACATTTTGCTTAATAAAATTACTTCTTTTGTCATACTTAGTTCACTGGCAAAAGCTTATAATACACTTTAGTAACATCCCATTACCTATACTTATACATTCTCTGCAAGAAGTGAGAATCTTAAAGGGAAAAATAGCAAGGGTGTATAGTTGCTTTCCTTCTCACTAGACCTAGAAACACTTCTGTGTCCAGTAGAAATCCTTTTTAGACATGGGGACAATGATGAGCATCCCAGAGGACTCATCACTAGGGTGTCTTTTAGGCTATTGAAGCATATTCAAATTTGGCTTAAAGAAAATGAAACTCATTTTCTGTTCCAACACTATTTAGGTTCAATACAAATTAGAAAACCAGTAGATTTGGCCTAAACATGTTTCTATACATTATAATGATATTTTGCAATTGGACTTATTCTGTAAAAATGAAAGAAAATGGGAAGAGGTCCCTTATGTACAGGCTGTTATGGTCCTTTACTGGTCCACATTACATCCAGGCACAAGGAAGCTGAACCTAAGGGATTTCCTCCTAGCTGCTTCCCCTAGAAAGCCTACGGTCTCCCCACAGTCTTCTCAATCCTCCAGTTCTGAGGTGGTTCCTGCCAGTTCTCTAATGAAGGATTCCACCCCAAGGTCATCAGGCAGTCCCCTGCCCCCCTTTACCAACTAGCCCCAGACTATAACCCCTGCTGTGCAAGAAAGTAAACTCAACCAGTACCACCAGAAGTGAGGCCCCCATATAAGCCCTTAAAGTCAAACCTGTGACCTGTGTCCATTGCAGCAGGTAGCTGATGAAAATGAGGAAACACATAGAGCACATGTGCCATTTTCTATGTCTAATTTGGCTTTATACAAGAAGAAATTTAGCCATTTTTCAGAGAATACAGAAAAGTTTATAGAGGAGTTTGTTAAGTTGACCATGTTCTTTAACTTGTCGTGACTTACAAATATTCTCATCTTGCTGTGTTGTGGGAAAAACATGGAGGAAAAATTATGTGGCCAAGCCAGTCAGCTATGACAAGGTTAGAGAAATAACTCAAGGAAAAGACGAAAATTACACTCTGTTTCAGGGTCATTTAGTTGAGGCACTCAGGAAATATACTAATGCAGACCCAGACTCCCCAGAAGGGCAAGTTCTCCTGGGTATATGTTTTATTACTCTATGTGCCCCTGACATTAGGAGGAAGCTACAAAAATCAACAATGGGATCTCAAACTCCTATGAGCCAACTCTTAAATGTGGCCTTTAAAGTTCAAAATAACAAGGACAGAGCAAAAGAGGTGAAAATAAATAGCAAAAAAAAAAAAAAAAAAAAAAAAAAAAAAAAAAATTAAAAAGCAACTATTAGCAAATACTTTAAGCACCCTCGCCACTCAGGGTTACCCATCTTGAGAAAGTCGTGAGATCAGCATCTGAGATGCCCAGACAAGAGCCCCTGTCTCTCTAGCCCCTGGGCCAGAATCAATGTGCCTACTCTAAGTAAAACACTACAACCATTTTACTCGAAGTAAAATATTATAAGGCCATTGACAATGATAATGTCTTAACTGTTCCCAGTGAAAGAGAGAGAAAAGCTCCGCATCAATTTAAGGACTAACCTTCTTCAACTAGCTCTAAAGAGCTGCCTTTCTCAAGGAACTTTACAGGGGGTCTTGGACTCTTGACCCTATGTATACCTTCCTGCAGTAGCAGACGAGCAGCTATCTGAACAATTTTCTTCAGTGTCTCCACTGCTGGGTGAGCTGTCTGGCAGCTTGGGAACTCTGGGGTCTCCCCTTGAGCACTGCATTTACCCCCTCCCTTCTTTATGTGATGCTAGTCCAACAAACCCCTGTTTGTTAGGAAGAACTTTTCACCACTTAACGGATTTTACATAACCACACTCCACCCCCTACCAGTATTACCAGGACCTAGGAAGTTGGGTATCTAAATCTCCACTGCACTAATGATTCTATCTTTTGCACCTACTGCTGTGTTAATGACACAAAAGCAGAAATTTCTCTGAAATGCTCTTATCCAAGTCGAGTTGCCTACTTCCTAAGGCTGCAGCAAGGCAAATGGGATTCCACGTGCAAGTGAGGAGACCATATATGGTGCCTTCTTCTGCATTAGAACAACAGCCTAGTCTCAAAAGGTGAAAGTACTGCTCCCTTCTGAAAAAATCGATTGTTTGGCCCCTTCATTGGAACAGGAAAAGAATATCTCTATAGACCTAATTTGGGAGCAATGGATAGACATTGTGCCATATAGGGCCTCTATTTGTGTCCCATCTGAGCTCATTGTTTATGGCCATAAATAGGAAGAGGTCATACCCCATAACCACACTTGACTCCCTGGGGAGCCGCCGTAGGAGGAGCTTTCCCTTGTATATCAAAAACTTGCAACAGAGGGAAGGGCGCCATGGCTCATGCCTGTAATCCCAGCACTTTGGGGGGTCAAGGTGGGCAGATCACTTGAGGTCAGGAGTTTGAGACCAGTCTGAACAATATGGCAAAACCCCACCTCTACTAAAATTACAAAAATTAGCCAGGTGTGGTCATGCACTCCTGTGGTCCCCGCTACTTGGGAGGCAGAGAAATGAGAATCACTTGAACCTGGGAGGCAGAGGTTGCAGTGAGCCGAGATGGCACCACTGCACTCCAGCCTGGGTAACAGAGCAAGACTCCATCTCAAAAAAACAAACAAAACAAAAGAAACCACACAACTTGGAACAGAGGTAAATGTGCATTGGCCACCCTTGCCCCTCTGGGGTTTACAGTCTATAATCCTATAAGACCCAGGAACACTAGAAGTTAAGCAAGCAATATGTATTAGTACATTTTCACACTGCTGATAAAGATATGCCTGAAACCAGGCAATTTACAAAATAAAGAGGTTTATTGGATTTACAGCTCCACATGGCTGGGGAGGCCTCACAATCATGGCGGAAGGCAAGGAGGAGCCAGTCACATCTTATGTGGATGGTAGCAGGCAAAGAGAGAGCTTGTGCAGAGAAACTCCCATTTTTAAAACCATCAGATCCCATGAGACCCATTCACTGTCACGAGAACAGCATAGGAAAGACCCGCCCCCATGATTCAATCATCTCCCACTGGGTCCCTCCCACAACATGTGGGAATTATGGGAGCTACAAGATGAGATTTGGTTGGGGAAACAACCAAACCATATCAGAATAGGATTAATTCTGGCAGGAACTGGGGCAGCCACAGCACTAGTGGCACACTGAGGCATTTGCCTATCATGAGCCAACCCTAAGAAAACTTAACTCAAACCCTGGAATCTTGAGCCACCAACACAGGTCAAGCATTAAAGAGAATTCAAGATCTCTGGTTACTTTGGCAAATGTAGCTCTTGATAACAGATAGTGTTGGATTATTTACTATCTATACACATAGGATTCTGAGCAGTTATTGATAAAACTGCTGAACAACTCTGTACAGGTTGAGGTTAATATTCCAAAGATCTATAAGCAAGCTACCTTGTTACATAGCTGTGTGCAGGGAACTGACCCCAACTATATCTGGTCTACTATCAAAAGTGCCTTCCCAAATCTCACTTTTTTTTTTTCTGTCCAGTATCTTTAATACCTGTCCTGTGTTATTACTAATCTTTGGCCTTTGCCTCTTTAATCTCTTAAAAAAATTTGTGTCATCTAGATTACAGTAGTTCCAGGTAAAGACAATGCTGGCATGAGGCTTCCAACCTATCCTGTCTAGTGACCCAGAGAATAAATATGTCCTGCCTCTGGGCCCCTTAGATCAGGTATCCAGAGACTTTTACTCCTCCAGTGCTAGGCAGAGCCTGTGCCTATAAAATCAGTAGGGAGTAGTTACAGAAAATGAAACTCCACCCTTCTACAGCCCCCTTAAGATTAAAGAAAAATATCTAATTTCTAAGGGAAGAGTGAGGAAAAAGATGGGATTTGACTCCAGTGGCAGGGCTCAGACTCTAGACCAGATTCAGGATTAGCTGAAACAGGGAAGAGATGAAAGCATCTCTCCATAAGACAAGCCCACTAGTGTGCCATGTCAGTTTACCACTGCCATGGCAGCTCTGCAAAGTTACCACCGCTTCCCATGAAAATGACCCAATGACCCAGAAATTACCACCCTTTTTCTAGAATTTTCTCATAATCTGCTCTTTAATTTGCTTCTAATTAAAAGTGGATATAAATATGATTATAGAACTGCCTCTGAGCTGGTATTCTGGGCACACTGCCTATGGGGTAGCCTTGTTCCACAGGGAGCAGTGTCTTTGCTGCTGCTGTGTACTGCTGCTTCAACAAAAGTTGCTAACACCACCAACTAACCCTTGAATTCTTTCCTGGGTGAAGCCAAGAACCCTTCCTGGCTGAGCCACAATTTTGGGCTTGCCTGTCTTGCATCAAAAGTAGCTATAAAAATAAGAATAAATAATTATTTAATAGGATAGAAGAAAAATTCTGTCTCATTAGTATTTCAATAAATGTATTCATCATTTTATCTGTCAAAATAAGTGATTAAATAAAGTTACTATTCACTATAATAGAGAATGTAGAGAGATGAAAAATCTCAGACATTACTGTTGGGGCTGTAAATTAACACAGTTCTTTTGAAAACAAAATTTAAACATACATCAAGAATCTAAAAAGAAGTTTGTATAGTTTGACATTATTCTAGCCTAAGGAAACAGTGCTTAATATTTTAAATGAGGTTGCTGAGTTCTCATTTCATTATTATGTATAATACTGAAAAATTGAAAGTAATAATTTGTAAAATGTCTACCAATAGGAAGTTCGTTATGTGTAAGTGTAAACTTGCTGTGTAGACTACAATGCAGTCATTAAACAACTGTTTAGAGGTTGGACATGGTGGCTTGTGACTGTAATCCCAGTACTTTGGGAGGCTGAGAAGGGCAGATACCTTGAGCCTGGGTATTCAAGACCAGCCTTGGCAAGATGGTGAAACCCTGTCTCTACAAAATAATAATAATAATAATAATAATAATAATAATAATAATAATAATAATGATAGTCATAACAAATTAGCCAGGTATCATGGTGTGTGCCTTTAGTCCTAGCTACTCAGGAGAAAACAGTAGGAGGATCTCTTGAGCCTGGGAGGCAGAGGTTGCAGTGAACTGGGACTGGACCACTGCACTCCAGCCTGAGAAACTACACCCTATCTCAAAACAAAAACAAGAGCAAAAAAAAAAAAAAATTAACGAAAAAACAATTATTTAATGCCCATGCCTATGTGGAAAATGCTGATGTTACAATATTATGTGAAAAGAACATAAAATAAGGAATTAAGGTATGACATTTTATATACTATGTAATTATAAATAAATTCCTTTTTATGTTTTTTTTTGTGGGGAGCATTAAAATTAGAGGTGCTTATACTTATTTTCTCCAAATTTTCTCTGCTAAATATATAATAAACGTAAAGCTATTTTTCCAACCTGGGGTTATGATATTGTCTTATAGTTTACAGAAAATGGTATTAAAATATTACAAATTTTAGAAATAATAGATGAAAGAAGAACATGCTATAACAACATTGAAAAACATGGGAATAATGCATTGTTCCCTATATTACATAGTGTCAGTTAATTGGGATGCATAAAAGAAAATATTTCTCAAGTCTCATTGTTATTAATAGTTCCACCCAGTATATAATAAATGTTAACCATCACACGCACGCACATCTGTCTTTATTTGAATTCTAGAAGACTCAGATACATATATGAGCTCTATGTATTTCATTTTCAGCCTACCTTTAGAAAATACATATGAACTTATGATATGCATTGATCTTATCTTTCCTACCTAATTTTACTAAATATTCCCTCATTTTCTTCATTCTTCTCATTTATTAACTTAGTTGTAACAAATACAATTTATAAATGCATCAGATAAAATGGGGAATCAATCAATAAGATTTTCCCATAATGTAAAAGTCTCTATATGCAAATTGTTTTTGCTAATGTGAAGCAGGATTTTATAGTACTGACAACAACAATCTTGGGGTCAGGAGTCCTGAATTCTTGTCCTTATTCTACCATCTATATTTTCTAGTGTCTTCAGAGCATTTTCTTCATTTATAAAATTAACCAGCCAGACAAAGGACTTCCAAGTTTGTATGTATACCAATAAATTCTCTGAAATTAAGTGGTACATGGATGGATGGAGAAAATTGCTATAGCATAGTTTCTTAAATTTATATTCCATAATATTCTTGAAAAAAAGGGGAAAATTATAATGAGACTATAATCAGGATATCAAGCTATTTTTTATCATGGTAAAATGCACATTTCATAAAATAGACCATTGTAACCATTTAAAAGTGTATAATTTAGTGTTATTAAGAATATTCACCACATTGTTCAAATAATAATTACTATCTAGTTCTAGAACATTTTATAAGCTCAAAAGTAAGCCATAACTCATTACACAGCCACTCTCCATTTGTTCTTCCACCCTGCAATCTGTAGGCAAATACCAACCTGCTTTCTGTCTCTATAAATTTGCTAAAGTTTTTACATTTTATGTAAACACAATTGTAGATTACATGGATATTGGGTGAAATTCAGCCCTGATATTTCACGTAGGTTCTTTTCTATTTTCCCTAAGTGTTGGCTGGTCTGAGAAATAAAGGGACAGAGTACGAAAGAGAGAAACTTTAAAGCTGGGTGTCCGTGGGAGACATCTCATGTTGGCAGGTTCCATGATGCCCCCTGAGCTGTAAAACCAGCAAGTTTTTAATAGTGATTTTCAAAAGGGGAGGGAGTGTATGAATAGGGTGTGGGTCACAGAGATCACATGCTTCACAAGGTAATAAAATATCACAAGGTAAATGGAGGCAGGGCAAGATCACAGGACCACAGGACCAGGGCAAAATTAAAATTGCTAATGAAGTTTCGGGCACACATTGTCATTGATAACATCTCATCAGGAGACAGGGTTTGAGAGCAGACAACTGGTCTGACCAAAATTTATTAGGTGAGAATTTCCTTGTCCTAATAAGCCTGGGAGTGCTATGACCATGAAAGACAGCCACCCCCAAAGCGGTCATTTTAGAGGCCTCCCCTCAGGGATGTTCCTTGCTGAGAAAAAGAATTCAGTGATATTTCTCCCATTTGCTTTTGAAAGAAGAGAAATATGGCTCTGTTCTGCCTGGCTCACTGGCAGTCAGAGTTTAAGGTTACCTCCCTTGTTCCCTGAACATTGCTGTTATCCTGTTCTTTTTTCAAGGTGCCCAGATTTCATGTTGTTCAAACACACATGCTCTGCAAACAATTTGCGCAGTTAACGCAATCATCACAGGGTCCTGAGGCGACATACATCCTCCTCAGCTTATGAAGGTGACGGGATTAAGAGATTAAAGTAAAGACAGGCATAGGAAATCACAAGGGTATTGATTGGGGAAGTGATAAGTGTCCATGAAATCTTCACAATTTATTTTCAGAGATTGCAGTAAAGACAGGTGTAAGAAATTATAAAAGCATTAATTTGGGGAACTAATAAACATCCATGAAATCTTCACAATTTATGTTCTTCTGCCATGGCTTCAGCCGGTCCCTCCCTTTGGGGTCCCTGACTTTCCGCAACACATGAACTTCTTTGTTTGTTTGATAATTTTAATTATCATAATGTTTTCAAGGTTCTTTAGTATTTTGTTCTTTTTTATGGCTAAACAATATTACATTGTATAGATATACCACATTTTGTTTATCATTCATTAATTAATGGACATTTTGGTAGTTTCCACCTTTGTCTATTATGAATAACACAGCTATAAATGTCTGTGTATAAGTTTTTGTTTGAACAATTGTTTTCAATTCTTTTAGAGATATACCTAAGATTGAAATTCTATGCAAAGAAATACATAATACCAGAAACTGAATATGTGGATGAGTATAAAATACTTTTTCTTAAATTTCAATCTTCTTAAAGCTAATCCTTTAAGTGAGAAATAGCCCACAATGTAGCATATAATATACATAAAATAAAATATGTGACAATAGTAGCCCATAATATGAGTTGGGAAAATGGGAATCTACTATTATAAGGCTCTTATATTCATGAGGTGAATATAGTACTTAAAAGTAGACAGTGATAAAAATGAATAGTATAAAACCTAAAATAACTACTAAAAACCACAAACAAAATTCAATGTAAAAGATTGTTAGTTTTGATAAAAAAGAAAGACCTATTAATATGCTGTTAATAAGAAATTCAACCTAATATAAAGACTGAAATAAAATTAAAGTAAAACAGAAAAATTCCATTCTAACATTAATCAAAAGAAAATCAAAGTAACATTATTAATATGAAATACAGTAGATGTATGAGGAAAGAATATTGCCAAGGTTAATAATCAAAGTTGTCAAATTCTTTAAGAGGACCAAATAATCCAAACTGATGTGTACTTAAAGCTGAAGCATCAAATAAATAAAACAAAAATTGACAAAACATCAAATAGAAACAGATAAGACAATAATTATCGTGACATAATTCACCGTATAAACAGACTAAACCAAACAAAACATACTGTCATCCCAACAGATGCAGAAAAAGCATTTAGAAAATTCATTCCTGATGATATAGCTTAGTAAATTCAGAATATAATGGGTTTTTCTCTGTCTGAGTAAGGGCATCTCCAAATAAATTTACAGCTAATCTCATATTTAATCATGAAATACTTAATGCTTTTACCCTAAAACCAGGGGTAAGGGATGGATAATTGCTGTATTCACTTATATTCAACTCTGTACAAGAGGTTTTAGACAATGTAATAAGGCCAGAAAAATAAGTAAAATTTATTCAGTTTTGAAAGGAAGAACTAAATCTCCACTTGCAGAAGATGTGAACATTTGTATAGAAAATCCTACAGAATCTACAAAATAAACTTCTAGAATAAATAATGTTAGCAAAGTTTCAAAATATAAGATTAAGCTAGAAAAATGAATTTAACTTGTATATACTAAGAACATATATTCAACCATAGATATAAAAATTACGACCTACAACAGAATCAGAAATATGAAATGCTGGGAGATATAATCAACAAAAAATGTTCAAGATCTATAGAGAGAAAAATACAAAGTAAAGTTAAGAGAAGTTGAAGAAGACAAATAATTATGTAAAGATATATGTAATATATCTGAAGACAATATTATAAAGATGTCATTTATCCTTAGATTGATATATGAATTAAACTTAACACCAATCAAAAATCATAGGAAGCTTATTTTTGTAGAATCCCATTAACAAGTTGATTATAAAATTTCTGTGAAAATGCAAAGAGCCTAGAAGAGCTACACATTTTTTGAAAAATAAGAATAAAGCTGGAAGGCTTGTACTACGTGACTGAAAGGCTTATTACAAGGCTTCAATAATCAAGTCAGCATGGTATTGGCATAGCCATTGAATAATTTATCAATGGAACAATGCAGATTATTCATAAAATGAGCCACATGCATGTGGTTGATAGATTTTTGACAAAGATGTATAGGTAATTCAATAGATACATGGAAGCCTTTTTCAACAAATGGGCATGTCAATGTTTCACATATAATTCTAAACTTATTTTTTTTATTTACTTTAAGTTCTAGGGTACATGTGCACAACATGCAGTTTGTTACATATGTATACATGTGCTATGTTGCTTTGCGGCACCCATTAACTTGACATTTACATTAGGTATTTCTCCTAATGATGTCCCTCCCCCATGCCCCCAACTCACTACAGGCCCCAGTGTGTGATGTTCCTCGCCCTGTGTCCAAGTGTTCTCATTGTCCAATTCCCACCTATGAGTGAAAACATGCGGTGTTTGGTTTTCTGTACTTGTGATAGTTTGCTCAGAATGATGGTTTCCAGCTTCATCCATGTCACTACAAAGGACATGAACTCATCATTTTTTATGGCTGCATAGTATTCCATGGTGTATATGTGCCACAATTTCTTAATCCAGTCTATCATTGTTGGACATTTGGATTGGTTCCAAGTCTTTGCTATTGTGAATAGTGCCACAATAAACATACATGTGCATGTGTCTTTATAGCAGCATGATTTATAATCCTTTGGGTATATACACAGTAATGGGATTGCTGGGTCAAATGGTATTTCTAGTTCTAAACTTATAGTAAAAATTATCTCAAAAATGCATCATAGGACTACATAGAAAGCTATAAAACATCTAGGAGACATCATATGAGAAAAATTATAACCCTAAGGTTGTCAAATATGTCCTAGGACTTATGTTCACTCTGCAGAAAATAATGTTAAAAGAATATGCCAACGAATCACAAACTAGCCAATTATCTGATAAAGGACTTGTATCCAGAGTATGAAAAGAAGTCTCAAATAATTGAGCATAGTATTTGAATAGTCCCTTCAACAAAGAGGATGTACATTGATGGCAGAAATGTAAAATGGTAAATTAACTTGGAAATAATTTTATCAGTTTCTGAAAAAGTTAAACATAATGCTACCATACAATTCAGTTATTTTCTCTTCTAGGTATTTACATGGGTAAAAGCATACATCCATACAAATACTTACATACATATAATGAAGCAGCTTTGTTTGTAATAGCCAAAACTGGAAACCACCAAAACATTCACTAATAGTGAATTGGGTAAAAAATTGCAATGTGGAAATATAACAAAATACTATGTAGCAAAAAATGATAAACTATTGATGCCCATAACAACATATATGAATCTAAAAATGATAACAATGAGTAAAGGGAGCCAGATGCCTTAAAATTACATTCTGAATGATTGCTTATATAATATTTAAAAAAGCAAAGTTAGCTATATTGATGAAAGACCATGCAGATCAATGGTTGTATAGGGAGAGGGTAGATACTAGCTGAACTGAGAATACAAGAGAATGACAAAGAGACATGAGTGAACTTTTAGAGATGAAGAATATGCTAATTATTGTCATTGTGGTGATAATTGTATGGATCTTTCTGTATTTCAAACTTATCAAATTGTACATATAAATGTGTGCTGCTTAATATACAGTTATACTTCAATAAATAAGCTAACAAACAACTGAAGGGAAAGCTTAGTATTCATTATCAAATATTAAAAGTGATTCTAAAACTTCAGTAGTCTTAAACATTCTAGTACATGTATGAGGAGAAACTATAAAACAGAACAGTGCAGACAAAACCAAAATACTTTTAATGTACTATAATGATTATATTGTAAATCATACATGAAGGATTTTCTATGACTGACAATTGTCTACCTTTACAGGAAAACTTAGAACCTTATTTCATTCAAAAGCAATTTCAAATAGATTTAAAGATTAAATCCAAATAACTGAGTTGATAAAACATTTCAAAAAAATGAGAGTAATTTTAATCTCTCTAGATGAAAAAATTTATACAGAAAAAATGCTTATATAAATTAAATGGTAAGAAAATATTTATATAAGATACCAAAGGCAGAAATTGTGAAGAAAGTGATTAATAGCTGTAGATATATATATATATAAAAGAAATGTATAAGATCTGTTATGAGCAAAAAACATAATAAGGTTTATTAAAAGGCTAAAAGTAAATGAAGGAAAATTATTTGCAACTTTATGTCAAATATTTATTTAATATCCTCAGAATATGAAGATATCTAACACATTGACAAACAATTAAAAAGCCAAATCTCTCATTAGAAAGTGGGTAAAGAAAACAGATACAGACAATTTAGGAAAAAAAAAAAAAAAAGAAAGTAGAGATGACTAATAAACAGGTGAAAAGAATGTGTCTCCAAAAGTTGACAATCTCTACATCTCACCCACTTGTAAGAGCAGAGGTTCCCCAACCTTTTTGGCACAGAGACCAGTTTTGTGGAAGACAATTTTTTCACTAACTGTGGGTTACGGGATGCTTTCAGGATAATTCAAGTACATTACATTTATTGTGCACTTTATTTCTATTTTTATTACTTTGTAATATATAATGAAATAATTATACAACTCATCATGATGTAGAATCAGTGGGAGCCCTGAGCTTGTTTTCCTGCAACTAGATGGTTTCATCTTGTGGTGATGGGACACGGTGACAGATCATCAGGCACCAGATTCTCAAAAGAAGCACACAGCCTAGATCCTTTGCAAGTGCAGCTCATAGTAGGGTTTACGCTCCTATGAGAATCTAATGCCACTGCTCATCTGACAGCAGGCAGAGCTCATGTCCTAATGCTAGCAATGGGGAGCAGCTGTAAACTAACCAGCAGCTCAACTGCTGCTATGTGGCTCAGTTCCTAACAGGCCACGGACTAGTACTAGGGGTTGGGGACCCCTGTTGCAGAATATTTGTCATAGATCATATGACTGTATCCTGATGGCCAGTGCAGTCATCTCTGAGCCAGAGGTGGGTAGGAGAGGCATCCAGAGTCCTAGACAATCCTAACAGTAGTGGACACTTGGTTCCTAAGTAGTTTCTTTTCTGGGTTTGGAAAAGTTTCTATGCCAGTTGTCAAATTTAAGTGACTAATACTGTTTCTTGATGCAGATAGGCCCTTGCAATCTCGGGAAGTTTTCTGACACCTACCCCATCAGCGATATCTATTTCAGTCCATGTAAGCTCGGTTCCCTAAAATGGACTTTTTTCTTCCACCAACATTTTAGGAAACACAATATGGTATATTTATTTGTGATCAAAGTAAAACTGCGTATCTCTGTGGGTTTTTTTCTCTCTGAAACATACTTTCTATAGACTGAAAATGTAGTTTCATCTTTATTTGAAAGAGTCATTGTGGACTGGTGTTCATTATTCCTTACTTTTCATTCCCCTAGAAAATTTTTTCTGTCTTTGCTCCTGAAAGCTGAAATTGCATAGATCCTCCTGTTGTTTGTAGATTAGCTGTAATTTATTCAGTGCCCAAAGGGTAGCATAAGAGGATTAGCTAGAGTAGATCAGGAATAGGAATGTTCCTTCAGGCTTCGCTATGTTACAGCCATGCAGATGAAACCAAAATTAGGTCAAAGTGTCACCTCTCTTTAAGATTAACAGCATAACGAGTTTCCAACTTATTCGTCCTCACTATCTTATTTAATATGATTTCCTGAATCTCCAATCACTCTAAAATATAATTGCCAGCTTAATTGAAAGCTGACTATTTTCTACTAACACTGTTTTCTTTTTAAGTGTTTTATCTAAACATATTTTTTGGAAGTGACTGTTCTAGTAAAATATTGACCAGAGTTGTGATTTGCATTTATTATTAAAGTATTTATTGTTACATAACTTTCTCCTTATCTCTGCTCCCCAAATTATCAAACTTTTCTAGTAAATTTTCAGTTTTAAAACTGCAGGAGTATATTAAAAACTCTGAAGTTGTACATAATTGTATAAAGAAAAACTTTGAGTTTAACCAGTGATTTAGACATATATAACTATTATTTTTCTGGAAACCTTATATTAGGTTTGTTATGAAACCAGCAGCTAAGCGTAGCTCATATGAATGCAAAGCATTCCAAAATAAAAAGTAAGAAGCTTTATTTATAAATGATCTATATAGTTACCATTAAAAAGTAGGTCCAGAATCTAGGAATTATTTTAAACTGATAGGTTAAAAACACCATAAAAAGTTATGAACATATTAATCATGCTCATAACCATGATCTTTTATTTCATATTAAAAAAATGCCATGTTTGCAAAGTGGTAGGATTCCCTATAGCCACATTACATTGTACACTGCTTGTACTAGTACATAGCAAAGTTGTTACATCTGAGTGAGTGAACCTAGGCACTCAGCTGTACCAGGGACAAGGCCTTGGTCTTTGGTTTCTGGGAAATTGAGCTTGGTAAATAATATCCTTATTTTATTAACTCCTTTATAGCTCTTATGTGTTGTTTTGACATTATTTCTTCCAAAATTTTTTATTGTAAGCCTAACAAAAATAATGTCAATATATTACCCTTTATAAGTACCAATATTCAAAAACCAAGCTTAGAAAAAGTGGCTGTTTCCGGCTGGGCGTGGTGGCTCATGCCTGCAACCCCAGCACTTTGGGAAGCAGAGTCCAGCGGAACACAAGATCAGGAGTTTGAGACCAGCCCGGCCAACATGGTGAAACCCGGTCTCTGCTAAAAATACAAAAATTAGCCGGGCATGGTGGCACATGCCTGTAATCCCAGCTACTCAGGAGGTTGAGGCAGCAGAATTGCTTGAACCCGGGAGGCGGAGTTTGCAGTGAGCCAAGATTGCACCACTGCACTCCAGCCTGGGCGAAGAGCAAGACTCTGTCTCAGGGGAGAAAAAAAAAAAAAACAAAAAAGGCCGTTTCCAATGTCCCCACACACTATGCTTCTCATTAACTCAGAACAAGCATTTTATAAAAATGCAGTGAACGATCAAATGAATGATCAGGTTGATTTCCACAAAATATATTATAAAAATAATATATTTCACAGATTCTAAGATGTATTTTTCACAATTTAACTTACCAAATATCGAAATTCCTTAATCGTTATTTTAGACAGCCATTATGACATAATTATCTCTGCCTGTTCTTATGCAAATTTGGTCAGAGCTATTCATTTGATCATCAATTTAACTAAGTTGGTACAATTACAAATGTACTAATTGAAGGTAGATAAAATTTCAAGGTCCCTTTGAGTAAATGAAATTTCAAAGTCAATAAAAGAAGGCGATGTCTAAATCATGCATAACATAAATCTGTCATTAACATGTCACATATCAATTTATCAAAATTTTGCAGATTTTGAATGAAAGCTACTTGACATCCAGAGACATATATTCAATAGAAGAATAAGAACCAATCCACAGATTATTAAGTAAGACCATATCAGATCAATATCTATAGGATGAATGTTAGCATTTTGGAAGAAAAGTCACAAAACTGGAGTGGAATACTCTTAAATACTGCATCATCAATTCTCTTCATATTACACAAGACATTACTGTGTGGAAAGCAAAGCATGACTTTATCTGGATTTAAAAGTAATTTAGGATTTTCATTTGCATCCATGAAAGACTAGGTATTGTAGTCCAATCCTCTTGACAATGGTCACTAAAAATAGTTTATGACTTGATGACATTTGGGTGCTCACAAGCTATACAAATCCAAGAGAAAAGGAAACCCAGGATAGTGAATCTCTTGGGGCACATTTTCCCCTGGAGAAATCTGCCAGATAACTGATATGTGACTGAGGGTCTGGGAGGTTGAATAGAGCTATTTTCAGCATCAATGGAGCTATGGGAGGTAAAGAAAAATATTGGAGTCCAATCCAGGGCACACCAAGAAGAGCTAGCTTAAGGACACCAACTTATTTTAGTGGATATTCTAAAGGTCAAAACAGCAATTGCTTGCTCTCACAAGAGCAAGCAATTAATTAAATTCAGCTATCAATCTTTGCTATTGTTTGGTCTGCCTATTGGAGGCAAGTGTAATTCTTCTCTAAAGGAAGAATATATGCTACAAGGTCTTAGTTATTTCATAATTTTGTTTTCAAATCCAATGTCTATTGCTTAATGAAAACTCACTAGCTTAATTAGTGTAGAAAGTGGCAATAATTAGGTTGACAGCAAAGAAAAAATACATAATAGAAATAGACTCCCAGAGTACCCAGATAAAGTTGTTAGAAAAAGATTTTAAAATAACTCTGCTTAATATTTTTAATAAAAGATGAAGTTTGACAATATAATCAGAGAACTAGAAACTATTAAAAAATAACAAATGAAAATATTAAAAGTGAAAGATATTATTATTGAAATAGAGAACTCAGTACATGGATTTGTTAAATTAGGCATAGCTAAAGGAAACATTAATAAACTTGAATGCAGGTTAGAATACAATTTTCAGAATAAAACATGGAGGCAATAAATGATAGAAAATAAATATGGAAGAATATTAAAAGATACAAGGAATGAAAATATCTAACATACGTATAATTGGTTTCCCAGAAGAAAAGGAAAGAAAATAAAGGAGAAGCAAGATAATGGCTAAAATTTTTTCAAAACCAGTGAACAGCAAGTCATAGATTCAAAGGGCTCTAATAACCTTAAGTAGGATATTTTAAGAGAAAAGCACACCCAGGCAAAATACTTAAATCAGCCAGAGAAAAATAGGACAAATTATTTTCAAGGGAGTAAATATTAATGAAATAGTTAATCTTGCAGCTGAAACAATGGGACCCAAAAGACAATGGTTCCCAAAAGATAATCTTCAAGTCCTGAATGGAAATGAATGAAAACAAAAGTATCAGTCCAGGAAAAAATATCATTCAAAAATTTTGTTTCAAGGTAAAATAAATAAATATTCACACATAAAAATCTGAGAGAATTAACAACCAATAAACATACTAACAGAAGTGTTAAGAGGTATTACTTTTAGGGAGAAGAAAAATGATTTCATATGAAAAAACATTTGTAGATGCAGAAAACAATGAGGTGTGAGAGAAAGCATAAAAATGTGGGAAAATCTAAAGATACATTGACTGTACAAAGATCATGTGTAGTGGCACATAAGATTATAGGAAATTAGAATATAATAACATACAAGTTAGGGGCACAAATGAGTTAAAGTGTCATAAAATGTTGTGTTTTTACACCAAAACTAAACAAAGAAATATTAAGAAGGCCAAATAGAAAGTAAAGAAAAATACAAAGACATATATTTGCTTAATTCTAAATTAACTGAATGCTTCAAGTAAAAGATGAAGATTACTGCTATGGTTTGGTTTATTTCCACTAAAACTCAGGTTGAAAATTGATCCCCAGGGTGGCAGTGTTGGAAGGCTGGGCCTAATGGCAGGTGTTTGGATCATAGGGGGCAGATCCCTCATGAATACATGAATGTCCTCCTATGGCTGTGAGTTCTTACCTTCATTGGAATGGATTAATTCCCAAGAAAGCAGTTTGTTAAAAGTCTGGCTTCTTCAGTTTCTTTCTCTTGCTTCATCTCTTACCACGTAATCTCTGCATTCACTGGATCCCCTTCCACTTTCTGCCATGAGTACAAATAGCCTGAGGCCCTTACCAGATGCAGATTCTGAATCTTAAACATTTTAACCCCCAGGATTGTGAGCCAAATAAACTTCTTTTCTTTATATACTATTCATTCTCAGGTATTCTGTTATAGCAACACAAAATAGACTAAGAAAATTATGAAACTTTATTTTAAAAACCAAAAATGCCAACAAAAACATTGTGTGCTGCGTAAGAAAGATATTTAAAACATAAGGATATAGGAAGATACATGAGGGTTGACAGTGAAAGCAACAAAAAAGCATATTATACTGGTACTAATGAAAAGAAAGTTGAAACCACTCAAATAATATAAAAAATGTCAATGACAAGGTAAAAACCATTACCAGCAATAAAGAGAGAAACTTCCTGAGGCTCAAAAATATGTAACAATTATAAATTTGCATGGAAATGCAAGGAATCAGGCAAGTTATAATGGGGGTTCTGAGATTTCTCTCTCAGAAACTTATAATACAAAATTCAGTGACAATAAAATATTGGGGCTGAATAATTAACAAAGTTAATTTATTTAATATGTATGAAATAATTTGTCCAACAACTCCAGATTCCACATGATTTTAAATACAGTTGGAACATTTGTATAATGAATAATAGCCTGTGTCATGAAGTAAGTCTCAAAATTACAATTAAAAAAACACATTTTTCCAAGTATACTTGGAATATTAATAAGGACAGGCCATACATGGGGCAATAATGTAAATAACAACATTTCAAAAATTGAAAGTTGAAAGCAAGTGCTCTCATCTAATAGAGTTGTTAGAAATAGTAGTTAAATAATAATAAAATTATCCTCAAGTTCTTGGTAATATACATAGCATGATTCTAATTAGCATGAAAATACTGTTTCAAAGAAGAAACAAGAAATAGTAAATAGTAAATATTTTGAAAAGGATGGTTATTAAAATACTACACATATAAAACTTATTGGATGTAGGTTAAAAGTTCTTAGATAAAAATCCACAACATAGAATAATATTTTAGGAAATAAGATAGCCTGAGAATCAGTAACCTATTCATTCTAGAGGTTAGAAAATGAACAGCAAATTAAAAAATAAAAATAAAGATAAAATATAGAAGTTAATGAAATGGACAAATTCCTGAAAGACCTGATAAACAAAATAATTGGGATAAGACATAAAAACCAATGTTAGTACTGGAAAGAGTAACATGACTTCTAATTTTATAGATATTTTTAAAAGTTAACTGGTTAAACAAAGTTAGTTTAACCTTTGAAGAACAGTCAATGTAATTCACCATATTGCAAAAACAAAGAAAGGAACCACGGTCATTTCAACAGATGCTGAAAAAGTATTTGATAACATTCACTAGCAGTTCATAAAGAAAAACCTTCACAATAAGAGTGAAAAAGGACTTAATTTGATAAAAAGTCTTTACAAAAATTCCATAATAAACTTGATAATCAGTAGTGAAGTAATGAAAACTTTCTTCCTGAAATCAGGAAGAAAAAGGAGGCTACTTATCCACACAAGTATTGAATACTGCCCTGAAGTTCATGATTATGCAAGAGTGACATAAGAATCAATGTGTAACTAATTCTCAAAAAACATGAATAGTAACAAAAATTCAAATTCAAAAGAAAGTAAACATGTCATAGTTAAATAGCAGTATTTTTTTCTTACCTGTGGTATATGAAATAGTTTAATAACCTTGTGGTATGTGATATTCTACATTTGATGAAGTTAGATATTCAGTGAAATACAGCAAGGCTCTGTGTACTTGTTATACATCGTTGCTTCTAGGGACATATTTTCTTAAAATTTGTAGTTTCCAAAGTTATTTTACATACACTAGCTCATTTAATGTACTATTATCATAGGCAGGCATTTCTTTAAATATTTTTCCATCCATGCAGTTATTTAAAACCTGCAACAACTCTAAAAGATGAGTATTATTGCTACCTTATTGATAGATAAAGAAACTGAGGCACAGATAGTTAAAATAACTTGTGCAAGATCACATTAGTAAATGTCAAATACAGATTTCAAACTGTTCAGCTTGACTCTAAAGCTGAGGCCTTTCATCCATTGTTGTCATTCTCATATGTAAGGGTTGTAAAAGAAATCACAGGGCTATGGGGAAGTAGAAAGTCATAGTACTATTTTATTCATATTTATTTATTTTTAGAGACAGGGTGTTGCTATGTTGCCCAGGCTGGAGTACAGTTGGTATTACAGTGTAACAGCATTAAACTCCTGGGTTAAAGCAATCTTCTGGCCTCAGCCTCCCAAGTAGCTGGGACTACAGGCCTATGCCACTATTCCTGGCTTTTTAAAAGTTAGCTCATGATTGGACAGTAATTGAGGTGGATATTGAATAAGAAAGAACAATTGCATATGTTTTGTATCTGAACTGAGGGTCCGTGGATCATAGAAAACTAAGTATCTCATATCAGAGCTACATAGAAAGAAGAGAACACTACATAGAGAATAAGAAACTGTGACATAAAGAATTATCAGCAATTAAATCTACTCACTTAACAATGTTAAATTATACATTACATTGTTCTATAGTCACTGTTATACAATAGATCTCTTGCATGCATGACTTGCATGAAATTTTGTATTCTTTGACCAACATCTCCCCACTCCTAAAGAATCATAAGCAGGTAGTTCTCAATAAACACATCAAAGCATCACCTTTAGTATTAAAGAAAGATTGGTAAAAAGAAATGAGAAAACGTCAGCAAAAAGGAGATGGCACTGAGTCTTAACGTTACAGGAAAAAAAAATTTTTTTTTTCTCAAAATATATTTTATGTTGAATGCTAAGGCAGACCAGTGAAAATCTTTGACTACAATGATCAAGTGTTTTTATTTTGATATCCCTTGACTATTAATACTTGCTAAATGTGGCAAAGACAGCACTGGAAACATCATCTTAGTTTTTAAAGCATGGGTAATAACCATTCCCAATTACCAAAATCTTTACTTCATTATAAGCACTCTAACATTGTGAGCACTGCGCATGGTAGGGAAATGACTATGCATGGTAGGCTGTATCGTACAGGGTTTGTTAGATTCATCTGCAATACCATACCCCAAGGTGTGCTCTGGAATGATAGGAAATCTTATGGGTGGAGAAACTGTCCATAATGAAATGAGTTTGGCAAAAATGGGTTAAGAAAAGTTTTTTTCTTAGCTATTTATATATTAATGTGAATTATGAATATCTAAGAGAGAATAAAGTCTATGTTTCTTTCTCTTTTTGGGGTGAGGCTGGGGCAGGTTATAAGGGAAAGTGTATTAAGTGACATACCTTCGGAGACAAAGTCATAGTCTTTTAATACCAATCATCTGTTCGTAAGTATCTTTTTGTCTTCAATAGCCAGGCACTGTTCCCTGTTCTAAAAGAGCTGCATACACAATAGTAAAAGAAGAGTCAAATACCCTCAGCCTCATTGATTTTCCACTTTAATACAGGAAGTCAGATATACTCAAGATAAATAAGCAGCCTGCATATTATATTAGATATTAGTAAGTGATAACGAGAAGAATAAAATAGAGAAGAGAGGGTATAAATATCAGGAGGACCTGCAATTTTAGATAGAGTGGCCTGAGAAATCCTTGCTGAGAAAGTTTCATTAGAGCAAATCTCTAAAGAAAATGAGAGAGTGAGCTCTATCAATATCTGGGGAGAAGAATTTCAGGCTGGGGGAAGAGGACTGTCCTGAGATGGGAGAGTGACTGACACATTTGGGAAATGAGAAGGAGCAAGAGAAAAATTATCAGTAGAGGTCAACTAGAAACAGAAGTCTGTTCATGCTTGCCATTGTAAAGATGCTGACTGATTCTGAGACGGAGAGCCAAAGGAGGGTTTTCAGACAGGAGCAGCCTGGTCAGGCTTGCATTCTAACAAGACCATGTTTGCTGTTGTGTTGAAAACAGATGAAAGGCAAGAAAGTCTGGAAGCATGGAAGCAAGTTTTCAATAAGAAATGATGGTGGATAGGACAAAGGTATTACTGCAAAGGAAGCAGTAATACATGAGTATATTCTTGGATATGTGTTACCTGCATGGACCTTGGGGGACGGAAAAAAGGTTGAGAATATGAGAATAAAGACAACAGACAAAAGAGTATGTTTGGAAGAAGGGGTCAGGGGGCATCTTGCCTCTAGTGGACAAGGGTCCTGAGCTTTACACAGCCCTCCGTTTTTTTTTTTTTTTTTTTTTTTTTTTTTGAGACGGAGTGTCGCACTGTTGCCCAGGCTGGAGTGCAGTGGCACAATCTCGGCTCACTGCAACCTCCGCCTCACAGGTTCACACCATTCTCCTGCCTTAGCCTCCTGAGCAGCTGGGATTACAGGCGCCCGCCATCATGCCCGGCTAATTTTTTGTATTTTTAGTAGAGACGTGGTTTCACCGTGTTAGCCAGGATGGTCTCCATCTCCTGATCTCGTGATCTGCCCGCCTCAGCCTCCCAAAGTGCTGGGATTACAGGCGTGAGCCACCTCACCCTGCCAGCCCTCTGTGTTTATTAGGCAAAAGAGATGGTGAGAAGTGGGGGTGGAAGAAGAGGTCAGCTGTTTGGTCCAGAGTAGGCTTGCAAGACTGCATTCCTCTAACAATAGGCTCTAGATGTCACAGTAGATAACCTCAAGGAGACCGGCGCCAGGGAGTGACCACCCTCAGCAAACCTCCTGGTGGCAGGCACAGTCGTGAGTTTGCCCACATCCTGCCTTCATGATAGTTTACTGTTTGATTATGTAGCCTCCAGTGGAATGCTGAGTTGGTCATGATTCCTTTGGCCTTTTTGGCTCCCAAAATCTCCCCCTTCTTGTTTATGTATTAATTGAAAGAATGTTAAGGCCAGGCTGGATAGCTCTCATTCTCTGATTGGCAGTTCATCTGATTTTACAGACTATGAACAGAAGACAGAGACAAAACAACATTATTCCAAGAACTACATATAAGATGTTAATGTGGTGCTTTAGACAGGTCCAAGGGTTGAAGCTCTCCAGGCCTTGCTGGAATTGGGTCCAGTCTTCTAAAGAAGGCTGAAACTCTTGAGCTTGTTTATTTAAATCAAGAATTTTGTTTTGTAGTTCACTAGAATCAAAGGTGATGTTGGATGTGGAAGCTCCCTGCAAATGGGCTTTCACAAGGTCCCACGGATACTCACTTTGGTTATATTCTAAGTTGGTTACACAAATATGAGTGTGATTAAAAGGACAACAAAATCACTGCTGCAATTGCAAGCTTTCTACTTGTTCCCCTAACAATAGAACCATGGATTTTAACATTGCCACTTCAATTTGTAACTCAGTGTTAATTTTATTCTGAAGTACCCATGCTTGGTTGGCTGTGCATGTCCAGTTCTCCACATACTGAGCTGTTTGAACAGAACTATGCAAAGCTATGGAGGACATCACAACAGAAGTTGTTAGTGCGACCAAGGAAACAATAGCAAAAATTATCATGCCTAAGGCTTTGTGGACATGATGAGTAAGTTGAGTTACATTAGTGCAGTAATATGACTGGCAAGATTTACAGGTCAATTGGGTATTGTTTACCTGGAGCTGGTCCTTCTTAGCGGCCAAAAAGATATAAGGATTAAAAATACAAACTGTAAATTGAGTGGTGATATTCTTTACAAGTGCAACATAAGAATAGTAAGATAGTCACTTCCTATTGCTATTACTGGATAGTATTCCAACCCAGATGTTGCCATTCATAAATGCGAGTGCTGCCTTACAGATCATCTCTTGAATTGGTCCTTTCCTCCTGAGATAATGCCACTGAGGAGGAGGCAGGCTAAAGCCTGCTCCATGCCAAGCAATCTGGGTGGCAGGCTGGGATTGGATCCCAGTGTTGTATAAAGAAGAAGCATTAAAATCTTGCCACCCATGCCAGCGAAGTTTGTGCCATGATTTCTGATTTTCATCTTTTCCATCTAATTGACCTTTAGGTCCCCAACCCACAATGTCTCCAGTTAACATAGATTGTTTTCTAGCCAGTGGCCCAAGACACTTTGTCCATGGAGGGGGATAGGAACTATTGTAGGGAATCCATTCCATATAGTCTGCACAATTAGGGTGACTGGGCCTGGAATTGTTGGTTAGCACACCAGTTATATTAATACAACCAAGATTTAATAAACACATGATTTTTCCATAGTGACTCAACCGTGTTTCAGCTTGAATTGTAAGACAGCTTTGCTTAGTGAAGTCTTCGTGGTGATACAAAAGGAAGTCCTTCCAGTGAAGCGGTATAATTAATGATATTGTTTTGAGAGTCTAACTTTTCTATGTCGGGGGAGTTAGGGGTCCTGGAGCCCATGCTCCCTGATCATGATAAATCTCAGAAGGAGTGTCACTCCAAAGTACAGGTCATACTACTGGGGGATTGGGAACATATGCCCAATATGTTTTTGCCTCTGCACAAGGAAAACATACTGCACAGAACATTATAGCTAACATAGCCATGAATATGGAATCAGGGGTTTTTGTCTGGCCTTGATGCTCCAGTAGTTTCTCAGCTTCCTGCGTGGTTTTCTTGAGTTGTCCCCAGGTTATGGGGGTTGATGTTGTCATGACTTTGGTTGGTCTTCTCTCTGTCTTTGCACTCAGGCTCAGCTGGCTCATGGCTTGTACTGGAGGGACTGGGCCCATGGTTGGCCACCCTGGGTTCCTCTAGTCTCCCATTCCTTGGTCGCACACACCTTGACAGCACCCACAGAGTTTGTCCATCTCCTGTGAAAACACAAGCATACCCTCTTCCTCGTGTCAGTAAATCCACCAGACCTTTCCATTGTCCTTCTTCTGGGGATTTCCATAACACTTTCGGATAAACTTTCCTCTTTTCCTGTAACGCTTGCCAATGTCTTTCTACCAGAGTCTTACCATCCTTACCAGGAGTCAAAAAATTTAAAGTAAATAAGGGTAACTGTTGTTTTGATTGAGGTGATAGTTGACCCCCTACACCCCCTTTTTGTCTTTTCAACATGCCTTGTAATATTTGATGTGCCTCCTCTATAATGCCTTGTTCTCTAGGATTATAAGGAATTCCTGTTTTATGGGTTATAGCCCAAAGCTGTAAGAAATTTTGAAAAGCATGACTAGTATAAGTGGGTCCATTGTCAGTTCGTAATTGTTTAGGTATCCCCATATGAGCAAATGATGAAGACAATGTCACTGTACATGACCAGCTGTCTCACCTATTTGGCATGTAGCATGCAGCATATGAAACTAAGTGTCTATAGTCCCATGAACATAGCTAAGCTTACCAAAGATTGCTATGTGTGTAATGTCCATTTGCCAGATTTCATCTGGAGCCAAATCTCGTGGGTTACAGCCTCTGCAGGTGTGGCTCCAGGGACATGCTGGCAAGTAGGACAGGCTTGTATTATAGCCCTAGCTTGGCTGGGAATTAAAGAATGATAAACTTGCAAGGTTTTGACTGTTTGATTAGGTAGAAGGAGCCATTCTATTACTGTTAAAGACTTGTCTATGAACTGGCCCAAAAGTCCTGTTGGAGAGTGGGGGGCAGGAAGTATAAACAAAAGCAAAGGTTTTTGTGGTTGTAGCCATGAGGCATGTCTCTGCTCTAACGTTTGCTCTACAAGCCAAAATTTGGCTTCTGCCTCTTTAGTTAATTGCCACAGGGAATTTAAAGAAGAGTCTCCTTGCAGAGTTTAACCTGTCTTTCCAGTTACTGATATTGGGTTAGGGTTTCCTTGCAGGAATTTCCCTAAACCTTTCCCACTCTGATATCCCATGTCCTTCAACATTTTGAATCCTGGGTTATCAAAGTTTTCACTTGTAAGTCTCATATCCCATGCTGTAAGTAAGCCTCAACCCCATAAATTGATAGCTATATTTTCAACATAAGGCTGAAAAGTACATGATTGTCCATCTGGACCAAGACAAGGTAAAATCTCATCACTCTGTTGAATGCTTTGATCTGTTCCTACTCACACTAGGGATGTGGAGGTTAGTCTGAGAGGCCATGCTGGGGGCCAATCCTTACTGGATATTACTGACATATCAGCTCCTGTGTCCAAAAGCCCCTAAAATTTCTTTCCTTTAAGTTGTATTACACAGGTGGGTCTATTAGAGGCTATAGGTTGTGATAAATAGATTTCTCATGTAGTTGTGCTCCCAGACCCTTTATTTCCTCATTTCTTCTTTCATGGAGAAGGATGCAATTTGCAGGGAATAAGCAATAATTGAGCAATATATTCTCCCAGTTCAAAAACCCAAAGATCTTGTGACATTAAAACTACTTGAATTTCTCCTTCATAATTGGAGTCAACAATTCCTGAGACTACAGTAATGCCTTGCAACTTAAGGCAGTTTTTGCCTAAAATTAGTGTCCTATATATCCGTGTATCCTGCTGGTAAAGGTCCCGAGATGCCAATGGGAATCTTGGTGGGTTTGTCTCCCCCAACTAATGTAACCCCTTTTCTGGCAGGGAGATCTAATCCTGCACTTCCTGGTGTTCCTGGGGTGAGGGAATCAATGTGCCCCCATCCCTGAAACAGGGTTGTGGTCTGAACTGGGAATGCCTTCATTGTTTGAGGGGCCAGGTGCCATTCTGATGAAATTTTTAGCGGCACTGATTAGCCCAGTGATTTCCTTTGTTACAGCGAAGACAGAGCCCTGGCGTTTTTTCCACTTGGGAGGGAACTGCATTATAAGATCCCTTCTGTCCTGGGATCTGGCAGCATTCCTTTTTAAAATGTCCAGTTTTTCCACAATTATAACATTTTCCCACTTTAGGGCTTACTCTTTGGTTCTTCTTAGATTTGTCAACTCCTAAATTAGCCATTGCTTCTGAAGGGGGCCTGCCCCTCCACACCTTTGGGTATTTCTCATCAGGTGGAGACAAGAGACTGAGAAAAGAAATAAGACATGGAGACAAAGTATAGAGGAAGAAAAGTGGACCCAGGGGACTGGCATTCATCATGCGAGGACCCGCACTGGTGCTGGTCTCTGAGTTCCCTCAGTATTTATTGATCACCATTTTTACTATCTTGGTGAAGGGAGTATGGCAGGGCAAAAGGGTGATGGTGGGGAGATGGTCAGCAAGGAAACATGTGAGCAAAGGAATCTGTATTATGAATAAGTTCAAGGAAAGGTACTGTATCTGGATGTGCACATAGGCTAGATTTATGTTTCACTTTACACAAACATCTCAGTGTAGCAAAGAGTAGCAGACCAGTATTGCTGCCAGCATATCTTGCCTCAGAGCCACAGGGCAGTTTTCTCCTATCTCAGAATAGAATGAATGGTCGGCTTTACACCGAGACATTCCATTCCCAGGGATGAGCAGGAGACAGAAGCCTTCCTCTTATCTCAACTGGAAAGAGGCCTCCCTCTTTCACTACTCTTCCTCAGCACAGACCCTTCACGGGTGTCGGGCTGGGGGATGTAACGTCTTTCCTTTCCCACAAGGCCATATCTCAGGCTGAGTTGGGGGAAACTTTAGACAATACCCAGGCTTTCTTGGGCAGAAGTCCCTGCGGCTTTCCACAGTGCATTTTGTCCCTGGTTAATAGAGAATGGAGGGATCTGTTCTGTTCCATTGATCTATATCTCTGTTTTGGTACCAGTACCATGCTGTTTTGGTTACTGTAGCCTTGTAGTATAGTTTGAAGTCAGGTAGTGTGATGCCTCCAGCTTTGTTCTTTTGGCTTAGGATTGACTTGGCGATGCGGGCTGTTTTTTGGTTCCATATGAACTTTAAAGTAGTTTTTTCCAATTCTGTGAAGAAAAGCATTGGTAGCTTAATGGGGATGGCATTGAATCTGTAAATTACCTTGGGCAGTATGGCCATTTTCACGATATTGATTCTTCCTACCCATGAGCATGGAATGTTCTTCCATTTGTTTGTATCCTCTTTTATTTCCTTGAGCAGTGGTTTGTAGTTCTCCTTGAAGAGGTCCTTCACATCCCTTGTAAGTTGGATTCCTAGGTATTTTGTTCTCTTTGAAGCAACTGTGAATGGGAGTTCACTCATGATTTGGCTCTCTGTTTGTCTGTTGTTGGTGTATAAGAATGCTTGTGATTTTTGCACATTGATTTTGTATCCTGAGACTTTGCTGAAGTTGCTTATCAGCTTAAGGAGATTTTGGGCTGAGATAATGGGGTTTTCTAGATATACAGTCATGTCATCTGCAAACAGGGACAATTTGACTTCCTCTTTTCCTAATTGAATACCTTTATTTCCTTCTCCTGCCTAATTGCCCTGGCCAGAACTTCCAACACTATGTTGAATAGGAGTGGTGAGAGAGGGCATCCCTGTCTTGTGCCAGTTTTCAAAGGGAATGCTTCCAGTTTTTGCCCATTCAGTATGATATTGGCTGTGGGTTTGTCATAGATAGCTCTTATTATTTTGAAATATGTCCCATCAATACCTAATTTATTGAGAGTTTTTAGCATGAAGGGTTGTTGAATTTTGTCAAAGGCCTTTTCTGCATCTATTGAGATAATCATGTGGTTTTTGTCTTTGGCTCTGTTTATATGCTGGATTACATTTATTGATTTGCGTATATTGAACCAGCCTTGCATCCCAGGGATGAAGCCCACTTGATCATGGTGGATAAGCTTTTTGATGTGCTCTGGATTTGCTTTGCCAGTATTTTATTGAGGATTTTTGCATCAATGTTCATCAAAGATATTGGTCTAAAATTCTCTTTTTTTGGTTGTGTCTCTGCCCGGCTTTGGTATCAGAATGATGCTGGCCTCATAAAATGAGGTAGGGAGGATTCCCTCTTTTTCTATTGATTGGAATAGTTTCAGAAGGAATGGTACCAGTTCCTCCTTGTACCTCTGGTAGAATTCGGCTGTGAATCCATCTGGTCCTGGACTCTTTTTCGTTGGTAAGCTATTGATTATTGCCACAATTTCAGATCCTGTTATTGGTCTATTCAGAGATTCAACTTCTTCCTGGTTTAGTCTTGGGAGAGTGTATGTGTCAAGGAATTTATCCATTTCTTCTAGATTTTCTAGTTTATTTGCGTAGAGGTGTTTGTAGTATTCTCTGATGGTAGTTTGTATTTCTGTGGGATTGGTGGTGATATCCCCTTTATCATAACGCCGCATATCTACAACTATCTGATCTTTGACAAACCTGAGAAAAACAAGCAATGGGAAAAGGATTCCCTATTTAATAAACGGTGCTGGGAAAACTGGCTAGCCATATGTAGAAAGCTGAAACTGGATCCCTTCCTTACACCTTATACAAAAATCGATTCAAGATGGATTAAAGACTTAAAACGTTAGACCTAAAACCATAAAAACCCTAGAAGAAAACCTAGGCATTACCATTCAGGACATAGGCATGGGCATGGACTTCATGTCTAAAACACCAAAAGCAATGGCAACAAAAGCCAAAATTGACAAATGGGATCTAATTAAACTAAAGAGCTTCTGCACAGCAAAAGAAACTACCATCAGAGTGAACAGGCAACCTACAAAATGGGAGAAAATTTTCGCAACCTACTCATCTGACAAAGGGCTAATATCCAGAATCTACAATGAACTCAAACAAATTTACAAGAAAAAAAAAACCCCATCAAAAAGTGGGCGAAGGACATGAACAGACACTTCTCAAAAGAAGACATTTATGCAGCCAAAAAACACATGAAAAAATGCTCACCATCACTGGCCATCAGAGAAATGCAAATCAAAACCACAATGAGATACCATCTCACACCAGTTAGAATGGCAATCATTAAAAAGTCAGGAAATAACAGGTGCTGGAGAGGATGTGGAGAAATAGGAACACTTTTACACTGTTGGTGGGACTGTAAACTAGTTCAACCATTGTGGAAGTCGGTGTGGCGATTCCTCAGGGATCTAGAACTAGAAATACCATTTGACCCAGCCATCCCATTACTGGGTATACACCCAAAGGACTATAAATCATGCTGCTATACAGACACATGCACACATATGTTTATTGCACCATTATTCACAATAGCAAAGACTTGGAACCAAGCCAAATGTCCAACAGTGATAGACTGGATTAAGAAAATGTGGCACATATACACCATGGAATACTATGCAGCCATAAAAAATGATGAGTTCATGTCCTTTGTAGGGACATGGATGAAATTGGAAACCATCATTCTCAGTAAACTATCGCAAGAACAAAAATCCAAACACCGCATATTCTCACTCATAGGTGGGAACTGAACAATGAGATCACATGGACACAAGAAGGGGAACATCACACTCTGGGGACTGTTGTGGGGTGGGTGGAGCGGGGAGGGATAGCATTGGGAGATATACCTAATGCTAGATGAGGAGTTAGTGGGTGCAGCACACCAGCATGGCACATGTATACGTATGTAACTAACCTGCACAATGTGCACATGTACCCTAAAACTTAAAGTATAACAATAAATAAATAAATTAATTAATTAAAAAAAATAGAGAATGGAGAATGGCGATGACTTTTACCAGGCATACTGCCTGCAAACATGTTGCTAACAAGGCACATCCTGCACAGCCCTAAATCCATTAAACCTTGATTCAATACAGCACATGTTTCTGTGAGCACAGGGTTGGGGCTAAAGATACAGATTAACAGCATCTCAAAGCAGAACAATTTATTTTAGTACAGATCAAAATGGAATTTCTTATATCTTCCTTCTCTACATAGACACAGTAACAATCTAATCTCTCTTTCTTTTCCCCACAGCTTCAGTTAACATTGAAGAGCGATGAAGCTCAGTTCCTACATTCTGACAAGCTCTGAGAAAATTTCCCAAGTTTTTTGTACACCTCACAGGTGCCAGTGCATGTTTACAATCCACATTTGCATTATCAAAAGCTAAAGTTACGGTTAGCATTTCTGCAGCAGTGGCATGAGGAATCTGATGCTTCACTGCCTCTTGTAATCTTACAAGAAATTGCACATAGGGATCCTGTGACCCTTGCATAATATGTAAAAAGGATGTACTGGGACTCCCTCTTCTGGAATTGTGGTCCAGGCATGTTTAGCAGCCTGTGCACACTGCTGATACAGCATCTGGGAGTGCCATTTGATGTTCCAGTCTGAATAAGGGCTATTACCCAATAGCATATCCTCTGTAATGTCTCCATGTCTGGCATCACGGTTCTCTCTAGCCTGGTCTGCACACATTTCTCGCCAATTTAAATTCCATGTCAGATATGCACTAGCAGACAAGCAAGTTTATGCCAAATGTTTTACATCAAAGGGTAAAAGACGCATAGCACCGAACACAGATTCTAGCAATCCTAAAGTGAATGGGCTCTGTATGCCATTATTTACTACACTTGCTTATAATTCCTTTAACAACTTAAACTCTAGTGGAGTGTGTTCATGAATAAGCTGCTGTGGATTATTTGGATCAGTCCTTACAGAAACAGGAAAAGCACAAGGTCCTAAGGACTCTCCAGCTATGGCAGCAGAGTGTAAAATTCTTTGTATTGGGGTCTCTATTTCTGCTACCAAAGGAGGCAGTACAGATGTTTCCGCAACTGAAGGAGGCAGTATAGGCCAATTTTTATCTTCTCTCTCCTGTCTTTTATTTTCAATCGGTGCTGTGGGTGGGTCAACAGATTCTTTCAGATTTTTAGACTCAGCCTGCTGTCCCACAGAATAATGAGATAATGGTAGAAGTACAGTATGAATTAAACTTCAAGTGGGGAAAACAGAAGAATCAACTTTAAGACCCTTTTGATGAGCCCATTTTAATCCTTCTCCTGCTCTGTCCCAATTTTCCACATCAAGAGTGCCTGCCTGTGGAAACCATGGGTTATGTGTAATAACCTCCTGCAGCATCTTAGTTAATGTCTGAGAACTAACCTGAGCCCCAGTTTGTTTTAACAAAACTTTAAGCAACTTCACATAATGTTTTTCTTCAGTAGACAAATTCTGCCCCATGTTACCTTGATTCAGAAAACTTCCCGTTCCCAGTACTTCTTTAAAGCACTGTTCCCAGTACCTCTTTAGGGCACTGACCTTATATCCACTGCTTGTAGATTCATCCTGGGGTCCCCGTTCGCCTTGTCAATTTCAGTTTATCTGCTCCAGCAGACGTTCTTCATTCAAATCCTTGAAGTCCCTGTGTTCAGACGTCACTTGTCGACGTCCTCAGAGTCCCTGTTCTGGGGCACCACTTGTTACCTGCATGGATCTTGGGGGACTTAACAAAGGTTGACAAATGTGGGCATAAAGACAAAAGACAAAAGAGTATGTTTAGAAGAAGCGGTCAGGGAGCACCTTGCCTCTAGTAGACAAGGGTCCTGAGCTTTACACAGCTCTCCATATTTATCAGGCAAAAGAGATTGTGAGAAGTGGGGGTGGAAGAAGAGGTCAGCTGCTCGGTCCAAGACTGCATGCCTTGAACAATAGCCTCTAGATGTCCCAGTAGATAACCTCAAGGGGCCAGGCGCCAGGGAGTGACCGCCCTCAGCAAACCTCCTGGTGGCAGGCACAGTTGTGAACTTGCCCACATCCTGCATTCATGATAAACAGTTTGCTGTTTGATCATATAGCCTCCAGTGAAATGCTGAGTTGGTCACAATCCCTTTGGCCTTTTCAGCTCCCAACAGATATGGTATCTTGAAGGTAGTATACATAGAATTTCTTCTTAAATATCATGGAGTTTCTAATTGTACACTGGTTCCATAAGAAAGCTATTGATATGAACTCTGGTTAGATCTCAATATTACTTAAATCTTTCTGATTTGAAGCACAAAGTAGTTGGTAAAAAATTGGAAGACATACTGCATTGGTTCTGCAATCATGTGTCATGATAAAGAAAAATTGCTCTCCAGATTATCCTATCACTTGCTGGGAAAATACTACTAGCTGCCACGACGTATAGTATAACAATTTGCTATGTGCATAGAAATTGCTTTTTCTCTGCTCAGATTCCATCTCCTTGACATCTATAATGACTTCTTCTGCATGCACTAAAACTTGGTAAATATGTCTATTTTCAAATATATCATCATATGTAGCCCTTTCTTTCTCTTTCTTTCTTTCTTTTTCTTCTTTCTCTCTCTCTTTTCTCTTTTCTCCTCTCCTTTTCCTTTTCTTCTCCTCTCCTTTTCCTTTTCTTCTCCTCTTCTCTTCCTTTTCTTCTCCTCTCCTCCTCCTCTTCCTCCTCCTCCTTCTTTTTCCTTCTCTTCCTCCTTCTCCTCCTTTCTTTTTTTTCTTCTGACAGAGTCTCACTCTTTCACTCAGGCTGGAGTCCAGTGGTACAATAAGAGCTCAGTGCAGCCTCAAAATCCTAGGCTCAAGTTGTTCTCCAGCCTCAGCATCCCAAGTAGCTAGGACTGCATTCATGCACCACCATGCCCAGCTAATGTTTTATTTTTGTAGAGATAAGAGTCTCAGTATGTTGACAGGCTGATGTCCAACTCATGGGCTCAAGTGATCCTCCCACCTTGGCCTCCCAAATTGCTGCAATTACAGGCACAGCTTCCTCTACCTGGCTGTGACTACTATTTTCATGATTTTCTTAACCTTAATTCACTACCTTGAATTAGGTATTGTTCAGTAAATTTTTGATTGAGTAAACCACTTTTTAATACATTTAACAGTTAATGTAATTCAGTCCACATATTCTTTTTAAACTTAGAACATAGAGATGATATAGTCCCATAATTTTCAATGTCATATTGCTGTTGCTCTCAAATTTTAGTTTGTAGGAGGGTCCAAGTACAGAAGAGTTTGCTGAAAAAACAGGTTTTGGGGCCCCACCCACACGAAGTTTCTATTCTAGTTTATCCACATCCTATGGATGTGGGGAGTTGGGCTTGGAAATTTGTATGTATGGAGTTGGGCTTGGAAATTTGCATTTCCAGCATGTTTCCAGGTGATGCTCATGGGACTGGTCTCAGAGCTATACTTTGAGGATCACTGCCCTAAGGGCTTCAATAAGAGCTTTTTGAAAAAAAAAAAAAAAAAAAAGAAAGAAAGAAAAAAAGCTTCCTTAGGAGTTTCTTGGAAAAAGAACTGAAACAGTGAGTGAATAGGATTATGCAAAATAAAGTATATATATTTTAAATATCCTGGTGTATAGGCACTGTTAATATATTTCCTGTATTATGTTCATGAGAGAAAAAACAGTTATACATGTTATGGAAAAAAACAGGGTTTATTATAAAGTTTTATTACTTAAGTAGATTAGAATAGAAGAGATCTAGATTCAAGGCAGGTCCAGAAACTGTTCTTCCCTTTTCTCTCCTGCTCTCAATTTTCTGATTTCTTTTTCATAATCTATTCAGCCTCTTTTTCATTCTTCATTCATTCTGTCTCTACCAGCACTTATCTTTGCATTTTCCAGTCCAAATCAATGACAGATATTATTATTAATTAATTGAAAAGAACCTTCCCATAGGCCACATCAGGGATAGGCATGTAGGGGTCTGCTGATTTATTCGGTGGTTAGACAAATATAAAGATTGATCTAACACCCTTTTGCTGATCAGGAGTCCACAGGCAGGGACACATCTGCCAGAAGGAGATGTTGAGCATTTAGGCTCCTGTGACAGACACGTCTAGATGAGTGTTTCTAACATCCAGATTGAAGGGAGAAAGAAAAGTAAGCAGAAAGTTTCTTGCATAATTAATAAAAAGAGACATCACAGTTCTTGGAAAAAAGATAAGAAAGCAAAAGGTATTGAGTTTTATGGTAGTTCCTAATCATGACAATCACAAGATTCTCTGACTATTTATAACATAAATAATGTTGGAGTGCAGAGCCCATATATAGATCTGCCTTTGTTCCCTTTTACTTTTGAACACACTTGAATTTCTCAGGAGTAAGCACTAGTAGTGTGAAGAAAAGAGGAAACTTAGGAGAAACCAGATGTTGCTGGAGGATGCATTTGCCCAGTGGGACCCCAGAATGTGGACCTCTTACAAATTTGGCTCCAGGATGTTAGTCTCTTTCTTTTTCCAAGTGTAAACAATTTCTATGATTCCTGCTGAGAAAAACTGACTGTGATTAGTTGATCTCCTAAAAAATAAAAAGATCTGGGCACAGATAATAAGTTTATGCTGTCTTGGTAGGTAGCCCTTGCAGACTTCATTGTTATGTTAGGACGCTGGGAAAGAGAACTGATTACACTCATTATGATTTTTTTTTCCATAGGAGCCAGCTGCAAGAGAACAGGTGGCAATCTGCTAAGGGATTTCTAACATATCTTTCTAAGTTTGTTAGAAAGATAGCCACAGCTGTTAATTATTTTGAAACATTCTCTGTGCTGTGCCGTTTTCTGCGATCAGATTTGAACTTGGTATCCACTACTTTTATAGAACAGCATCTTAATTTTCTTTTCACCTCTCCGAATAGCTTTGATTTAATGTTAAGACTAAAAGACAAATAAAAAGAATCTTGCTCCTTCTCTTTTGAAGTAAATTACCTCTGCTCAAATAACTTACTTCAGGAAGCTCTAGGGCATATGATAAATTCATTTACATACTCTTAAGGAATGATTAGCATATTGGTGAAAAAATAGAGCACAAAAGACTGATTTACCTCATGTTTTTCTACCTTTGCAGCTTTCTGACAAATCACAAGACTCCATATATGTTAAACTGGGTATAGCAGTCTCTCGGTGTGTGGAAAGAAAACTTGCTGAGTTAATGATCTGTGGCTGAGCAGGAAAGAAAATGAGGGTAGCATAATGAATAAAGCTAAGGTTCTTTGTTCCTCTCTTCAAGTCACCTCTTTACCCCGAGACCACTCAGACTCATCTAGGCCAAGACCCAGAGAGAGTAAACTGCTGCTGTTTAATTAGTATAGGTCAAGCTCATTGTATTTTCTTTTGAACCTGTGGCTCCCCATGAAAAGATGAGCTGACCACAGTGTAGCCCTCTGGATATGAAAGAGCATAATTATTTTAGATATTCCAAACATGTGCAACTTCTGCTTTGATTTTACACTTACTTTGTCCTTTTTTTCCACTTAATTTTCTAGTACACTGCACAGCTATGCTAATTTGGCACGGATGCTAAATATAAGGTCAGAGCATCTCACTTTGGTCTTTACTTGATTGCTTATCACCCTTCCTGAATGCCATTTCTGTTTACTCTATGCATCTGATCTCATGTCAGCACTGCATCCCCTTGGCAGGCTGGTGTTCTTGTTTTTCTCTCTTTCCAAGCAGCTGTTCAATAATTTCATATGACATAATGTAAATGTATTTTCTATTCATGAGGGAAGAAATTGAGTCCCCCTAATCTCAGACCATCTTCCATCACAGATTTCTTTTATCCAATGATCAGAAGAAGTTCTGTAGTTTTTGCATGTATAATCTTTGTTGTATAAAGGCATTTTGAGAGAAATTACACAAATATTTATATTTTCCTTTTTTAATCACGTGTCACAATCACAGTACATTTTACAAGTCATTTCAATATTTATTATAAGCCAATGGACCCATTCCCTGGCTTCTCATTCATTGACACCTGCAAATAATCAGTGAAGATAATTAGGCACATGAATAGACATAGCTCTACATAAATTAGTTTGGAAGCATTCTGGTATGGGGTAGATTTGGAAAAATTATGTTTCTATGTTTAATTTTTATGTGAGGAAGAAAAACCTCTAGGCTCTAATGCAATTCTTGGTTTGTGCAGCTGATTAAAAACAAAAGAGTAAAAGTCAAATATTAAGGTTCTTTGGCTTCAGCTTTTGGCACCCAAAGAAATCTCCATGGTTCCTGAATGGAGAACAGCATTAACCAGCATGCTCTGGTTCTGTCTATACGATTTCCAACACTACTTTGACTTGAGGTTTTAAATACCATATGGCAAATTTATAAACACTCTGAGTGAGCAGGTTTTTCTGAGAAATTATATGAGATTACCACCTACCCGAGACTTAGGGAAATCAAAAAAGACATGCATTTTCTGGATGTCTGGCTTCTGTTAGTCATTTTTGGAAACTCTGCCAAGAGCTATTTAAGAGTTTTCAAGTTGGTGGCTGGCAAACAAGATCCATATAGAATATAGGCAATATCTATTTCCTAAAGAAGTAATATGTAATTATAAGGATGGATTTAAAAATATATTTATTGTTTTCTATCAGTTAAAAAATTATGTTAATCCATTGAAATAATAATTACTTGAGGTACTATCTTCAGAGTTATATTTCCAGAACAAATGTGATCTTATCACTTTCTTGATTAAAACCCCGTTTCCTACAGGGAAAATTCTAATCTCCTTATCTTGATATCTCATTCTTCATGTCCTGTTCTAAAACTGTTTTCTATTTCCATTTTCTATATAGTATTTTGTTTTCTTTTTCATGCACCTTATATTACAAATTATTATCTAGTCCCTAAGTTGACCATTTTCAATGTGGTTTCTTTATTGTTTTTCCATCTGAATCTCATATTTATATCTAAAGCCTTTTTTTTTTTAAACGGAGTTTTTCTCTTGTCACCGAGACTGGAGTGTAGTAGCGAGATCTTGGCTCACTGCAACCTCTGCCTCCCTGGTTCAAGCAATTCTCCTGCCTCAGCCTCCTGAGTAGCTGGGATTACAGGCGCCCACCACCATGCCCAGCTAATTTTTGTATTTTCAGTAGAGACGGGGTTTCACCATGTTGGCCAGGCTGGTCTCGAACTCCTGACCTCAGGTGATCCACCCAACTCGGCCTCCCAAAGTGCTGGGATTACAGGCGTGAGCCACTGTGTCTGGCCTAAAGCCCAGTTTTAAAAAAACAAATAAATAACTGCTGAAACATTATCCATTATTCACCTCCTCAACTATGAATGCATTGTACAATCAAAGATAGCTAATGTATCATATCTTTGAATCCACTCACCTGTGCTCTCTGAAGATTCAGGTACATAGGAGAATCTCAAAATATGGCTGCTTAAAGAAATAATAAATAGAAAAATTAATTATGTCTATCCTAGATTTCATGTGTTGACATTTACAACCAGAGTATAGTATGTAAAGCACTAAAATTTTCCCAAATACTACTTCTGATTTACTCAGAGGTCAGATTTGAGTAATCCCTGGGAGCATGTAACATTATGAAACTGCTTTTCTCTAGCACTGTCTTTTGTGACATAAAAAGAAACCCTTAGATTTTTAACCCAGAGCTAAATTTACTTTTACTTACGCTCTATAACTTCAAAAATTTGAAGAGAGTTTTTATAGCCTATAGTACATAAAACTCAGCAGGCTGGGTGCGGTGGCTCACGCCTGTAATCCCAGCACTTTGGGAGCCTGAGGCGTGCTGATCATGAGGTCAGGAGATTGAGACCCCGTCTCTACTAAAAATACAAAAAAAAAAAAATTAGCCGGGCATGGTGGCAGGCGCCTGTAGTTCCAGCTACTCGGGAGGCTGAGGCAGGAGAATGGCGTGAACCCGGGAGGCTGAGCTTACAGTGAGCCGAGATCGCGCCACTACACTCCAGCCTGGGCGACAGACCGAGACTCTGTCTCAAAAAAAAAAAAAAAAAGTCAGCAAACTAGAAAGACAGAGAGAAGATAGAGATGGGTAAAAAAATAATCACTGAGAATATAAAAATAAAGTATGTGGTATTATATATTTTAAAACACTAAGTAAAGTTCACATTCTGAGTCAACAAGAAAAAAACCTTGTGTATACCATTTAAGGAGGAAGAAAAGTCTATATTTTAAAACAATTTCCTAACAATGGTTAAAGTAAACAAAGCCTGCCTGTCTGGAATTTTAAATTGCAAATATATTTCTAGGCAATTTGTGTGAAATACTGTGTTCTGATATGCCAGAGAATTGGGAAAAAACAAACTAGATTTGCAGAAAGGACTAAGCAGACACTGCTGAAATATCCTGAAGTACAGAAATTTCTGAACTTTTATTGGATTCAGGAAGCCACAGGAACTCTGAACCTTTAATGAATTCAGGAAGCAAAATTAAGGCATTTTTGTGAAAATTTTTAGTTAGACTTGCTTTTAACTCCTACATAGGCTAATAAGGCTCAACAAGGAAAAATCTGAGCTCTGGCCATGATGTGACAGGAAACACCGAACAAGTGAGTGCAGATGGTTCCGTCAATGAGACTATGGCAGAAAGCCTCCTAAAAGACAATAGAAATATCTTTATGGATAACTAAATAAACAATTTGAAAACATGCAATTGTGTTTTTTCACTGGATTAGAGCCACTTTGAGGGCAGAGTTTGTATATAATTTGTTCAGCATGATATATATCTAATGTCAAGCACAGGATCTTGTACATATCAGAGCCTAAAAACATATTGAATGAATGAATGAATAAATGAATGACTTGTATTAGTAGATCAAAGTTGCACATTGTTTTTACCATAAACTGTTTATCACTGATAATATCGCGAACCCTACACACATTGTTCTAATAGGTACTTCATTTTATTTAACTAAGGAGGGGTAAATAGAGACATGAAAAGAGATAACAGAGTTTGTGGACTTAATTGGAGCAAACATTACTTTAAGTTGATTTTATAGAAATCATATAGAAATTTGCCAATTGTCTTTTTAATTCTATTTTTCTACATATAATCTCTCTACATTTAATTTACAGCAAATAATTCTGTCAACTTTGTATTCCAATAACCTATAATTAAATGAGTCAAGGTCAGAGAATATTGGAGTGGGAGATGAGAATCAATCTACTGACTTCCAGCTGCAGCTAACTGACCTGCTGCCATTTGGGCATGATCAATCAGGCACTTGGGGAATAACAATGAAAGAAGCTGATGCAACACACCACAGAGCAGAGGTCAAAGTATACATGCATTTTCTTTGAGAAAAAATTAAAAGTTAGGGATGCTAAAAATTATTGATAGAATTTTTATGCATGTTCTTAAAATTTAAGGCTCAGGAAACTCATAGATAATATAGGTCTATTAATTCAAAGGTGCTTAAAATGATATTCAAAAAGTCACATTGCATAATTTAGTCACATTAAATATAAAAGCAAGTTATCAGTGAAAATTAACCATAATCAGTGTTACACAAAGTTGTTATATGCCCTTGAATGAGACATCTTATTCATCAGTTATTTTCATATGCAATCTTGTAATTCTCCTTAATAAAGTAACAAAAAAGAGTTAGCCATAGATATTTATATTATTTTTCAAATTTGTAAAATAAAACAAATAGCAAAAAGCACATCTAGGGATATTTGTAAGGTCACAGAAGCCAAAATGATGAGGACCAGAGTAACAATTTACTGGAAGAAATGTGCCTGGGTTACTATGAGAACTATTGCAGAGTGTTTGCCTCATCTGCACCATATTTCTCTACTAAAGGGCTCTTACAGAAGATTAAATTTTAAAGCATTCTCTTGGCAAATCCAATTACTTCATTCAAAGTATCATCTCACACGAGTTAGAATGGCAATCATTAAAAAGTCAGGAAACAACAGGTGCTGGAGAGGATGTCGAGAAATAGGAACACTTTTACACTGTTGGTGGGACTGTAAACTAGTTCAACCATTGTGGAAGTCAGTGTGGCGATTCCTCAGGGATCTAGAACTAGAAATACCATTTGACCCAGCCATCCCATTACTGGGTATATACCCAAAGGACTATAAATCATGCTGCTATAAAGACACATGCACACGTATGTTTATTGCGGCACTATTCACAATAGCAAAGACTTGGAACCAACCCAAATGTCCAACAATGATAGACTGGATTAAGAAAATGTGGCACATATACACCATGGAATACTATGCAGCCATAAAAAATGATGAGTTCATGTCCTTTGTAGGGACATGGATGAAATTGGAAAGCATCATTCTCAGTAAACTATCACAAGAACAAAAAACCAAACACCGCATATTCTCTCACTCATAGGTGGGAATTGAACAATGAGATCACATGGACACAGGAAGGGGAATATCACACTCTGGGGACTGTGGTGGGGTCGGGGGAGGGGGGAGGGATAGCATTGGGAGATATACCTAATGCTAGATGACACGTTAGTGGGTGCAGCGCACCAGCATGGCACATGTATACATATGTAACTAGCCTGCACAATGTGCACATGTACCCTAAAACTTAGAGTATAATAAAAAAAAAAAATTAAAAAAAAAAAAAAAAAAAAAGATATGTAGCAGAGCCTCAGTTTACTAGATACCAGTAGTGCCTCCCAGCTGTAACAAGTAAAACTGCCTTCAAATATTGCCAAATGTCCATTGGCGGCAAAATCATGCCCAGCTGAGAACTACTGATATAAATAATTGCTACCATTTTGAGCAAGTATGTGTGTGTATTTAATAAAGGGATATAAGAAAAAAAAAAAAAAAGACAAGGTCAGAAAGCTTATGAAAAGAGTCAGTAATCTATCCAACGGAGGGTTGAGAAATGTTAATGGGGCTAAGCCAGTGCACAGGGGACCCAGTTTCCATTACAAAAGTGACTAGCCATCAGTCATCATCACAGTGGGCCATCCTGAAACATTCCATGAGCTTAAAATGGTTAGAAAAAAACACTGCACGGATCATATCTGCCAGGCCAGAAAATAGCCGCTTCTGAAATGTTGTGCTAAAACTTTGGCTAGAGTGAGTTCCTGTGAGAATCCTAAGACCCCAAGAGGACGCAGACACCAGAGTGGCTTTATGTCAGCTGCCTGGCTGCTGCGTGTACCATGACAGTTAAGAGTGAGCAATATTTGCCTGGCAGGGGAGATACCATGGTTTTCCCAGGACGAGGATTAGCCCTCTGATTGTGCTGACCCCTGCCATTTTCCCAAATATAGGAAGCTCCACTGCAAATTTGTGGTGGTGGGAGAAAAGAAAGAAATAAAGGATGGGGGGTAGGCCACACATCATGGGGAGGTGGCTTAGGGGTTGCCAATGGCCAAGGGCCCCCAGGAGCAGCTGCACAGTTGGACATGAGCCCTAGTGGTCCCTGGCCCCAGGCCCTGGCAGGTCATGAGACCTTGTGGGCCTAAAACCCCATGTGGAGCCCTTCTCTTATCTGTCTGCACTCTTCTGGGGCCAGCCCATCTTGGTCCTTGGGTGAACCCACTTCTGTCCATTCTCTCCCCCAGGGCGAACCCATCTCTGTTCATACCTCTCCCACCCAGCCATTGCAATCAAGTTCTCTGAAAAGCAGCAGGTATCTCATCACCTGTGTGAGAGCACATAGAGTTCTAGAAGGCACCAAATCTACCTGGCCTCAGAAGCACACCCCTTTTGTAATCATGGTACCCCCATACTTTACAGTGAGCCAGGCCTAGGAAGGGACCTGTGGGCTCCAGGATGAGAGTTTCCATGGCTCCTTCCACATCCTTAGTGGTGAGATGGAAGCAGCTAATGGAGCCACAGAGGAAAGTGTCAAGAGGGCTGCCTCTCTCGTGACAGGAAATTGTGACACATGTTCATATTTAAAAAATAAATAAATAAAAGAAAGAGCAGGAGAAGTGTAAGGATGAGTAGCACCTGTCTCTGTTGCGTATATTTGGTATTATAATCTTGAGCCATAGTGCTATGATCTGTGTCTTCAATGTGTTGTCAAAAAGCGTAGTACAGATCTTCCTTATTAGACCCTTTTGCAACCTCAGGCAAACTACTGTAATGGAAGTCAGGAGATTTGGGTTCTGTTTTAGCTTTAATTTCCAAATAAAATAATGTCAAAACCCATTCTACATTTATTTTCAGAAAAAAAAAAAAAAAAAAAAAAAGAGAAGTTCACTATACACATACAATTTACTTACACCTGCTTCTTGGAGAAAATTTGGAAAGAGAAAAAAAGGGAAATGTTACAATAAACAGGCTACTTAAACACTACAATTATAATCTTTTAATATACTTCCTTTCTATCTTTATCTTTTTCCACTTTCTTCTCTGAATATTTAATCATATATTTCTTAATTTTCTACTTTGTAGCACATTAAAAGATTGTTTTCTTGCTAGTATATAATTTAGCTATTACATTAAAAGTTGCCAATTATGCTTCTAGCCAAGATGGACTAACAGGAAATAAGCAAAATGCCCTAGTCAAACTAATGAAAAAACTGGACAGGAGACAGTTTTTTCAACACACTGGAGATAGGCAATTAATGACAGCTATTCCTGAGGGTCTAACAAAAATGATATTATCCCTCAAATTTTTTCTGTATACTGCCTGAAAGAATTTCTCTCTATAGCACAAGGAAAGGGATACATAACACCCCAGCTTACTCCTTAAATTGAGAAGATGGACTATGGAGCCTGGGAATACCAATGCAATTAGAATTATTAGGGAATACCAAGTAGGAGAGAGCTGCAGAGACAGAGGACTCTGAAGTATCCTCCTCAAATATTCAACTGAATATTGATCAGTACTGAGCTTGGGAAAAGAATCTTCCAAAAAGACTAGAAGAGAAAACGTTGATAAATCAAAAAAGAACTGAAATAGATGTTAGGATTAACAAAGAAGATGATCAACATATATATTATGTCTACATCTTCTATATTTCAAATATTAAGTAGTCAAATTGTAAAATATAGACAGATCAAATTCTAAAGACAAAAACTTCAAAGTCCAAGATAAAAAACATAGTAGATAAATAATAGAAGATTAGACAGGGCAGAAGAAAATATTAGTGAATCTGAAGACATAGCAATAGAAACTAACAAAACTAAAGACCAAAAATAATCTTTAGAAAATGAACAGATTGAAAAAATATTAAAAATGTTGAGCTGAGGGGCAACGTCAAGCAACCTAATATACAAAGGTCCTTGACTTATGATGGGGCTATGTCCTGATAAACTCATTGCAACTGGAAAATGCATTTAATACCCTGATAATCCATCTTAAAGTCAAGAAATTTTAAGTCTAACCATCGTAATAAACACAGAAGTGCCTGAACTTATGAAGAGGTTACATCCGAATAAACCCATCTTAAAGTTGAAAAATCTTAAATAGAACTATAATAAGTTGGGAACTGTCTACATGAATTTGGAGTACTAAATGAAGAGAAAAAAGCTGGGGTGATAGAAAAATATTTGAAAAAAAAGCTGAAAAAATGTCAAATTTGACAAAAATTATACCTTTAGTTCTAAGAATAATAATGAACCCTGATTACAAGAAAAATGATGTAAACTAAATCAAGTCATAACTAATATACCCATAAAATGGATAAAAAATTCTTAAAAATATACAGAGAAAAAATGCATGTTAATAAAAAGGAACAGGCAAGTCAGCAGATGTTTCATTGAAAATAATGGTATAGTCAAGCAACATCTTTAAAATAATAAGAAAGGACATTGCCAACTTAGAGTTTTTTACTCAGCTAAAAACATTTCAAAATTGAAGGCAAATAATAACTTTGTTAGACAAAAGATTCACGAATTTATTGAGCAAAGATTACACTATAAGACATATTAAGGCGTTTATAAAGCTAAAAGAAAAATGATTCTAATGAAACTACAGATGTACACAAAGAATAAAGAACCCCAAAAATGCTAATCACATGAATAATTACAAGACATCTTTCTTATTTTAAAGCTCTTTAAAAAATAGTTGACTGTTCAGAGTGACATCAGCAAACGTGGTGGAGTAAGCAAATTCAAAAGTCTGTTACTCCATAAAAGCAAGCAGAAAGTTGCCAGAATCAACTTTTTTGGAGCTCTGGAAAAGGACCAAAGCCTGAAGCAATCATGGAATACTTAATAAAACAAAACCAAAACCAAAAACAGCTGTATATCAGAAAGAACAGTGAGATCTGTGGTGTTCTAAGTAACCCTAGTCCCGTGCACCTCTTCCCCACTCAGCAGTGGCCCTGAAGATTGTCCCCTAACAACCCAGATTCTTGATAAAAGTACTGGGAAAAACATGCCAGATTTAATTTGTAAGGAATTTTGACACTTTTTTTTTTTTTTATCTACCTGGTCCCTGTAGGATCAGTTTAAGAGTTTACATTTATTTTTCCTTACTTGGAACTCTCTTGATGCTGAGTCAGCTACCAAGGAGTGTTTGGAAGAAGCATTTATAGGTAAACATATATTCATTGTTGCCGGGGTCAATGGATAACAGTTGAAGCAAACATAGATTAACCAAAAGCTTAGGAGAAAGACTGGTAAATGGGATGCTTTGGGGAATAAGGATTTTGAAAAGATCTAAGACATTTCTGGGAATTGAGAAGGCCAAAAATATGCCCAAGTCTGTGCACATGCTTCAGAAGGATCTTAGAAGGTCTTGATCTCAACTCTGGTTGACCTTAAGGTTTCACACAAGCAGAAAGTAAAGGCTAAAACAGAGTTGTGAACTACCTGGCTAAGTGTTCATTGTGTGTCCCAATACATACAGAGAAGTAGTTTACAGAGAGTGTGAATTTGGTTTTTTGTTTGTTTTGACTTCAGGCATTCAGGAAAATTTCTGTCCAATAACAAGCTGATCATTAAGTTAAAATAACAGATAGTTCAGTGAATACATAAAATAAAGAATACAGCCTTCATAACATTTGTTCATGAAATGTCTCTGAATAAACAAGTAGCAAAAAATAAAACAATTGTTGGAAGAAACCTTGGGACAGAAGGGAATCTTAATTTGGGAGTGTCCACATTATTATATCCCAAATGTTCAGTTTTCAACAACAAAAACAACAACAACAAAGAAAACATGCAAAGGAAGAAGAAATTATGGGCAGTACACAAGGAAGAAAAGCAATTAATAGAACCTTTCTGTTAGGAAGCCCAAGTATTGGACTTTTTAGGCAAAGATTTTAAATCAAGTATATTAAATATGTTTTAAAAAGCTAAAGGAAACCATATTTGAACAACTAAATGAAGCCATAAAAATAATCTTATCAAATAGACAATATCAATAAAGAAATAAAAATTTCAAAAGAGAGTCCAGAAATAAACTCATATTATCTATTGTTAATTGATTTTTGACAATGCTGCTAAGTTCATTCAATGGGGTAAGAACAGTCCTTTCAATAAATGGTGCTGGGATGGTTGGATTTTACATGCAAGAGATGAAGTTGGAATCTTACTTCAAACCATATGTTAAAAATTATCTCAAAATGGCTTAATGACCTATATATAAAAGGGATAAATCTGAATGACTTTGAATTTGTCAGTGGAAATTCTAGACACCAGAATAATGCTCAGCAGCAACAACAACAACAAATAGATAAATTAGATAAATTAGACTCAATATCAATGAAAAATTATTGTGCATAAAATAACTTTATCAATAAATAAAAATATTACCTATATAATCCAAGGAAATACTTGTGAATCATATATCAAAAAAGGGCTTACTATGTAAGTAACTCTTACTTCTCAATTAGAAAGTAATCAAATTCAAACCATGGGAAAAGTACTTGAATAGACATTTCTCCAGTGAAGCTATTCGAATGGCCAATAAACACATGAAAAGATGCTCAATATCATTAGTTATTAGGGAAATGGCAATACACTAGTAGTATAGTGCAGTAGTACAATAAGGTCTACTTAACTTCTACTAGGTTGTCTATAATTTAAAAGAATAACATAAAAATTACAAATGTTGTTAAGGATGTAGAAAATTTGGAATTGTCCTACATTGTTGGTGGGAATGGAAAATGGTGCAGCCACCATGAAAACAGTTTGGTGGTTTTCAAAAAACTAGAGACCGAGGTACCATTTGATACAGTAATTTTACTCCTAAGTATATTCCAAAAAGAACTGAGGAAAGAGATTCAAACAGACACTTGTACACCAATGTTTATTGTAACACTATATACAAGAGGCAGAATGTAGAAAAAACTCGTGTCTATAAACAGAAAAATTGATATATATAATGTGATATATACAAACAATGGATTATTATTCAGCTGTAGAAAGAAATAATGCAAAGCATGAAGAAATAAAGAGCACTGGTTAAGGTAACACCATAGGTGAATCTAAAAGTCACTATTAATGAATTTCTTATTTGTAATTCTTTTTGTTTCCAATCTGACTTATATGGCTACTGCATAAAACAATAATTATACATCTCTGTTGATGGATGCTGTATAAAGATTTAATTTGTGACAATGACAACAAAAAATGCAGTTGTAGCTATACAAATAAAAGGTTTCCATACTATCCAAATTAAGTTTGGAATTAATTTTATCCTTATCAGTAATTATATTAGATGTAAATAGATTATTCAATTAAAGGCAGAGTTTGGCAGGACAGATAAGAAGACATGAACCAAACTATATGCTGTCTACAGGAGACATTCTTTGCATTGAAACACAAATTGATAGACAGTAAAAAGATAGAACAATATTTCCTGAAAAGATCAACCAAAAGAGAGTTGGTGTGGCAATATTATTATCAAACAAAATAGACTTTAAGATTTTATACAGACAGAGGATATTATATAATGATTAAAGAGCCAACCATAAAAAACATATACCATTTATGAACATATATGCATCTAATAAGATAGACTCAAAATTTATTAAGTAAATACTAGCAGTGCTTCAATAATGGATAACAGAACTGAACATATTATAAGCAAGAAAATAGAAGACTTCAGCAACATTAAAACCTAACTATACCAAATAGGCAACTACTGAATACTACACACAGGAATAACAAAATATACATTGTTTTCAACTGTGCATGAAACATTCTCTAGGATAGACCATTTCTTTGGCCACAAGACAAGTCTCAAAAAGCTCAAACAGATTTAAATTATTCAGTACAATTTCTCTGGATAATGTAGAATTAAATTAGAAATAACAGAAGAAAATTAGAAAAATTTACAAATATGTTGAAATTAAATATTACATTCTTAAATAGCCAATAATCAAAGAAGAAATTATAAGGTAAATTAGAAAAAACTTTGAGGCAAATAAAAATCAAAATACAACATATGAAAACATACGGGATGCAGCAATAGTAGTCGCTCAAGGAGAAACACTTACCTTAAGTATTATAATCCAAACATTTACCTTTAGAAGGCATTCAGAAGAAAGATCTCAAAACAGTGACCTAACTATCCACCTCAAAAAAATAGAAAAAGGAAAAAAGTAAACTAAAATCTAGAAAAAGGAAGAAAATAATAAATAATAAAATAATAAAAATAATAAAGATTAAAATGCACAAGTTGATAGAAAGTAGGAAATCAGTAGAGAAGATCAATGAGATACAAATTTTGTTCTTTTAATAAAAATCAATAAAATTGAGGAACTTAGGCAAGACTGACCAAGAGAAAAAGAGAGACAACTAAATTTACTAAAATCAGTACTGAAAGCAGGAACACTACTACTAGCCTAACAGCAAGAAAATGGATTGTAAAACAGAGGCTGAGACAGGAGGATCACTTGAAGCCAGGAGTTTGAGACCAGTCTGGACAATATAGTGAGACCCCATTTCTCTTTTTCCCAAAAAAAAGGTTATAAAATAATAATATGAACAATTTTATAACAAAAGATTAGATAACCTATATGAAATGGAAAAATTCCTAGAAACCAAATCTGACTCAAGGAGAAATAGAAAGTATGAATAAGTAAAAAGCTTACATTAGTAATTAACAACAAAAAGAAAAACAAAAGCCAACAACTAGGACCAAGGATCAGAACCAGATGGTTTCACATAGGAATTCTGCCAAATTTTAAAGAAGATTTAAACCAATCCTTTTCAAACTTGTCCAAAAAATAGAAGAAGAGAGAACATCTTCTAATTCATTTCTTTGAGGTCAAAATTACCAAAGCCAAACCAAGACATTATAAGAAAATAAAGCTAATGACCAATATGCCCTATAAATAAACATGAAAATCTCCCTGATTATCATTGTCCTTATAAGACAAAATCTCCCTTGTTGTCTTATAAGAAGACAAATACATCTATTTTCTTGCTTATAAGATATTAGCAAACCAAATCCAACAGCATTTTAAGAAGAATATACATCATGTCCAAGTAGGATATTAAAAAAAAAAAAAAAAAAAAAAGCATTTGAGAAAGTTCAGTGTTTCCACAATAAAAACCCTTTAAAAACTAGGAATGGAAAGGAATTTCCTCAATGTGATAAAGAGTATGTACAAACCTGAAAATGAAAGCTTTCTCTCTGTTATGGACTTAATTGTTTTCCCCTAAAATGTATATGTTGAAGCTCTAACCCTCAATGTGACTTTATTTGAAGATAGGGTCTTTAGGGATGTAATCAATGTTAAACGAGGTCAGCGGTGAGGTTCTCATCCATCCAAGAGGACTAGCATCCTTATAAAACAAGGAAAAAGACATCAGAGATCTCTTTTTCTTCATGTCAGCAGAGAGTGAGAACTTAGGATGAAGGTACTCATTTACAAGCCAGGGAAAGGGTCCTCACCAGAAACCAAATTTGCCAGTATATTGATTGCAGACTTCTAGTGTCAAGAACTGGGAGACAATAAATGTCTGTTGGGTAAGCCACCCAGTCTGTAGTATTTTGTTATGGCAATTAGAGAAGACTAATATGCCCTTTAGTATCACAACATTACAATAAGAATGTCTGCTCTTGCTTTTCTCCTCAAGATTGCACTGGAAGTTCTAGTCGGTAAAATTATGTAAGAAAAAGAAATAAAAGGCATTCAAGACTTCTGGTTTCCTATGTAATATGTAAGAAGCTTGAAAGTTGCCCCTCCATTCTTAAAAGAAGGAAAAAGCAAAAAATAAAGATAAAATAATTGAAAAAAATCAACAACTCTTCTTAAATCCATAAGAGAAATTTGGTTCCAGGGCAAACCATTGTCCCCAAAATTGGAGAGAGTGATAGATGAATACAGAGAATCACAGCTTAATGGAGCAGAAACCCAGAAGCTGAAATCCCTGCAAGAAGCAGTGCCAGAACAGGAAAACCTGAACTTTAATTGATGAATTGCTGCAGGTCCAGCATGAATAAATCTGAGAAATGAGAACTCCAGGAAGATTGAAGGTGGAGATGGGACCTTTGTACTTTTGCGAGTTTTACCTTCAGGAGTGCTACCAGGTTCTCACAGTGAACAACAGAAACAGTACAATATTTCTTAGAGCAGGCCAACAAGAAGAGAAATTATTTTGAAATACATTAGACCATTCTGTTCTTCTTATGTTCTTCTCTCAGGAGAAGTTATTTAACCAGGTATCAACCTGATTGGGTTTTATTAGAGCCTAACTGGTCCCAAGGAACCAAAGCACCCATCTCTAACTGGCTCTAGACTCCCACTTAGGAGGAGGAAAATACTCAACTCGAGCCCACTCTAGGTATCCTATCCTACCCAATGGAGAGGGAAAAAGACATGAGAATCACACATGAAGTTCATAGTTCAGAAGCACAAGCATACTAATCGACTGAGACCTAATCATAAGACTGCAGAATGCTTCCCCTATCCCCAAATATTACCACTACATTACTAAAGGTTTAACTACATCACATCTTTTTTTTATAATGAATAAAATATACAGTATGAAAAAACAGATGAGCAATGTAAACAGAGAGATACTGGAATACAAATAATAAATATCTCTGAGGGGATTATTAGTAGCCTGGACGCAGCTGAGGAAAAATATCTGAGCTGGAGGATGTATCAAAAGTAACCTCCAAAACTAAAAATAAAGTAAAAAAAAAGATTGAGGAAAATAGAAAAGAACACTAAAGAACTGTGAGGTAACTACAAAAGGTATAACATATGTATAAACATGTGTTTAATAAGAGCCACAGGAAGATAAGAAAAATGAAAGAAAGAAAGAAAGAAAAAGTGAAGCAATATTTGAAAGGCTAGTGACTGAAATTTCCCCAAACTAACATTAGACATCAAACCACAGATCCCAGAAACTCAGAGAACAAGTGGGATAAATGCCAAAAGAAAAAAAAAACCCACCTTTTTTAAAAAAAACAACAAAAATGACCTCAAGGCATATTACATTGAAATTTCAGTGTCATAAAAATGTCTTGAAAGAGGCCAGAGGGAAATAAAATTCTATCCCTAGAGGAGCAAAGTTAGATTTATGTCTGGGTTTACCTCAGAACTATGCAAGCAACAAGAGACTACTTTAGATGGAAATATATAAAGTGTTGAGAAAAAAATAACTCTTCAATCTAAATTCTGTGCCCTGCAAAAATTGTTCTTCAAGAGTGAAGATAAAATACTTTCTCAGAAAAACAAAAAAAATGAGAGTTTATTGCCAGTAGACCTGCCTTGCAAGAAATGTTAAAATAATTTCATTTGAGAGAACATGATATAGGTCAGAAACTTAGATCTATGTAAACAAAAGAAGAACATCAGAAAATGAGTAAATGTATAACCAACATTTGAGGAAGCCACTGTACAAAAGCTATTTATAACAAAGGAACAAACAGAAGTGTGGTCCTCTGAAAGCATCCAGAATTGAAGCCAAATGATCATGTATTAATATAACATACATTACAGTGATACTTTCATGTGGTGAGGGAAAGTCCTAGCCAAATGAAAGTAAAATGAAATATAGGTGATAGCTTCTCCAGATGAGGAAGAGTTAGCACACACACACACACACACACACACACACAAACACACACCCCAAATAAGCAGTATTTCAATACTCCCAAAGAATCATAATAACTCTCCAGCAATGGATCTTAAACAAAATAAAAATTCTGAAATGATAGATATATTAGCTCATTCTCATGCTGCTAATAAAGACATACCTGAGACTGGGTAATTTTTAAAGTAAAGAGGTTTAATGGACTCACAGTTCCACATGGCTGGGGAGGCCTCACAATTATGGCAGAAGGCAAAGGGATGTCTTACATGGTGACAGGCAAAAAGAGCCTGTGCAGGAAAACTTCCATTTATAAAACCATCAGCTCTCAAGAGACATATTTACTACAATGAGAACAGTATGGGGGAAAACGCCCCCATAATTCAATTATCTCCACCTGGCTCTGTCCTTGTCACATGGGGATTATTATAATTCAAGGTGAGATTTGGGTGGGGAAACACAGCCAAACAATATCAATAGGTAAATAATTCCAAATATAGATTATAAGGAACTCCATGAGATCCAAGAGAAAATAGAAAAAAAACCCCACAGAAATCAGATAAAAAATTCAGAATATGAATTAAAACTTTAATAAAAGCATAGATTTTTTAAAAAATCAATTAAAACATTTGGAAATAAAAATTCATTGAAAGTTATAAAACATAGTTAAAATATTTTAAAAAGACAAAATCAAGCAGAAGAAAAAATTTCAGAGCTTTAAGACTGATATTTTGAATTAGCATAGACAAAAATAAAGAAAAAATAATTTTAGAAAATGAAGAAAGCCTTCAAGTAATATAAGATTATGTAAAGTGACCAAACCCATGAATAACAGGCATTCCTGAGGGAGAAGAAAATGTAAAAAGCTTGGGAAACACATTTTAGTGAATAATTTAAGAAAACTTTTCTAGTCTAGCTAGAGAATAAAACATCGAATATAAGAAGTTCAGAGACACCTGGGAGAGACTGCAAGATGAATTTCATCAAGGAATAGTCATCAAACTATCCAAAGTCAACATGAAAAAAAAAAATCCTAAAAGCAGCAAGAGAGAAGCATCTAATTACTTATAAAGGAAACTCCATCAGATTGACAAAGGATCCTCGAGCAGAAACCTTACAAGCCAGAAGAGAATGGAGGTGTGTCTTCAGCCTTCTTAAGGAAAACAAACAAACAACCAAAAAAAAACCAAAAAACAAAAAACATCCAATAATTCTACTTTCTGCCACACTAAGTTTCGTAAGTCAAGGAGAAATACAGCCTTTCCCAGAGAAGCAAATGCTAAGGAAATTCATCACCACTAGACCAGCCCTACAAGATATACTCATAGGAATTCTAAATATGGAAACAAAAGGACAGTAGTCACCATTATAAAAGCACACAAAAGTACAATTGTATCCTACAATGCAGTTACACAACTGAGGCTACAAATAAGTAACAATACTATGACAGGCACACAATCTCACATATCAGTATTAATCTTGAAAGTAAATAGCCTAAAGGCTTCATTTAAAAGAGATAGGCTGGCATTGGATTAAAAAAACAAGATCCAACATTGGCTCTCTACAAGACACTCACCTAATGGATAAGGACATCCATACATTCAAAGGGGTGAAAAAAGATATACCATGCAAATGGAAAACAAAAATGAGCAGAAGTAGCTATACTTATATAAAACAAAACAAACTTTAAATAAAAAACAAAAAAGGGAAAAAGAAGGTCATAAAGGATCCAATTCAACAAGAAGATATAAGTATCATAAATATATATGCACCCAACATCAGAACACCCAGATCCATAAAACAAACACTTCCAGACCTAAGAAAAGAGATAAACAGCAGTACAATAATAGTGGGGGGCTTTAGTACCTCCTTGACAGCACTAGACAGATCATTGAGGCATAAAATCAACAAAGAAATACTGGACTTAAACTGGACTTGAGGCCAAATGGACCTAACAGACTCTACAGAACATTCTACCCAACAGTAGAATATATGTTTTTCTCATCTGCACACACAACATTCTTGAAAATGGACCATATTTCTGGCCATAAAACAGATCTCAATAAGTTCAAAAAATCAAGATAATATCAAGTATCTTCTAGGACAGCGTGGAATAAAAGTAGAAGTCAAAACCAAGAAGAAGTCTCACAACTATACAAATACATGGAAATTAAACACCTTGTTCTTGAATCATCTTTGGTTAAATAATGAAATTAAGGCAGAATTAAAAAAAATGAAACAAATGAAAATAGAGACACAGTATACCCACATCTCTGAGAGATAGCAAAATATAAGAGGAAACTTCATAGCACTAAATACATCAAAGGGATAGGAAGATCTCAAATTAACAACCTAACGTATCACATCAAAGAACTAGAAAAACAAAGCCAAACCAACCCCAAATCTAGCAGAAGAAAATAAATAATAAAGATTAGAGCAGAACTAAATGAGATTGAGACCACAAAATAAAAACCAATATAAAGGATCAATGATATGAATAGTTTGTTATTTGAAAAGATAAAATAGTTTGACCTCTAGCTAGTTTAACCAAGAAAAAGAGAAAGAAGATTCAAATACATACAATCAGAAATGATAAATGTGACATTATAACTGATACCACAGAAATATGAAAGATCATCAGAAACTCTCATGAGCATCTTTAGGTGCACAACTAGAAAACCTAGAGGAAGTGCACAAATTGCTGCAAACATGCAGCCTCCTGAGATTGAACAAGGGAGAAACAGAATCCTGAACAGACCAATAATGAGTAATGAAATTAAGTCAGTGATAAAAAAGTCTCCCACAAAAACAATAAAAAGCCCAGGTCCAAATGGATTCACAGCCAAATTTTACTAGACATACAAAGAAAAATTGGTAAGAATCTTAGTGAAACCATTCCAAAAAATTGAGGGAGAAAAATTTCTCTATAACTCATTCTACAAAACCTGTACCATCTTGATTTCAAAATCAGGCAAAGACACAACAGCAACTAAAAACTACAGGCCGATATCCCTAATGAATACAGATGAGAAAATCATCAGCAAAATACTAGCAAATCAAAACCATTGAGGACTAAACTCTGATTTTTTTTCTCGTCCAAATTCCTGTCTAAGGGGCCTGGGGAGTCATGCCCTACAAATCATAAATTCTCATCAGATGAATTTTATTTGACTCTATATATTGTGTCTTACTTTCCAACCTGACTCTGGCATAACATTATGAGACAAGGAAGAAAATAAAATATTTACCCCAAATCATGTTTCTTTGCCATATTTTGAAATGGTCCTGCAAAACTCTTCTTTGTGGGGGAATATTTGCATATGTAAAGAATCTCTAGTAAACACAGCTAGATCTTTTTCTTCCAGACCCTCCCAATCCTAAAGAGATTAACTAAGATCTCAATAGGAAACATTTGTCAGCTATTGTCTCTAAAGGCAGCCACTATAAGACTTCAAAAGAACTTTGATCTCCACTATCTTTATCTTAACCCGAACATGCCCTTTCTATCAATCCCAGGTCTTTAGACAAACTCAACCAATTGTCAACCAGAAAATGTTTAAATTCACCTATAGCCTGGAAGCCCCCACACTTTGAGTTTTCCTGCCTTTCTGGACCAAACCAATGTATTTCTTAAATGTATTTGATTGATGTCTCATGCCTCTCTAAAATGTATAAAACCAAGCTGTGCCTAGACAACCTTGGGCACATATTCTTGGAACCTCCGGAGGGCTGTGTCATAGGCCATGATCACTCATATTTGGCTCAGAATAAATCTCTTCAAATATTTTGCAGAGTTTGACTCTTCATTGACACCATAAGCACATCAAAAAGATAATACACTACAATCCAGTAAGTCTTATTTCAGGGATGTGAAGAAGGTTCAACATTCGGAAATCAATAAATGTATTTCATCATATAAATAGAATAAAAACAAAACGTTATGATCATTGCAATAGATGCAGAGAAAGCTTTTGATAAAATCGAACATCCCTTCATGATAAAAAACCTCAACAGGCTAGGCATTGAAGAAACATACCTCAAAATAATAAAAGGCATATACTACAACCCATAGCCCACATCACACTGAATGGGGAAAGGTTTAAATCATTCCTCCTAAGAACTGAAACAAGACAAAGATGTCCGCTTTCACCACTCCTATTCAACACAGTACTGGAAGTCCTTTGCCAAGCAATCAAGCAAGGGAAAAAAATAAAATGCATTTCTCTGTAGAGAAAACTCTATAGAATCCCGCAAAAGACACTTAAATTTGATAAATGATTTTGGTAAAGTTTCAGGATACAAAATCAACGTGTAAAAAGAAGTAGCATTTCTATACACCAATAATGTTCAATATGAGAACCAAATCAATAACTCAATCCTATTTATAATAGCTACAAAGGATAATGAATATCTAAGAATGTATCTAACCAAAAAGGTGAAAGATCTCTATAAGAAGAACTACAAGACATTAGTGATAGAATTGTAGATGACACAAACAAATGGAAAAACATTTCATGCTCATGAATTAGAAGAATTAATATCATTAAAAAGACCATACTTTAGTCCCAGCTACCCCGGAGGCTGAGGCAGGAGAATGGCATGAACCCGGGAGGTGGAGCTTGCAGTGAACCGAGATTGCTGCCACTGCACTCCAGCCTGGGCAACAGAGTGAGACTCCGTTTCAAGAAACAAAAAACAAACAAACAAACAAAATACTTCACAAAGCAATCTAGATTCAATGCAATTTCTATGAAATTACTAACGTGATTTTTCACAGAATTAAAAAATACAACCCTAAAATTTATATGAAACCGGGAGAGAGGCTGAATAGCAAAGCACTACCAGGGGGAAAAAAAAGCTGCAGTTATCACATTTCCTGACTTCAATTTATACTACAAATCTATAGTAACAAAAACAGTGTAGAACTGGTACAAAAATAGACACACAGATCAATGGAATAAAATAGAGAACCCAGAGAGAAAGCCACCTATTTATAACCAACTGATCTTTGACAAAATCAATAAACATATACAATGTGGAAAGGATGCCCTATTGGGTGCTGAAGAAATTGGATTACCATACGCAGAAGAATGAAACTGGGTCCTATCTCTCATCATGCTCCCAAATTAACTGTTGTTGGATTAAATACTTAAATACAAGACCTGAAAGTTTAATAATCCTAGGAAAAAAACTAGGAAAAGCTCTTCTAGCCATTGACCTGGGCAAGGAACTTATGAGTAAGATCTGAAAAGGATATGCAAAAGTAGGCAAAGGGGACTTAATTTATCTAAAAATCTTCTGCACAACAAAAGATGTAATCAACAGAGAAAACAGACACCTACAGAATGGCAGAAACTATTTGTGAACCATGCAGTGACAAAGGACTAATATCCAGAATCTACAAAGAACTCAAGAAACAATTCAATAAGAAAATAAAAAAAATCCCATTAAATGTGGACAAACGATATGAACAGACTTTTTCTCAAAAGAAGAAATACACATGGCCAAGAAGCCTATGAAAAAAAATGCTCAACATCACGAATCATCACAGAAATGCAAATTAAAACTACAGTGAGTTACCACCTCACACCAGTCAGAATGGCTATTATCAAAAATTCAAAAACTGCAGATACTGGCAAGGATGCAGAAAAAAGGGAATGCTTATATACTTTTGATGGGGTTGTAAATTACTACAACCTTTATGGAATACAGTATGAAGATTTCTGAAAGATCTAAAAATGGAACTACCCCAGGACTCCTGCTACTGGGTATCTACCTAATAAAAAAGCAATTGTTATGTCCAAAAGATGCCTGAACTCATATCATTATCACAACACTATCCACAATAGCAAAGTCATGGAAACAACTGTAGTATCCATCAATAGATGATTGGATAAAGAAAATGTGGTATATATATGTCATGGAATACTACACATGTGTAAAAAGAATGAAAACATGTCTTTTGCATCAACATGTATGGAGCTGGAAGCCACTATCCTGAGTGAAATAACTGAAAAACAGAAAATAAAATGCTACTTCTTCTCACTCGTAAGTGGGAGCTAAACAATGTGTACACATGGAAATATAAAGTTGAGTAATAGACACTGGGGATGCCAAAAGAGGGGATGCTGGGAGGGGCTGAGGGTTGAAAAATTACCCTTTGGGTACAATGTTTACTATTCAGGTAATGGTTACACTAAGAGCCGAGACCTCACCACTATGCAGTATATCCGTGTAACAAACCTGCACATGTATACTTTGAATATGTAAAAATAAAAAACTAAATAATAAGAAACAAAAATGACAAACAGCAAGTGATGTTAATTTTCTCCTCAAGGATCTCATACTCCAGTGTGGAAAATACATTAATAAACAAATAATTGTATATTTTGATGTATGTATTATATAAACAATTATTTACATTTAGTTATCTATTATTCTAGAAATTAACTATCAAAAAGAATTGCCTAACCTGTCTAATATCAGGTTAGGCAATGTTTTTGGAAAAATTGGAAACAGGTTCAGAAATATGAAAACAAAGATTTTCCTTTACCAAATATATGTGGATCCCATGATTCTTAGTCCTTTATAAAATATGCTCTAAAAAGCCTGAAGATTGTCAACATGTTTGAGCATGTTGTCATTTGGAAAACAGCATCCAATTCATTTATCTCTTCAACAGATATTTACTGGGAAGCTACTATGTGCCATAAATAAATGTAATCATTCACTTAGATAAAAATGATAAATATATAGTACTCAGAGTACAACTATTATGCTGAGGAGTTAAATTAAAAGATAAATCAGATTTTCAGTGGTTCTTGAACTAATCATTACAAATAATGTCTGTTATTTTACTTTTGCTTTATGTTATGCTGTTCATTTGTGTACAACTGAATTATAAACTGAAAGGTGTTTGTAGACTTTCATTCATATTTGTAGTATTTTAAATTGTTTTTGTTACTAGGAAACATTAATTTTTCCCATGTCTGAGTGATAATATAATGGAAAATATTTTCTATATTAATTGTTATATTTGAGATATTTTCAAATATCATCTTGTATTGTCTTAGAACCTTATTGAGTCCAAGGACCAATACTCAACATTTATATTTTTCTATTAATCAATCATCTTATTATTACATATATCATATTGCCTAATTTTTAAATTTTTGTTTAGGCTGTCCCTCACACCTTAATAGCTTTTCATTGGATCCAGAGATCTTCTAATCTACAGGTTTAGGAGCACAGATTTTAATCTACAGGGTTAGGAGAATGGTTCATAAATACTTCTTGAAAATTCAAGCTCATAATGCTTATATTTATTTTGAATTCCTATTTTACAGTGAAAATTACAGTCTAACTGTACATAATCCTGTGATAACTTTATATTAAAGAGTTGATGACTCATCCAGAGCAGTTTATAATATCAGTATTTATTAATTATATATTAATTAATATTTCCATGTCAAGATATACTTTCTTTGATATTAATGGCAATCTAGATTTTTATATTCCAAGAAAAAGCACAATTATAAAAAATTATTTTATTTATTTTCTTCTGTTTTATTGTAAGGTATGACAATATATCTCAGCTTGATTCTTTTATTACTATACAACAAATGTCCACAATGTATGATTATTATGACAGGTTTCAGATTGTAGCTTGTATTATCCCAGCAACATGACTAACGAACCTGTCAACTTTTAACATTAAAAGTTTGTGAGCCTGTTGAACTATTGGTGATTGAATTGAAAGATGATTTAATAAATAATCTTGGCACATAAAAAGGAATATAAATGCAAATTTAAAATACGAACTTCATATATATACATTTACATATAGAGTATAAACACAAAACACACTACACACACACACACAAGCCCAAGGTTCAACATACCCAACAGATTAAGTGATACATTATAATTTCAAAAGGATTAATAAGTGTATTCAGTTTTAAAATAAAAGTGAATATCTTTATACTTATAACTTTATAAATCCAAAATTATGCAGGAATTTATTCAACAGCTACATACCACTTATAAAAGAATAATCATTCATGGATCTTTCTGAGAAATACTTCTCAGAAAGTATTTATATCATATTAATTATGTATTATATTAATTTATAAAATCTATATTTTTAGTTATAAAGATTAGCATTGATTTATTTCATAACATATTAATAATGTTTCCTTAACAGTATTGCACATAATCTGCATTTGAAATGCTTTTTTTGTCCATGAATGATTTTTTATGGGCTAATATAGCAAACATTTATTCAGCATGTAATGTGTACAAAAGATTCTTGGGTATATAAGAAATATAAGAAAATTTGAAGCATTGAGGTGAGATATATTTTGAAAAATAAGAAGAACTACAAATTAATTAAAATTCTGTTTATAGAATAAATTTTCTATTCTCAGATTGAAGAGTTGTGCTAATGTTTCTACCATGTAAATATAAGCTTTCCAAATGTAATAGAAAACAAAAGATATTAGTATTGCATACTTAGCCTCAATAATTTAATATAAATGTATTAATTTAGGTCAAGCACAGTCTTGAATTCCACATTATAAATATATTATACTTTTAAAAATTTCTCAAAACTCCACATTCACAGCATAAAGAATGCAATAATAAAATCAGCAGCTATTGAACCATAGTGTACATTGGGTTTATGTATTCTGAAATCTTTATGACTGGCTTAGTTGTCGTAAAGGAAATGGGTTATCATGAAGGAAATCGGCTTGAGTGGCACAAAATATTTATGCTTAATTCCCACCAAATCACTTTCGAAACTTATAATGTATGACTCATTTGCAAAACATTGAGTGCTATAGAACTTCAAAGGTATTTGAAAGTGAGTCATTGAGAACAGCAGTTCAGCAAAGAGTACGTGATATGCTGTTCCCTGTGGCTCAATCAAATATTGGACAAACTCTCAAAGGCTGAGGCTAGATGTCGAATACCTAGAGTAGAACACTGTGATATTAATCTCAATTATGAGCCAAGTTCTTTATTTGTTGCCTTCTTGCAAAGCTATTTCAGTGCCAGTCACCATTAATTCTTTCCGAAACTGTAAAAAAATCTGCTGAAAATTCTTGAAGAATATAAATTTCTTTGAAAAGATTGACAAGGTCATATCACATTATGATTTAGAACCAAATGATTTAAGCCTTTGCATTTTCATGAACTTCTAGTGGTTGACGATGACACACTGATATGATTGAAGTGTTGTAAGAGAAATAAAAATCTTGCAGGGCTGGGAAAGGAGTGATTTATGTATTAACTATTTCCTAGCTTTCATGACTATTGTAAAGATTTTGATTAACATTAAAAGATAAATGAAGGCTATGGGTTTTTTTAAATAGCAAAAAATACTATCTTCTTAGTAGCAGAAAGTATTTGACACTACTGCTATCCTCTTACTTGAAGAAACAGTTTAACTGATCTCTTGATAAATGCAACTTATTGGCTGGGGTGGGGGGCACACTGTTGACATTTTCATGGAAAGACATCAACAATGAATGATGAAAACCTACACAATTTTATCTAGCTATTACAGGAAGTGAATAGAGTTTCAAGAGATTTCTAAAGCACAGCTACAACATATAATTTGGTTTGCATATTTATATAGCATATATATGTTGCAGCAGGTCATTTCTGATTCTAGCTTCAATTCTTACAGGCAGATGCCAGAAAAAGTCATATAATTATCTTAATTGGTCTATAATAATGATAAATTAAGATTATATTCCATCTCGATAATATTACTACTATATTATTAGCAAGATGTATTATTATGTATTTTCACTATGAACTAATATTGTACATTGGATCATGAATTTGGGAAAAATAAATGGAAAATGAAGATAGAAATACATTACTTGGAAGTTGAATCACTACATATTATCTATTATCTCTGAAACTGCATTATTGCCACTATGTTCTCAAAATTATGTTTTTCTTCGTGTGTGTGTGTGTGTGTGTGTGTGTAAGCACACATACATGTATTTGTCATTTCATCATCATTGACTTGAGTATGAGTCATTAAAAATGCTTGGCATTTATATTGAAACTTTTATTTAAGTTTTCAGACATTTTGAAACGATCTATAAAATGTTTAAATTTTGATTCCATTAATCATACAAGGTTAATAACAGAGATTATCACAGCATATGCTTGGGTCTAATAGTTATTCTGGAATTGTTCTGTTCAGGGCCCACTCACTAAAGCAAAAATGTCTCTACTTAAGAATTCTTAAAAAGTTAATGCTTGCTTTCAGATACTCCAGTGAATTCTAAACAAGCCATAGTAAATAAAGAGATTCTTCATATGTCAGAGGAAACACGGGATTAAAATGTTGATCAGAATTTACTGAGTGTGTCTTTATGTTTACTGCTGTTTTTAGATTCTCTCGTTTGTTCAACATTTAATATTTTATTTTAAAGCATATATCGAATGCCTATTCATTAGCAGGCACAGTTCTAAATGCTGAAAAACAATGTGGAAATCATAGCATTTCCCTCACCTGGGGGAACTTCATAAGGAAGATGCTAATTTTCAGTAAAAGTAACATGTAGAAGATGGGAAGGCATTCTCAATAGTCCTTTACTTAAATCCTATATAAAACCTACAGAAGAGTTCAAATCTCCGTTCATGTTTTCAATGATAAATATTCAAGTGAATAAAGTATTTAGGAATTTTAAAGTATTATGCAAAGAACAATTAAAATCTAGTGCCACAAATATACACAAGTTTTAATGTATTTTCATTCATTTCATCTTTTATTTTACTTTCCTTGATATTTTGTCAAAGCATTAGGGGAAAAGTACACTCTGTTTTTTGGGAGGCCTTTTATTATCTGATAAAATAAATGAGATTTTCAGTATTTGCATGGGAGCAGATGAAGGACCCCAAATTCTTAAAATGTAAGAATGTAGATCTACTCTTTATTATTTCTTGGAAACTAGCTTGTTTTTGCACCACCATCTCCACATCTGAATAATTTAGCAAATTAAAAAGTAACAAAGGGAATAGCTCTGTAGCGCTTGACTGCAAGTGAATAAAACAAAACTAAAAAATAATGTATAACCCAAATTATTTTGCTTGGCTCTTTTTGTTTTAATCTTGGTAAAAAACATATATCATGAGATCTCGCCACTTAAGAAATCTTTTAGTGCAGTACAGTATTGGTAACTATAAGAAAAATTTTATGAAGCAGATGTCTAGAACTTTTTTTCTATCTTGCATGACTGAAACTCTGTACTCATTGAATAGTAACTTCCCTTTCTCCCCGACCCAGGCCTGGCAACAATGATTCTATTTTCTCTCTTTATGAGTTTGACTACTTTCTTTAGATATCTAGTATAAGTGGAATCATGTAGTATTTGTCCTTCAGTGAATGACTTATTTCACTTAACATGATGTCCTAAAGGTTTATCCATGCTGTAGCATACAAGAGGATCTCCTTCTTTTTATGGATGAATAATATTCCATTATATATGCTATGTCACATATTATATAGTCCATTATATATATACTCTATCTATCTATCTATCTATCTATCTATCTATCTATCTGTCTATCATCTATCTCTATTATCTATCTATCATCCATTTATCTACCTGTACCACGTTTTCTTTCTTTTCATTTTGCCTACAGATTTGACAATTTAATTAAAATGGACAAATTCCTTGAAAGACAAAAACCACGAAAGCTCACTGAAGAGGTAGTATATTACCGAGAAATTCCTTTTTAACATTTTTTTTCAGTAGTTTTCTTTTTTCTGTTTTGCTTTTTTGTTTTCTTTCTAGGTGTGCCGTGGCATAATTGGTATATGAAAGTTGCACATAGTTAATGTATACAATTTGGTGAGTTTGGACACGTGTATACTCATGCTACCATCACCATAATCAAGGTAATAAAAATATCCACCACCTTAAAAAGTTTTTTTTGTGTCCCTTTGTTATTTTTGTTGTTGTTTTGCGTTTCAAACACTTACCGTGAAATATATACTCAACATATTTTTAAGTGCATAATACCTTACTGTTAACTATAGGCACTATGTTGTACAGCAGATCTCTGGAACTTACTCATCTTGTATAACTCCAACTTTACACCAATTGAACAACTCCCCATCTCCTGTCTCCATCCTCTGGTAACCAATATTATATTGTCTACTTCTATATTTTAAATATTCTAGATGCCTCATGTAAGAGGAATCATGCAGTATTTGTCTTTTTGTGACTGACTTATTTTATATAGCACAATACCTACCCAGTCCACACATGCTCCTGCAAATGGATGGATTTTCTTCTTTCTAAATGGCTGAATAATACTTCATTGCATATATATATATATATATATATATATATATATATATATATATATATATACACCATGTTTTCTTTATCCATTCACCTGTTAATGAACATTTGGGATGCTTCCCTATCTTAGCTATGTATATAATGCTGCACTGAATATAGGAATATAGATATCTCTTTGAGATCATGATTGCAACTCCTTTGGCTATATACCTAGAATTAAGATTGCTTAATCAAATATTAGTTCTATTTATAACTTCTGATGGACCTTCATACTGTTTTTCATTTTGGCTACACCATTTCACATTCCCAACTACAGTGTACAAAGATTCCATTTTTTCCACAACCTCACCAATTCTTGTTATATTTTTAAAAATAATAGCCATCCTAAAAGATGTGAGGTGATATCTCTTTCTGGTTTTGATTCGCATTTCTATGACGAATAGCTATGCATTTTTTCATATACTTTTTGACCATTTGTATGCCTTCTTTGGAGAAACAGCTATTCAGTTTCCTTGCCCCATTTTAAGTTGGGTTATTTGTTTCTTTGCTATTGAGTTGTAGGAGTTCCTTATATATTTGGAATATTAACCCCTTATTAGATATAAGGTTTGCAAATTTTTTTTCCTATTTCATAGGTTGCCTTTTCATTCTGTTGATTTCTTTGTTGCACAGAGGCATAGTTTGATAGAATTCTGTATTCTATTTTTACTCTTGTTGCTTGTGCTTTTGATGTCATAGCAAAGAAAGTATTGTTGAGACTAAAGTCAAGAACATTTCTCCTATGCTTTTTTCTAGCAGTTTTACTGTTCCTGATCTTACACTCAAGTCTTTAATCCATATTGAGTCTCCAATGGTTTCTTCTAGGAGTTTGACTGTTCCAGACTTTACATTCAAGTCTTTAATCCATATTGTTAATTTTTGTATATTATGTAAAATAAGAACTCAATTTCATTCTTTTTCTTCTGGATATTCACATTTCCCACCTCTATTTTTTGAATAGACTATCTTTTTCCCATTGTGTATTCTTCTTACCCTTGTCGAAGAATAGTTAACTATAAGATAAGTAGATTTATTTCTGGGAGTTCTATTCTATTCCATTGCTCTACTTTTATGCGAGTGCCACATTGTTTTGTTTTGATTACTAAAGTTTTATAACATGTTTTGAAATCAGAAAGTGTGATACCTCTAGCTTTTTCCTCCTGCTCAAAACTGCTTTGGCTAATCAAGGTTTTTTGAGGTAGCATATGGATTTTAGGATTGGTTTTTCTATTTCTGTAAAAAAAAAGTCTTAGGATTTTGATAAAGATTGCACCAAATCTGTGGTTTTCCTTGGTTAGAATGAACACTTTCACAATACTAATTCTTCCTATTCACGAATAAAGGATGTCTTTTCATTTACGCATGTCTAATTTTTTCATTAGTGTTTTATAGTTTTCAGCATAGAAACCTCTAATATTGTTAGGTTTATCCCTCAATATTTTATTCTTTTTGGGGCTATTGTAAATATAATAGCTTCTTTTTTGAGAGCTCATTCTTGGTATATAAAAATGCAACTGATTTTTACATTGATTTTGCAACTTTACTGAATTTGTTTATTAGTTCTGATAGATTGTGTGTGTGTATAGTCTTTAGGGTTTTATTCATAGTGTACTGTTAGTTCTTCCTTTCCTATTTGGAAGTCTTTTATTTCTTTTTCTAGCCTAATTGCACTGGCTAGGATTTCCTAGTATTATGTTGAAGGAACTGGTAAGACTGGACATCCTTGCTTTGTTCCAGATACTAAAGAAAAAGTTTTCAGTTTTCTACTGTTTAATATGATGTTAGCTGTGAGCTTGTCATATCTGGGTTTATTGTGTTGAGGTAAGTTCCTAATTTGTTAAGGATTTTTATCATAATAGTGTATTAAATTTTATCAAACGGTTTTTCTGTATTTATTGAGATGATTATGTGTTTTTATTCTTCATTCTATTAATAATGGTGTTGCATAGTCTCATATGCTTTTCTCACTCTTTGCATTCTTTTTTCTTTTTATTCCTCTGAGCTAATAATTTCAAATGACATATCTTCAAGTTTGCTGATTCTTACTTCTGCTTGATCAAGTAGGTTGTTCAACTTCCTTAGTGAAGTTTTTAGTCAGTTATTGTATTATTTTCTTTAAAAATTTTTATTTAGATAAAATATACATATATAATTTATTATCTTTACCATTTTTAGGTTTACAGTTTGGTGGTAATAAACACATTTAAATTCCATTTTTCCCATTTATCATCCCCACCCCCACCATTTGCTGGCCTCTGGTAACCCCCAGTCTACTCTCTATCTTAATGAGATCCACTTTTTTAGTTCTTGAATATGAGTGAGAATATATGATATTTGTCTTTCTGTGCTTGGCTTATTTCACTTAATATAATGGCCTTCACTTCCATCCATGTTACTACAAATGACAGGATTTCATTCTTTTTAGGGCTGAGTAATATTCCATTGTGTATATATAATATGTTTTCTGTATCCGTTCATCTGTTGATGGGCACATAGGTTGATTTCATATTTTTGGCTATTGTGAATACTGCTGCAATAAAATGAGAGTGCAGACATATCTTTAATATATTGATTTCCATTCTTTTGGATATATACACAGTAGTGGAATTGCTGAATCATATGGAAGTTTGAGTTTGAGTTTTTTGAAGAACCTTCATACTGTTCTCCACAGTGGCAATACTAGTTTACATTCCCACCAACAGTGTGTGTATGAGGGTTCCCCTTTCTGCACATCCTCACCGGCACCTGTTATTGTCTGTCTTTTTGATGTAAGTCATTTTGACTAGGGTGAGATGACATTGCATTGTGATTTTGATTTGCATTTTTCTGATGATTAGTGATGTTGATCATTCTTTTTCACATACCTCTTGCCCATTAGTATGTCTTCTTTTGAGAAATATCTGTTCAGATATTTTGCCCATTTTAAAATCAGATTGTTTATATTTCTTCTATTGAGTTGATTGAGCTCCTTATATATTTTGGTTATCAATGCCTTTTCAGATGGGGAGTTTGCAAATATTTTCTCCCATTCTCTGGTTTGTCTATTCACTCTGTTGATTGTTTCCTTTACTGGGTAGAAGTGGTTTAGTTTGATGTAATCCAATTAGTATTTCTGCTTTGGCTGCCTGTACTTTTGCGGTTTTACACAAGAAATGTTCACCCAAACCAAAGTCCTGGAGTGTTTCCCTAATGTTTTCTTCTAGTAGTTTTATAATTTCAGGTATTAATGTCTTTATTTTGATTTTTTTTAATGTAGTGTCTAGAATTCTTAAACTTCAAAATTCTGTTTGGTTCATTTTTATATTTTTCTCTCTGTTGATGTTCTCATTTTCTTCATGCATTTTTTTTTCTTTTTTTGAGACAGAGTCTTGCTCTGTCGCCAGGCTGGAGTGCAGTGGTGCAATCTCAGCTCACTGCAACCTCTGCCTCCCGGGTTCAAGTGATTCTCCTGCCTCAGCCTCCTGAGTAGCTGGGATTACAGGCGTTCACCACCATGCCCAGCTAGTTTTTGTATTTTTATTAGAGACAGGGTTTCACCATGTTTGCCAGGATGGTCTGGATCTCTTGACCTCGTGATCCACCCACCTCAGCCTCCCAAAGTGCTGGGATTATAGGCATGAGCCACCGCGCTCGGCCTTCCTCATGCAAGTTTTAGCTCTTGAAAATCTTTAGGATGGCTATCTTGAATTCATATCAACTAATTCATATACCTCTGTTTTTTTAAGCCTTGTTTTCCGGAGACTTATTTTGGTCCTTTGCTAGGACCATGTTTCTCCCTTTCTTTGTGTTATTTTAGAACTTTCTGTTAGGATTTATTCATCTGAAAAAAATAGCCTCCTCTACTTGTCTTTATAAACAGGCTTTGTACAGTGGAAGACCTTCATGAATCAGCCTGGCTAAAGATTCTGGGAGCATCTGAAACCTTTGCAGATGAGATGCAATTTCTTTGAGCCTGTGCATGCAAATTTCTGAGAGGCTTGACAGGAGCTTTTACTCTCTTGCCCCCTCTGGTGTTTGCCTGCACCAGATACTCAAGTTCTCTGGTTCTATGGTAGCAAGTTGCCCTTCCCTCTTTTGGTCTCAGCAGCAACCAGGCATCAAAAGTATCTCAGCCCCCTGTCAGTTCCCTAAGTCAGGAGAGACAGATATCAGCCTCTTGGGAAGCACTCCAAGTAGCCAGAATTTCAGACACAAGTTCCACTCTTGTCCCTCTTATCTGAATGAGAAACCTCAAATTGTATGTCTTCTGATTACACTGACTCATGCCTGCTACAGCAAGTTGCCCTCTTGATCATCTGTGTTCCCAACACCTTCTAGGCATTCAAATATTAATTCTGTCAGTGCTCAGAGTGTGTAACATGTATAAAAACCTTCCAGTGAGAAAATTATACAACATTTTCTTTGCTTTTATAGGAAAGATGGAAAATCATGTAGCTACATAAGGCAAGAGATAGCAGTGGCGAATAAAGGCCACTGAGTCAAAAGAAAATATGCGTGGTACAGCAATCCAAAAAACCTATAATTTAAAAGGACATTCTTTAAGCTGATTTATTAGTGCAGTGATTGATTTACCTTAAAAAAGAAAAAACAATGTTAAGCTTTGAACTCCACAAGAAAGTATAGGTCTCTACTTTGGAGAAAAAGACCCACCATAAAGGTTTCGGTGAATTTACAAGTTGAGTAGAGATACAGTCTCCGCTTATAGAAGGCACATGCTTCTTCCTAACCTACCAGCAAATGATGGCTAAAAAGATCATTTAAACAACCAAATCCTATGTTCTGTTAAGGAACTCAATTATGACCTGGGTAGACAGGAAATGGGTTAATAAGAATCTGCTCGTCCTATTTTCAAGAAATAGGCACCTATTGAACTTAAGACCAAACCCTTTATTCATAAAGACGAGCACTAGAGTACACTACAATAGTGGATGCTTATATTTTGCTTTCTACATGTCAGGTACTGTTTTTCAGTGCTTTACATCTATAAGCTAAATCTGAAAAAAAAAAAGCTTATTGAGATAGGAAGTATTATTTATGCCCCATTTCAACAGTGAGCAAAAGAATATCAGAGTGGTTCAGTAACATATTTGAAGCCACACAGCTACAAAGTTCACAATTTGAAAGCACTTAATCTGGCTCTAGTAGCTTTGTTATTATCATTATTATTAGCTTAGGTATTTTAAAGTTACTGCAAATGTAGCATTTTATCCCTGAATAATTTAATGTTCACTTTACAAAATATAAAACCATTTCCTTCTTAGACAAAAATAACATAATCATGTATAATTTACAATAATTCCTTACTATCATCTAGAAGCCGGTTCATTTCTATAGTTATTCCCAATATGTTCTTCACACTAGTAGGTTTGTTTAATACGGAATCATGGATTGTATCTTTTTGTTACATCCTTTATGTCTCTTTTAATTTAGAAATGTCCTGTAACAACAGCCCTGTTTTAATGTGGACAATCTTGTAGAATGCCCCATATTTTTGAATTTCTGTGATAGTTTCTTCCGGCGGTCATTTAGTTAATTCACTAAGCCTTTACTATTTCTTAGAAACAAGAAGTTATATTTCTTAGAAACAGGAAGCTAATTCATTAAGCCTTTGCTATTTCTTAGAAACAGGAAGTTATATCTAAGTGTTGGTAAGATTCAAATTAAAATTATTTGGCAACCTTAAATAATTAATGATGTACAGTTTTTTTATAGTATAGTTAAAATGAGGAGACTCACCCTATCTGGTTGACCTACTACTAATACGACTAAGGATTAACCAATGATTCCACAGTGGGTCAACATGATCCTTCCTTTGTTTATATGCTGTTCTTCAGATGAATGCCCAGGCCCACATCAGCCATTTTCCTAGTGATTTTCATTCCAATTAGTAAAACATGCATGAATAATTTTTTTTTTTTTTTTGAGACAGGGTCTTGCTTTGTAGTCCAGGCCAGAGGGCAGTGGTGCAACCATAGCTCACAGCCTCAATTTTCTGGGCTCAAACAATCCTCCACCTCAGCCTCCTAAGTAGCTGGGACTACAGGCATGCATCACCATGCCTAGCTAATTATTATTATTATTATTATTATTATTATTATTATTATTATTATTATTTGTATAGACAATGTTTAACTACATCACTCATGTTGGTCTCCAACTCCTGGGCTCAAACAATCCTCCCCTCTTGGCCTTCTAATGTGCTGGGATTACAGGTGTGAGCCACTGTGCCAGGCTTAAATTTTTATTAGGGTTGCATGTTGATAGTTTCCTAATTGTGTTGTTCTTTGAATATGTATTTGTTAGCTACTTTTTTAAGTTTTAAATTTAAAACTTTTGTGGGTACATAGTATGTGTATGTATTTATGGTGTACATGAGATATTTTTATACAGGCATCCAATGGGTAAAAATTATATGAAGCTAAATGGGGTATCCATCACCTCAAACATTTACCCTTTCTTTGTGCTACAAACAATCCAATTATACTCTTTCAGTTATTTTAAAATACATAATAAATGATTGTTGACTGTAGTCACCCTGATTTGCTACCAAATACTAGATCTTATTCAATCTATCCAATTATATTTTTGCACACATTAATCATCCCTACTCCCTACATCACCTCTCAACTACTCTTCTTACCCTCTGGGAACCAGTATTCTGCTATCTAACCCCATAAATTCAATTATTTTAATTTTTTGCTCTCACAAGCTATTAAAAGAGAACTTTTTTAATAGGTTAAACTGTTTGGTTATCATGAAAAATAACTCCTACTGCAAAGGCAGACTACGTTAATTTTTCTCCTTTAATTATGATACTCGAAAGTAAAACTTTGGTTATAAATCCCCTTAGGTGGTGAGAATGATACTTTTTCGGGCTTTCTCTTTTTGAAGTATCATTTTAGACTTATGGATTTTCATAAACAATGTGTTTCAATTAACTAAAGTCATTACTTGTTTGATGCTCAAATTGGCATGCTTTTTTTTTTCCACTGTTTTTGTTTTTTCAAGTTGGATCCTGGGTCTTTTTATCACAGCTTTGTTAACCTTTAAAATGTTATTTGTTTTCAGTAACAATAAAATATTTTAAGTACTAAATGTTTTCCTTACCAAAACCTAGTTATTTTTAGCTGTAAATGGCTTTGAAGTCTAAAATGCATATTTCAAGAAAATAATTGCAAGAAAATATAGTTTCTGGGCCAGTTCAATGTTCAGAACAATAAAATATGTGTATCAAAGAAACTTCACGTTCTGCAAATGTATCCAAGAAATTAAAGTGAAATTAAAAAGAAGAAAATATGTATATCAGAAATTATGAGTTTTTAATAATACTTTCAGTAAACTTTTAGCTGAATAAATAGTATAACTCATTTGATTTTAGAATGTTTCTTGGCTGAAAATATTAATTCACGTATTATTTACTTCCTCTTACAATGCACAAAGGCAGTGATTTGTGTGTACCAGTAAGTTACAAATTAAAAATCCAAAATAACTTAAAATGTTTTGAAGTCTATTTTTGATTTTTAGAATATATCTTACTAAATATATACAAAATTAAACTACAGACTTATTTGTAAAACATACTTTCTGTAGTTTAGTTTCTAATTTGATGCATAGTTAGCTTCATTCATTTTAGAGAATTCTTTTCTATTTGAAGAATTTCTTTATGTTTGGATTTTTGTCAATTTAATAAGTGAGAAACTATATATTAGTGCTTTTAATTTTTATTCCTCATATTATGACTGAAGTTGAACAATGTTTTTACATGTTGAAGGCTATTCATATTTCTTTCAATAAACTTCCTTAAATGTTGATTATGAATTTTTGTCTTGGGCTACTTTCTTTCTTCTGGATTCCTAGCTTGTTTTATATTAAGCGAATTAGCTTTTTGTCTATGTTATAAATTATAAAAGATATATTTAATATAAATTATATCAATTATATAAATATAAATTATCAAATATATCTTTTGATACATTAATATATTTTGACTTTGTCAATGTAGGAATTTTGAATTTTAGCCAATCAAACCAATTTTTTTCTCTTAATGTCTTTTGCACTTTGAGTCCTAGTTAGAATTACATTATCCACTTCTAGGTGATAAAGTAATTTGGCCAGATTTCCTCCTACTAATTGTATGGTTTTATTTATTTATGTCTTACTTTTTTTAATTTATGTGAAGTTTATCTTGGCAGACCATATGTGAATTAAAACTTGTTTTTCCAAATGACTACCAAGTACTCACAAAGTTCTTTATTAATAATTTATTTTTAGCCCACAGATTTGAGATGTATTCATCATAGTCTTAACTGGTATTCAATGATATCATAATGAAGATATACTAGCCATGAATTTTAATTGATGAGATGAAAAGGCATCCAATTATAACTCAAATCCAGATTTACTAAGCAAATAGATGGATTTTCAGCCATAGTAAGAGATTTTTGCCTAGTTCTCTCAGTTCTTAGAAATTCCAATATTGCACAAAAAAAAAATTTTTAGAAACAAAAATGGATTACTTTTATATTTGAGATATTTTGTGTTAATTATTTTCTCTACTTTATTCTTTTGTATATAATTTTATTCTTATACCAAGAGGATTACATTTATATTTGCAATAAGCACAAATTAAATTATTTAAATATAAGATTATACACAAAGAGATACAAATAGCTTTTAATTCTAGATTGTTTTATTGTCTGGAACCCTGAGTTAAAACTGTTTTTTTCATGTAGAAGTTTCTAATAAACAAGAGATTACATAATGTTAATATGAGATTAGAATCTCCATCATACTTTGGTAAGCCAAAAGTGAATGTTTCATGTCCAGAAAAATATTTCTTGAAATATTTTAATTATAATAAGTAAGTATACATTAAAAATAAGATACATCCTGCCCACATTACCTTAGCTAGGAATTGAACAAAATTAAATTAACTCTCCTAAAGAACTTGGATAAGAGTCCATTCATTCTTAGTTATCATTTGCTAAAATTAGGGCATAAGGTAAATTGTTGGAAACAGAGTACTTATATATTCCCTAAAAATATTATCCGGGAAGGACAAAGTTGCCTTAATCTTAAGTTTTCTTGTTACATCATCTATTACCTGTTTTTTATGGCAGAACTATTTTAACCTGGTTTTTCAAGCTTAACGCTTATTGTTTGAATGAAATAGATCTCAATTTGAATGTAATCAAAGGGACATTTTATTATAAAAGAATTGACTCAGGAGGAGTTATAAACTTTTCCTTGAGATTTAGTAAAACATGGCAAATTTTCTGAAAGAATTAAGAAAAAGCTTGGCTAATATGTTGCAAGAATGCAACACTTATATGGGTACTAGAATTGTAAACATAAAGTGACATCTGTTTGCGAAAGAATGTATTGAAATGCTGTTTCTCTGAATTTTGTACTCAGGTTTATAGAAAAGTTGTAAGTACTAATTCTAAGTTTAGTACTGATTAAAGAAAAAAATAAAGTCGATCTCCAGCATTTGAGCAATAAGTAACTTACAGAAAAATTTAACACTCACAGAGCCCTATGAGATTCATTGTGGGTACTCATAACCATTAAGAAAAGACTTAATACTTTGTTTTCTCTTATTCTGTAACATTAAAAAGCAAATATAAAATTTTTTTGTTTTCTAATATTAAAGAAATAAATGATTTATGGGTTTATGTGAAGTACAGCCCTAAAGAGTTTATCTTTTCGAGGCTTAGAATCCAAGGAAAGGCTGTAATGCTTAAATTTTTTTATTATGGTGATCAAAAGGCAAATATAAATATTTGCCGAGTTATCTAACATCAACCAATTTTTGAGACACTGAAACAGGTATGGACACAATTAATTGTAATTTATTGCATAACGCAATACTCACAATAATAGAAAAACAATAAAACTGTTACCACAAAAAAAAAGGATTATCTGGTGATTATTGTTGAGCATAAGGAACACTTCTTAGAAATGACCTATTACTTAGACCTTGAGCAAGGTCTAAGGTCTTGAAAGATAAGTTGGATTTCAAAAGCTGGAAATGAGAGAATGTGTGTGTTTGTGAAGAGGGGAAAAGGGTTAGGCTACTGTATCAGGGATAAAAAGCATGTATAAGAAAGAAAGAATATTTCAGTATGAAAATAGATCAAAGAGAGTTAAAGATAAGAAAGTTAAGAATAGAATCCCAGAGAAGTATGTTGTTCTTGTTATAACCATCAAACAGAGATAGATAAATAGATAATCCTGTAAGATTGAAAAAGAGAGTTACATGGTCTTAAAAATGGACATTTATTTATTTATGTAAATAGATCTCAGATTTTTTATTATTGTCATAAAATATACATAACATAATTTACCATTTTAACAATTTTTACGTGTACAATTCAGTGGCATTAAGTACATTCCTTAGGTTTGGCAACACTAAGTGAAAAATTAATAACTATTATATATTTTATTTATTGTCAACAATCTTTTAAAACACTTGGAGTCATCGCTCCTATTTTCTCAATTCATAAAATCTATTTAGTTTATTAGATACCTTAAGATTTTTTTAAAAAAGCAACGTCAATTTATGTCAAAGGCAGGAACTCAGGATGTTCCATATTTTTATATATACTTTAATCATGGATAAGTCATTGAGCCTTTCTGGTTCTGTACTTCCTCACTTGTAATTTAGAATATTAAACTACGTAATCAGTAAAATTCTGTTTATACACAAACAGGGCATGTGATCATGCAGTCATACAGAGCCCCAAGCTTACCAGAGCACTGTGCTTAGATTTAAGCCATCCTAAAATTCTTAGTAAGTTTTGAATAAGTAGTTTCAAATTTTTATTTTCCACTGGGCTCTGTATTTAATTGTATAATTGGCTCTGTGTGAAAATAACTGGTTTTATGACAAAACGAGCTTGGTGAGACCCTTAAACATATCCTCCTTGTCTTCTTTACCATAGAGAAAAGGAAATTATCTAAGGGAAAATGTGAGGATAAATAAACATCAGAAAAATTAAACTCTCATACCTTCACCTCCATATATACAGCACTATTCTCAGGACTGAAATTGAATCACTTTGATTGCCCACGGAGAAAAGTAAAGCATTTTGATTTACCAACCCAAGAGCTTTCTAAATGTTCTCTTCAGGCAATATCTTTAAACAGCAATGCAGTTATGACAGGTTGGATTACAGCATTTAGCACTTTTCCAGGAGTTTTTAGATTTTACATGCTTTCTGCCTTTCAGAAAGATTTGTGCCAGACATCTCAGATATGAAATAAATATATTTTTATTGCGTTTTCTGGAGTACATGATGTAACCCAAGCATTGATGGTAAATCTATTTTCTCCTCTCAGAAAAACATGAATAGCTGGTGGTCTCCAAAAATTTACTTCTCTCTAGAATACAAAATTTAAAAATAATCAATCTATGAGCAGATACGTAATCTATAGTTTGAAAGAAAGCTTCTGATAATTTATATCTTGGAATTTGGTAATTAAAGGAACAATATTAAACTAATGTGTTAATGAGTAAATAATAGCTTTTTCATGCCTTAGTGAGCAGGAAATTATCATGAGTTCCTGCTTGTGATATGAAAGCTGCAGATGGTTAATTACTATTAATATAGAAGGATTTGCTATAATAAACCTATTATTTTGAATTTCATATACTTCCTTCCATATTGCCATAGTCGCAATGTTTTGAAATGAGTCAGTTCTAAAAATATTCACAAATATGTTTCCACCAACTAATTTTGTCTTCTGATATTTTAACCGTTAAAAAAGTCTTTCTCATACCCTTTCAAGACTACCCATAATACTGAATAATCTGATATTGTTTCCCATAACTCTTCAAATCTTTCTCCCTTGAAGGCATGACCTCCTTAATGTTTTGCAATTGGCCACAATTTTTCTAATGACAAGAATGGCTTTTCATTATTTCTACAAAAGTTTGTTAGGCACAGATTATATGTCATATCTTATGTTAAGTATTAGAAAAATAATATTGTACTGTGTATCATAGTCTCTGTGCATGGATTGTCTACCATTTTGAAAACTGTGCAAAAACGTAGACACAGTGCAAAAACATGATCACTGTGCAAAAACATGGTCAACTTCCATGTCTTCCAAACACTCTGTATGAAATATTAATGTTTTTTCTAATTATTTTGTATATGGACAATGATGTGAATTCTCTGAATTTAAGGACCTGGTTTAGTGTAAATCTAATTGTTATATTTGTATAATATAATGATAAATAAACATAATTATTTGTCTAGTCAAAAAGAGAACATGTTCAACATGGGAGAAAACAAGTACTCTTTCATTTTCAGGTCAGTCTCATTTTAAATAGCTTCTCACTGTGATGAGTAATCAACTTCTAATAGCAGGCATGTTATAACTGTTATCACACAACAATATGGTCCAGGCATATTATAACTTCTAAAGATAGGTCGTATCTTTTTTTCTAAAATAATTTAATGGTTGTCACTGGTCATGTGTCTGCAGGAAAATTTCCTTTTTTTCACAAATTAGACTATTTTCCTGATAATCTATTTTCTAGGGATATTATCAAATAGGACCATTCCTGAATGAACCTTAAAATTGATTGTAATTCTTGCTCTGCTCATTGGGTTATGCTGACCTTCTCTTCATCACATGCTTATTTTAAGAGAACAAATTCCTTTTATTTGCTCAGATATACCAGAGTATTTTGTTAAACAATATGTGATATATACTCCAATATAATCATTATAAATTATAGTTGTTATACTCTAAAAGTATTAAATATAATGAACACAATATAATTATTCTTAAAATTATATATATATAATGTATACATATATGTATGGATTATACGTATATACCAAATTATTTTTAGATTATATGGTGTATATATATATATATTCACCAAATTATATGGGTGTATATGTTGTACTATCTTCTCAATTTAAGTCATTTAAATAAACTACCTCCTAAAAATGGAAGATTGCACATATTTGAACTCCTCCTCTTTCAGAAACCTCACTCAAATGAGAGCAAAGAAATAAAAATGTTACCAACAAAGAAAAAGAGCTAGAGTAGGAGACTCTACTCTATTCATGAATTATTATTCATGAATTCATGAATAAATACATGAATTCAACAAATTTTAGAACAAATAATGTAGTTGGGTGGTAACTGTCATAGCAGAGCAGAGAAAGGTAAAAGATAACTTGCTGCCAAAACACTTATAAGGGAAAACCAGAACAAACTCTCTGAAAAATTTTCTAGAAACTCTATTGAATATGCCAGGAACTCTACTGAATATGTGTGGAAGGCCAGGATAATATATAAGGCTGAAAACAGAAAAATAGGTATCTCACTACACAGAATAGGTCACTACCCCTAATTCCTTTATTTAAACCTTTAATCTCACAGGAGAATGGAGGACTATTATTTATTGCTTATTCATTAGAAGTTTACGAGGTTCAGATACACCCAGACACATAGTAATAAAAATATGAGTTTGTGGACTGTGAACAGGAGCATTAAGTAAAAATCTGTATATTGAACTATTTGAAACCTCAGCTCTACTTTTCCTCCCTGATCCCATTACATTCCTTGCCAAGCATGTACAGCTTAAAAGGGAAGAGTTCCCTCATCCCCTCTGCAGGACATGTGACAGAAGTGTGGCTTGCTTCCTCAGTGCCCCCCTGCTCAAATCCCTAGGAGGAGCATGCAGACAGGCAGGTCGTCGGGGGTATTTTTGGACTCCAACCCCAAAGCAGCATCTTGCTACTCCGGAAGCCCCAGTGGGCATGTGTTACAGTGTGCTCTTTCAGCTCAGCCGTCTGCAGGTGGCTTGCGTTAATCAGCTCAATTATACCCTCTGTTTTGTTGCAAGGACAGAGGGCTTTCTGTATCCTGGGTTCCTGCCCTAGAGAGTACTGGAAAAATAGGATCACATGTGGGTGTGGAGGATAGGATGGCTGCAAGGTTTTATTGAGAGGTGGAAGTAGCTCTCAGTGAGGCAAATGGGGAGCCAGAAAGGGGATGGAGTGGGAAGGTGGCCTGCCCCTGGAGTCAGGCTGCCCAGTGGCCGGACTCTCCTCCAGCTGCCCGGACTCTCCTCCAACTGCCCCTGACTGAATTCTACGTTGTCCTGCTGTTGATGGCCTGCCGGTGTCTGCTAGTGTCTGTTGGTGTATCCTTCTGCTCCTCTTGACATCCAGTCACTTGTGTGTGTGCCTGCTACAGTACCAGGTTTCTATGGGCACAGGATGGGGGCATGATGGTCTAAAAGGCAACTTTTGGGGCACAAAAACAGAAATGCCTGTCCTCACTTAGGTCCCTGGGCACAGGCCCAAGGGCAGAGCCCTCACTGGGGACCCCACCCTTCTTTACCCAGCATTTCCCTGCCCCACTCCCCTATCACAGCTATGCATTGCTTAACAATGGGGATACTTTCTGATAAATGTGTTGTTAGGTAATTTTGTCGTTACAAACACAAGACTGTACTTACCTAAACCTAGATAGTATAGCCTACTACACAACTAAGCTATCTGGTATGGCCTATTGCTCCTGGGCTACAAACCTGTAGAATATATTTACTATACTGACTACTACAGGCAATTGTAACACAATGGTATCAGTATATCTAAAAACAAAAAGGTATAGGAAAAATATTGTATAAAAGGTTTAAAATGGTACACCTGTATAGGGGAGCTTCATTGTAATCTTATGGTAACACCATTAAATAAGTGGTCCACTGTTGCTCAAAACGTTGTTACATGATGCATGATTATACCTCTTTTTCTCCCACCTCTAGTTAAGATATTGGATCATTCTCTTCTAAAAAAGTGTAATGGCTTCAAAGAAAAGTTATACATATCCCATTATCTAAGAAGTTTTAATTAAAAAGTACTTGATTATTTTACAATGAATCCAAAGAATTGTCAAGTCCTACCATTTATCCAAAGTTTTCAATTATCTTTTAAGTTTCCAACTACATGAGTGGGATTATCTCAAAATTTGTGATAGACAGACAAAGCTATTGTGGAATATTTCAAACTCAATTGGATATCAATTTATATATCTATAAAATTTGTATGAGCTAAAGAGTATAAAAGAACCTAAAATTCCATCAAGTTGAATAGAAAATTAATTTACATATTTTAGAACTTGTAAAATTCATTCTGAATGTTAGAATCATAGCATTCAGATGTCTTTTGCATTGTTTGAAAAATATTTTACATATTTAAAAGCTGTAGAAGTGCAAAAATGTAACAAAGTAATTAATCTGGTTGAGAGCTTCAGACTTCTGTGGGTGGACAGAAGAATTTCTTGGATATGATTGTAAAACTTTCTGATAAATCCAGCAACACACATTTAATAACCTCCAAGACAAATCTCTTTAGAAATTTTGAAGTCCCAAACAAAGCAATTATAAAATAGTAAGTAATTTCAATTAACTGAGAGGAACTGTCTTTCTTAGTATAAAAAAACCATGGTAAAGACACCTTCGTGTTAACAAAGAAACTGTGTAATGTCATTATTACTAAACCCAGTAAGGTTTATTGGGGTAGCTAACAGGCAGAGAACTCTGCAACGAAGTTCACATGATTCTTTTATTAATCCCTCTCATTATCCCACTGAAAAGCTTGCCGAGGCCGTCAGAGAATGACAACATGGTAAGAGAGGCAACGGAGGGCCCCATTCCTTCGCCTCAGTATGGAATCAAAAGGGAACCGGAAGGGAGCAGAGAACACTTAGTTGGCTGTAACAATGGGAACTTCTAGCTGAAGGAAATATTTTTGTTTGGAAGGTGGAGCTTCTGGGGAGTCTTGTGTTCTTTTATTTTGCTGCCTTAAAACTGCTTGGCTTTATTTTTGCCAAGATGAAGAAAGAGGGAGGAGAAAAACCTCCTGGGATGTCTGGATCTGTACCGACATTTTATGTCATATATGCACTTGTTATTTTTAAGGGAGTTTGGCATATATTAAAGTGACAGATTTCCAATTACTATTACGTAACTTAGTTTTTTGATTTGAAAATGCAATCTAATTGAGCTTATACTCAGTGTTAGGATCTGAGAGAACTTTAGATTAATCATATTCACAAGTTTATTAAATTTATGAATCATTTAAATATGCAGGAAGGTTTTGTTTGAATCAGACAATTGAAGTAATTTAGAAGGTAACTGAAAATATTACATGTATAAATGCAATTTAAAGTTTACAATTAACTACATTTGAATTGAATGTGTGTTAGTCAAAGACTTCTTTAAACTTACAATTGTTTCATAAACTCTCCTTAGAAAGTTAAGTGAAAATTATAGCGTTAATAAATTGAATATTAATTCTTAAAAGACAAAATATTGTCCTTAAGAGTCTTTTATGAATACAAAATAACCCTTGAGTCTATAAAATTCTCACAACAGTAAATATGAATAACCACATATTTGAGAGAAAGTAGACTGCAAGCCAACAGTAACAAAAGGAAAAGAAAAAAAAGCAAAGAGCAGAATGATGCCTTAAAGAAACTGTAAATAAAATCAGCAGAAATCTAAGAGAAACTACTGCATTCATAAAGAATAAGGTAATATGGAAAAGGAAAAAATGTATAGAACAAGACAGATCTCTTGGGCATTTAAACATGGTGGCTAATTTTTTTAAAACAAATAATTGAAATATAAAGCAGACCAATTAGATAAAGAGATTAAAAAAACACATGAGAAAAGCAGGGGTGAATCAAAGGAACAATTATGCAAGTACAAATAATATAACCTTAAGACTTCCTCTTTGGCTGATCTGTAGGTTCAGCATAAGCAGAAAGTGAAGTCTAAGGCAGATTTGTAAATGATCTCGCTAAGCATTGAAGGGTTTCCCCCAACACAGAAACAATTTGTAGAGACTGGAAAAGATTTTATTTGCTTTTTAAATTTTTATTGTTTTGGCTTCCTGCATTCAAGAAAATCTCTTTCAAAACACTAGTTGACAATAATCTGAGAAAAGAGAGACTTCAGTGACCATAAATGACAAGAAATATAGACTTAACAAAAATAATTTTTAAAAGTCACTAAGTAAGCAGACTAACTACAATTGATAGTAAGCAACAAAAACAAATCCTGAGAACTGGAAATAATCTGATATCCAGAGTTAATATAATAATCAAAATGTTCAATTTTCAACAAAAAATTATGAAGCACACAAATAAAAAAGAAAGTATGCCACCAAATTCACAGGGGAGATTAACATAAATTGTTCCTGAGGAAGTGTAGATAGTAGACTTACTAGACAAAGACTTTATATCAACTCTGTAAATACTTATAAGGCTAAGAAAGAAACCCATAAACAACAAGGTAAGGAAAACTCAGAGAAAAATGTCTGAAGAAATAGAGAGTATCAACAAAGAGAAATTATAAAAAGGAATGAAACAGAGATTCTAGAGTTAAAAAGTACAATAACTGGAATGAAATGCTGTGGTTTCAATAGCAACTTTGGGCAGGCAGACGAAAAAAACCCTGAAAACTTAATTACAGGTCCACTGAAATATCCAGTCTGAAGATCGGAAATCAAAAGGAATGAAGAAATATAAACAAAGTCTAAGAGACTGTGGGACACCATCAAGCATAGCAACATATTCATAAATAGAGTACCAGATGAGTGGAGACAGAACAGGAAAGAAATAATACTGGAAGACATAATGACCCCAAATTTCCATATTTGGTAAAAGACAGAAATCTAGACATCATGTTATAATCAAACTGTTAAAAGGCACAAACAAAGAGAAAATCTTGAATGCAGCAAAACAGGTTACTCATTAATGC